>NC_000011.10:15685000-16310000 GCF_000001405.40 Homo sapiens | reverse complement strand
GAACTGTGGAGCTAGAAGGTGCTCTCCTGGCATTTTGTTGTTTAGAAAGAGGATGCAGCTTTCTGATGGTTTTATGAAATAAGTTATAGTCTCATATGATTTTGAGCTTGTGGAGGTTGAGTGGATCATTAGCATTTTGCATTTTTCTATTGAAAATTCATTAGACTGACTTCTCCAGAATTTATTCTGGGAGTCTCAGGAAATAATAGGGGACAGTTTTGGGATCTGTATTCTTTCTCCTTGTACAATATATATGCAATATCAAAAGAAAAAATGAACAGAAAAGGAAGTGGTAAATGTAAACATTTATTTATTATGTAATATTTGATATGTATATTATAAACCATAAAGGTAAAACAAACACTTGTGAACTCAGCATCCAACTAAATAAAAATTTCTAATACTATTGAATCTACTTATGTTTTCTTCACCTGTCCAATCTTTGTTTTTTTATCTACATTTTTGCCAGAACTTTGTTAATCATTATCTGCCTTTTTTGTTTTAAAATAGTTTCCAATCGGTCGCTAAATAATGATTGTTTAGCCTTGTTTTCAAACTTCATAAAAATGATGTCATACTGTAACCTCTTGTGACTTGCTTTTTATTCTTATATTCTATCATCAGTTTTGCTGTGTGAACTTTCATTCATTTTCTCTTTTGTGTAATCTTCCATATACTATTCCATGCTATGCTATATAGCAGTATATTCTCCTGTTTATTGTTTCTGGACACTTGGACTTTTTCCAGTTTTCTGCTGGTGCAAACAATAACATATGAAGATTCTTGCACCTGTCTTCTGATGCACATGTGAACAAGTTTCTTCTCTAGGGCATTTCCCCAGGAGTGGAATTGATATTGACACATTTTTGTGTTCTTTTTCCACTCTCTTGGAAAACATTACACAAAGAAGTTGCTGCTGCAATATGTGTGTGTGTGTGCACGCACGTGCATGCATGCGCCTGTGTTAGAATTCCTGAAAGCTTTAACTGTCTATACCTTTTGGTTCCACCTTCCTCAAAATGTCTAGTACAGGCTTTTCTTCATCACTGAGCTTTTCAGAAGCTCAGCAAGAGCCTTTGATGGACCCTTCACTGCAATTTTCCTTTTTCCTTTTGTTGTATCTGAATACAACAGGCTGAATGTCTTTAGCCCTCCTTTCAACTAGGAGCACAAGAATATCGTCGTTCTTCTACTGGACTGTGATTACTAGGTTTGTTAGGAAACACTTTTTTCCCTTTTGATCCTCTTTATTGATGTTTCCAGCACAGGGTGTGGTTTTAGAATTAGAGTAGTTCCTCATCTCTAATTGCATCAGGTTTACAATAATTTTTACTTAAATACTTACTTCAAATGCAAAATTACAAACCTATTAATTATTGCCACTGTTCTAGCCAACCATTTATATTGAAATAGACATTTTTCTGGCCAAACAGTCGACATTAGCTGGAAACCTTCACCTCTCTCTCAGAATGTTTAACTTGAGAATCCTTACAGATATTGGCTTGGGATTGATGTGCATTCTTATCCTAACTCTTTTTAACTTATTAGGTTGTGTCTAATAATTAATTAATTGATCTAAGCACTAGTTTCTTAATTTATAAAATGAGGATGTTGGTCTAGATAAGCATTAAAGGACAATTTGTAAAATTCTATGCCATTTTGATTTTCTTTTACAGTTTGTATCCAAATTTTAGAGTTTACTATCATTACTTTTCTCTTTTAAACTATTTTCAGTTCAAACTGAATAAATCTCATGATTCATTTTCTTTCATTATGCTTGAAACTGTCCTTTTCTATTTCCAATTTCTTCTTTCTGATGTTAGAATTTTTACAAAGATAGAGATAAAAGCTTCTATCCAATTTTGATATCTGAAACTGTCATTGTCCAGTGAAGCACTTACGGACAAAGCCATGGCTTCAAGGCTGTGGCTTAAAGCTGAATATGTGTGGTGCTCAGACCTATCGTAGCTTTCTTAGTTGATGTCTTGAGTTTAAGTATAACTGAGTAGCTGTACCTAGAACTGAGAGAACAGACAAGTACTCTCACAATGAAGTAATAGAATATATGCCATCCGCTAGCATTGGGAGTGCAGAAATTAGAAGACTGTGGATTCCCCTAATTGCTCTCAAATAATGAATTGAAAATGAGTAAATACAAATAGGTGGCTAGAAAAAAATTGATGAAGGTATAATGAAGAACAACTGTGAAAATATGACAAAATATTGAATTATTTGCAACAGCACCATTACAGCGGCAACAACAGCAGCAGAATTATTATGCTAATATATATACTTTTTGAATGACAGTAACCTATAGTCAAAGGGCAGTTTTTAAAGAGTGGCTAACAAACTGTGTGCACTGGGATTCCATTTCACTCCAGAATGCCTTTACTAGCTTAACTGGAGCTTTCTAGCTTATCCCCCAGAAATATCTCTTATCTTGAACATTTTGCTTATGTTATGGACAGGGGAGAGATGGAAAATTTAAGAATTAAAGCATAAGCCACATGTTTTGGAACTATTTTTCTTTGATTTCAAGTAGAAGAGGTAGACAGGAAACTGTCTTATGTGCCCAATGTACATAGTCCTAAAAATTATTCCTTGGTTTTAATTTAACTCTTAAGCCTTGACCCTGATTAATAGCAGAAAGTCTGGTCTCACTTCTAGGTAAATCAGGAACTTCAGTATTTAACTTTAGTCATTTAGAATTATGCCCCTTTTGCTTCTTATTGGTGTTATCTAATATCCAGAGAGTTTAGGCATTTTATTGGCATTGGAGCATTGGTATCTGGCTAATGATATCAATTTCTATTATGCCTAGAATAACATTCATTGCTTAAAATCCTAACATATTACTCTGGCTTTCAAGCCCCATTTTATATTACTTTACTCTTCTCTGCCATGGACGACTCCCCTCCTCCTTAAACATGTCTTAGGACCTTTGCACTTGCGCAAACATATAACTTGGACATTCCTTAGTTATATTAGACACACTGCACATAATTAGAATTTGGTTCCTGGAGTTCTGTTGTAATCTTTCTCTAGTGAGCATTGTGATTAAGAAATTCGAGGATGTAGGCTGAGCGTAGTGGCTCATGCCTGTAAGCCCAGCACTTTGGGAGGCTGAGGCGGGTGGATCACGCGGTCAGGAGATCGAGACCATCCTGACCAACATGGTGAAACCCCGTCTCTACTAAATATACAAAAATTAGCCGGGCATGGTGGCATGTACCTGTAGTCTCAGCTACTCAGGAGGCTGAGGCAGGAGAATTGCTTGAACTGGGGAGGTGGAGGCTGCAGTGAACCAAGATCGTGCCACTGCACTCTAGCCTGGGTGACAGAGCGAGAATCTGTCTCAGGAAAAAAAAAAAAAGAAAAAAAAAAAAAAAGAAATTTGAGGATGTAACAATCTCAGGACAAGATTTTTATCTGTTGAGTCAGCACAGTGCTGAAGTTGATTAGTTATTTAGTCCAACATACTTCAAGCTTAGTCATTATCCCTCCTATCCAGAATAACTTTGTATTCTCTCCGTTTATTGAAATTTTCCATTTATCCATTTTCCGGATCATACCTAATCTTCTACTGACTGGCACTTGTGAATGTCTCCTCCTCTAAAATTATTAATACTCAAACCTGTACACCACTGCATTTATCAATAAATTATAATCCTAATTATGCTGTTTGCTCTTTTTTAAATTGAAATTTTTGTTGAGACAATTGTAGATTTACATGAAGCTATAGGAAATAATACAGAGAGATTCTATGTACCTTTTGCCCGGTTTCCCCCAGCGGTAATATTTTAGAAAACTGTTGTATAATAGCACAACCAGGTTATTGACATTGAAACAATTCACTGATGTTCCTCTTGTCTCTCCATTTGTACTACATTATTGTACTCAGTTGTGTGTGGGGGTGTGTATTAAGTTCTATATATTTTTGTCACCTATTTAGGTTCATGTATCCACTACAACAGTCAAATGCTGAACAGTTTTGATATCATAAGAATTCCTTGTGTTGCTCTTTTGTAACCACACCTACCCTGCTTCAATGCCAGCATCCCTCACCTTCTATACCAAACCCCTGGCAACTACTAATATGTTCTTTACTTCTAACATTTTGCCATCTTAAAGATGTTATATAAATGGAATTATATAGTATGTAGCTTTTTAGAATTTACTTAAAAAAAAAAACTCAGCTTACTTCCCTGGAGATTCATCCAATCCAATTAATGGGTGTCAATACAAACAAAATTTTAAGAAGTTCATACTTAAAAATTTGCTAAGTGTATTCCATGGTATGCATCATATGTATAAATCACATATGTTTAACTATTTACTTGTTGAAGAACATCTGTGCAGATTCCAGTTTTTGACTATTACAAATAAACTTGCTATGAACATTTGTGTACAGGGTTTTGTAACATAAATTTTCATTTATTTGGAATTAGTACCCAAGAGTACAATTGCTGGCTATATTGTACGTTGGATTTTATAAGAAACTGCCACACTGTATTTCAGAGTAGCTGTACCATTTTACATTGCCACCCACAATGTATGAGTGATCCAGCATCTCTGCATCTTGGTCAACATTTGGTTTTGTCACTTTTGTTTTAACTGTTCTTATAGGTGTGTACTGATATCTTATTGTAGGGTTAATTAGCATTTATGCTATGGCTAATGATGTTGAACATTATTTCACACGTTTGTTTGCCATATATGTATCCTTGTAGGTAAAATGTCTTCTCATGTTTTCGGTCTATTTTCTAATTGGATTGTTTTATTTTTGCTGTTGTGAAAGTTTTTTATTATTCTAAATACTAGTCCTATGATAGATACATGGTTTGGAAATATTTTCTCCCGGTCTTTAGCTTGTCTGTTATCCTCTTTACATGGGCTTTCACAGATGAAAGTTTATAATTTTGATGAGGTCCAACTGAACAATTTTTTACTGTATGGATCAAGTATGGGCATCAAGTCTAAGAATACTTTGCCTAACCCTAGATTCTAAATATTTTCTCCTTTTTTTTTTCTGAAAGATGTGTAGTTTTATACTTTACATATATGTATATAATCCATTTTGAGTTAATTTTTGTATAAGGTGTGAGGTTTAAGTCAAGGCTCATTTCTTTTGGCCTATGGATGTTTAATTTGCTGCGGCATCATCTGTTGAAAAGACTAACCTTCCTCCATTGAATTGCTTTGCAAATCACGTGATTATCTATATAGAAAATTCCAAGGAATCTAAGTACAAAATAAAACAGAACAAAACAAAAAACCAGCCTCTTAGAACTAATGAGTCAACAAGGTCACAGGATATAAGACGAACACTTAAAAATCATTCACATTTCTATACAATAGCAATGAACCTATGTCTTTGTCCATTCAGGCTACTGTAACAAAATACTATAAACTGAGTAATTTATAAATAACAGAAATTTATTGCTTTCTGTGTGGCATTAGCTTCTCTGATATTTTCTGGATACTGGGAAGTCTAAGATCAAGGCACCAACAGATTTGGTGTCTGGTAAGGGCTCTTTGCTTCATAGATAGTGCCTTGTTGCTGCATTCTCCCATAGTGGAAGCCACAAACTCCCTCAGACCTCTTTTATAAGGACATCAATCCTATTCATGAAGGTGGAGCCCTCATGATCTAATCAGTTCTCAAAGGCCACCATCTCTTAATACTACCACATTGGGTACTGGGTTTCAACATACAAATTTTGGGGGAGACACAAAATTCAGAACACAGCAACATATGAAAACTGAAATTAAAAACTCAAAACTTGGCCAGGCACAGTGTCTCACACCTGTAATCCCAGCACTTTGGAAGACCGAAGAGGGTGGATCATCTGAGATCAGGAGTTTGAGACCAGCTTGGCCAACATGGTGAAATCCCATCTCTACTAAAAATACAAAAATTAACAGGGCATGGTGGCGTGTGCTTGTAATCCCAGCTACTCAAGAGGCTGAGGCAGGAGAATGTTTGAACCTGAGAGGTGGATGTTGCAGTGAGCCGAGATCGCACCACTTTACTCCAACCTGGGTAACAGAGCAAGAACTCCGTCTCAAAAACAAACAAACAAAAAACAAACAAAGAAACCCCCCACAAAACTATTTACATTTTCTCCAAATAAAATGATATGCTTAGGTATGCACTTAACAACATGTGCAGGATCTATATGCTGAAATTACAAAATGCTGATTACAAAAATGAAAAAAGACCTAAAAATATGACAAGACATATTGTATTCATGTACTAGGAGACTCAACATGGTAAAAATGACAGTTTTCCCCCAAATAGTCTGTATGTTTTATGCAGTTCCTTTCAAAATCCCAGCAAGACTTTCATATACCTAGACAAACTTACTCTAAAATTTGTATAGAAAGGATCATATTCTAGAATAGCTAAGAAAATCTTGAGAAAGAAGAATAAAGTGTTAGGAATTATTCTACCCAATACTGTATTAAGGCATACTATACAGCTGTAGTAATCAAGGCAATGTGATATTGGAAGAAAAATAGTCACATATATCAATGGAATATACTAGAGAATCCACAGATAAAACCATAGAAATATGCTCAACTGATTTTGACATAGATGAAAAGTATTTGTTATTTTACATTTATTGATCTTGCCTCACAAGATGATTTTAATTTTCTTGAGGACACATACCATATCTTTAGTCTATCTTCACAATGCCTGTTATGGATCTTAGCATATAATATACATTAACCTAAAATACTGTTGATTTATTATAAAAGTTTTCAGAGAGATAAATAATATTATGATTAAAAGGAGATGAATAGCTTTAATTTTTAGAGAATGCCTCTTCATCTAAACAAAACATACATATATACACACATAACAACATATGTATACATATTTAAATACACACATACATATGCTTATTAATTCCATAATCATTTATTAAGCTTTTTCATGCAGTATTGTAGTGGGCCTGGGTTGGAGAGAAGTAAAAGTGGAGAAAAGGGTAGAAGAAGATGAACAGAGATAAATATTGTTTTTTAGTAGCTCATAATTTAGTAGGAAACACATGTAAATAAGGTAATTATCATAAGTACAATAGTAGAAGAAGCTATAAAATGCTGTGTTGGCTGGGTACTGTGGCTGGCCGGGTGCGGTGGCTCCTGCCTGTAATCCCAGCACTTTGGGAGACCGAGGCAGGTGGATCACTTGAGTTCAGGAGTATGAGATCAGCCTGGCCAAAATGGCAGGACCCTGTCTCTACTAAATATAGAAAAATTAGTTGGGTGTGGTGGCGCACGCCTGTAATCCCAGCTACACAGGCGGCTGTGGCAGGAGAATCACGTGAACCCAGCAAGCGAAGGTTGCAGTGACCTGAGATCGTGCACTGCACTCCAGCCTGGGTGACAGAGCGAGACTGCCTCTCAAAAAAAAAAAAAAAAAAAAAAGAAAAAAAGAAAAAAAAATGCTGTAGAAGTATAGAAGAGGAAACCATAATTTTTTTCTAGATCTAAATAGGGATTTATTGACATTCGAGCTAGATTTTGATAAGCTCATCATAGTGAACAAGAGATATAATGGAATCCCAGGTAGAGAGAACAGCATGTACAAAGTTTCATGGTATGAATAAACCTGTGAGTTTAATGAATGTGAAGAAGTTTGGTGTGACTAGGACAGGAGACACAACTGAAACAATATGTTGAAGCCATTATTACAGAAATTGAATTTTATCCTTTGGGTAGTGGGGAGCAGTTGAGAACTTTTAAGTAGGAGGATGATCGACATAATTGAACACTTTTTTAAGAAAAGTAACTTTGGTGGCATTTTGACTATCAGTTGGAAAGAGGCAAGGGCAAATACAGGGGAATCTGGTAGCAGGCTATTTTAATGGTCCAGGCAGGTACTAATCAGACTCTAAACTAAGGCAATGGCAGGGGAAGAAGAGAGAAGGAATCAGCTGTTTGAGGTATAGTTGAGGTTGCTAATTAGGAGTGGAGTGTGAGGTTAGGGAGATATCTAGCTGAGAGATTTAATGGTGGGGCTATTAGAATGGTGAATATAGAGAGTTGAGAAGGTTTGGGGAAAAGGTTTGCATTTAGATATACCAAGTTTGAGTATTCCATGAAGGTGGAATACATCTAGCAGGCAGAAGTACGATTGACTGACTTGGAGATTAGAAGAGATATTGGCTCCTTTTCTTGTCGTTTTATGGATTGAATTTTTTTTTCTTAGATACTCACTTCAAATTATCATTGTTGCTTTCAGGTTGCAACAATGAACATTGTTGCATCAAACTTGGTCCATATGTGGAAACTCCATAATCTATCATTCTATTCATATAAAATAAGGGAAGTGACTATACCTTTAGCCCCAACATGAGTCATGTGTAGCTTATCTGTTCAGATGAACTCAATTAATTTTGTAGCCCAGTGTTTCTCAAACTGTCAGTAGCATTGGCATCACCTGGGAGCTTGTTTGAAGTGCAAATTCTTGGGCTTCATCCTTGACCTACTAAATCAAAAACTCTGGGATGGGGCCCATGAACCTGTGTTTTAGCAATCTCTCCACGTATTTCAGATGCACACCAACAATTGAGAACTATGGTATAGTAGATATACTCTACTATATTGTTCTGTAATATATAGTCCAAGCCATGTAATATGGTAGCATTAAATCGACTTCTGACTGGGTAACATATTTTTAGCCATCTTCGTGATCGGTTAACTGTCTAAGAAGTGTTCAAATAATGGATAAATTTGTTTGATTAAGAAGTAGGGTGAAAGTACTAGCTACAGGCTGTATATGTCAAGGAGTAATAGATATTACCTTCTCATTTTATTATTCTTTCTTTAAGTCTTATTTCATATAAGTTTGTTTCTCACATTGCTAGAAAATCAAATTGATGTGATTTCATGAATAAGAATTAAATTCAGGACTGCCTTAGTGGCTTAGTGACTAGTTTAGAGTGATAGTGTTGGGGGCCATTGTTAGGGAAGAAAAGTTGATGAGGGAAAAAAGAAAAGGTATTGTGTGGTTTCAGATGTAATAATCTGGATTCAGATATTGTTTCTGTACCTTGATCAAAGGTATAGCACACAGGTCACAGAGTGATCCCTTATCTTATCTTATGGTGCTTAATAAATATTATTGGATGATGAGCCAAAATAATGTGAAAAACAAAACCCACAGGCTTTAACATTTAATGGCCAAAGAAAACTCTGTATTCTTCTTAGACATGTAGATCTAGAAGTGTTGAGGTGGCCTAGGTAGAAGTGAATTTCCTAGTTGTTAAGGTGAACAGCCGCAGGTTTCTCTGGTGATGAACTTCAGTTTTCGTTAGCCCCACTTGCTCTGCCATTCCTGCTGTTTTGCAACAGGGCTTAAAAGTGCTTTAAGTGCTTGTGACCGTGGTAATGAATGAAAATGTCTTTCCAGCACTGAGAGGATTGCATTAGACTGAATAGTCACCTCACTTGTAAAAGCACTATTAGAGTGGGGCAGCTGTAAGTAAGGATAACGATTTGTGTCCACTGCTTATTTACTGAAAATTGTCAATGTATTATTTATTGAGAGCTCTCCAGACAGTGCTTGTCAGAATAAAAATGTCAGCTCTGAGCAAAATGTTATAATACATAATAAAAATGCTAGGTATGCATTTTAGGAAGACAACTAATTAGACCTGCTTTTTCTTAAGGAAGGGACAGTAAAAATGTCTAATATTGTGGACTTTCTCCATTTGTATAAGTCCTTTTTTTTAATCCCTGCTCAGCTCAGTATTTGGTTTAGAAACTTATCATGCCTGAGAAATAATTTGAACAACTTTGTATTGTGGCCATTAGACACCCCAAGTACTGGGGAAGCTTGCTGAAGGAGGAAGGGCCTCGCTTGCCATCCCACAGTGAGCAGCCGCCCTCACCTCCATGTTTTGTCTGAAATTAGAAGATGTCACTTCCTCCCTGAGCAGTGCTCGTGGAAAACTGCCTCCAGTGTAAACAACATAAAATTATTAAGCTTATTCCTCAGCCGTGCTAATTAACCCCAAACAAATTTCACATTAAGGAAACAGAATTCAATCAATGTAAATGTTATTGCTGTGTATTACTGTAAGCAATAATATAGTGGCTAAAATAATTAATTATTTTGGATTTTTTTAAAAGAAAGTATTCCTTTTTATGGTGTTGCAAAATGTTTTGTGGATATCTCCCCCCTTTCTTTGGCCTTTCCTGGTGTAGAATATAAAAGACCCATGTGGTAAAGCATGGGTAATACACAGTTGTTTTTTACACCTGGATTGTAAAAAGGGAAAAACATATTTTGCAGAGCTTCAGGTTTACTTAGTCTAATATATTAGCAATACATACGCAGATTTTGTCTCCTCTTACCTATCGTAGTTGACTATTCATTTTAGCAATTTCCTGTTCTCTCTCCTTCCAGTCTTAAATGAAAAGGCGTGTGGTGATTTTAAAAAAAAGAATGTTAAATATTAACCAGTTCTTAGGGAAAACATGAAATGCCACTTTACTGTATTTCAGATTTTGGGAAGCAATTCCCAATAAAGATTCCCACCCCTCCCCCGTTTTTTATAAAAAAAATCTGGGCTCATATAAGGAGTCAAATTAGCCTCATCAAGCTAATTTTCTAACATTTTTGAAAACAACCAGCTTTCTAAATAATTGCTTGGTCGTGCCTGTGATCACTTGGGATAAAATACATTGTTATCATCATTTTCTTAATCCTCAAAGATCTTTAAAGACACGAAGTGCAGAAGCTAGAGAATATGTAACTTTATTTTCGTGCAGTAGAATGCATATTTGATTAATATGGAACTGTTTATCAGTGATAACATATTCTATGGTATATGGAACATAAATCAAATACTATTTGTATTAAGATTATTCTGAAAAATGATACATTCTTTAACCAATATATACCAGCTAGTGTTAATTAACTTTGAAATTTAAAGTAATTTAACTAAATAAGTAACACAATAAAAGAAAATATTGCTTTTCAGAGGTTTAATACCCACCATTTCTTTGTAATTTTACCATCTTCTTCCAGCAAACGCAATTCTTGTATCTCTTCATCCTCTATTAGTTCAGTATCTTATTTCATGACTACTCTTAATTCCTTATTCTTCTATATTAAAACTCTATCTTCATCTTGGTAGGAGTATTTAATCTTTTAATCATATCTTAAACATCTAATGAGCAGGCTGCTACTAAATATTTACAGTGATGCCAAAACGAATAATAAGAACATAAGTGTTCCAAGGAATAGCTGGAGTATGTTACTAAAAAAAAATAAGTAAAACTAATTCTTTATATAAGAGTTAAGAAGAAGTTAAAATCTCTTCGAAGGACTGTTTTAGAATAACATCTGAATGGACCATTTATTCAATTATATCTTTTGGCTTCAAATGATTTGTTTCAGATAATTTCCTTAGTTTCTATGACCAGATAGTTGCTTTCTTTTTTATTTCTTTGGGTACTTATTTTTACTTTTCCAAACAGGAAACAACTTTGTATTTTATTTATTTGCATCACATAGGTAGCTGATAATATGTTCTAGATTATGAGAGGCTATATTCAGAATCTAAAAAAAACACATAAATTTAGACAAGTTTGTATTGAAAAATTCCTTACATTTTAGACATTTATGTCTTTAAGTATATTTTAAGCCAAAGGTTTAAATAATATGCATTCTATAGCAAAGAAAATAGGATGGTTAAATATGATAACTAGAACTTGGCTAGCCCTCTGGTTGTCAGGACACTTAAACAATTTTTAACTGTATAATTTCTATGACTAATATTCCTGGATTTTAAAGTTACACTATAATGCCAAACGAATAAATGGAATAAAATTTTAAAATGAGGGTCCCAGTCAGAAGAACGTATATTAGTATGTTTTAAAATAAGACGCAAAGGGTTTGCATCCAGTATTTTATTCCCTTTAAGACTATAATTGACAAACTGCAGTAATCATGCTTTTATGTGTTTTTCTGCCTCTACTGAATTCATTTAAAGAAAAAGAAAGTAAAAAAGTGAAAAAGAGACTCCAGAATTTTGAAACCCAGTGGTCCTAAAGTGATGGGAAAATAGCCAAGGTGTCACAGCTAATTTCTGACCCTGTTTTATGAGTTCTGCTGTTCCTTATTCCCCCTGTCAGCCTGGGAATCCCTGAGGCTGTGCAAACTGGCTGAACATCACTCAATCCAAGTTTTATATCCCCTTTTAATAATGTTGAGTCTATTCTGTCCAACTTTGATTCAGACAACCTGCTTGTCTTGAAAAAGTGATATATTTAATCAGTGACTCTGTCTCCAGCATAGCTCCCACTGCGTGTGACTAGAGCCAGAGAGTAGTGCAGTGGTCTGTCATTTCTGTTTGAATGGGTAATGTGGAGCCCATCAGCTGAAAAGACAGGAGCTGGAACTGCTTGTTAGGACACATGATCAAAAGCCACTCTCTGCTTTCTGCCAATCAAACCTCATGTCGCCTTGTGGGGCAGACATTAAATAGATTTTTTTTCTGCCTTACAATATGGGCACTTTGCCAGTTTGACATGTGAACTGTTACAAAAGATAGCAGAGTTTTGACCACTTGCTGACTGCTTAAAAATATTACCGAACACTTGTCAAAATGAAATATTCATAATACTATATTATGATAAATTCAGTGAAGTATTATTTGGTGCATTTATGTTGTAATTTATGGAATTTTTTTTGTGGGGCAGAAGAAACAGTAGACACTTGCTTCTTGGGTGAAAGTAAGGAAGACAAAACTGTAAATCAGTCCAATTACAAAGCTATCACAACTGTGTGACAAATAGTTTTGAATAAGATGATTATTACTTTATGAAAGTAACATTAGTTAATTAAATGTTATTTTGCATTCTCTCTCATCTGCTTTAAAAATTATTTACTTCTTGTAAGTCATTGTAGGAGAGTGGCTTTTGTATTATATTTAATACAAAAATATGTAAAACTTTTATTTTGAAATATAATTCAGGATCTTATTCCTTCTTCTTATTGAGAAGATGGACACATTTTAAATTCGAAGACAGTCTTTAATTTGTGGCTGTCCTGATGGGTGTTTTTACTCTGCCTTTTCTTTTTCTTATCCTCTGAAGATTCCACTATTATATTTCTGCTTCATCTTTGTGCCCATAACATTACCCAGTAATGATAGTGGAATAGACCTAACTTCTAAGGTTTTTAAGAGAAGAATGAGTACCTAAGTACTTTTGACTTAAAAGGTCATTGAAATGGGCATTTCCTACCATTTTCAAACCACCCAGATAACTGTTCTAAAGCTGTTAAATCTTAGTTGGTGTTTTGATATCTCCAAACTTGCCACTTGCCGTTTCTTCTCTAATGATCATTTTAAAAGGAGTTAAACATTTTCACCAAAACATACCATGGCAATCTAGTGGAACTCATTTAAACAGTGAGCTACACATAAACAGCTGCTCCTTCAATAAGCCATTCTTTATAATACCCTTATTACCTTCTAGTGTCTCAAATTCTGATTAGTCAACAGTGCTGATTGCTGTACAGCATTCCGTTGCCCATCTTCCTTCTGCTCAGCTGCTCATGTCTTAGTTGTTATTTGATTACAACACAACTTGTGCATTGTTTCACCAAGTTGCTCTTCACATTGTGTCTTAAAAACTGAATTATCTAGGGAAACTGGGGTGTTGTGAGAGTGACTTTCTTTATACACATTTAAAATATCTGAGTAAAGCATGGTATTAAAAAAGACATAACTATGGAATTCTTAGGTTGGAAAGAATAATTGTGGCTTAAAACTCAGTACTTATAATTGAATTATGAAACAGACATTAAGGATGTGGAAGTGTTTTAAAAAGCATATACTATTTTACAAATTTAAAGAGTTATAAAAATGTTATATTATGGTGATTAAATTTCAATCAGATATAAAGTTCTGGAAGAGGTAATTATGTATGTATAACTCCATAGGAAGGGCCTAAAGGACCTTCATCTTTGCCCCAGGACTAGATAATTTTAGTCCAATTACTGTGCAGCACCAGTGATGCCTCACTAAATAGGATAGCCTGTTGGTAGTTTAAGTTGTGATGAAATAAGTAAGGGTGGGAAAAATCTCTATAATGAAGTTTGAATTTCAGCTATTCCTTTGTTGTGACCCCCTGGAATTTACTCTTAGTGAGTAGGAAATGCTGACACACTAGAAATGCAACCCCAGTAAAGGCCCTAAATCTGTCATTGTGCTCTGGAGTCTGCTCTGAAAATAGCAAAGCTCTTTTGGTAAATTAAAATCGGTGTGAATGGGAACAGATGTTGACATGTTTTACTTTATCTTCAGGGATGCCAGTTAAAGAGGAGGGGGTCAGCAAGGTTAGATGGTAGGAAATAGAGTAAGTGTGCAAACTTGTTTTGTGAAGGGAGTTCTGTTTTGGGACATTAGTCAATAGAATTGTATTTCTCTTTTGTAGTCCAGGTAAGAATTATACCTCCATTACTATATCTACAGGAAAGATGAGGGGGGGTGGTATTTATTTCCGGATGGCTATCTGCTTTTGATGTTCTCTTGTGATTGTGTCTTTTCTTCATCAAACTGCTATAAACTGTCTCAGATTGCTATTAGGTTTTACTTTGCAACATCATTTTGGCATAGCTTCCTAAAGTATTTGTTGAACCCTAGTGCTGTAGTAGAGTCTTTGTACTGGTATTTGTCAAAAATAATGAAAATGGTTTATGCTCTAAAAATGCACAATTTATCAAATACCTTGTATAGTTAATTTAAATAAGTCTCGTAGAACTTTCAGTCTTGATTTGAAAAAATAGCATAGGATGAATTTATTTATAAGAACCTTAATAGTTTCTCTCAATTCCTTTTACATTTTAGATTACCTTATAATTTTCTAAATCTACATGAACAATAATGATCAATTTTGTCAGTATTATTCACACCTTTTATTAATTTAACATAGATGAATAAATGTGAATGTTGTGAAGAGTTGATTGGGAATAGATTTTAAATCTGACAGTTAGATTACAGGGTACCTAAGAAAAAATGGCTCTTTCACTAGGTACCTAGTAATTTAATTCTTGTTTGAAATTATTATAATTTATTACAGTGTGTGGGTCCTAATGAATGTCTACTATTAAATGAAAAGGAGAAATTGAAATTAAGATTATGAAATTCTTTTAACTCATATCTTTAAATCCCCTTAAACAATTCAGAAGACATTAATAAGCTATGGAGGTTATGTTCCATATTCTGTAATGACAAATAAAAACAATTTTTTTCAGTGTTTAAAGAATCTAGAAAATGTTGAGTGTCATTAAACTTCAAAGCATGCAATCTTGGAATTTTATAAAATGGTTGGTAGTAGCCATTATAACAGCATTAAAACTGGCAACTTCATTTAAATATTTATTTGGACTATACATAGATTTTTCTAGCATTTGAGTTTTCCAGAAATAGTGACTATTTCCTTAGTGTTAAACACTTAATGTAGGATGATTTGAGATTTCATTGAGCTATGTACCACACCAGATTAACATTTTAAAAATTCCAAATACCAAGGAGAGTTTTAAAATGTCAGTAAAAATTTAGAAATAAAATAACGATGTCCAATTGCCCAAAGGCATTGAAAGTTGCTACTTACTCCTAGATCTAAGTAAAAGCTGGCATGTACACAAAGTGAAGCTCAAGACTTTTAAAAATAATAATTCCTGATATTAATGTAATAAACATTTACTGTTTATTACATTAATGATGATATATGGCAATTTTTCTAGCCTGATGAATTATCTGAAATGTCATTTGAAGGGTCCATTGAGTATCTTACCTGGTAAGAAGCCCCTCTTGCATAAATATGGCCATGCTTATTTGAAAATCATTTAAGAAAGAAAATAAGCGTGATTGGCCCCTTGAATTTCAAACCATTAGCATGCTTACCTAAAACTTCTAAAATTTTGTTTCCTAATTTCTGGAGCTTTTTTTTTAATTGATGCTGCCATAATGCATATATAAGCCAGTAATTAGTTTATGTGTAGAAAGAGAAAAAGAAAATAAGCAAGGTGGTGAGAAGTTTACATTTGACTGTAGAGAATAATCCTGCTCTGGGTTTTTGACAGCCTCAGAACAGTGCAAGCAGAGGAGATGTAGGGCCTGGTCGTCTCTCACTGCGGTGACCCCCAAGTACTAATCTTGGATATGAGAAATAAAATGTGATGTCTTCAGAGAGTGGCTATTTAGGTAGATTTTTGTTGGTTGGTTGTAATTTCACATAAATTTCCCTTGAGACTGTGGAACTGTGCTTAGACCTGTAAAAGTCACATCTCTATTCTTTTCTTTTGTAATACAATTCTCTAACTCCCTCTCCCCACTCCCACCCCTACTTAAGGATGTGTTGCCAAAAGAATGTAGTGAGAGTGCTAGCTGTTTTTAGATGGGAAGGTGATTTGTTGCCTCTGATAATCTGCTTGTTGAGCTCAAGTTAGCTCTGGCATCTGAAGGAAATAAATGTCAGAAACAAGTAGGGCAGTGCTCTCTTAGAAATGATTACTGATCTCTTTTTAAAATGTTTACAGTAGTTGTTTAATAAGGAAACAATTGGACAGAATTTATGCTGCCTAAGTTTCTATAAATAACAAAGCCTTTTCTCATCTATCTGTAATGTCCACGTGGTTGCTGTTTATCACTGTAGCTAGTTCCAACAGTTAAATTCCGGTGTCTCTCATCTACTATTACAAAAGGCTAAAGTGGGCCAACTACATCATGGGGATAGGGCAGGAAGATAAAACTTTCTCATATTATTCAGTGTGAGAACATGATGGCTGTACTATAAAAAACTGCTTTAAAATATTTTTGCTAATTGTGATTCAGTAATTTTAAAATGTTAACTTTGGAAAAACATTGACAATTTACAAAAGCATATCTACTGTTAGATATTTAATTAGATTTTTTTCTCCTTTGTGCCTATTTAAACTCTAAATGAAAGATGGAAATATGTTTGCTCTAAATATTTGATGTGATTGAGATGAGATTAAGCGGTTTAAATGATTTAAAAATTATATTTACTTTAGTGCAATCTGTTAGATTCAATGCTAATCTGTCTTTTGGTTTGCTTTGTGGTACAGGAAACTAAGCACCGAGCGTTAAACTATTCAGTGCATGGTTAGGGTTAAAAACCCGGGTTCCCTCTCTGTACCAGTTACCAAGTTCTTCAGACAAAGTTGAGTTTGCTGTTCAGACATTAGCTGTACTTCTTAGCGATGACCTTGTCGGGTAGAGAAGCATGGCACAGTGGCACTTTCCAGCTGTATTCAGCCTATCCGTCGGGGTATAATCATGCTCAGTCCCAGCACCGCAGGCTTGGACATATGTTGAGTTTTATTTCTTTCTTCTGACATTAATCCTATTCACCAGCTGTTCTGCCAGCTGCCATTCTTCAGTTTAGAGATTACATTTTGGGGGATACCAACAAAGGTCTAGTTGACCACTGCTTTCTTTTTTTCACTTATTCTATAGAAATGATTGGACCTAGGGGTTAAGAGAACTCAATCTTTTCCCACTATCACCTCACTTTTCTTTGGATTCTAGACATTAACATGATTTATGATCGCTCTTAGTGTGTTGTAGATAAGCCTTCCAAAGCGCCAGATTACCACCTTACTTATAAATCCCCTTTCCATAAAAAGGTTTTAAGTTTACATTGAAGGATATAATTAATGTTTCTTATGCTATTATATAAACAACATTAATTAGTGGCAATTTCTTTTGATGTCCTAAAACATATTCCAGCTGAAAATATACTTTCAGTTCTTCTTTGTTTTTCCCCACAGGTTTGATAACATATCTGAGTTAAGATGATACTTTTCCTTTCCTGAGCTATGGTTTCACTAATCTTGTTTGAATGGGCTATTAAATCTCTGTTACACTCATAATATATACTAATAAGTAGTATAGATTTCTCACTTTGTATTCCAGATGATCTGCCCATAAGCAGGATGTTAAACATCTGTAGTTTAAGCCTCTGGGACTAACAAATGCATTAATGCCAGAAAGAAATGTGGCCTGGATGATAAGGTCACAGACCATGTGGTAAAGAAACATCCCCAATATTAAGTCTGCACATACCCTCCATTGTTAATCCTTCCATTTTCATAAAGGCAAAAAAGACTAATAGACTTAAGTTATCATCATTTACAGTACATATTTATTACATTAATACCAACAAATACACAAAATCCCATATGTGTTATAATTCTCCTCGCTGATATTTTGAAGTCATTTAAAATGTGTACGCACATGCCTCACAATAGCATTATTTTAGCCATTAATTTACCTGCCTACCTAAGAAGATGACATCAATATATATTTGTTTATAGACAAAATTCTGCTTTTGCCTCTTAACTTTGTGGCATATGTAGGTCCTATATTATGGTAAATAACTCAGTTTAAATAGCACCTTTAGGCTGGAGCCATTAGAATTGAGAACACCCTACTGAAACACACAAAACAACAACAACAACAAAAAACGTAATGGTGTATTCTGCAAGGTAGGTTTATTTGTTTATTCGTTCTTTCATCCATCCATCCATTCATCCATCCTTCCTTTCACTCATTTATTTGTTTATTTATTTATTTATTTATTTATTCATTCATTATATTGAGCAGGATATTACTTATTGAGCCACATAAAAGAAAACAGCATCTTGTGTTTACCAGACAGCACAACACCTCGTATATATATATATATATATATATATATATATATATATATATATATATAAATTTATAGAAAAATGAGAGGAAGTTTATAAATTGCCTGCTGAAAAAACTATTGATTCCATATTATCCCCCTATCTTCTCCCAAAGCTCTGACAGTAGTGAACCCCATTTACTAAATATGAACATTCTATTTATAGAAATATTCATATTTTTATTGGTGGCCAAAGCACTGCTTATAGGAAAACCTACAGGTGACTAATAGGAGTTGCTCACTAAGTGGAATAATGAATAGTATTAGGTGTCAATTAAATCAAGCTTCCCCGAGGTGCAGGTGCTCCACAATGTACTGACACATTTCAAGTAGCAGTGCCACTTCACCCATGCATATGAACAAGCACATTTGCATATTAAAAAGCTGAAAATTATTTAACTGAAGCAAAAGTCTTTTAGAGATGATGGAGGTTATTAAAACTGTTGACAAGAAAGAAGGTAATTGCCTGAAAATGAGAGATGACATTCTGCTATACACAGGGAACGTTGTTTTTGTTGTATTGTGCAGCAGTGCCTGGGTGTATAACCTATTACATTGAGATTGCTCCTATGCAATTAGACCCTTTTTGTCCTCACTTCAATAAGGCTATGATTATGAAGGATTGAAGAACACTTGGCATATTGAATGTCTGTTGTTTTTATAACTTCGTCAGAAATGACAAAACACGTTTTGTGTCCTGTTTTTTCTTTGTAGGCTTATTGATTCTGTGATTATAATATTCATAAAAGACAATGTGTTCATGGTTGAACACTCTGTCATTTATACAGGTTTTATTTTTTTCTGTCTCAGCATAGTATTTGTTTGAATGCCAAGGTGTTAGTCATAAGATGAGCAGATTTTTAAAAGTAAAAGATGAATAGGTGAGAAGTTTATCATGCTAATAACCCCAAATATTACTATTAAAAGTGTCATAAAATGGATGATTTCATAGGTTTCAGATGGAAATAATTCACCAACTAAGAAAACTTGAAAGCTATTTTATTTACTCTTTGATTTTGAGCTGTTTATTTTCATCAGATTTTTTAGTGCTCTTATTGTGCTTTGGTTGTGTTTGTTAGAAGAAATGAAGATTCATGGCCCTAGAGGAAGACACTTTCTTGATAGTCTGAGAGACAGTACATCTGGGTTGACTTAACTCCATTCTGAGGGTAGTAACCGAAACAAGTACAGTGAATATGGCAGTTGAAATGGAAACATGGAAATCATTGCAGGTGTAGGAAATTTCAGATTTTTTGCTTTATTAATATTATGCTTGTTAAAAGACTTTTTGTTAAAAGACTTTATATCTAATCATCTTAATTAGACTTCAGCTCCCAGCAGAACCATTGTAGCAATACTTGAAGTCCATTTTCATCACTGTATTTTTTTCTTGAAGATGAGTATTGGTATTCTTTGTGACGTAGCCATTGTAGTGTATTCAGGTGGACTTTAGGCCCATGTTAAACCACATTTTACTCTGGGCCAATCAACTTCTGCTTTTATTCCTTACAGAGATTTAAATCCTGGACTGGTTTGTCAGACACAGAATTGATAGGCTGCGAATAAAGCCCAGATGCACCTAGAAAGTTTTCTAGGAGTTTGTCATTTATGTGCTCTTTTTATTCTTTGATTTGGATGCATCTGGGCTTTAGTAAATCAAAAGGCACACCTAGGTTTTTTGTTAGCAGCTGTCTGGTTTATCTAATCTGACGTGTTCATTTCTTTAAGTTGAAGACAGAAAATGTCTTTAGGCATAGCAATCTGACTCTTGATTAGAAAGATAAAAGTGAGATACCTCAGTTGTTTTTGAACGCACATTATTTACTGCCTGCTGAAAACCTTAGCTATTTAAGAGATGAAAATCCTGAGGTAGTCATGCTCAAAGAGTAGGTTATGGAAGCTACCAGAGTGTGCCAGACTTGTCAGTTACTTCATATGCACAGATCTAGTCACATATCCTGCACCTTGATTTCTATTCATACAACCAGGGAGTTGTATGAAATTGTTAATTTTATTCCCTAATAGGTCATCTTGTTTAAAACTGTTAAGAAAAATCTTAACCTTACTTCATGTAACTGATTTTAGTAGGGAGTAATAATTGTTTTTAACTATACAAATAGCTAATGGAAAATTTTTTTCTTGGTAAATTAAAATTTTTGTTTTAATTCTTGCCATTTGTTTTGGTGCCATTACTTAATTTTTTTCTCAATAAATTCATTAATATGAGGACATCTTGTGCCCAGAATTCATTATATTATTTTATCTGACCTTTGAATAATTATCAGTTTGTGGATTAGAATTTTAAAAAACAAAGGTCAGAAATTAGCTTTCATTTTAATTTGTGAAAAATTGTATACTGGATATATTTATGTTAAATATGATTTGTTTAATGGAGACTAAGAAATAGGTTTGAGACAAATCAGGATTGTAGATCTCTGAATGTGTTCTGGAAATGAAAGTATTATATAAAATACTTTCTCTTTGTCCAAGGATAACTTCTACATAGAGACATCATATAGTACTGAGAAATCAAAGGTGTACTTTTTGGTAACTGAACTGTTATGAAACTTCACTATCTGGTATGTCATTGACAAGCCCTCATAGGCTTATATATATTAATAGCATGTCCCCATAAATGTTAGAATATTTAATAAATGAATGACTGGGCTCTAAAATATCTTACTAAAAAGTATATTTGAATGTACCAATGTTTAGCATTTCAGTGGTTTGAAGAAAATTCTAGCTTTAGAACATATCTGCTTTCTCCACTTAGATATCTACTTCTGATACTGCTTTTTCTCATATTTAGTATATCTAATGCCCTTGTAAACAAACACAAAGCCCACAAACCATCCTATTATGAGGATGGGAATGGTAAAAATGAGACTATAAAGCATATAAAAAGAGCAGGTTCACCAGGTCATGTGGACAGAAGTTGAATAAAGTATTTAGGTGGCTGATCCAGAGTAGGATAACTATAAACTCAAATATATTGAAAGACCAGGCCTTAGCATAGTCTTGAGTTGAGCAAGGGTTTGAAGAAATTGTATATGATGGGAAGAGAATCTTCTGAATCGGGGTTATTTCCAGGGAATACTGGACCCTTGAGAATTCACACTGTACTCCTGCCTTTTCTCTACTCCCTCTCTTGAACATTTTTCAGGTGAAATCAAGTTAATGAATAGCCAGTGTACCTGTAAAGTATGAAAGGCAGCACAAAGCCTGAAGGATATATATGAAGGTGGGAGACAATGTTACTAGGAAGTTTGGCTCAATTCCACCCTTCTCTTTTTTCAAAGGCAGATTAAATGTATGTGAGCTTAAATATACTTTAAATTTCATTTACAACCCATCTTTCTTCTTCCCTGCTCACTATTTTGGAGTCAATGGGAAACTTAGGAACCACCTGACGGTACCCAAGGCCCAACAAAGCTTCCCAGTGTGGGGTCAAATGTGTAATGGCTTGACTTTGTTGTATAAATGAGTATACCAGGAATTCTCTGGGTCTTTGTTAAGTTAATAATACTCTAATCGTACATAGTTTACAGTTTGCAAAGGGCTTTTGCATGCCTTATTTCAGCCTCATAAAAATTTTGAGTGTAAGGAAGGACAGATACTCTTATGCTATTCTAGAAATGAGGAAATTAATGATTAATGTATTGAATAGCTGGTAAATGGGGAGCTGGAGTAAAACTTTAGGGCACTTAATACTTATTTCAGTGTTTTTTCTATTCTTCTATGTTTCCGTTCAACATGGTAAGCACAGTGTCCAGGTGGAGTACTTGAGTTTAATGGGGCCCTTTGAGCTAACTTGCATTTCAGGCTTATTAGGATTGCATGAACTCAGTTGGCCTGTACTTTACTTGACCATTGTTAATGTCTTCAGGGTATGAGGAGGTTCTTTAAATACAGCAATAGTATAGGAGGAGCGTGTGTGTGTGTGTGTGTGTGTGTGTGTGTGAGAGAGAGAGAGAGAGAGAGAGAGAGAGAGAGAGAGAGAGACAGAGAGAAGAGAGATTAAAAGGAGAGACTAACAGGAAGAGATGGTATAGCACAATATAGCATCTCTTTGCCCCCAAATACCTAATCAAATAAACTATTGCTCTTCTCTTGAGTGACGCTTTTCATCAGAACAACAATTTTACATTTCATAGATTCATCTACATAACTATGTTAACAACAGCAACAGGAAAGTATATTTGTGTTTTCATGTTGCTTTGAAAAAACTGTCAAATTTAATTTTTTTCTAGCATTTTTCATAACAAACTTCTTCCATTAAAAAAACCTTATGGTGGAAAAATTTTCAAACCTACACAAAAGTAGAGAAAATAGTATGATGAGCCCTTATGGACCTATCATCTAGCTTAAACAATCATAAATATTTCATCTGTTCTACCACTTTTTTGGTTAAAGTTTAATTAAAAAATATAAATCATGAAATATGTCAAAAAATAATAAACCCAAATTTCTGCTACTATTATTTAACAGATATTAATAGTTTAAATTTATATTCCTTATATGAAACATGAGCACAGGACTGCAATAATTGGAAGATAGAAAATAGGCAAAGGGCACTGAAATAGAAGAGAATGGTAAAAGCACAATTTTCCAAAATATGTCTGCTAGCATTTCCTTTTTATAAGACACCACTACACATAAAAATTCATGTGACTCATAAATACCTCACTGAACACAGTGATCATCATATTAAAAGATATCTTAGTTATATTGAAGTATATGCTATATAGAGAGAGCATATAGCATATATATGCTGAATATGAATTGAAGGATATGCTGTATCTCTTAGTTATATATTAGTAATATCTTAAGACAATTTGGCCTGCAGTTTAGTAAATAGAATGTCCAGGAGCATTCCTCTTCTTCTTGATATGTACTAAGAATTTCTTGCTGCCAGGTCTGCCTGTTGGGAAGTCAGCAACAGTGACTAAAACTTCAGTAGACTCTTTAAGCAATGACGTTAGTCATTGCTTAGACACAAAACTAAGTTGCATAGATCCCAGTACACACTGAGATGCTTTTATCTAGCAGCTTATTCTGAATATCACCGTGGACCCTGGAAATCTGTAAAAGACATTCTCTTATTCGAGAAGGAAATCCTCTCCAGAGGCAAGAAATAAGACAACAACTGGATATTCATTTTATATGGCTTTAAAAATCATGATATTTTGCTTTATTTCAAGAAGCTCAGTTTCCTGAATTTGTGAGTACTTTTACCTTGGAACACTGTATCTTATCATTTTATAAGGCATATAATAGAAACGTATTCATTTTATTTTTCTATGCCAAATATGTATTCTCTTGGGAAATTCTAACAATGGAAAATACAAACAAATGTATATTATATTTGAGGGTTCATCAGAAGACTCATTTGCTTCCGTATCAATTGAAAACATTTACAGAGACTTTAGGTGGTTTTCCTGCCATAGCACATTTGTATTAGTAATATAGTTGAAATAACTTTTATTGATTTAGGATCAGGCAACATCTCAGAAGTATCTCTGAGTCTTTGTGATGATCATAGGATACAGCATAATAGAAAGTGTAGAAAATTGGGTGAATTTTTCATTCATTCGTTCACAGACATTTATTGAGCTCTTGTTGCATATTAAGCACAGTGACAGTCACTGGCATGTTGAAAAACACCCTGACATTTAAAATTTTTTAAATTCCTTCTAAAAATATATATAAATATATATACATATTTGGGATGGAGTTTCGCTCTTGCTGCCCAGGCTGGAGTGCAATGGTGCGATCTCGACTCACTGCCACCTCCGCCTCCTGGGTTCAAGTGATTCTCCTGTTTCAGCCTCCCGACTAGCTGGGATTACAGGCGTGTGCCACCACGCCCAGCTAATTTTTTGTCTTTTTGGTAGAGACAGGGTTTCTTCATGTTGATCAGGCTGGTCTCGAACTCCTGACCTCAGATGATCCCCCTGCCTTGGCCTCCCAAAGTGTTGGAATTACAGGCATGAGCCACTGCACCTGCCTTAAAAATATTTTTTACAATTATTCTATCAGTTTAATATTAAAACATTCAGTTAATTAGCATTTTATTTGTTGTAGTCTAGTTATTTGATATTTTAATGTCATTTATTTTGTTTTTTATATTTAATGAAAGAAAACTGGCAGGTTTGTTTCATCTGTTGTCCAGTTAGGCTCACTTGACTATACTGCCCTTCCAATAAAACCTAGAAATAGTCTGTTTTATCTAAAAAATTATAATTTATAATCTAATTTGCAACTGAAGTATATACTATGTGCTTTTAATGTACCTTAGTTATATGCCAATGGTCATAAATAAGAAGAGATAAGAAAGTGTTTAGACCTTAGGACATGTGTTTCATTATTACTGAAAAATCATTCAAAATACCAAGCAGATTAAATGAGCACAGTGGTAGGCACATGGGACAAGAATTTGAATAAAATACAGCTTTACCAGAAGAGGCTCACAAGGGAAATAGTAGCGGGTGGGTTTGGTATGGACGTAGGGGTAGACTGACATACGTGGGTTTCTATTGCACCCACACTTCCTGGATCATAGCTCTTCTAAAACACATTTGCATTTGCTTGGTGATGTACCTGTATTCCCTAGTAAACTGATGCTCAACCAGGGAAGGGCACCGTGTTTGTTTAATTCACCTTTTTCTTCCCAGAACCTAGCATATTGCCTAGAACATAAAAGGCGATCAATAAATATCTGTTGGGGAGTGAATATAAAAGATTATATTAATATAATATGTTAAACTATATAATAGAAGCATGAATAAGAAGGGAAATGTAGAGTAAATGGTACGAGAACTAAAACATCTTCTTTGAAGTGTGTAAAACTGAAAATATTCTATATCCACGTACAGTAAAACTAGGTTTACTTGTACTCTGTCAGAACACTCTTTCAACAGATATTTTTGCCTATTGACAAATGACAATAACATTTGCAAATTGTTAAATCATTCCTGAAGCAATACAAACTAAATTATGTTCAGTAGCAAATAACATAAACTCTATGAAAATTAATAGCCCATGTACTAATGTAGTAACTCTTTTAGTTAGATTATTTAATTAGCATGAACACCCAGTTCTCTACTGTAAGAGATATCAGAAGCAGCTTGATAGACTTGAGAGAGAAGGTATCTGTAGTCTTAGGTGATTGGAGTTAACATTTTAGGGTTGAAAATAACACTTCTTTCTTGCTAAATATTAATGTAAGAAGAAAGAAGTATTCTATCTCATTATTAATAGTGTAAACACATTATTTAAATATTGATATTAGAAACTGTGCATAATTATACTCTGAATTTGGTCATCTTTTATATTTTTCAGCAAGTCTTTCTTTCAAGATTTCTGGAGTACCTTAGTTATTTTAAACCATAACTGCTGAAAGGAGAATAACATGAATCTAGAGAACTTTTTAAAAAGTAACTGAAATTATCGAACATTAGCAGCATTGAATAGAGTTTCCTCTCTGACATAACAAGAAAATATGGTAAATATAATCATTCTTTGTTATAGGTTTGTTTGTGTCCTTCACTTGAGATAATTTCTTTTGCTATGTAGTGCTTAAGAACACAAAATAAAAATAAAAATGTTCTTAATAAGGTTTAGCACCTTTAATTGAAATAAAATTAAAGCCACAGAAGTAATCTTTTAGTGTTTTACAAAGGGTTTTCTTATGTTAGTGTTGTGTGTTTATGTATGTGTTTCTAACTTCTTTTGAAAATTATGGTTTAAAGAAAATTATTTTCTGATAAACTATCTAGAGGTAACTTATTTGGGATAATTTATTGTTTCACCTTTTGAACATAATTTTCTTGAGCAATTTTATTGTACAACATAAAATCATCTACTTTTTATTATGAAAGCATTCAAGAATTCTATGCAATGTTTTTGATATATATTTCTATTTTAATATTTTTAATCAATTTATTTTTTAAAAGTAGGTTGTCAAATTTTCTTGTTTATGATTGTTTATAGATACTGAAAACAGCCTGTTTCTTGCATGAATACTATTTGAGTCATCTACTACTTGAAATGTGGTTTGGATATTGCCATTCAATTGATATGAACTGGGTGGCACCAAAATAAATGTTTTCATTTTTATATTTGGCTTTGACCCTCAGCAGAGTCATATATATATATATATATATATATACAAATTATATATAATTTACATATATATACAAATTATATATAATTTACATATATATATATATATATATATACTCACATCTCATAGGGCTCCCTTTCTCTCTCTCACCAAATAAATTTTGATTCTCCCATTTTTAATATGGGCAATTATAGAGTTGTATTTGATATCTTGCCAAAATATTGGGCAAATATATGTGTGCTTGTATAATCACTTCAAGTAGTAAGAACATTAATTTTAAAACTGTGGTTTAAAAATATTTTTAATTTTCATAGCTGATAAAGTAGTAATGGATTGTCAAAATGTATAGTTTTTTGGCGTATACATATTTTGACAATTGATATTTAGTTTGAAATTTCTTTAAATAACCTCCAAATTCATACCTATTTTTGCTATGGTTTAATAATAAATATAATTCAATAATAATGAATTATATATCTTCAAAATGGCAAATAGACTTTCAAAAACTGTTCAGGATCAAATGTTCTTATCATGGAAATGTGTTTTTTTAACCACCATTTAAAACTGGGCTTAAAAATTTAAAAAAGTTAGTGGGTATCAAGAAACAGTTATAGCTGGCCAATTTGATAGAGTTACTTTGCATATTCAAGAAATTCCTGTATTAATCTCTACTTCACATTCATTGTGTATGTAATGTTCCAATAATTAAACTTGTAAACATTTTAAAAATAAACTTTATTTTGAGTCCAGAAAACTTAACTACTTTCTTGATGAAAAGTAAAATAAATGAATATCTGTATTTCTTTCCAATAAAGACTGGCAGGCATGGTTTCATTATCCTTTCATCAAATACATATTCTTTATTATTATTTTATAATATTTAGTATAAGAATTATTTGATTGCATCTCTTCACCTCAATGGAAGGGAACAGATATAAGGCATTTTATTTGAGTTTCATGACTATATATTTGACTGAGAAATGAATATATGAAAATATTGTGGTAAACTTACTGAGATTTATGAGAGAAAGTATCCCAAATTAATTTTTTTTCTTGCATCTAGTGTGCATTGTATGTCCTGAATTTCCTAAATCTGTATTGTCCTTTTTAGTAAAAGGGTGTGTGTGTATATATATATATATATATATATACATGATTTTATATATATGTGATTTTATATATAATAACTTGTGTATATAACTTGTCTAATATTATGTAACTTGCTTTT
This sequence comes from Homo sapiens, assembly GCF_000001405.40. NCBI lineage: Eukaryota > Metazoa > Chordata > Mammalia > Primates > Hominidae > Homo > Homo sapiens. The sequence goes on along the minus strand of NC_000011.10, from coordinate 16,281,906 downwards.
ATGTTAACGTTTATATTTGTGTGTTCGTATAACTCAGTGAAAATACACATAATAAAGCCATGACTTTTTTGGAATCTGAAGATATGAATTTGCGTTGGTGTATCATCATGGGAAAATCACTTAACCTTTTTGAATCTTTTATAATATTGGGAAGTTATTACCTAGGTGACAACATTAAATAACACATTTAATGAAGCTTAAATAATATAGAATGTTTAAATCACTTGCCAGACTTAAGTACTATATTAACAGATATTAATATGGAATCTGTTTTATAGTCACCATAGGGTCTATTAAATACGTATGTTATTGATTACTAAGAATCAACAAAGTTTTACTAGGTTTGGAGATTTTGTTCCAATCACTTCCACTATTCCTGAAAGCTTTGATTATGTCTGACAAATACAGTAGGAAAAATGAAATACATCTGTATATAATGTGTGGATATAAATATTTATGTGTGTCTTTGTAAAGATTGCTCTATCTTGTGGGAAAAATACTCATATCTTCAATGGTAATTCATGTGTCTTTCATTCAAATAAATGTACGAAAACTTCTTTGACATAGCATTTTGGGGTCTCTGTTACTCGGAGAGAGAGAGAGCATGCAGGCAGGGTAGCAATGACCATACACATATATGTGACACATACACGACCAAAAGCAATTTGAAAAGCTATGACTTCTGAACATTTGACATCTTGGATCCAATTTTATTTTTTAAAGGGGTTTATTCTGTTGGTAATAAAGTTTTAGGCTTTACTTCTGATACTTGGAAACTTCTTTGGAAGGGCAGATGTAGAGTGAATAGAAAAACTCTAACTCTCGTGTAGCTGCAAGGAAGTTTATCCTCTTTCTACTGTCCTACTTTGTTGAGGGCTGACTCTTTCAGACTGTAGGGATGATTTAAATTAATGACAATTGTACTGATCTGCTATAACTCCAGAGTACATTTTGTTTTCAACTAAAATGGATTTGGTTTCTATCAATATGTAGTATTTATATGACAAAACGATAATTAAGGCAAAGGAATTTATTGAAATAGTATGTTATTTATGTTATTACAGTGTCCTTATATATGCATATTGAATATTCATACATATAACCATACAATATGAACACCTTTCTTTGTTTTTAAAAATGCATGTCTAGCACATAAGTAATTCAACCGTACACAAGATAATACGATTCTCTTTAACTACTGGTGCCATTAGTCATTTGGTGAGAAAGTAGCTCATGGTCTATAGGGAAACACAGTTTGATTTGGATTGGGTTTTAAGAAGTCATTGTTTTGTTTGGAAAATGTGAAATCGGTGAATGAGCTTGTTCTCTTTGTAGAGGATTACAATAACACACGGAAGCTTATGAGTGCTTCTGACAGATGTGTTGGCGGTTTGCCACAAAGTGAAGGGTGCGGCCCTGACTGACAACTTGCAATTATATTATGATGAATGGTTCTGATGTGTGTTCAAGAGAAAACCACTTTCTAGAAAGTGAAAGTCATGCATACGGTTTCTATAAAAAAAAAAAAAGCTCAAATAAAGTATTATAACTTTCTATTTTATTTAAGCCCAAATTTGGTGGGCTAACCAATTTGAGTCATTCCCTTCTCACAAAGGTCTCTGTTTTTGATAAATCAAGGACAAAATCCAAAATTTTTGTGGGGAAAGCAAATTTGATATCATTTTTGGCATCAAAATTACTGTATCTGCATTTTCGACAAAACTGACATCTCCAAGGAAATATTTGACTCTTACGCATACACTGAAAACATATACATATGTCCATGGTTGGCCAATAAGACTAATGGAGTCAAGCATTGAGAAAGAAATGGCCTTTTTTGATTAAGTCATTTCTTGATACATTTTGTTGTTTGCTTACCATTGAAAAACTTTGTTTTCAAATGACGTGTGGACTGAAGCTTTGGGTCATTTTGAAATTGTTTTCACCCTTTTCTGATTTAATTTATCTTAAGAAAACTCTGAGTATAGCATCCAAATATAGATTTTTCAAGAGTTAGTATGCCTCATTGGTATACAATTTAATTACTCAGTAATCAAGCTATAATGCATAAAATATGTATTAACTAAGCTGGCACTTTTGTTTTCATGAATTAAGAAAAAGTTGATTTTCAAAAACTAAATCAAATAAAAATGTGAAAGTAGGTTTTGGGTGTATTTTCTTGCACAATACTTAAATTGTGCAATTTGTAACTAACTTTCAGCATATTTACCTAGCATATCTTATTTAAAATACTGTTATTTTGAAAATGTAAGTTTTCATCTGATTCTCTGATGTTCCCAAGGCATATTATTATTGAAGTTAGTCAAGGACTCTGTATTAAAAATATTTAATAAGCAACATTGTAATTGTGAAGATGAAATTCAAATACATGCTGCAACATTTAGCATATAAAGAAATATAGTCACAATAGCCAAACTCTTCAGAAATTGAAATATGAAAGTGAGATATTAAATAGTATTATTTTTAAAAGATAGTCTAAAAACTGGAGGAAGAGAATTATTGATTTACCCTATATTTCTCAAAATTTGTCATATGATTTTGCCTTGTATAGGTTAAAATGAGGTCATATAAAGTCTTGATATGATCCAAAAACAAGTTTCTTAGGAATTTGAATGACTTTATATCTCAGTTTTATAGTATCCAGTTTTTGTCCTTTGGACTTGTTTTCTTTTCATTCCCTTGGTAACATTTAGGGTGTATCCACTGTTGTATTTCAATAGTGGGACTTTTTCATTGTTACTGAAATACATTAAGCTTTTCAGAGTAAAAGAATGGCAGTGTGGAAATTACAGCATTCTTGTGAAAGTATCAAGAGTCCTGCAGTTTCGTTGTAGACAGAAATTCTAAGAGGAAAAAAAGACACTCACATAAGCTTTTTAGTGTTTTTGCTCATTTCACATTAGTCTTCCTGTACCTATTTTTTCCTCTGTGGCATCAACTCATCATTTACCATTTGAACCTATACATCCAAGAATAGGAAAATGAAGGCTTGATCAACTGGATGGTTATTGTTTTCTTTTTGGGTTTCTGTTTTTGAAGCCCTCTGAATTTTCTTTACCCCATTAGATCTAGGTCTATATTCTAGCCTCATTTAATAATCTATAAGAATTTTCTGTCATTTAGGATTTGAGTCCTTACTGTTAAAGTGACCTGTAGGTTTTCTCTTCATCCATGTTCAAGTTGATAAAATACATTATTTTCATCTTCAGGTTTTCTTTCACTATCTAATTTCTTTCTTTTTTTTTTAATCAAGCTCTAAACTTGATGTTATTGTTCTGGGGCCCCAAATCTTTGTGCTTGATTTAGTTTTCACTTGGAAGAGAAATAGTCACCATCTATTTGCAGGTGCAAGTTAAGGCCTGTTAGAAAGCTTGGCGTCTACGCTATGAGCTCTGAGTAATATTTTCTAGTGTATAGTTTTGATCAGATGAAGTGTGTATTTGTGGGAAGAAAGAAGCTTGTATTGTTTTATGTTTGTACCATAGGTCATAATTACTGTATTGTTTATAGGATAATAAACTCATTAGGCAATTATGCCTTGTTGGGTTATTTGAAACATTTGTTTTTAACTTGAATGCTCTCAGGTAGGTAATAATTAGATTTCATTTGGGATCTTTTATTTTAATGAAAGTTACCCAGAATAAACTGCATTTTTTTTGGTTTAAAAATTAAAAAAACGTTATTTGGCATTTTGGAAGTAAGCTAGGCTAAATAGTAGTAGCAAAAGAGGAAAGTCAGTTTTTCCTCTTTAAATGGTTGAGATAAGGTAACTTAACATTTTATAAGATTTAGGTAAAATTTGCCTGGATTGTTCATTGTTGATCCTATCAATCACTAAGAGAGAAATATATATATAGGCTGTGACTTTTATCAAGTACTTTCTGTAATACCAGGCATTGGCCAAGTGCTTTTAATACATGATCTCATTTAGTATTCACAATAACTCTATGATGTAGATACTATTCTTACTTTGTAAATGATAAAATTGGCCTAACCAAGGCCACAAAGTTAATAATAGGCAGAACCTTACTTTGAAACCACGTTGAATAACTCCAAACCCAATGTGATTAATTATCTTGCTATATATTAAACTATAAGGGAAATTGACTGTAAAGTGAATGCTACACTTCCAATCCCCCAGCAGGGGAGGAAAGAAAGATAAACGAATGTGGGATTTTCTATCTTCACTCCTGATCCAAAGAAAGTGTGGAGTCTTTGGAGCAGCTATAGGCTGAGGGGTAAATGGAAGGTTAGTAGCCTATGAAGATTTATCTTTTGTTAAGTACTTGTGGAAGATACCAGACTTTATTGTGCAGTCCAATTTTTTCTTTTTATTCTATCTGCTTCTTTGTAACAGGAGCTGATCACACAGTGTTTACAGTCAGCTTGGATTCCATAACAAAATACCACAGACAGGATGGCTTAAACAACAGAAATTTATTTTTCACAGTTTTGGAGGCAGGAAAGTTGAAGATTGAGGTGTTGGCAGATTTGGTTCCTTGTCAGGGCTGTCTTCCTGCTTGAAGATCTCTGTCTTCTCCCTGCATCCTGGCATCCTCACATGGTGGAGTGGGTGGGGGCAGTGAGAGGGATAAGAGGGAGATCTCTTCTTCTAAGGTCAATAGTCCTGTTATGAAGGCCCCACCTTCATGATCTCATCTAAACCTAATTACCTCCCAAAGACCACGTCTCCAGATACCATCACTTAGAGGGTAGGGCTTCAGCATATGAATTCTGGGGGAACATAGTTCAGTCCATAGCACAGAGTCCTCTCATGCCCCTTAGGTAATCTGCCTTAGAGCAAGGATTCTTCGGTGACAATGTTTAACATATATAGCTTCTCCCACTAAAGTGTTCTTTGGTGCTAGGCATGGTGAGCATTTATGTCTTAGATTAAACTGTTTTTACTAGAATGCTCACTGCGTGTGAAAAGCTAAGTGTTTTAAAAATGTTACCTCATTTAATCTTTGCAGCAAATGAAGAAATTGTGGTTCAGTTATACTTCAGGTGACAAAATTATTAGGTGCTAAAACTGGCATTAATTAGGAATGTTTTAAGATGCAAGTATCCACAACAAAAGAAAACAAATAAAACAAAATACTCAACACACTGTAGCTTAAAGAAATAGGTGTTTAATTTTTTCACATAGCAGGAAGTCTGAAGGTAAGTGGTTTCTGGTATGGGTACAGGAGGTTGACAATGTTAGGACTTGATTGCATTCCTGCAAATCCTCTGGCCTTCCCTTTATCATTATAAGATGGTCGCAGCAGGCCCACATTCTGTAAGAGGGAGCAGTGGATGGTGCATGACGAAGAATTATTCTATTTATACCTTTTTTATTTGGGGGACAGAGGTAATCAAGGTTAAAAAAATTCTTTTCCAGAAGACCCATAGCAGGCTTTCTTCCATGTCTCATTATCTAGAACTAGGTCACATGACTAATGACCCTAGCTGCAAAGGAGACTAGTAATGCAAATGTTTTGATTTTCCAGTTTCTCAAGTGGAAAGCAGTTGAAGGAGAAGGGAATCATGAATGGCTTTTTCATTGCCAACCTAGTCTCTTACAGGGCTACACTTATAGCCAAGGTCTTTAGGTTTAGTTTCTACCTTTCTGGCAGAATCTCTAACTTTGCTGAGGAAGGACTTGCACATATTTTTGCAAATCTGAGAAGTCATATTTTTGTGTCTCTTTAGAGATAATTTTGAGTTACATTTACAGAAAGTGGTAGAAGTAAGTTTGGACTTAGACTTTCTCGGTCAGGATCCTACTTCTACTATATATTAGCTATCTGGACTTGAGGAAGTTTCCCAACTTCTCTGACCTCATTCTACATACTTGTATATTTTAATGCAATTCATATATTTAAAGTACTTAGTTTAATGTACATCATATTATATCAAGTGCTATCATATCAGATACTCAAAAACTGTTATAGTATTTATTCCACTATAGGTAAAAAGAGAAGAAAAGTCTCCCAGATAACTACAAATATTACAATATGAATCTATTTATATTTTTGATCCTTTGTAATAAAGTGTCTAAGATGATATTCACTTCCTGATCTGAGGAAAGCTAAGAAGTACTTGAAATTATTACATGTGATAACAAAAAGCTAGATAAGTTTTCCAAGAAAACAAATGCATATATGGTTTCTATGTGTAAGTTGCTACTCCAATTCCAACTCTATTGCTATCTCTGTCTACCCTTTCTGAAATGTCCTATTCTCTAAAATACCTATGCTTCCTTTTCCCTTATCAAATAGGCCCTTTGTATAAGTGATCTTAGGTGATAGGAGGAAAAATATTTGATTAAGGTATTTTAAATTCGATTAAAATAATTCACAATAAGATGTTAATAACCAATTGGCTTAACTCCCCAAAGGAAGAGGTGTTTTTTTGTTTTGTTTTGTTTTGTTTTTTGTTCTTTTTTGAGACTGAGTCTCGCTCTTTCGCCCAGGCTGGAGTGCAGTGGCACGATCTCGGCTCACTGCAAGCTCCGCCTCCCAGGTTCATGCCATTCTCTCCTGCCTCAGCCTCCCCAGTAGCTGGGACTAGAGGCACCCGCCACCACACCCGGCTATTTTTTTTTTTTTTTTTTTTGTATTTTTGGTAGAGATGAAGTTTCACCATGTTAGCCAGGATGGTCTCAGTCTCCTGACCTCGTGATCCGCCCGCCTCGGGCTCCTAAGAGGTGTTTTGTTTTAAAGATGAGCTTATGAAATAATTGCGAAGAATCCTTACTTTGTGTAATATGTAAGGGGAATTTAAGAAAATGTATTATAAAACTCAAGTGTACAAAAAGCTAGAAAGAATGTTATAATTAACCCTTGTATACCCATTACTTAGATTCTAGACTTTTCAAGATTCTGCCCCTCTGTATCCATTAGTCTTTTATTCCTTTTTCTTTTATTTCTTTTCTGAAGTAATAGGGAAATTTAAAAAGTAAGACATAGCTGTCCAATGCCCCTTGCCTAGGCTACCTGCATACTATTATACTTAATGACATAATAATAAGGTGAGAATTTGTTACACAAAGCCAAAAGGCCTAATAATTTATTTAGGGGAAATCTCTTAGTTGAGATTTCACGTATTGTCTTTGGGTTAGCTGTCTGAAAATACTTAAGAATGAACAAGTTTGATTGTGACCTTTGTATCACTTTCTATGCTGAGGAATAACTTCATTTTTGGGCAGCATGATGAATACAGCGCCTTTAATCCTTTTGTTTTTAATTTAACAAATGTGGGAATGTGCAAAGAGGGGAATAATCATTTGTCTTCTTGCTACCCAGCACTAAACATGGTTAATCTCTTTGCATATTTACCTCTGTGTGTTTTTAAAGAAAAATAATTGTTGTTTTTCTTTTAAAGATCCTTTTGAGAAAGAATCAATACAGAAATGTATGAAAATTAAAAATAGAAAAATTAATACCACCACCTAGAAATTAACATCATTAATATTAGATAGATATCATTCTTACACATTTATACAAATGGAAGGATAAGTGAGTGGGCATATGGATGGGTGGACAAATGGAAAGGCTTTTGTAAAAATGGGGTCATACTGTAGATGCTATCTAAATATAAATTGATACATTTTATTTTACTTTATAGAAAAGAAGAAACCAAGGTAGAATTAGAGGAGTTGCTGAATCCCAAATCAATGTTTATTTTTAGCATTAGGGATAATATTTGCTAAAAGATTTCCCTTAAGGCTTAAAAACTGGAGAGGAGGGACATTATGAAAAATTAAGAGGCTTTCTCATTATGTCTAGTTTATAAAAGCTACATATTTATTTTTAAAAGAAACAGTTGGCTTTCTGTTTTGAAAGATAAGGGCATTATACACTTTCTCCCAAATCTCTACTGCCCACTTCTCAGTTTTTGTTAATTATTTTACTTTTGCATTGTTTAGGTTTATAACATTTACATTCTTTTTGTATTTATAATTCCCATAGTTGTTCAATGTTTATTCTATATGTATATGAATTTAGTCATCACTCCTAATTCTTTTACCACAGCTTCTCTTTTTCTGACTTTTTTTCACTTTTTCTTTTAGTTGGCAGAATTTCATTGTTAAGAACAAGGCCCTCTTCTTACAGCCCCCTAAGGGCTTAGGAGTGTAGTATTCCCAAATTTCTATAACATTTGTATCTACCTGTTTTTCATCTTCGTATGTGACATCTTTCTTTAGCATTATATTCTTGATCATGTTTTTTTTCTTCCAGGATTTTTGTATTTATTTCCTCCTGGTTGCCTCTTTGCCTTATCTCCTTAGAAGATGGAGAAAATTATTTCTCAGGGGTGAAAAAATATTGAGGTAGATGTGGGGGAGAACTCAGCTGAGGTGACATGTAGCTTTTATTTGGGATCTGAGCTGTCTCCTCTGAGATTTTGCAATTTGAATGGGGATCAGGGTCTATCATTCATTCAGAAGAATACTTTTTGGATCATTGACCAGATTTATTGTATAGACTAGATTATTTACATCTGTCAGACAGAAATAGCCCTGTGGTTCACTTTCCCTATATTATTTTTCTTCTTATTTTTCTTTTCTACTACAGATTGAAAATGAAGAAGATAACAAAACTTGTTCAGTTTGCTTCTTTCCAGATTTGGAAATATTAATGACAATTCTTAGTATTTTGTTGACTCACGCACATCATCTCTATTTCTTTCCTTGGTTGCTAGTTTTTGAGGTTTATTACATTTAGTTATTTTGCTTTTCCTGTTTGGTAGCTGTTGGTAATTTTTTTTCTGACTTTAATTTTGTATTTTAATAAGTAATTGACGGAGTGAAATTTGTGAGCTAGTTTTGATTTGCCTTCATAATCAGAAATCTTGCATCTTTAATTCTTGTTGGAAAAGTATAATTCAATAATACATCTATCTAACATTTTCAGGTAACATTTTGACTTAAACCATGAGAAGAGACTTGATTGCTAATATTAATCCCATTTTAAAATACATATATCTCAAGGCCAGCATCTTCTTCAGGGTCTTTGCTACTCAAAATAACATTGTGCTAGATGGAGTGTTATAGCACATCTGCTATAAGGCTAGATGAGGTTGAAAGCAGAGAGGTTGAAAATGTCAGGAGAGGACAGGAAGCAATACAGAGTTCTAGAATTTCTCTTGAATGTATATGGGAACTTAATTTGGTCTCATTTATTTCATTCATTAAAAGTCATTTTTCATCTATATCTTGAGACAATGTTTTCTAGAACTATTTATTATTGAGATTTAAATCAGATGACTTATTTTCTCATATCTATAACAATTGCAGTAATTATAAAATATTGATTGGTTGGAAATAATGACCAAATTACATATTTTGCTAAAGATCGTGAAATTACTTTAGCCCATAAAGAATAAGCTTTTTAATGCTAATGATACTGCAGTAATTATATACACTTTATATTCTGTTTTGAGACTGTTTATTTTTGCTCCTCAAATTTTGGCTAGGTGGGCAAATTCAGTGTAGTGTAGAGATTTTGTAGTAGAGAAATTGAAAGTGTTTAGAAACAGAAATTATTTATGGATTTAATCATTTGTGAAGTGGATAGATGACCATCTTCCCCCCTTTTTTTGGTTTCTGTGTTCTTAAAGTCTGCTAATCCCAGCCTCGAACTGTTCTTATGTAGTTTATAGTTTATATGTTCTTCACAATAAAAGAGATTGATGAGATTAGATGAATGAAATAAAGAAACTTTGATCATTAACACAATTTAAAATCAAAGGTCTTTATACCTGGAAATTAAGAAAAGAAAAATTTTTACTAAAAACTGTTAAATAAAAGGGGAAATATAATCTGAATGTTACAGAACTAAAAAATAATTATGAAGAAAACACTTCATTTTGAAATTTATGGAATACATTTTAAATGGTGATCAGAGGAAAATTCTATTTTATTAATATAATTAATCAGTAAAATTACAGAGTAAAATAAATGAATTAAATTATAAGTTAAGAAAATGATAAAAAAGACTCACCAATGAACCAAAGAAAAAAGCAAAGTAATAAATAATGAAGATAAAAAGCAGAAATTAATGTGATAATTTTAAAACAGTTTAATCAAAATATAGTTTAAAAATAATTAATATGTAATACAAATTTTAACTAAATTGATCAGTAACTTGAAAACAAAAACATAAACACGCAAAATATTGAGTGACAAAAGTAAAATGACAATTAAATTACAGAAAAATATAAAAATCAAAAGATCCCACTTTTTACATTTATATGCAAATAAATTTGAAAACCAATGTAATGTGGATCATTTTCTAGAGAAATAAAAATAACCAAAATTGACTCTGTTAAAGATAGAAAGCCTAAAGAGATTGATTTCCATAGAGGAGATAAAGAAAGTTATCACAGAAATACTCTTAAAGCACTAGGCCCAGAAAGTTTTACAGGAGAATGCTATCATATCTTCAAACACCAGATAGTCCCAGTGCTCCATAAATCATTCCAGAGCACTGAAAATAGAGGAAACTTTCTAAATATGTTTATGAAGTAACTATAACGTTATACCTAGACTGAGAAAACAGTACCATAAAAGTAAATTGCAGAAATTCACATAAATATTGATGGAAAAATACTAAATAAAATATGAGCAAGTATAATCAAATACCACATTAATAATAGATTATACAAAGTTCAAGTGGAATTATTCCAGTAGTGCAAGCTTGGATATTCCTTAATAGAATATATTATATTTATGGATCTAAGGAAAAAAAGTCTTGGAATAATCTCCAAAATGTTGAAAAAAGCTGCAAAATAATTTGTAACACATTTTTGATAAAATACTCAAAATATAAATGGATGTATTCTTTCTCTGATTTCTACTGTGGTAAAATAAATATAACATAAAAGTTACAGTTTTAGCCATTTTAAGTGTACAATTCATTACTCTTAATTACATTCATAGTTTTTATAACTATCACCACTATTCCCAAAACTCTTTCATTACCCTAAATAGAAACTCTGTAATCAGCAAACAATAACTTCCCATTCCCCAGTCCTGAAACTCCCTGGTAACCTCTACTGTACTTTCTGTCTCTATGAATCTACTTATTCTAGATATGACTAGGTAGAATTATATAATATTTGCCCTTTTGTGTATGACTTTTATCAACTAGCATAACATGTTTTCAAGATTCATTTATGCTGTAGCATGTGTCAAAACTACACTCCTTCTTATGGCTGAATAATATTCCTGTGTGTGTGTGTGTTTGTGTGTGTGTGTGTTATTACATTTTGTTTGTTCATTCATCTATTGATGGGCACTTGGTTTGTTTTTACATTATGGCTATTGGTAATAATGGTGCAATGCACAACATTGGCATATATGTATCTGAATTCATATTTTCATTCTTTTGAGTATAAACCTAGGAATGGAATTGCTGGGTCATAAAATAATTCCATGTTTAGCTTTTTGAGGAATTGCAAAACTGTTTTCCACAGTGACTACACCAATTTATTCCTCGCCTCCCCCGCAATGTAGGAGGATTCCAATTTTTCCACATCCTTAACAAACATTTGTCATTTTTATTTTCTTTTTTAAAAATTATAGTCATTCTAGCAGATGTGAAGTCATATGTCATTGCAGTTGTGATTTGCATTTCCCAAGTGATTAATGATGTTGAGCATCTTTTCATGTGCATCTTGGCCATTTGTAGATATTCTTTGGAGAAATGCCTGTTCAAGTCCTTTGCCCATTTTAAAATTGGGTTGTCTTTTGGTTGTCAAGTTGTAGAATTTCTTTATATATTGCTAATATTAAACCCTTATCAGATATTATTGATTATTTATTAACAGGACAAAATACTCTAGTTCTAAAGTGTACAACTTACATATGAAGAAATGCTACAGGAATTTCCCTTAAGATCAGGAACAAGGCCAAGCTGCCCACTGTCACCACTATATTCAACATTTTTCTGAAGGTATTAGCCAATGCAATTATACAAGATAAATGAATTAGAGGTATAAGAAGTTGTAACGAAGTAAAATTATCTATATTGGCAGATGATGTGATAGCATACCTAGGAATGCTTAGAAAATAAATTTTATAATAAAAGAAAAATTCTTCCGTGGTAAAATTAATATACAACAATTAATAGCTTTTGTAGAAAATAGCACAGCCAATTAGAGGATATAATTAATGGTAGAAAAAACACCATTTGCCGTAGCAACAAAGAAGATTAAATATTTAGGAGTAAACTTAAAAGAAAATATACAAATTTCATATGAGGAAAGCTTTAAAATAATCCTAAAAGACACAGTAGTACATCTGAACAAATAAAACGACATCCCCTTTTGGTGGATAGGGCAACTCAACATCATGAAGAAGTTAGTTATTTATAAGTTAATTTATAATTTTTAAATTTTTATAAATTTATAATTTATAAATGTAACACATTCCCCGAAGTTTTTATGATGAGGCTAGTCAAGTTGATACTAAAGTTCATATGGATAAACAAACATGCAAGAATAGTGAGGAATATACTTAAAAAGAAAATTACAAATGCAGGGGGTATGAGAATAGTCCTAATAGACATTAAAGCAAACTATAAAGTCTGTAATTAAAACTATGGAGTACAGTAATGGCAAATGAATAAACAAGGAGAATAAAGTCCATAATTAAACCCAAATATGTGTGGAAGTTTAGTATATAATGAAGTTAGCATTTCAAATCACTAGGGCATAGATAAACTTTTTAATATATGGTATAGCCATATATTAAATTCAAATGCGGTAGCCATTTAAAAAAGATAACGTTAGATCTATACTTAATACTATAGAAAAGAATAAACTCCAAAATGATCAGAGATCTAAGGGTTAAAAAAAAAAGCAATATATTGCAAGAAAACATAGGTGAATTTCTCTTGAATGAAAGGCCTTATGACTCAGAATCCAGAGATAATAAAGGAAAAGCATGCTAGATTTGAATACATACAAATAAAAGTATTTGCATGTTAAAAAGATCATAAGTAAAACCAAAACAAAACCTACAAATTGAGAGAAAATATTTGTCCATATATAAAAAATAAAGGACTAATATTCCTAATATATAAAGAACTCTGGAATTTCTGAAAATTTGAGGGAAATAAGGACAAAAAAATCTCAAAACAAAGAGAAAAGGACATGGATAGACAATTCAAAAAACAAATGTAAAAATGGCCCTATGTAGCCTATGAAGAGATACTATTTTCAATTATTGAAGCGATACGACTGTCAGATATTAAGAAAGGGGTGTTGAATTATCTGACTTACAATTGTGAATTTGTCATTTCTTCTTGTAGTTATATCAGTTTGTGATACGTATATTTTGAAGCTCTGTTACTAGGTGCATAAACAATTAGAATGACCGTCTTCTCTATCGTATCATCATATATCATATCATATCATATACTTTGCCATTATGAAATGATCCTCTTTATCCCTGATAATAGTTTTTGCTCTAAACTCTACTTTGATATTTATATAGCAACATAGTCTTATCAAGGTATATATGAGTTTTGCTTTTTATCCAGCTTGACTATCTCTAACTTTTTAATGTTATGTATTGACAAATTATAGTTGTATGTATTTATGGGGTACATGATGATATGATGATTTTTGAAAATGATGTGGAGTGATTAAACTAACCTATTCATCATGTCAAATATTTGACATTTTTGTGACAAAAACATTCGTGATTTACTCTCTTAGTGATATTGAAATGTGCAGTACTCAATTACTAGCTATATTCACCATGCTATACAATATGTCTAAAAAAAACACTTATTTTTCTTATCTAACTGTGGCTTTGTAGCCATTGATTGCCATCTCTCCATTTCCCCATACCCTAGACTCTGGTAACCACCATTCTACTCTCTCCTTCTGTGAGTTGAGTTGTTTTAAATTCCACATATAAGTGAAAATGTGGTATTTGTCTTTCTGTGTTTGGCTTATTTGACTTAGCATGATGTTCTCCAATTCCATCCATGTTATTGCAAATGACATCTTTCTTCCTTTATTAAGGCTGAATAGTATTCTTTTGTGTACATATGCCACATTTTCTTTATCCATTCATCCATTGATGGACACTTAGCTTGATATTCCATAACTTGGCTATTGTGAATAGTGCTGCAGTGAACATAGGCATGCAGACATCTCTTTGACATACTGATTTTAAATCGTTCAGGTAAATTCCCAGAAATGGAATTGCTGGATTATATGTTAATTATATTTTTAGGTTTTTCAGGAACCTGCATACAGTTTTTCATAATGGCTATACTAACTTACATACCCACTAACAGTATACAAAAATTCCCTTTTCTCCACATCCTTGCCAACACTGGTTATCTTTGGTCCTTTTTATACTAGCTATTCTAAACAGGTGTGCAATGATATCTCCATATGATTTTGATTTGCATCTCCCTTGTGATTAATGATTTCAAGCTTTGTAAATGTATTTCTTAGCCACTTATACGCCTTCTTTTGAGAAATGTGTATTCAGGCCTTTTGTCTATTTCTTAATCAAATTATTTGTTTTTCTTTTATAAAGTTGTTTGACTTCTTTATATATTTTGGACGTTAATCCCTTATCAGATGTATGGCTTGTAAATATTTTTTCCCAATTTGTAGATTGTCTTCACTCTGTTAATTGTTTCATTTGTTGTGCAGAAGTTTTTTTTTAATTTTAACGTAATCCCATTTGTCTATTTTTGCTTTTGCTGCCTGCATTTTTGGAATGAAATCTAAAAAATCATTGCCCAGACAAGTGTTGTATAGTTTTTCCTCTATGTTTTCTTCTAGGAGTTTTATAGTTTCAAGTTTATGTTTAAATCTTTAATCTATTTTGAGTTGATTTTGTATGTGGTATAAAATAAGAGTGAGTTTCATTCTTTTACATACGGGTTATCCAGTTTTCCCAGCTCCATCTATTGAAGAGACTGCCATGTATATTTAATTGGGATTATCTGTGTGAGCTTTGATATGGTTGTATTTAAGTCTATCATTTTGCTCATGTTTTTTATATGCATGATACAGTCTGTTATTTTTCTTTCTTTTGATTTTTAAAATAATACCATGTATATTTTTTGCTGGTTTATTAGCTATGACTTTCTGTTGCATTATTTTGGTGATTGCCTTGGAGTTTAATTGTATACATCTTCAACTTACAGTCCACCTTCAAGAGATGTTCATAGTATTTACACTATAGTACAATAAACGTATACTTTAATTTCTCTTCCAGATTTTATTATTGTTGTTATACATTTGGATTCTACTTATCTTATAAATCTTAAAATACATTGATATTCTTTTTGCTCTAAACAGCAAATTATCATTAAATAATATTTAAATAAAAAGAAAAAATTAAATATACACCCATGTTATTGTTATTTCTGTTACTCTTAATTCCTTTTTGTAGATACAGATCTCCTTCAATATAATTTTTTTGCTTGATGGATTTCCTTTAATATTCCTTACAGTCCAGATCTGCTGGTGATAAATTCTATCAGCTTTTATGTGTCTAAAATTTTTTATTTCATCTTTTTGTTTGAAAGATATTTTTGCTGGATATAGAATTCTAGGTAGAGTTTTATTTTTTATTTTAGTACTTAAAAATGTTGCACAATTGTCTTCTGGCCTGAGTTGTTTTCAATGAGGAATCAGCTGTCACATGATTTTAGTTCCTCTACAATAACCTGCCTTTTTGGGGGATTACTTTTCAGAATTTTCTCTTTAATTCACTGGTTCTAAGCAAGTTAATTATGATGTACCTTTGTGTAGTTTTCTTCATATTTCTTGTGCTTGGTTTGAATTTAAAGATTTATAGTTTTCATCAAATTTGAAGAAATTTCAGCCATTATATTTTCAATATTTTTTCTTCCTCTCTCCTTATATTTGAGGACTCTAGTTATGCATATATTAGACCACTTGATATTGTCTCACAGCTTACTGATGCTCTGTTCATTTTTTTTTACATTTTCTGTCTGCATTTCATTTTAGATAGTTTCTACTGCTATGTCAACAAGATTACTAATTTTTTCTGCAATATTTAATTGGACATTTGATTTATTCAGTATGTTTTTCATTTCAGACATTTTGGTTTTTAGCTCTAGACATTTGATTAAAATAATTTTTTGTTTACATGTGTTTCATACCTCCATTTAACCTTTTACATCTTTCTACTAGCTTAGCAAACATGTAAAAAATATAGTTTTAATAACTCTTTTAATGTCTTTGTTAATTTTAATATCTCTGTCATCGTTAGTTCAGTTTCATTTGATTGATAGTTCTCCTCATTAGGGTCATATTTTCCTGCTTCTCTGCACACCTGATTTTTAAAAAGTTGAATACTAGCCATGGTGAATTTTACCTTGTTGGATATTCCTATAAATATTCTTAGGCTTTGTCTTGGGATGCTTTAAGTTTCTTGGAAACAGTTTGATCCTTTAGGGTATTGTTTTTAAGTTTCCAAGCAGGATAAGGCAGGATTTATCTAGTCTAATGCTAGTTTTACCCCACAACTGAGGCTTCTAAAAGCCCTTCTGAATTTTCTGTGTGATGCACCAAATCATGACTATTTCCACGTTGGCTAGTGAAGATAGGACTATTCCCAGGCCTTTATGAGCAGCTGGGATGGGTCTCTCTAATCCTTTCAGACAATTCTTTTTCTGGCTTCATGAGTTTTCTCACATGCATCTGGCCGTCGTACTCAGTAGAGCACTCAAGGGACCCCTCTGCAGATCTCTGGATTCCTTTCTCTGAAGCTTGTCATTCTTCAGTACTGTGCCATGTAATTTCTAGCCACCTAAGTCTTTTTGAACTTTTAGTTCAATCTCTTGACTCTGGAAAATAGGCTTTACCTGAGTTCTTCTGCCTTGTACTGTAGCCTGGAAACTCTCTCCAGGCAGTAAGCTGGGAAAATGGTAGGGCTCACTCATTTGTTTACTCTCTCTCAAGGGATACTGCTCTTTGTTGCTTGATGAGCAATCTTGAAACCTTATTTCTCAAAGTTTTTTAAGCTTCTTTTTTTTTTTTTTTTGCAGGAGGGTAAATTCAGCCTCCGTCTTGGCTAGAAGTGGGTAATCCAAGTAATGCAAATTAAAACTATATTGAGATGACAATTCTAGCTCATTGAATTGTTGAAAATTAAAGATGTGAAACACATTCTTCTGTCAAGGTTGTGAAGAAACAGGTATTCTATTTTGGAGGGCATGGAAGTTATTATAAGTCTTTCAGAAACAAATTTCACAGCATCTGTCAAAACAACATATACACTTTCTTTTGATCCAGTAGTCCTCTTCTTGGAATTTACCCTGAAGATACACCTTCAGTGATATGAAAAAAGATATGCAAAAAGCTGTTTGTTGACTTATTATTTGTAATTGCAAACAACCTACATATGCATATAGGAGAGTGATTAAATAAATTATGCTGCAGTCCCACAATGGAGTATATGTAGCTATAAAAAAGATTGAAGAAACTATCTGTAATTTGGTATGAAGTGATTTCCAATGTAATTTAATATAAATTTAGAAGAATGTTTATAGAATGCCATCTTTTGTATAGAAGGAAGAAGAAATGAGATAACATACACATATCTGTTCAATTGTGCAGAAAGAAACAGAGGAAGGGTAAACTATAAACTATTGAGACTGGTTATCTAGAGATGATGGGTGCAAATGGAGTAGAAAAGATGGGGTTGGTGTGAGTAGGGTAGAATGGATGGGATGGGGATTAGTAGTTGAGTGACTACTTTTCATATATTTGTGTATTTCAGAACCATACTACTATTTCTCATACTAAATATACAAACAAACAAACATGAATGAAGAACCCAAATGATTACACACAGAGACAAAGGGATTTAACTGTATTTCAGATGATATAACCATACTGAGCATGTATAGGGGTAGTGGGTGGGACTACCTAAATAACATTGGACCAGTATTTTGACTATGTATTTTAAGTCCAAAGAATAAAAGTACTAAAAATATTGTACTGTAGAGACAGGGAGAGATAGAGAATATAAATGATAGAATGAGTATAAACTG
Source organism: Homo sapiens (assembly GCF_000001405.40). Classification (NCBI taxonomy): domain Eukaryota; kingdom Metazoa; phylum Chordata; class Mammalia; order Primates; family Hominidae; genus Homo; species Homo sapiens. Next base: position 16,263,838 of record NC_000011.10, on the reverse strand, counting down.
TTAACATTTGAGGACTTTGGATGAAGGATCTGTAAGAAATCTCTGTACTATTTTTGCAATTTTGGTATGTTTGAAGTTAAAAAAATACATTTTGACCATGAGTTTTTATATGCAAAATGCCTTTCCTGATGAACACCCCAAAACAATTTGAAGCTTACTTTTCCACTATGAATTATGTTACCATGAATTATGTTACTTAGACCTGGAATTCTGTCCTGATATTCTGCAATTACTGGAAGTGCCAAATGCCCAGTCACTGTTACTTGAAGACTTTGAGAAAACAAATATATAAACTCTCAGGTACTATGGATTATCCTTTCTTCCATATCTGATGAGCAGCTTACTTGAAGGTGTATCAAGGATTCTATTCAATGGCTTACAATAGTTCCTTGCAAAAGTTTAAAATAGAAAGCATAGAATACTTTCACTTTCTATAGTACAAATTGAAGCTATAATAAGCTGCATATAATTACTCCTGGAAATTTTGTTTTGGTTAGGAATGCAATGGGAGTGATTAGGACTTAGTATTGTGATACAGAGTAAGTTACATCTAGGAGAACTCTAGGGTTCTTTGGGAAACTATAAATTAGGATCAAGGCTATTGTTCTTAAGCAATTTCAACTCGCATTGGAGTCTCTTTTAAGTTTAGAGTTCATCACCATCATTGTTATTATTAATATTTTTATTACTGTTGTTATCCTTGATAAAAGCCACTTGACATAAACTCCCTAATTATCAGAATGCTTACTTTACCTGCAGATGTTTAAGTTTTGGATTTTGAGAACATCTTACAGTGACAAAGACAGGTGAATTTGAGGGAGAAAAATCATCTGGCGGTGGATAACTTGGCAAGTTTTGTGATGTTTGAGAATAGAGTAGATATTAAATAAAGATTTAGCAACTAATTGAAATGGTAGATTTTTTAGGTTTGGAACTGTCACATAGCCATAGAATAGTATTTCTCAGCCACTAACTATTTTGCTTTTTAAGATTCTTACATCAAACTCAGGAAAGACCTAAGAATTCTTCTCTGCACTTTGATCTAAATGCATCATTGATCTGAACTCAAGATGTTACCACAGTTTTTCTTCCTTTGGTTGAGTCACAGGGGCATTTATTGCAGTAAAGCCAATGCCTATATATTTCAAACATCTGTATGGAAAACATAATTTCATATGTAAAAAGCACTATGTTATCTGGCAAATGCACTCTCTAAGGATAGCACAGCTACAGATACTATCACCCTTGTGACAGTTTATTGGTATGGTATGCAGCTCTCTTCTTTAAATATTACACTTTGGTTTGTGGCTATAGCTAATGATTTACAGAACTTGCACTCTGAGACATTGTCTCTTTTAAAGAGCACACTTTTAGACTGGCTTCACTATTTTCGTTTGTTCAGCAATGTTACATTTCAGCTTCCTAAGAAATGTTTCTGCCTATCTTGGCAGTGATTTTCCTCCTCACTTTAGTTCAGTATCTGGTCTGTGTTTATATATTTTACTATATGTTCCTATATTCATTTAGACCAATAAATGTACACACTCCTTGTATACTAAGAGCTGACTGGTTTTCAGGACTACATTGTTGATGTGCTTGACTTGCCATTTAGTAGTAAGAAGTTATGTTCGCACATTTGATGCTCATATAGAGCCAAAACTCATAGATGTATAACATTAGCCTCCAATTTAGTTTATAGATGGATTCTCTTTGACACTATTAACAGTTGTCAAATTTGAATAGAGGATTAAGAAGAACATCAAGTTCATCATCAAGCTGTTTAGGGAGCTGTTGAAAGAGCCTTTGTGCTTTATGTAATCAAAAGAACTGCTCAGTGTTTGAAATTTTTGCAGAACAGTACTTAGTTGATAATTTGTTTTCATTTTTTCTATTCCCCCCTCAAAATAATAAGAAAAGGGAACATATTTAGATTTCGATCTTGTTTTTGGTGCTGCAACATTTTTTCCTTTTCAAAAGCATACTTTCAGCTTTTATTATCTTTTCACTTAAAATGTAAATGTTGAAAATGAATACAGGTTAAAATTGATATAAAATTTTGTGATAGAAGTTTTCAAAATCCTGGTGATTACTTAATTTACCACCTTAACTCTGACAGAAATGATTCTTCTAAAGACTAATGGTCTGACCTAGACTGCATTGAATTTGTAAGCTATCACTCATTTGTAGGTCATTTTTTTTTTCAAATAAAAGAAGACTCCCATTATTAAGAAAAACTACACAAAACTTCAGTGCTCAGAGTATATACCCCAGAAGAATTTCCTGGTGGGGTGGGTGGGTTTACACCTGATATTGTATTTTTCCCCGTTTTTACTTGGCTCTCTACTACTACCAGTACTCCCTTTGAAATGTTTTCTGTGGTGCTCTAAGCATAGCCAACCTTTTGTTACATTAAAAAGAACTGAAGTCTATGGCAGAAAAAAATTACAGAAAATAAACATTGATTAAAACATAGTATTAAATTTAAGTGCACAAAATATTATTTGATTGTTCTAAGGATCCAGTAAGATTTACTGCATGCTAAATCTTCTGATCATTTATTTTCATTGATTCCACATATTTTTGTTTAGTGTCTACCATATGCCAATGGCTGTGCCTGATAACGATATAGTAGTGAGCAAGACAGATGGATTTCTTGGCCTCATAGAGCTTATAGTCTGATAGAGAAGATTGATGGTAAATTAATTATAACAAAGTATGACAAAAGTCATGATTTAGGTAATATAATATTACAATGGACTGTTGAAGGCATTATTGAGGAAATGACTTTTAAATTATAACTGAATGAATAGGAGTTAGTTAGATGAAATGGAGTGGTTGAATGTTTCAGACAGAGGGAGGAGTATGTGTGAAGGTCACAAGAGAGAAGGAATATAGCAGATAGCAGCTGGTGCTTTGGGGGAATTTAAAGAATTTCAGTACAATAAGACTGTGTAGTATGAGGGAGAGAGTAGAGAGTGGTGAGAATAGCTGGAGAGGTAAGTGGGTTCCAGAACATGGGGGACCTTTTAAGCTATATGAAGGATTTTGGGTTTTATTCTAAGGGTAAATGTTTGGATGATTGGAAATTAAAGGTTGGAGAAACTTTGTACCTTTCCTAGATTGCTTCATTCCTAATTCCCCAGCTACTTGTCTTCGGATGATAATGGTCACATAGAAGGTGTCATTTTACTTCTAGCTAGAGCAGGTAGACAGTGTGTCCCTTTTATTGAACCAAGACAAAAATACATATATTTTTCAGACACCTTGAGATCTTATAATTTCAGTTTTGTTCCTATTCTGAAGAGCATGGCTTGTCCATAGCCAAATGTCAGATGATCTCTTTTTGGCTCAGGCAATAGTTGTGTTGATCTCTGAAGTAGTCTCTAGAGGCCAGCTAGGTTAAACATTTTACCTCAACAAATGGGGAAGTAACTTTAAAAAAATGGTATTTATTTTCATTTTCACAATATAACATATATTACTTAAGGATTTGTGTAAATAAAGAATAGTACTTCTTTATTTTAAAATTTGGGACATTGGCCCGGGCACAGTGGCTCACGCCTGTAATCCCAGCACTTTGGGAGGCCGAGGTGAGTGGATCACGAGGTCAGGAGATCGAGACCATCGTGGCTAACATGGTGAAACCCCGTCTCTACTAAAAAATACAAAAAATTAGCCAAGTGTGGTGGCAGGTGCCTGTAGTCCCAGCTACTCGGGAGGCTGAGGCAGGAGAATGGCATGAACCCAGCAGGCAGAGCTTGCTGTGAGCCGAGATTGGGCCACTGCACTCCAAGCTGGATGACAGCGAGACTCCGTCTAAAAATAAATACATAAATGAATATATATATGTATATGTGTATATATACACACACACACACACACACACACACACATATTTGGGACATTGAAGTATAACATGCGTGTGGTAAAATATGCAATCTTAAGTGTATCTTTCACTAAATTTTTATATGTGTTTATATTCCACCACATTTTTATGTGTGTAACCACCATCCATAGCAAGATATAGAACATTTCTAGTATCCTGGAAGACTCCCTCTTCCTCCCTCCCAATCATAACCCCTGAAAGATAGTAACTATTCTCACTCTTATTACCATAGATTAATTTTGTTTTCTTCTTGAACTTCATATAAATGGAACTATAAAGTATACACTTTTCTTGTGTTTGACTTTTTCCACTCATCATAATGTCTTTGAGTTTAAATGTTGTAGCAGATATTTGTTCTATTTTGTTCTATGTCTATTGGTTACCATTGTATCAATGCAAGCTATTTACTAACTGTAGCTTCACAATAAATTCATAAGGCAGTCAGCTCCTTTAATTTTGTTCTTACTCAAAATTTTTTTTACTGATTATGGGCCTTTGTGTTTACATATACATTTTAGATATACTTGTCAATTTAAAAGAAAATACTTACTGGGATTTTAATTGGGATTGCAATGTGTTTATATATCAATTTAGGGAGAATTTACTTCTTAAGAATGTTGTGATTTCCAATGTATGAGCAGAATATGTCCATCTATTTATTTAGGATTTCAGAAAATTATTAAAGTAATATTTTGTAGGGTTTTAATGGATGTATGTAAACACCCTGTATATTTTGTAGATTTATTGTTTTTTAAAATTTATTTTCTATTTTTTGCAAATATTTGAAATAAATATATTTTCATATTAGCCTCATATCCAATGATCTTGCTAAATATATTTCTTAATTCTAATACTTTATTTTAGGTTTTAAATTTATTTCTATATATACAACCAAATTGTTTGTGAATGGTGAATTTTATTTCTTTTCTCCTTTACATGTTTTTTAAAATTAATAAACTTAATTTTTAATAGCAGTTTCAGGTTCACAAAAAATAGAGTGCAAAGTACAGAGAGTTTCTATACATACATATATGTATGTGTGTGTATATATGTATATATGTGTGTGTATATATGTATATATAATGTGTGTATATATATGTATATATATGTGTGTGTGTGTGTATATACATGTATATAGCCCGTCCCTCCCTCTCAGACTCCCCTATTATCAACATCTCATAACAGAGTGGTAGATTTGTTGCAACAGATAAACTTATGTTGACATCATTATCACCCAGAGTTTATAGTTTATATTATGGTTCACTGTTGGTGGTGTACATTCTATAGGTTTTGACAAATGTATAATGACATCTATCCACCATTGTAGTATTGCAGTATCATACAGAATAGTTTCACTACCGTAAAAAAATACTCTGTATTCTATGTATTCATCCCTCCCCCAATCCCTGGCAACCATTAATCTTTTTAATATCTTCATAGTTTTATTTTTTCTAGAATGCCAGATAGTTTGGATATTACAGTATGCATAATAGCTTTATGAGATTGGCTTTTTTCACTTAAATGCATTTAAGTTTCCTTCGCGTCTTTTCATAGCTTGGTAGCTCATTTATTTTCAGTGCAGAATAATGTTTCATTGTCTGGATGTACCACAGTTTATTTATCCACTCACCTGCTGAAAGACATCTTGATTGTTTCCAGGTTCGAGCAATTATGAATGAAGCTGCTATAAACATTTCTGTGTAGGTTTTTGTGTGGACATAAGTTTTTATTTGAGAAAAACCAAAGAACATGATTACTAGATTGTATGATTAGAGAATGTTAGTTTTATAAGAAACTGCCAAAGTGTCCTGTACTAAGTTGTGTACTATTTTGCATTTCCATGAACAATGAATGAGCGTTCCTGCTGATCCACATCTTCACCAGCATTTGGTATTATCAGTATTTTCTATTTTGTTCCTTCTAATAGGCATGTAGTGATATGTCATTTTTTTAAATTCTTTTAATTAAAGAGTGATATCTCTAATAATATATGATATTGGACATCTTTTCATATGTTTACTTGCATCTGTGTATCTTCTTTGGTGGTGTCTGTTCAGGTCTTTTACCATTTTTTAATTGGATTGTTGTTTTCTTATTGTGTTTTAAGAGTTATTTGTATATTTTGGCTAACATTCCTTTATCAGATATGTCTTTTGCAAATATTTTTTTCCCAGTCTGTGGCATGTTTTTTCATTATCTTAACAGTGTCTTTCACAGAGCAGTAGCTTTTAATTTTAATAAAGCCTTGTCTATCAATTATTTCTTTAATGGATTGTGCCTTTAGTGTTCTGGCTAAAAAGTTATTGCTATACCTAAGATCATCTAAGTTTTCTCCTATGTTATCTCTAGAAATTTTTTAGTTTTGTGTTTTACATTTAGGTCTATGATCAATTTTGAGTTAATTTTTGTGAAGAGCATAAGATATATGTCTAGACTCCTCCTTTTGCACATAAATGTCCAGTTTTTTCAGCATCATTTGTTCAAAGGATTATCTTTTCTCCTTTAGATTGCCTTTGCTTTATGTCAAAAATCAGTTGACCATATTTATGTGAGTCTGTTTATGAGCGCTCTGTTCTGTTCCATTCAACGATTTTTTTTCTTTTACCAGTACCACACAGTCCTGATTATTGTAGCTTTATATTGAGTCTTGAAGTTGGATAGTGTCAGTTTTCTGACTTTGCTGTTCTTCTTCAATAGTAAGTTGGCTATTCTGTGTCTTTTGCCTCTTCATAGAAACTTTAGAATCAGTTTGTTGATATCCTCAAAACAATTTGCTGCAATTTTGATTGGGATTGCATTGAATCTATAGATCAAATGGGGAAGAATGGACATCTTGACAATATTGAGTCTTTCAATCCATAAACATGGAATATCTCTAATTTATTTAGTTCTTCCTTAATATCTTTTATCAGGATTTTATAGTTTTCTTCATATAGATTTTTACATATTTTATTAAATGTATACCAAAATGTTTCATTTCTTAGAGTGATAATATGAATGGTAATGTGTTTTTCATTTCAAATTCCACTTGGTCTTTGCTAATAAATAGGAAAGTGGTTGACTTTTGTATATTAGCCTTGTATTTTGCAACCTCGCTATAATTACATACTGGTTCCAGGAATTTTTGTCAATTATGTCTTATTTTCTACTCAGATGATCATGTCATCTGTGATCAAAGACAGTTTCATTTTTTCATCCCAATCTGTATACCCTTTATTTTATTTTATTTATTTTATTTTTAAACTGCATTAGCTAGGACTTCCAGTATGATGTTGAAAAACAGTGGTAAGAGGGGACATCCTCCCCTTGTTTCTAATCTTACTGGGAAAGCTTTGAGTTTCTCACCATTACATGTGATGTTAGCTCAATGTTTTTTATAGATGTTCTTTACCAAGTTGAGGACATTCCCTCTATTTCTAGCTTGCTGAGAGTTCTTTTTTAAACCATGAATGGGCGTTGAATTTTGTCAAATGTTTTTCTGGATCAATATGATCATATGATTTATCATTGTTAGCCTGTTGATGTGTGATGTATTCCATTAATTGATTTTTTGAGTGGTGAGCCAGCCTAGCATAACTGGGATAAATCCCACTTGATTGTGGTATATAATTCTTTTAACACATTATTTGATTCAATTAGCTAATATTTTCTTGAGGATTTTTGCATTTGTGTTCATGAGAGTTACTGATGTATGGTTTTTATTTTCTTATAATATCCTTGTCTAGTTTTGATATTAGGATAATGCTGACCTGATAAAATGAGTTAGGAAAGATTCCCTTTGCTTCTATCTTCTGAAAGAAATGATATAGAATTGGCATCATTTATTCCATAATCTGGGCCTGTTGCTTCTGTTTTGGAAGGTTACTAATTACTGATTTAATTTCTTTAATATATAAAGGACTTTCAGCATGAATTTTGGCAGATTGTGTCGTTTCTCTTGTGTGAATTGTTGCAGATTGTATCTTTCAAGGAATTAGTTCATTTCATCTAGGCTATCAAGTTTGTGGCTATGGAGTTGTTAAAAAGATTTCTAATTGTCCATGGGAACTGTAATGATATTCCCTCCCTCATTTCTGATATTACCAATTTGCGTCGTCTCTTTTTTTTTTTTCCTTTAGTCTGGCTAGAAGTTCATCTATTTTATTGGTCTTTCCAAAAACTAGCTTTTGGTTTTATTGGCTTTCTTTTTTGATTTCCTGTTTTCAGTTCTGTTGACTTCAGGTCTAGTTTTCATTATTTCTTTTCTTCTCTTACTTTGTACTCAATTTGCTCTTCTTTTTCTAGTTTTCTAAAGTGGAGGCTCAGCTTATCGCTTTTAGATTGATGCTGTATGCTTCCCTCTCAGCACTGCTTTCACTGCATCCCGCACACTTTGAGAAGTTGTATTTTTATTTCAATTTAGTACAAAATATTTTAAATTTTCTCTTGAGATTTCTTCATTAACACATGTGTTATTTAAAAGTGTGTTGTTTAATCTTCATGTATTTTGGGTTATTCCAGCTATCATTCTGTTACCGATTTCTAGTTTAAAACCATTGTGGTTTGAGAGCAGACATATTATTTCAATTGTTTTCAACTTGTTGTGTTTTATAGCCCAGAATGTGGTCTGTTTTGGTGACTGTTCCATATGAGTTTGAGAAGAATGTGTAAACTGCTGTTGGTGGATGAAGTAGTCTATAGATATCAATTACATCTAGTTGATTGATGGTGTTGCTGAGTTCAATGATGTTCTTACTGATTTTCTACCTGCTGAACTTGTCCACTTCTCATAGAGGGGTGTTAAAATCTTCAACTATAATAGTGAATTCATCTATTTCTCCTGGCAGTTTTTGCCTCATATATTTTGATATTCTGTTATTAGGTGTATATATAGTAAGGATTGTTATGTCTTTAGGAGTATGACCCCTTTAACATTTTGAAATACTCTTTTTATTCCTGATAACTGTCCTTGTTCTGAAGTCTGCTTTGTCTTATTACTATTGCTACTTCCACTTATTTTGATATGTTAGCATGGTATATCTTTCTCCATCTCTTATTTTAATCTATATTTATCTTTATATGTAAAGTGGTTTCCTATAGATAATATATAGTTGGGTCTTATTTTTTTTGACCCACTCTGACAATCTCTGTTTTTAGATTGGTGTATTTAGACCCCTGACATTTATGATTATTGGTGTAGTTGGATTAGTACCTACCCATATTTGGTACTGTTTTCTATTTGTCCTTGTCGTTCATTTTTATTTTTGCTTTCCCTGCCTTTTTTTTGCCTTTTGTGGTTTTAATCGAGCATTTATATTATTCCATTTTCTCTTATTTTGTTAAGATATCAGTTATACTTCTTTTAAGTGGTTGGCCTAGAGTTTACAATATTCAGTTACAATTAATCCAAGTCCGCTTTCAAATAACTATACTGCATCACAAGGTGTGCAGGTACCTCATAATAACAAAATATTCTGAATTCCTCTATCCCATCCCTTGTATTACTGCTGTCATTCCTTCACATATACATAAGCATATACATATGAAAAATGATATTCTTATGTATAACTATACATGTATGTAATATATATGAATGTAATATACCTGTATATGTAATCAAGTACATTGATGCTATTATTTTGAACAAACTTATCTCTAGATCAATCAAGAATAAGAAAATAGAGTTTTCTTTTATTAATGCTCTTCCTTTTTGTATGCACATCTGAGTTTCTAAACTATATAATTTTCCTTCTCCCTGAAGAACTTCAACATCTCCTGGCAACACATTTCCTCAATTTTTATTTGTCTGAGAAAGTCTTCATTTCTACTTTACTTTTGAAGGATAATTTTACAGGTACAAAATGCTAAGTGTTTTTTTTTTCATCACTTTAAATATTTCACTCCATATTCTTGTTTGCATGGTTTCTGAGGAGAAGTCATATGTAATTCTTTTCTTTGCTCCTCTATAGGTTAAGTGTTTTCCACCCACTTCCTCAACCCTGGACTTCTTTCAAGGTTTTTCTTTTATTTTTTATTTTCTGAGGTTTGAATATGATGTGCCTAGGTGTATTTTTTTGGACATTTATCATACTTAGTGTTCTTTGTGCCTCCTGGATCTGTGTGGTTTGGTGTCTGACATTAATTTGAGAAAATTCTCAGGAATTGTTGCTTCAAATATTGTTTCTGTTCCTTTCTCTTTTTCTTTTCCTTCTGGTATTCCCATTATACATATGATATACCATTTGTAGTTGTTCCACAGTTATTGGATATTCTGGGTTTTTTTTTCCAGTCTTATTTTCCTTTGGAGATTTCTGTTGATATATCCTCTAGTTCACAGATTCTTTTCTTAGTCATATCCAGTCTACTAGTGAGCCCAGCAAAGGCATTCTTCATTTTTGTGACAGCATTTTTAATCTCTAGCCTTTATTTTTGATTATTTCTTAGATTTATGTCTCTCTGCTCACATTATGCACCTGTGTCTGCATACTCTCTACTTTTTCTACTAAAATTCTTAGCCATATTAATTATATATTTTAAAAATTTGGTCCAATAATTCTAAACATTCCTCATAGGACTGCTACATTTGACTCTGGCTCTGATGCTTGTTCAGTTTCTTTTTTTTTTGACACGGAATTTTGCTCTTGTTACCTACGCTGGAGTGCAATGGTGTGATCTTGGTTCACTGCAACCTCCGCCTCCTGGGTTCAATGGATTCTCCTACCTCAGCCTCCTGAATAGCTGGGATTGTAGGCATGCACCACCATGCCCGGCTAATTTTTTGTATATTTAGTAGAGACAGGTTTTCTCCATGTTAGTCAGGCTGGTCTCGAACTCCCTACCTCAGGTGATCTGCCCGCCTAGGCCTCCCAAAGTGCTGGGATTACAGGTGTGAGCCACCGTGCCCAGCCTGTCCAGTTTCTTTAAACTGTTTTTTGCCTTTTGGTATGTCTTATAATTTTTTGTTGAAAGGCAGACATGATGTACTGGGTAAAAGGAACCGTAATAAATAGGACTTTAGTCATGTAGTGGTAACGTGTGAGGGAAGGGTAAGAATTCCATAGTCCTATGATTACATCTCAGGTTTTTGGTGAGCCTGTGTCTTCAGACTGTGAATTTCATGAATGCTTCTCAATAATTTCCCTGCTTAGGTGGGAGAGGATGGCTGGAGTGGGCTGGAGTTGAGTATTTTCCTTCTCCCAAGTGGAAGGCTTGAGGGGGTTGGAGTTGGGTATTTCCCTTACCCTAGGTAGGTTATGCTGTGATAAAACAGCAGGTTAGGCTCTGGAAAAATCGTTTTTCCTGAAGGCAGGACTTGTTAAAAAGAACAGAATGTTGTGGTGTATTTAAAAATGCTTCTTAATCTCCTCCCCCTGCTGGAATCACACGGGAATTTTCCTCTGACACTCTCTGTGAGGACCTGGTAGAGCTTCTGGAGGTAAAACTCCCCAAAGTGTGGCCATCCCCTTTTGACTGGGTATCCTTGGAGTTCTTAACTCTGAGAGTTGTGCACCCTGAGCATCCAGCAGTTCGTAGATCACAGTTCCAAAGTTCCTACCGACACTGGTTCCTGTGGAGGTTTCTGTTCCTGGGTTTCTCCTCTGGTAAGCTGTGATTCTCTGTTTTTGCCTGTCTTTCTCTGGAATCTGAGGGGCAGCAATCTGTTGGGTGACCTCACTTCTCTGATGAATCTAAGAAGAGCTGTTGACTTTTCAGTTTATTCAGCTATTTACTTGTTAGGATGAAGTGAAGACTGCTGAGTTCCTTATATGCTGGACTGGAAACGGGAAGTCTACGATATGTTCTTTTTGCTTCTTTTTCTTATTTCTCTAAGATCACCAGGATAATATTGCATAGAGGAGTAATAGTAGATATTTTTGTTTTGTTCCTGAGTTCAGACGAAAGCATTCATTGTTTTACCATTAATAATGATGTTTTCTGAAGGTACTCTCCTAGTCTTACATTGCTGAGAGTTCTTTTTTTTTAAAAGAAAATTACAAATGGATACTGAATGTTATAAAGTGTTTTATTTGCATCTTATATAATTATGTGATTTTTTATGTTTATTATGTTATATTGATTGGTGTTTGAATCTTCAAGCAACTTCGCATTCCTGGAATAAACCCTCTTGGTCCTTTTATATATTGTCAGATTATATTTGCTAATTTTTTTGAGAATTTTTGCATCTATGATTATGACGGAGATTCTGGAAGTTATTTTTTTTTCATAATGTCCCTGTCGATATTTGGCTGGTCCCCTAACATGAGTTGGATAGTGTTTCCCAAGTTTGTACTACATTGGTATTATTTCCTCCATGAATGTTTGGAACAATTCACCAGTGTGGCAATCAGGACCTGGAGTCATCTCTGTGAGAGGGCTTTACATTATAGATCCAATATCTTTATATAGCACTATTTCTGTTTTCTATTTTGATATGTATATTTTGCAGGAAGTTTTCTGTTTTATTTAAAGTTTCAAATTTATTAGCATAATCTTCATACTATTCTCTTTATCAATGTCTGTAAGAATACATATATATGGAATAATGTCTCCTTTTTCATTATTGATATAAATAATGTTTTTGCTCTTTATTACTTGATCAATCTTCCTAAAAGTTTATTAATTTCATTAATCTTTTCAAAGAACTATCTTTTAGTTTTGCTTATTTTGCTCTGTGAGACTACAGTTTCTATTTCACTGATGCTCTCTGGTATTTCCTTAATTGTTCATTTTTGGGCGTTTATTTCTTTTTCCAGCTTTTAAGATAGAGCTTAGGTAATTAATTTTTAACCTTTCTGCTTTTGTAATATACTAATTTAAAGTTCTAATAACTGCATTAGCAGACATAAAAATTTGAGATGTCAGATTTTCATTATAACTCAGTTTGAAATATTTTCTAATTTTCACTGTGTTTATTTTTGCCCCATAGATTGTTTTAATCCCAATCATTTGAGGGACTTTCTAGTTATATTTCTATTACAGAATTCTGTTTTGATTCCATTGTGATAAAAGGCCATACACTCTATGGTTTTAAAATTTGTTTAGACTTGATTTATCATTCAACATGTGATCTATATGAGTCATTTTCTATGTGCACTTGAACAAAATGTATATTTTGTAATTGTTGAGTGTAATGTTTGATATATGTGAATTAGTTAATGTAAGTTAATCTTATTATTTAAATATTCTATATCTCTGTTGATTTTTCTCTTATTCTATTGAGGCAGCTATGTTAAAATCTCAATCATGTGGATATATCTTATTTTTCTTTGTCAGCTTTGGTTTATGTTATTGGTTTTATGTAATTTTAGGATTGTTGGAATTTTCCTGTTATTATTATGTGATACTTTTCTTTATTGATGCTTCTTGACTTAGAATATTAATTATCTGATATTAATACATCTACATCAGCTTTTTTGGAGTTAGTGTTTACATGATATAACCCCACTTATCTTGTTTACTTTGAATATTTTTTGTGTTTTTATAGTTAAAGTTTATCTGTTATAAACAACCTAATTGAGATCTGGTTTTCATTCGCTTTTTACTATCTTTCTTTAATATGTCATGCTTAGTCCATTTATATGTGATATAATTTCTAATGCTAGGTTTTAAGCTTATGGTTTCCTATTTTCATTCTGTTAAATCTCCAGAAGCTCTTTTAGCCTTGATATTCTATTATTCTAAAAAAGGCAAGGCCGTGGCTTGCAATTATGTTTTATAAAATTTAATGGCACTCAAAATTCTTTATCATAAGGAGAGCACAGTATAGATCTCTTGCATGTACCATTCACAATAAGGTTCTCAGTCCTATGAGAATCAAACGCCACTGCTGATCTCACAGGAGGCAGAGCTCAGGTGGTAATGCTGGTACCAGTAAGGCTGGTACCAGTCCATGGCCCAGGGGTTGGGGACTCCTGCTTTATAAAGTTTGGCTTCCCCTCTGCCTCTAAATGAAAGCCAAAATATTATAGAAACTTAGTGGGGAAACCCCTAAACTGTCTTTTAAAAAAGTAAATCGTAGAGAATCATTTTCTGAGACAACAGCCTTTTAAAAAGTAATATTCTACTTCTGCTTCTGGCCATAAAGAAGTAACTGGTACTGGAATTAACCTCGTAATATAAACAATGAGAACACTTGATCAACTGTATGAAATAACTGTTTTAAGAAATTAGACAATAGTTAGCACTAGACTGCAGTATATGAGAGAAGGAAAATAAAGTAAGCCATGAGATTAGCTTGGCTTTCTACCTGGTGGCATTTATCAGATCCTGGTACTGGGTCTGATAAATTTATTTTTGGTATAATTTGGTAAATTTATTACTGGTACATGTCAGATAAATTGGTACTGGTAGAATTTTGTGCTGCTACAAAGATACCCAAAAATGTGGAAGTGACTTTGGAACTGGATAACAGGCAGAGGTTGGAACAGTTTGGAGTGCTCAGAAGAAGATAGGAAGATGTGGAAAAGTTTGGAACTTCCTAGAGACTTGTTGAATGGCTTTGACCAAAATTCTGATAGTGATATGGACAATGAAGTCCAGGCTGAAGTGGGCTCAGATGGAGATAAGGAACTTGTTGGGAACTGGAGCAAAGGTGACTCTTGTTTTGCATTACAAAGAGACTGGCAGCACTTTGTCCCTGCCCTAGAGATTTGTGGAACTTTCAACTTGAGAATGATGCTTTAAGATATCTGGCAGAAGAAATTTCTAAGCGGCCAAGTGTTCAAGAAGAGGCAGAGCATAAAAGTTTGGAAAATTTGCAGCCTAACGATGTGATAGAAAAGAAAAACCCATTTTCTGGGGAGAAATTCAAGCCTGCTGCAGAAATTTGCATAAGTAACAAGGAGTCAATTTTTTTTTTCTTTTTCTTTTTTTTTTTTGAGACAGAGCCTCTGTTGCCGAAGCTGGAGTGCAGTGGTGCGATCTTGGCTCACTGCAACCTCTGCCTAGTGGGTTCAAGTGATTTTCCTGCCTCAGCTTCCCGAGTAGCTGGGACTACAGGCATGTGCCACCATGCCCAGCTAATTTTCTTTTTGTATTTTTAGTAGAGATGGGGTTTCACCGTGTTAGCCAGGATTGTCTCAATCTCCTGACCTCATAATCTGCCTTCCTTGGGCTCCCAAAGTGCTGGGATTACAGGCATGAGCCACCGTGCCCAGCTGGAGCCAAGTGTTAGTCACTAAGACAATGGGGAAAATGTCTCCAGAGCATGTCAGAGACCTTCACAGCAGCCCCTCCCATTACAGGCCAAAAGGCCTAGGAGGGAAAAATGGTTCTGTGGGCCAGGCCCAAGGCCCCCCTGCACTGTGTAGCTTTGGGATATGATGCCTTGCATTCCAGATGCTTCAGCTCCTGCTGTGGCTACAAGGGGCAAAAGTACAGCTCAGGCTGTTGCTTCAGAGGGTGCAAGGCCCAAGCCTTGGCAACTTTCACGAGGGGTAGGATCTGAGGGTGCACAGTAGTCAAGAATTGAGGTTTTGGAACCTTTGCCTAGATTTCAGAGGATGTATGGAAACACCAGGATGTCCAGGTAGAAGTTTGCTGCAGAGGTGGAGCTGTCATGGAGAACCTCTGATAGGGCAGTGTGGAAGGAAAATGTGGGATTGGAACCCCTACACAGAGTCCCCACTGGGGCACTGCCTAGTAGAGCTGTGAGAAGAGGGCCACCATTCTCCAGACCCAAAATGGTAGATCCACCGACAGCTTGCACTGTGTGCCTGGTAAAGCCACAGACACTCAATGCCAGCCACTGAAAGCAGCCAGGGGTTGGGCTTTACCTTGCAAAGCCACAGAGGCAGAGTTGTCCAAGGCCATGGAAGCCCACCTTTTGTATCTGCATGACCTGGATGTGAGACATGGAGTCAAAGGAGGTCATTTTGGAACTTTAAGGTTTAATGACTGCCTTATTGGATTTCAGACTTGCGTGGGGCCTGTAACCCCTTTGTTTTGGCCAATTTCTCCCATTTGGAATGGGTGTATTTACCCAATGTCTGTACCCCTATTTTATCTAGGAAGTAACTAACTTGCTTTTGATTTTACAGGCTCATAGGCAGAAGGGTCTTGCCTTGTCTCAGATGAGATTTTGGACTTAGACTTTTGAGTTAATGGTGAAATGAGTTAAGACTTTGGGGACTGTGGGAAGGGCATTGTTGTGTTTTGAAATGTGAGGACATGAAATTTGGGAGGGACCAGGGGCAAAATGATATGGTTTGGCTGTTTCCCCACCCAAATCTCATCTTGAATTGTAGTTCTTATAGTCCCCATGTGTCATGGAAGGGACCTGGTGGGAGGTAATTGTAGGTGGTTTACCCCATGCTATTCTTGTGACAGTAAGTTCTCATAAGATCTGATGGTTTTATAAGGGGCTTCCCACTTTACTCAGTTCTCATTCTTCTCCTTCCTATCACCATGTGAAGATGGACATGTTTGCTTTCCCTTCTGCCATGATTGTAAATTTCCTGAGGCCTCCCCAGCCCTGCAGAACTGTGAGTCAATTAAAGCTGTTTTCTTTATAAATTACCCAGTCTCGGGCAGTTCTTTACAGCAGCATGAGAATGGACTAATACAGAAAGGAAATCAGTATATTGAGATGTCTGCATTTCCATATTTATTGCAGCACTACTCACAATAGCCAAATACGGAGTCAACCTAAGTGTCTATCAACAGATGAATGGATATAAAATGTGGTACATGGCACATATACACAATAAATATTATTCAGCGATAAAAAGGAATAAAATCTTGTTGTTTACAACAACATGGATTCAACAAAAGGATATTACGTTAAGAAAAATAAGCCAGTCACAGAAAGATATTTGTGACATATTCTCACTCATATGTGAGAGCTTAAAAAACAAATGAACTCACGGACATAGATAGTAGAATGATGATTACCAGTAGCTGGGAAGGATAATGGGGAGCAGGGGATAAAATGGGGATAGTTGATGGGTACAAAAATATATATAATGAAAAAGAGCTAGTATTTGGTATCACAGGAGGGTTTCTATAGTTAATGATAATTTGCTATGTATTTAAAAATAACTAGAAGAATAGAACTGGAATGTTTCTAACACAAAGAAATGGCAAATACTTAAGGTGATGGATACCCAAGTTACCTTGATTTGATATTTACACATTGCATGCTTGTATCAAAACATCACATGTACCTGTAAATATATACAACTATTATGTGCCCATAATAATGAAAAATTAAAAATAAATAAATTTGTTAAAAAATATAATCCCTTAGATCCAAGAAGTATAAACACAGGGAAGAATGTATACCAAAGCACATCAAAATCAAATGGCTGGAAACAAATGAAAGAGAGTCTTAGAAGTAGCCAAAGATATGTTATATACAGTGGAGCAAAGATAGAAATGATTCCTCACATCAGAAACAATTCAGTTAGATATCACAATGACATACTTTGAGGTCCTAAAAAAATTGCAACCTACAATTTTATAATTAGAAAAAATATTCACATCTGAAGGTGAAATAAAGACATTAAAGAAAAATAAAAGTTCAGACAATTTATTGCTAGCAGATTTTAATTTTAAAAATTTTAAAAAACTTCTTCAGGCTGAAGAAAATAATACTAGATGGAAACTTAGATTTTAAAAAGTAATGAAGGTTACTGTAAATGGTTACTCTGGAGGCAAATATATGACATTTAATTTCTAATGATTAATTTACTTAAAATATGATTGATTCTATAGAATAAACAATAACCATGTATAATGAGGTTTAAAACATATGGAACTAATACCTATGACAGCAATAATACAAAATAAAGGTGTTTTAAAGTTCCTTACATTGTATTTGAAATGGTATATTATTGAAGGTAGACTGTTGTAAGTTAAAGATGCATATAATAAACCCTGGATCAATCATTTAAATAATGAAATAAAGAGGTATAGTTAATAAACCAACAAAGGAGATAAGTAGAATTCTAAAAAAAATAATAATTAAAAAGCCAAGAAAAGAGGAACAAAGGAACAAAGGACAAATTAAAAATAGCAAGATGGTAGACTTAACAGTTATTACATTAAATCTAAATGGACTAATTATACTAATTTTTAAAAGGCAGAGATTATCAGATTGGATTAACAAAAAACAAGACCCAATTAATATGCTAACTACAAGAGACATAATAAATATAAAGATGTAAATATGTTAAAAGTTTTTTGAAGATGTACCATGAAAACACTAATGATAAGAAGGCTTAAAAGGCTATATTAATATAAAAGTAGACTCCAGGAGAAGGAATATTATCAGAGATAAAGAAGGACATTTCATAATGATTAAAGGTTCAATTAACCAAGAAGACATAATATTTCTGCATATATACATGTATTAATAATAACAGAGCTTTAAAATACATGAAGCAAAATAATGACAGAACTAAAAGAAGAAAAAGACACAGCCACAATCTAATTATTCTTGGTGATTTTAACACACCTCTTTTAGAATATGATAAAACAAGTAGACAGAAAAATCTGTAAGACTGTAGAAGACCTGAACAAAATTATCAACTTAACCTAACTGATGTTGCTAGAACACTACACTAAAAAACATCTGGATAATTATTATTTTCAAGGGAATAAGGAACATCCCCAAGATAAGGCACATGCTGGACTATAAAACAAATCTCAAATGTAAAATGAATGAAACTATAATGGGTATATTTTCTGACATGGAAATGAAGTACAAATCAATAACAATATGAAACATTTTTAAATTCAAATTATTTGGCAATTAAACCACATATTTCTAAATAAACCACTTACCAAAGAAGAAAGAACAAGGAAAATTGTAAAGTATTTTAAACTAAATGATAATGAAAACCCAACCTAACGAAATGTGTGGGATGCAGCTAAAGTAATACTTAGAAGGAAATTTATATCTTTAAATGCTAATATTAAATATAGTCTTAAAAATTGCCTGTAAATTCAAGACAAATTCAATCAGAATTCCAGAAAGTCTTTTCTTTTTTGGTAGGCAAACCAATTCTAAAATTTATCTGAAAATGCAAAGGACCTAGCGTAGCCAAAACAAATTTGAAATAGAAGAACAAATTCTTATTCCACGTGATTTCAAAACTTATTGTAAGGCTGCAACAATGAAGACAGTTTGGTATTATAGTGAGGATAATGAATTGATTAATAGAACAGAAAAGAATTAAGAAATAGATCTACAAACACACACACAAACACACACACACATACACACTCTATACACAGTCATTTGATTTTCAACAGTTAAGACAAGATAACTCATTGGGAAAAAGATAATCTTTTTGAAAAATGTTGCTGGAACAACTGGATATTTATATGAAAGAAAACTGACTTTATCTTTTACCTCATGCCATACATACAAAATAAATTAAAATTGATCATAGACCTAAATATAAAACTAAACTCTAAAGTTTCTAGAAGAAAACATAGGAAAAAAATCTTTGTGATATTGAAAAGACAAAAATTTCATAGAGAGAATCCAGAAAATACTAGTCATTAAAAAATTGATAATCAAATCACATTAAAGTGAAAACTCTAGCTCCTCAAAAGACACCTTGTGAAAACAAAAAGGCATGCTGTAGACTAGGTAAAAATGTTTACATTACATATATTTGAGAGACGACTTCACAACCCAGTGTAAAAATGGGCAAAATATATATGAATGGTCAAAAAGCATATGAAAATATGCTCAATATCTTAGTCATTAAGGAAATACAAATAAAACTACATTAAAATACCACTTCTTATCCTCTGGGTGACAAAATTAAAGTGCTAACACTAAGACATATTGTTGAGGATATGAAACAACTAGAACACTCATACGTTGTTGGTAGAAGTATAAAATGGTGCAACCACTTTGGAAAACCTTTTGGCAGTTTATAAAAATAAAGTCAGGCACATAGCTCCCCAATTTTACAGGAAATTCAATTTTTAAGGGGGAAAAATAGATATATATTCATAAAAAGACTTGTGAATGAATTTGTATATTAGTTTTATTTCTAATACATCTAAACTGAAAACAACCCACATGTCCATAGACAGATGAATAGATACACATTATACACACATTATGTGGTGTGTTCATAAAATGGAAATTAATAAAAAGGACCAGACTACTAATTCATGCTACAACAGGAATGAATCTCAAGAACTTTATGCTGAGTGAATGAATCCATATCCAAAAAAGAATATATTGTATACTTTCATTTTTATGAAATTCAAGAATAGGCAAAATTATTTTATAGTGATAGAAATCATATCAGTGGTTGCCTGAGTCCAGGAGCATGGATGATTGCCTGGAAAGGGAGCATAAGATAACTTTTTAGAAATGTTCTGTATCTTCTTTCGGGAGGGTGGAGCTACATGAGTATATAATTTGTCAAAACTTATTAAATTTATATTTTAAATGGGCGCATTTTATTATATGTAAATTATATATGAATATAGTTAATTAAAAAAACTAGTTTTATAGCTGCTTGACACACAATAGTCTTGATCTTTTTATGTATATCAAGGAATTAGTTTTAGCACTTATTATGTGCAGAGCTCTGGGTTAAGCATTATGGAAAAACACAAAGTGGTATCAGAAACATTCCCTGACCATCAAGAAACTTAATATGTAGTTATCGTATTGTGGTATAAACTTGATCACATAATTAATCAGATGGTGGTAAAAATTGATAAGTACTAGTGGTGGTAGATGTAAAAGGAGTCATGAAATTTAGAGTTAAATTAGTTGATTAATACATGAGAAGAATATAAAAAATACAGTGCCTGACAGATATGTGCTCAGCAAGTGTTAATTATTTTCCTTGAGGGGACGAGAATTTATGTTTGAAGTGATGAATCAAGGCATAATTGAGGAGTTGGCATTTGATGTAGGCACAGTAGAATAGGAGGGTTTTTCGTAAGTCAAAAAGTGGGGAGACATTCAGGTCAGGAGGATGTGGTGATCAAAGAGGGGAAGTGAAAAAGCACAGGTATGTACAGTGGAGATAGGCATGCTTGGTGTACTCATTTGGACAAAAAGAAGAGTTTCAAGTAAATAGAATAATAGGAACTTAATCAGCAGGGTCAAACTATAAAGGGTCCTTAAAACCAAATTGAGGACTATAACCTTGTTTTAAATTGATCTTTTGTGGATTGCCAATATATAAAGTAAAATAGATAAAAATGGATATTTTATCAGTAAAAACATTTTATAATTTAATATTATGGCATTAACTATAAAGTCAATTAATCAGAACAGTGAAGCTGTTTTGAACACGTAACTTTGAAATTAGGGACTGCTGATCTCAGAGGAAAGGTTTTTTTTTTGTTTTTTTTTAATGAGCCTCAGTTTTCACTTAATTTCTGGTGTGTTTTCTTTTGGTTGCATCATGTTGAGAAAGTCCTAATTTATATAGACAAGTTATTGTAAGTAGCAATGCTTTAAACATTTACCTTAAGGTCTTTGTATATCTTTCAATGAAGCAAGAAGTTTGTTTCAAAGCACAGTCACATGTCGCTTCACAATGAGGATACATTCAGAGAAATGCATCCTTAGGCAATTTCATTGTCATGCAAACATCATAGAGGGTACTTACACAAACCTACATGGTATGGCCTAGTACACACCTAGGCTATATAGTATAACCTATTGATCTTAGGCTACAAACCTGTGCAGCATGTTACTGTACTAAACACTGTAGGCAGTTGTAATACAATGATAAATAATTGTGGATCTAAACATAGAAAAGTTACAGTAAATATATGACATTATACTCTTATGCAAGACTACCATTGTATGTGGAGTTTGTCTTTATGCAGCTCATGACTGTATACATAATAAATATTTCAATGTGGTAGTACAAGTTAACTCTTTGGTGGTTTCCAGATGGTTAAAATTTAGAATATAGCACATTCGTGTATGTATGACACTTTTGGTTATGGTTTTCATAATGTTTAGATTTTTTTAAGTTGCAACTTGCAGAAACCCAACTCAAATTAATAGGAATGTATTGGCTTACATTACCAAAAGCCCAGGAATAAAATTCTGTTTTATCTATTTTGGGATGTAAGTATGCTAACATGAGGTAAAGATTTTTTTCTGTATCCATTCTTACTGCTGCTCCTTCTGCTTTTCTTTCTATTTTTGGCTTCATTCACTCTTATTGCAGGCAGGCTCTATCTATGTGCCAGGTGGGATGGTCATGACTGTCCACATGCATATAGCTTCCAACCTGAGCATGAGAGAGCCTTTAGATAGTTCCAGCAAGTAATTCTGATTGGATTGAATTTGTCTTTGTGTGGCAAGGGGGAGCAGTAGAAGGCAAGCAACATAGAACTATGATTGACCACTCTCATCAAGACAACAGCAGTCAGAAATATTTTCCCAAAGAAACCAAAATAAAGAATATAGGACACACTGGATACAGAAATTATTATCTCCACAGAAATTAGAATACAGTTTTAAAAAAGTGAAGTATGTATTTTAAAAAGTAAAAATAAAACAAATAGTTGTAGAACCCAAAAAGCAGGAGCAGAAAATAGGGGATAGAGAAGATGTCACGATGAGTAATATTTTAGCAACATGGACAGCCATAGTTTCTAATGGAATGTTTTTATTCCATTAAAATTGTGGCACATCTGAAGGCCTCCTGGGCAATAAGATACAGTGAAAAACCAAGGCTTCAGCCTGCACATGTACTTCTGATAGATGAAAATAAAACTTACCTTGGAAGGAATTACCTTATGAGTTCAACAGTAATTTTAGGAAACTGTTACCTATTCATTAGTGGATGGTATTCAGAAAAGGAGAGCTTTTAATTCAAACAAAATAAAGCATTATGGAAAAAGAATTGTGGAGGAAAGGAAAACCAGCATAAGTGAGTGTGCATAGGAGAACTGGCAGTTGACCACTATTGGTTTTCATTGCAATATGCAGGATTTTTTGCACCCCTCTCCAAAGAATTAGAGTGTCTTACTTCATATCTGAAGCAAATAATTAGTAATTTTTTTATTTTTCACTTTTGGATACTACATTGTGGGGACAATCAAACCTATGTTCAAATAATGATTTAAATAGTCATGTCAGCAAAACAAGCACTGCACTGTAGTTAGGGCTCTGTCACCAACATTTTGACATTGGCAAGACAGGTGACTTCCTTATCTTGACTCTGTTTTCTCATTTCTGAAATGAGGGTATTGGTCTTTATGATCATTGAAGTCTTTTTTAGTTATAGCAGCAGGCCATAGGTTTCTGAATCATCCGCTGTATGTTTCCCTCTTTTTCTAGATTGGCATTGATAACAGTTGTGCTTTGAAGGAAATTTCAGAAGTTGCTTTTGAACAATTTCTGTTATTGTTATAGGTGTTAGGCAGCCTTGGAAAGCAGATAAAAGAGATAACTCTTACCTGCACCTATAGAACAATGTGACTTTCATTGACGTATGTTAAGTACTGGTTTTAAGGAATGCCTATGAAAAAAATATCTAAGAATTTGGCAGATAAAAATTGTGTATAGAGAGAATATTGTACCGATTATGATGATGTCTGTATGTGTATGTACAGGTTTCAAATGTGGTATGGAGCTTTTTCTTCCTTATGAGCATTCCAAAATCTTGCATCTAACAGTTCTAATTACATTTCCAATAGCTTCCACTGCCACACACACACACACACACACACACACACACACACACACACTATATTATCTAGTAAAGTGGTTTTGGAATTAACATTTTTCCTGGAAGGAATATATCTGATTTAATGACCAAATCGTTTTAAGGCAGCACAACAGAATTTCACAGGAACTAAATCTATTTTTTCACACCGATCATGCATGTTTTACTCAAGCATTGAGTCATTAGCATGTTTATAATGGTTCTAATTTAGCACAACATTTTCTGAATTTTATCCTTGAGTCATTTACAAATTGTTCATATTGAGTAAACAAAGGAAACAGATTGCATTTTATACTTAGTAATTTATCTGAAAGAAGAGGGGAGGGTTAATTGTTTTAAAGTTTTGGTCTGTTTGGGGAAGTGAGCCTGCTTTTTCATTGCTAGGCATAAATGCCATTTCTCATCTTTTTGGTAATGGGGGAGGGGTGTTATGGAGGAGTAAAATGAAAAATTAGGACCAGGACAAGATTGGCCACTCCCAGAGGGGAGTGTGGAGCAAAAGGGGAGCTGGCACGAGATTATCCAAAACAGTTGGTGCATTCCTTAATGATCAAGTGCTTGAGAAGTCCAGCTCCTCCTGGCAGAGCATCTGTGTTGATGTTTATATCATTGCCCTGCTGTATGGGAAAGGCATGCTTTCTCTTGCTGCTTGGCTAAAAATAGGACGGAATATAGTATTGTATGAGATATTTTAAGATAGCAAAAACATTTAAGAGGTTAAAGGTTTGACTTTTGGATCAAAAAAGATCAGTAATATAACTCATGGTGTTACTTGCAGACTGGATTTTATCTAGAGTTTGTTAGTGATTCGTACTCTTGGTTAGGGAAGTTATTCTAGGTTTATTTGGTGTAGTCTGAAAAACCCACTCCGCTGTCTTTCTGTCAGCTTCCCAGCGTGAAGAGCAGGCCTGAAAACAGCCTCTATTTATACTCCCTTGTTCTTATTTGGAAAATCAGTTGTTTCATTGGAGAGAGAGGGAGAGGGGGAGAGAGAGAGAAGAGCATGAGCAGTCGTCAGGGAGTGTGCTTTGTACGTTATAGTGACTTCAAAATAAAACTGGCACATTTTAGTGTCTAATTATTTTTAGTGAGCTTGGAGGGTTTTAATTAAAATTTAAGAGTGCTCTTCAAGCTCTCCAAGTTCCAATTTTATCCCACTGTATTGTGGAGCACTTGCCACTGTGGAAAAATGTACAGTAACTGGCATGTGCAACTCTGTGTTTCCTAATGAAAAATGTGAGATGGATAATCAGTGGGGATATAAATATATTTTGCTGGATTTAATTGTAAACCAAGGTCATGGATACTTTTGATAAGTTATCATTGTTCTTGGGTAAATAGAAAAATTTATTACATTTGAAATTTATGATTCCTATGGTAAAAATAAAAGGAATTGCTTTACTATTTTCTCAAAGTGTTAATAAGCAACAGAAAATCTGCACATAGAGCCAGCAGTAATTGTTCTCCTCACTAAAATATTTTGAAGATATTTTTTATGTTGTTTCTAGTGTTTTAGCATTTCTAAGTTTAAATATCACGAGGTAAAGGGAAAATAAGTGTTTGCTTATAGGTAGATTGTTGTAAAGTGCAATAAAGATTTGTCACATTATCTCTTCCTCTTCCCCATGCTGTAAGTTTAATGACAATTTGTTTATTTATTTTTGATCTATCTGAAATACCTTTATTTTGTACAGTGTGGGAGTTAATACTGCTGCAGGTTTGTCTGACTAGAAGTAATTTAAAATTGTTCCCAAAATATCACCACACAGATTAGGAAATCAATATCTCACATACTCTTTCTTTTCATTTTTCTTACATCATAAAATTAATTACTAAGTTAATTAGCGAAAACATTACTCAGCTGTGATAAAGCATTCTTGACTTACCTGGCCCGAAACCTAAGTACTTAGGAAGCAGAAACATTGCTTTGTAATTTATTATGCATGATATTTTAAAAACAAAATAGTTCTGAATTCTATCTTCCTTTTCTCTCAAATTTCTTGAAAGAGAAAAGCTTTAATTTGAAAAGGGAAAGAAAAAACCAGAAACAATGCAACTGATAATTTATAATACATCAAAACGTTTACATCCTTGCTTAAATTATAGGTGAGAACTGAAGTCCAGCTCGCGATTTTTGATAGTACTCTTTTAATCATTATTATTTATAAAAATTAGAGAAGATAAAGTCCTGCATTTCATTGAATAAATATTGGTTAATGGAAACAGATTCTTTCAAAGTAAGAGGAATTAATTTTGGCATTTTCTATTTCAATACGACTTTAGCATAATGCTACTTTAGCATTATGACTTACGTTCATTTTTTAAAAATATGTACATATTATGGTGACATTTTTCATGCTGTAATGTTGTGATTCTTTATTTCCATTTCCAAAAAGCATATATTTTCTCTCCTGTTTTTCAGATGATGACAACTTAAAGACATTAAACTTGGAAAAGTCAAAGTCAGATAATAAATTTACTGCATATTGTTTAATTGTTTTGAGGATGGTGGCAGCATTGTAACTAATTAGTTAATTGTTTTCAAATTAATTTGTAAAATATATTTATGTTTATAAAATAATCCAAGAGTGTCTTGGGGCTGTTCAGTCCTTTTTTTCCATTTGGAATCTTACATGATTACTGTGTTAAAGCCACTCAGTGTGATCTTATTCTTTCCATGTACATAATGCAAACAGGCCTTCTTTGCTTATTTTTACCACTTTGATTTTTGCATTTATGCTTGATCAGAATAGGTCAAAGTCTGATCTGATCAATTGCCTCTGTAATACTAATGTCCCATTAATGTAGTTGAGGAATGTGGCACAAAGGGAATGGATCCTTACTTTTAATTTGTACCCATACCTGGATATTGTTTTGAGATAGAAATTTGAAAACATAAATTTTATTTGTAACTTTGTATCAATTACATATTTTCTCATTTCAAATCAGGAACCTTTTGGTGGTAGCAGTAGTGTCTTCTGCTTATAGAGTGCTTAGTAACAATTCACTTCTGAGAAAAAATATCATCCTACTTACTTTATATTATTACGTGGAGAATGCTTAGCACCAATTGTGGTATGCCTCTAGAGGTTTGGCAGTCAGATAATGGGGTAGAAAGCAGTCATTTGTCAAGAGACTTTCTTACAGGTTCGAGTCTTCCTGGAATCTCCTAGTCCTGAGATTAAACATTGATAAGCTTGTATGTACTAACTTTCATTGTCCTATAGATAAAGGCAATCAGTGGTTGCTATTAAATATTTTCATGGCTGAAAATGTAGATATGCAAAGGCTGCTTTATTTTTTCCCTCAATTTCTTCTACTGAAATGGGAACTCATATAGCTAGATTAACTGAGCATTGCAGTAAGGATTAATTTTCTAATAGGAATGCGAAACGCTTTGAAGTTATTAGCCATTTTATTAATGAGTAGCTTTTATATAAAGCTGTGTCCACATGGTTTAAGTGTGTATTCCTGTTGTTCATATAGCTCTCTTTTTCTCCCATGAAGTTTTAGCATTCTTTTCTTGGAGCTCTAAAAGATTTCAGGTCTATTTATAGAAATGAGAGACATATTTTAGCCTGTTTTACATCCTAAAATGCATTTAATCCTAGTATATGGACTTGCTCTGAATTTGTTATTATTACAAATAAATTGGGCTTTTATCTTTGACTACTATACTATATGCTCTCAACTCAAACTTTAGCTAAAAAAGTTATGCTTTTGTAATTGTATCAGTAATTATTAGCTTAGTGCACTGATATAACATATGAAAGGCTAAAAAAAACAGAATTGGGTAGGATATTAAAATAAAAACTTTTTGTTGACTATTCTTATCCATACTCTAACGTTATATCAATCTCTTTCAGAAATTCAAACCTGATTTGAGAAAAAGCAATCTGTGACAGGCATGGATTTGAAGAATTGCTTCCTAACTCTTAACTTAGTATTATCATTTTTATGACTTTAGCATAAAAACAAAATAAGTATAGAACAAAATATATATCTCATTTCTGAATTTGAATAAAAAATAGTAAGAGGCTATTTAAGCAATTAAATGCAACCCGAACATATGCATCTGCATGTAGGCTCCATTGGAACATCACTCAGAATCCAATTTTGAAGCACAGTAGTAGATCATTTGTTGAAGACTGAGAAAATAATAGGAAATAATGGAATAAAGAAAGAAGGAAGGTAGGAAGGAAGGAAAACGGGAGGGAAGAAGTAAGGGAATGGGCAAGGAGCTTTCATTTAATAAAATCAAGCTGACTTCTATTTAGAAAGAACTTCAGCTCTGTGATAGCCAGTTCGGATGGTTGTTCTTCATCAGCCGTTTTTACAACACACTGATCTGGATTCTATCCCTTCCTTGATTGATTGATAGTGTCACAGACAAATGTTAATTGTTTTTTCACCAATACTTTCTAACCATGCAGTGGTCTTCTCATCTCTTAGCCAGGGCTCATGGTCTTTTTCTGAAGCTTATCTAGCTTCTAAAGCCCTTTAGATCCATCTTGACCTTACTGTCATTCTGAAAAATTCAAGGAGGATTTAGAAGCTGGAGAAAATAAAAAATGAAAGGGAAAATACTAAAGAGATAGGTGCTGATACGAGAGAGAAAAGGCATTTAGAATTGGAGTAACTGTTTTAAATATAATTTTAAAAGGAAGTTATCAGAATTTTGACACTTGGAATGTTAAAGTTTTATGGGAGTATGCTTTGCACTAAGGATTTAGTATTTAAATCTGCATTCCCTTTTGGAAACATGACCTATTTGTTAAGATTTGAGGCTTAAAAGATACAAATAAATAGTGGTAAGCAGTAGCACCAGTTGCAAATCCATTTGCATAGAGAGCAGAAATAACTCATTGAGAAAAATTTGGTAATTATCAAGACATTCTAAAGTTTGGATTTCTGTAGTCTTTATGAATCTTGATAAAAACAAGTGTAATTACTCCCTGTATTTTAGTATGCTATTTAGAAATACAGTGGGGCAAATAATAAATGGCATTTATATAGGTATTTATTTAATAAAAATATGTATCAGTTTTTACATAAGAGAAAAATTTTAGCAGTTTTATTACTAGGGGTCAGAGAACATCTTAATTTCATTTTCTTCTTGTTTTGCTTTAATTGGATATTTTATAAAAGTTAGATTTCTTTTTTAAGAACTAAGTGGTTACAGATTGATTGGGCTCTTCTCTCTTGATTATCTGTTATTGTTTCTTGCACAGCACATACATTTTGCTTGGACTTAAAAAATATTGCCTGGATTAAAAGGAGTATCTAATGTTAAACTAATAGGAAAGAGCCCTCTTTTCTGTACTATCAGTCTAAGAAATGACAAATGCTGATTGAATATTAATAGAATTATAATACTAAAACAGATTATTGAGCATTATCTTTTTTCTCTTAGATGATAGTTTAAATAATTATCTGGTAAAAATAAACTTTGTGGTGGTATTTTATAATACACATTATAGAATAATGTAATTTTCTATATCCTGGGGTTCAAGCTACAGCAACAAAAACAGCTTTATGCATTCTTAAATGAGAATTTCCCCATAAACTGACTTTCTAAATTTGTAATAAATATATATTTTTAATACTTACTTTTGTATTTTAATAGATTCCTCCTGCATGGAAAAACTACTTTCAAAAGATTGGAAGGAAAAAATGGAAAGACTAAATACCAGTGAACTTCTTGGAGAAATTAAAGGTACAACATAAAATATATCGAACATGTCAATGCAGTGATGTGATGTTATTTTGTATAACAATGTATTTGCTGATCTTCTGTACTGTAACAGTAAATCTTACATGTAACATTTGATTGTACATGAGAGGGTGAATATTATAGGTTTCTGAGCTTTTATTCCTTGCAATGTTTACAAACTGAAAAATTTCCCCACTTTTTGTATTAGTCTATAAACATATAACTTATAGGATATGCTGCCTCATTAATTTACTTCACAAAAAAGTATAAAAACCTTATGTTAAAAGATGAGCAAATTAAGCTAAAGATAGTCTTAGTTTTCCCTCTTAAAATTATAATAATAGCTTAATTTATGAATCCAAATTATTTTGAATTTCTTCTAATCAAAATGGGTTGCCTGTAGCACCTTTAAAAATGTTTATAGAATGTGCTGTACATAATGGTTTATTGGGGGATTCTGAAGCTTGTTTACGTTGGTTCAAATCCTGGCTCTGTCACTGGACAGAGTAACTTTGGACAAGCCACTGAAGTTTTCTTTTTTTCTTTTTCTTTCTTTTCTTTTCTTTTTTTTTTTTTTTTGAGATGCAGTCTCACTCTGTTGCCAGGCTGGAGTGCAGTGGCGTGATCTCAGCTCACTGCAACCTCTGCCTCCCAGGTTCAAGCGATTCTCCTGCCTCAGCCCCCTGAGTAGCTGGGCCTATAGGCGTGCACCACCACGCCCAGTTAATTTTTGTATTTTTAGTGGAGAGGGGTTTCACCAGGCTGACCAGGATGTTCTTGATCTCTTGACCTCGTGATCTGCCTGTCTTGGCCTCCCAAATTGCTAGGATTACAGGTGTGAGTCACCGCACCGGGCCTGTTTTATGTTTTATAATCCTCATCTATAAAATGAGGATAATACAAGTATTTCCTTCATAGGCTCATTAAGAAGTTAATACATGTATAGTTCTTAGAACAGTACCTGGCACTTAAGAAAGTACTCATGAGTTTAAGTTTGGTGGTTATTATTAATATACACAGACGATCCCATGTTGATAAAGCTCAAATTTCATCAGGTTTAGCATTTTGTGGTCTCTGACTCAGATGAGAATAAACATCTTTACTTTTGAATATACGTGATTGATATTATTATTTTTAGACATGTTAAGAAGTGGACTATCCCAATCCATTCAGATAGTAAGTTACCTTATCAGTTGAGAGTTATACTTTTTGCCTACTAACCAAACTCTTGCTGATTCATTTATGGAGAAGAAGTGCTGTATTATTATTATTTTTGCATTATGAATGAAATTCATGATCACGCATCAACTTTGTCAATCCTTACGGACAGTCATCACTGTGATTTGCACTAACAATTTGGGTACTTAGTTACATTAGTTTTCTGAATTTATCCAACAACTTTAGGTGAATCTTCCTATTGGTCATGGATAATATCTGAGTTAAGATGAAAATTTGATAATAATTATCTAATGTAAATGTTA
Organism: Homo sapiens; assembly: GCF_000001405.40. Lineage (NCBI taxonomy): Eukaryota > Metazoa > Chordata > Mammalia > Primates > Hominidae > Homo > Homo sapiens. Next base: position 16,233,103 of record NC_000011.10, on the reverse strand, counting down.
TTTTGAATTTACTACAGAAAATTTCCTAGTTTTCAGGCATGTCATGTTCAATTCAAGTGAAGAGAAAAGGAAGTCATCTTTTTTCCCAGCAAATAATTAATAAATCATTGCATTAACTAATTATGTATCGAAACCAGTGGAAATTGGATATTATTTTGAGTTCCCCTACTTCTGTTTTGTACCCATAAAGGCCATTTGCTGTCTTGGAAAAAAAAAGAAACTCAACTTATTGATGGATACAAAGAAAGTCATTAGTGACATATTCTCTATCCAGCTGCAATAACATGGTGTTTGCTACTTTGCACGTCATTCTGTGTTTTCTTCCCTTTCCAAAGTCATTCCTTTTTATAACAGTGAGAACAGAAATGGTTTGTACAAAGGCAAGCTTTTTCCAGCATGAAAGATGAGGGTCCTGCTTTCTCTTAGTAATGTGAAAACTAACATTTTATTATGTTATAATTCAACATGGAGTTTTTGTACTTCAGGGTATATTTTCTCCCCCCCTTTCCGTCTTTCTTTATATTTAAGTCTAATTTTGAATTCAAAATTTAAAAAATGTGCTAGTCTTGGATACTTGGAATGTATAAATCACAAAAGTGAATCACATGAAAAATTAGCCTTTTCAAATTCTTTAACCTTTTTTTCTGGATTCTTTGTGATATGTGAACTTTCATTTGTGTGTTATTCTGAGTTTCTTATGGGCATAAAATATAAGATTCTTACTAAATTTATCTTTATTTATTCTCCATTATCATCTCTTCATACATCCTAATATCTTTTACAGAAAATGTACCAAGAATATATTAATTTAAAAATGAAAAAATCAGTTAAAATAGTATTGAAATAGTTTGAGTAAACTGCTACCAAAACTCAACATACATTTTTATTCTGGTGGAAACCAGGCCAGTTATTATCCACCTAAATTACTTCTCATTTTCCTGAAATTTTAAGGTGACCTAAATTATATCTTTGAGGAATACATACAATCATGGGTTATCAGTATTTAATATTATATCTCAAGCATTGTGTATTTTTGATAGCTCTTATATTTTTCTGATTATAAAATTCATATGTATTTATCTGTAAGAAACATACAAAAAAACAAAAAGGTAGTGAAATTATCTTTTAATTCTACTTGTATCTTATTGTATATTCTTTCCATTTTAAATTATGCATACTTATGTTAATTTTCCCCACAAAATTAGAATCATCCCATTATAATTTTTTTGTAATCTATTTTCCCCACTTAATGATATATTATGAATTTTCCTGAGATTGAGTTATCTTCTAAAATATTATTTTTGTTGGCAGAAAGTATTGCATAAAATGAGGTTTTCATAATGTAACTGGGCCTTTTCTTCAACATTTAAGTTGTTTTTATTGTTTGTTGGTTTAAAGAGCACCTATTTTGAAAACAGAAAACATTTTTATTAAGACTTATCAACTTATTAGTGGTTATTTAGGTTATATTCTTGAAAGTGAAATTCCTGGGCCAAAGAGTTTGTTCTTTTTAAAAAGACTTTTGATTCATATTGCCAGTTACCCTTCAGGAAGAGTGTAGTATTTTGTGCTCTCACCAGTAATATCTGCAGGTTTTTATTCTCTTGCCCTGAATAACAAGTATTATTAATTTAAAAATTTCTTGCCATTTTTATAGGGGAAAAAACATATCATTGTTGATTTAATGAGTTTTTTGACTATTAGTGAGAATGAGGTGTTATATCTACATTAATTTGCAATTAAATATCTCTTCCTTTGTGAACTGCATATGTATGTTGGTTGCCCATTTTTTCTTTAAAAGACTTGTCCAGTTCTCAGTGTTTTCTAAGAACTCTTAATATATGTTTGAATAGTATTAAACTTTATTTGTGATATATGTTGCATTTTGTCATTTGCTTTATTTTCTGGTTTTGCTGTCAATCTTTCCATCCCTTCTTTAATGCTTTTTTCTATAGGGGGTTTGTTTAGAAAGGCTTCTTCATCCTGAAATTGAACAATATTCTGCTATATTTTCATCCAATTAGTTGGCTATATTTTTAAACACTTACCTATATAATACATCTTAAATATGTTTTGATGAATAATGTCAACTAGAAATATAACTTAATTTTATTCTCAAGCAGTTAACCAAATATCTATACTGTTTATTAAATAATCCATCTTACCTCCTCTGACTTGAAATGGCATCTTTTATTACACTCTGATTACATATTTGGAACCATTTATCAGATTTTGGTTCTATTCCATTGATTTTTCCATCTAAACTTTTATTAGTACTATGCTATATTAATCACTGTAACTTTAGTATCCTTCAAAAGTAAGTATTGCAAGACTACACTCATAATTTTTCTTTAAGGTGCTTCCATACTTCTTTAAAGTTTATCTTTAATTTATTTTATCAAGTTGTTAATTAAAATTCCAAAGTGATTTTTTAAAAGATTATATTACATTTATATGAAAGGGTAGGATGAACTGACATCTTTATACTATTGAATTGCTCCATTCAAAGTCATTTATTCAGTTATTTTATGTCTCTCAATAATTCTGCACATTTGCACATTTCCTTTGATGTTTTCTTAGTATTTAATATTTTTGCTTACTCTTGTGAATGAGATATTTTTCATTCTATTTTCCTTTTGTTATATTTAGGGATGCTATTGAATTTTGCTGGTTAATTTTGTAACTTGCCTCTATTGACTTTTAGGTGTAGTCATATTTCAATAGATATGTTTTCTCTTCCTTTTTGGTAGTTATATGTCTCTTTGCTACCCAACTCCCACCCACCCTTCATACGTTCATTGCCTTGAATGCCAAGAATAATATTAAGTAATAGAGAAGTAATACAGATATTTCAGTGTAATTTTTAATTTATGGAATTGTTTTTAATATTTCATATTAAATATTCTATTGACTTGATTAAAATATCCTTTTTCATTTAAAGATATTGTTCTAGTCTACTAGGAGTTTGGTCTATTAAAATAACTTGCATTTTATTTCATGGAATATCTTATTAGGTTTTGTTTTTCAAATTTGTCATTGAAATAAACCCTGATTAGTCGTGGTATAGTCTTGTTTAAATGTACTGCATCATTTTATTTGCTCATATTATAGTTGTTATAGTTATTTTTACAACTGTAATTATAAATTGATTAGAGTTTTCCATGTTTATATTACTTTTGTTAATTTTTTAGTAGCAGTGTTCATAGTTGAATTGAAAAACTTTTCCTCTTTTTCTTGGTTATGTAAAATGTTGAATAAATAACATGAACTACTTATTCCTTGAAATTCTGAAAAATATTCTCATAAAACATCTAGGCCTAGAATTTTCTTTGGAGATTTCTTTTTAACATTTTCTACTTTTCTTTTAAGTCAGTTTTGCCATAAAATAGTTTTCCTAATTAATTTTTAAAGAGAAGAAAACTCTTACAGAATTGTATATCTCATGAGATTTTCAAATCTCATTGACTTCATATACATATTTTATTTTTAGTTCTTCCATTTATTTGCTGTTATAGATCCCATATTTAATTTTGCATATTTGTTTTCTCTTTTTTGTTCTTCAATTTTACTTGCTAGTGGTTTTTCTATTTATTGCTCTACCTCCCCCAATAATCCAGTTTTTGGATTTGTCAATTCTGCTGCTTTTCAATATGCCTATTAATTCATTTTGCTTTTACCCTTATTATCTCTCCTTTCCTGTTATTCTTATGCCTTTTCTTTTGTTTGTTTTTTGGTATCTTTTAACTTGAATACTTCACTTAACAAATTTTTATTTAATGATAATGGTACTTTTGGCTATGAATATATTTCTAGAAATAGCTTTATTCATCCCATAAGTTTGTGCTTTTAGAACTCTGTCATTATTTTCTAAATATTCAACATTTATATTATTTTCTAGCTGATCTGTGTTTATATATCATTCTTAACTGCACATATTCTCTTAGAGTCCTAGAGTGTAATGAAGCTGGGAAAGGGAGAGAACTCAGCCTTTATCACTGCCATTGGAAAATTCTATGTGATGGGTAGGTGCTAGGAGAGTCAAGTGTGAGCAGTAGAATGGATAAGGGCAATGATTCTTCAACTCAGGGAGCTTAATATTTTTACATATTTAAGAAATAATAGATTATTATTTTCCCTTTTAGATTTTACTTAAAAAACCAGTGGTTTCTCATAAAATTTTATATCTGATTAACGTAAAGCAATGTTTCTAAAACTCCTTGATAGGAGTTGGAAGACTGCTAAAATCTGAGAAACACTGAATCATAGAAATTTGTATGAGTATGTACCTGAGTCATGCCTAATATTCTTTTTTTATTGTCTATATGTAAGGTGGACAGCATGAAGTTTTGATATACATACATACAGTGAAATGATTACTAGTCAAGCAAATTAACATATGCATCACCTCACATAGTTACCTTGTTCTGTGTGTGTGGTAAAAGCACCTAAAATATACTCTCCTAGCAGATTTACAGCATGCAGCACAATATTATCAACTTCAGTTTTTATGTTGTAGAGTAGAGCTATAGACTTATTCATCCTACATACCTGCAACTTTGTACCCTTTGACCTACATCTCCCTATTCCTCTCTCTCTCCTACCCCTGTTAACCACCATTCATAATATTCTTAAATAGAAAATCTCTCCTTAACTCCCTACCATTTTTTCATATGTAGCCTCCTTTCTAGCATTACTGAGGATAGAATGCTATAATTGGCATAAATTTAATAGTAGTCATCTAAAATCAGGATTCAAACCAAGTTAATATTATTACAATTATTACAAAATAACTTTATTATTAAAACTTTAAATGAAATACAGAATAAAATGTTTACACTTTTACTTTGGCCTGGGTGCATCTGAAGTGTTGTGTCCCAGTTGGGGTCTCATTTTTTTTTTTTCTTTTGAGATGGGGTCTTGTTCTGTCGCCTAGGCAGGAGTGCATTGGTGCAGTCTCGGCTCACTGCAACCTCTGCCTCCCGGGTTCAAGCGATTCTCCTGCCTTAGCCTCCTGAGTAGCTGGGATTACAGGCATGTGCCACCACGCCTGGCTAGTTTTTGTATTTTTAGTAGAGACAGGGTTTCACCATGTTGGTGAGACTGGACTTGAACTCATGACCTCAGCTGATCCGCCTGCCTTGGCCTCCCAAAGTGCTGGAATTACAGGCATGAGCCACTGCACCCGGCCTGGGTCTCATATTTTTAAGAGATCTATTGTTACATTAGTATTTATCAGAATGACTAGAATAGTAAAGAGTTCTGAACATTTAGTGTGAATAGTAATTAAAGACCTAGGGAAGTTTGGCCTAATACATATTATTTGACTTGAAGTTTTATTGGATAGAAGAGGATAATATGTGTTTTCTGCTGTTTTAGGGGGTTAAGGTAATAGGGAACTTGTTCTTAATAAAAAATGGAAATTAAGAACTTATAGCTGTGACATTGATAAGATTGGACTGCATTAGTAGAGAGTGCCTCAAGTATAAGTAGATGTTCAATAAATATTTGTTGAATGAGTTGGGCCTGGTGAGGCGCACCTTTAGTCCCAGTTACTCAGAAGGTCAAGGCAGGAAGATCGCTTGACCCCAGGAGGTTGAGACTGTGATTGCACCACTACATTCCAGTCTGGGTAACAGAGTGAGACCCTGTCTTGAAAAAAAAAACATTAAAAATTCAGAAATAATAAATATTTGTTGAACGAATGAATCAATGAATTAAAGGATGAATTAATAAAATAAATGAAAATTGGGTTCTGGAAAATTTTAAGCAGAGATGTTGTACAGGGTATCCCCATGCTGGTGGAATGTTATCTTCATGATCTCCTAAGGTTCCTTTCAAATTAATACTACAGTTATTATACTTTCTTAATTAGAAGACTGACTTTCAAAATATGTTCTGTTTCCTGTCAATAAATAATTTGGTAAGTAACTTTTGTAAGACATCTTATTGTTTACAAAGTAAACATCTAACATTATTTTATTTGAGACATATAACAATCCAGTGTGGAAAATATTATTATACTGATTTTATATATGAGTAAAATGAGACTGAGGGAATTAGGTATCTTGTTCAGGGTCGCTCAGAAAGTTGTGAAAGTAGGGTTTGAATCTTGGTCTCTGAATACTCTGCTTAATACAATACAAAGTAGTTATTCTTTAAAGACTTTGAATTCTGCAGTGGGAGCAAGAAAAAGATAGATTATGGGCTGTTCCTCCCTCCCGCAACCCACAAACAACTAAAATAACTCCACTTTTACCCTTTTCTATGTAAATTAGGCAGTATGGCAAACCAGGAGTGATATAGATAATACAGTTCTCCATGTAGTAGTATTTATCTTGATCTTTACCTGAATGAGAGACAGGGGTGAAGAAATATGGTGGAAGGATACAGGGTAAGACAGAACTACTGGTAGGGCCCATAACCCATCTGTATCTATGTTTGAGTTATACTAAAGGAATGAAGATGCCATAGTTATTTATGAGATATTTCTAAATGCAATGGTGACATACTACATGATGTCTAGAGCATGAGGATTCATTCTCTGTCTCCCTGAGTGGGTCTAACCTTCATGGCTGAGATCATCTTAGTCAGCCTGCCTGTTTTGCACACATGCTCCTCTGTGCTGTGTCGGGCATTTCCTCCTTAGTGTGAAGGTGCCTCCCTGGGCAATGTGCCAGGGACACAGTAATGTTGGTTGTTTGAGTTAGCACAAACTGTTTGTGCTTGTGTTTGACAAACACACAGAAGATAAGAGAGAAAAAAAAAACAAAAACAAAAACAAAAAAAACACAATTATGTGATAGCAACCAAATAAGGAAAATCGTGTTTTCTTTCCTTGGTCATTTACGATTAATTATTTCAATATTTACATTTAGGGATCAAGGTAGATGTTCTTGTAGGTATACTCTTCTTTAGCTTAGAAAAATAACAGTCTCTTCTGACAGAAAAAAAAATTGACTAAACAGATACTTTTTGATGGAAAATTCTACAAATGATTCCCAATGTTTTTCAAAGGCACTGTTGAAAACTGTTACTTATTACAGTTACTCAACTAATATGTCTGAAAAGTTTGGTTATAGAACCTAAATACTATCATTATAGTTCACTGTTAAAGACTGGAAGCATTACTCCCTGTTACTTTATTAGGGTTTTACTAAAAGAAGTAAAATTAGGAACTGCATACATCAAATAGTACAAGCATATTATGGTTGGGTTTGGTGCAAATACTGAATTAAAATGCAAATTTATTACAACACTGCTACTAAGTGCCACTGAGGGCCTGGTTTCATTTTTAGTTTTGATTGCAAGCATAAATCTTCGGAGGAGTGCACAGAAACACAAAAGTCATGGTTTTTTTCACTGCATGATAGATCTTTGAAGATCAAATAGTGTAGGTTATTCTTGAAGTAACTTAAGCAGTGCTGTTATCACCAAAGGGTCAGGATGGATCTAACAGCATTCCCATAGAATTAGTGTTCTGCAACACAGGTTACTATCTTAAAATCCAGTTCTCTCTCCTAGTTTGTTCATTTCTATCATAAGGCCCTAAAGTATATGTAAGTACTTTGATTGCTTATTCCATGCATTGCCTTTTCTACAGAATACTCTGTTTTTTTTTTTTTTTTGAATAGCAATTCATAGTTACTACTTTTTTCTGTTTTAGGCAATCACAGAAGGACTAGAGTGGTTTTACAAGAGCTATGGCTGTAAACTTTGCATATTTGCTTATGAATGAATTTTTATTGAATTTCTACTTACAAATTTACAGCAATTGTTATATCTGGTGGAACTTAAAAAAAACTAGAAATGCTTAGAGATTAATCATCTGCCACTTTTCAACTCTGATAAAATTTTTAATAGCAAAGTTCACATACCTAGGGATTTTTGCTGTCTCTTTAGAAAAAAGTATCAAAACAGTAACTATCAATGTTCAGATTTTATAGATTTTTAAAAATATAAATTGTTATTTCTATAATAATTAAACAAATGCTATATTGATCTAGAGACTGACTTGTAAAAAAGATTGTCACAACAGATGTTTTTCCTTTTCCAGTTTTAATGAAATAATGTTTGCCAGTATTTTCTGTGTATGTCTGTGTAATTGTAGAACTTCAGAGTAATATCTAGAATCATAGAATCTCCAAAAGTTAGAGCTGGAGGTGCTTTGTGTTTTGTGTAATCCAACTTCTTACTTTTCATATAAGGATCTCAATATCCAGAAGAGAAAAGTCACTGCTCTAAATCATATAGTAAATTACTAAGGTGGAAACTTAATATTCCCCCAAAATAGCATGTTTAGTCCATTTTACATAGTCTCTTGATTGTTTTGTTATCAATAGTGAGTAATTATTGCAGAACCCATGGACTCTTTTTGCTAACAACAAATGCATACAGCAGCTAGTTTTATAAATATGTATATACATTATACAGCAACACCCATAGTTTTTTTTAATTATACCACTTTGCATGAATGTAGACATTTCAAAGCTCTCCTTTGTACTCTCTGTTATCAACATCTTTTACTTCTTTTGAAGTCTGTGTGATATACATAAAAGCAATTAAAACCTCCCCCCACTTGGGGTTAGAGACACAAGGTCTTCTTAATTAAAACTCAAACAAAAGCTACTGGAAAGAATTCCTACCATATGATTAAGGTCTAAAGTATTATGATACATTAGAATCATTGTTAACTGTTGGGATTAAAAGAAATCAATATGTTGGGGAAAAGATCAGTTGAATCTAATTAGTGAAATCAATGTTTATGTAAAAGAAAACACTGAAGTTTAATAACAGGTTCTGATTATAAATATAATACTGGCTAAAATTGTTCTTTGTTATTGTTACATTGACCACATAATCATATTTTATATTCACTGAAAAAGAATCTGAAACTTATTGTTTGTAGTTAATTATTATAATTAAAAGTGTAAAACTAAAAATCATACCTGGTTTCAAAAATTTCAATTATAAAATGTTCTTATATGTGAAAATAGTCACCAATTATAAAATATTTCTATTGATTTTGTTTTTAAAAGGCTAATTTTAGGAATAGCTACAGCCTAGAGTAGGGAAAGGAGGCAAAATTGGTTTAAAGTAAAATGATCCAAAGTATTCTTACACAATTATGATTATATTAAATATGTATTAGTCTATTTGGTGACATATTGAAACAAAAAAGGATATGTTTTGATATAATACAAATACAAGACATTTTACTTTTTTCTTCCAATTGCTATGATGAAAATAAACATAGCTAACATGGAGAAGAAAAACTATTACTAATTGAAGCCTAGATTTTAAGTAAAATGAAGGTCATTAGCAATTTCCTGGAAGCCATTCAGATTGCTTACCAGGAAATGGTGGCTAGCAGGACATCTGTAATCGCCCTGTGTGGAATTAGTGAAAACATACTGGAGCTTAAATGATGTGTGTTAGATTTAGGCTGAGGGGGAACCTTTCTCTATTAAAGTAGCTAGTATTCTTTGAATACAAACAATTTTTGTTTCAGTATTAATGTACAAACCCAGAACTGAAGACAGCCATTAACATCTATATCTACATCTATACATCCATACATTAATACACACCTATAGATTGGATTATGACTCATAGTGGAATGAGAGATGACAGGGTAACATCAGAATAATATGAATCTGAGAGTGAAATGTGTTTAGGTAAATCAAAAGAACTTCTATAACTTAGAATGCTGATTTCATAACATTTTGGGGTGGTAAATTTAGTCCCATTTTTGTAGCATTTTCTTATCTCGATAAAGAAATGAGACAAGTTGAGTGTTAAATGAAAATGCCTCCGAGGACATAAACTTAATTCTCACTTACTCTGCACTGTGGTGGGAGAAATGGGGTCACTGATTTAGAGACTTTTAGCCCAGCATCTCTGTATTACCTGAATGATTGGTTGGTTTAATGATGATTAACATCTCTGGAACTATTAAAAATGTCAGAGAAAAACTGAGGAGAGTATTCTGTGCATCAATTTGTGTAGTAAATTATATATACCTAGAAAATTACTGGAAGGATATTTAGTAAACTGTTAACAGACGTTGACTGTGCAGTAGGAAATGAATGGTTTAGGGTGGGGCTGATTTTTAAATTTTGTGCTGCATAATTCGTACTGTAGGACTTTTTAAAACGATGCGTTATGCATTGCTTTTTGAATAAAAAATATTATTTTAAAAAAGACTGAATAATAAAGGTGAAAGGGATTAGTTTTCTTATTTGTACAAAAGAAAATGGATGGTACTACCTACTTAGCTTCTGAATTTTATTGAGAGTGTTAGAGAGAAAATATGTACTTTATAGGGTGGCATGAAGTAGGGAATCAATAAATGCTACAGTAGGCAACAACACATCATATTTTAGTACTTGCAACTGAAAATATTTAATAGAATGACTAGAAATGAAGTGCTCAAATTTTTGACAGGAGACATTTGCACTCTTACATTTTTATTGAGGACCCCACAAAGCTTGGTTTGTGTTTGTTTGTATCTATTCTGTAGAAATTAAACGAGAAAATTTAAAAGTACTTACTAATTCATTTAGAAGTTATGATATTAAACCTTGTACGTAGGGCCAACTGCAGTGGCTCAGACCTGTAATCCCAGCACTTTGGGAAGCCAAAGCAAGAGGAATGCTTGCAGATAGGAGTTCAAGACCAGCCTGGGCAATATAGCAAGACCCCATCTCTACAAAAAATTAAAAAAAGTAGCTGGGTGTGGTGACATGTGCCTGTAGTCTTAGCTACTGGAGAAGCTGAGGCAGGCAGATCGTTTTAGCCCAGGGGTTCAGGGCTACAGTGAGCTATCATGGTACCACTGCATAGTAACATGAAACAAATTTTTATGAAAAATAGCTGTAACCAAATAGCTAAACAAAAACAAATTAGTGAGAAGAGTGGCATTGGTTTACATTTTTCAGATCTCTTTAATGTATGGGTTAATAGATGTTGGACTCGTATCTGTTTCTGCATTTAGTCGGCTTTGATAAATTTTTGATTGAAGTGTATGAAGGCAATCTGACCTCATTTTGATATGGAGTTAAAGAGAGGAGTATTTTACAACCTTTTCGTGCTATTGTGAATATTCTTCTTTGATACTTCACCAAATTTGGCAAGTGGCAGTTTCTTAAAAGTTAGGTCCAGTAGAGGATCTGAAACCCTATCAATGGACTTTTCATACTTTTATATTAAAATCTATTGGTTTAACCTTAACTTTGAATGAATCTTTTACTCCATGCATGATTTTGTAACATTGTGTATAACTCTTTTCCTTATGTTGACACATTTCATTATGTAATATCAGAAAATTGCATTCATTAATATCACCACCAATCTCATCAGAAAAGTCTTTAAAAGTATTTGGAAACTGTCATGCTCTTGATGGCAGATAGAAGTTTTCCAAAACTGTCATTTTCCCTTGAATGAATTATTTTAACCAATACTGTCAATTACTTTTACTTTTCTTGAAGTGACAAGCCTCACTTGCCAAATATTGAGGTCTGAATAATAATATTTTCTTAGTTGTTATTTCAAATGAAAGTGTTGCTGTATACAAATAGCTTTGATAAAGTTCAGCTTCCAATGCCAATAAAAGCACAAGTGGTGGTTTTCCTTGAAACAACTGTTATACTTATATGTGTAAGAGAAGTGCTTCTCATTTCATCACATAGACTATTAAAAGTATATGTACTTAAAAGTCACCATTTAATAAAATTAATAATTTTTATTGGTTTCATCAAGGACATTCTTAAGTGACATTAGTTTTTTTGTTTATTTACTTGTTTTATTACAAGTGTATGATGGTGAAGAATACAATGACTACAAAGTTTGGTTCCTTTGATTCATGCTAAGAAACCAGTGGTTTTACTCACTATTTTATTTGCATAATCAATGCAAATGTCATCACTGTAACATGCAAATAATGTCTTAGCATTACTATAAAAACTATGAAAATTATTTCAGGGACACCTTGAATAGTTCTCTGGGATTCCCAGGGATCTAAGAACCACATTTTGAGAACTGCTGGACTAGAACCTTAGATTAGCACATAATTACCTTGACAATAAGTTAACTACTCAGTAATAACTACAAAGCAACTTAGTCACATTTAAGACTTCAGAGATTCTATGAAACTCTGAATGAAGTTAATGGCTTAAAGAAATTAGTTGCTTTCTTCCCCTGGATCTGCGCCTGTGACATAATAAACATGAACTGTGGAGTTGATCACATGTGGGTTTGATTCATGATAGGTATAAATTGATCTGTTTATTTAACCTATTTTACTCTCAACTTGCTAACCTGAAAAGTGGTTAAAAAACAACAACAACAACAACCATGCATTTCAGGATTAATGTGAAGATTAGACAGGTAGTTGTAAAGTGACTGACAAGATAGATTCTTGGTAAATAGTTTTCCAGTAGGAATAGGAACAAGAGAATTTGGATATGTGCCACCAATAGGGACCTGGAACTGTCATTACCTCTTGTATCACAAATTATCTCATGGGAAACGATTAAACATGTATAATATTGCAAGGAAGCCCCAGAAATTGGTATAATCATAAATGTCAAGTTTACAGCGTAGTTCATGTCACCAACGTTTGCTCAACCAAAAATGATATTCAATTTATTGATAATTAAAACATTTTTGAATAATCTAGGCCTGGTAAATACTAGCCTATTCAGCTTCATTCCCGTCTTGTAACAGGTAGTTTAGCTATTATATGCCTCTCAACCCCTTGCAGTATTATTAAATCATCTGGTTTAAGTACAGGCCAAATTATTTTACCTAAAATGTTGTTTTCTATATAATTTTGCTTCTGGTATTTTATTATAGTGGTAGCTAAAACTTAGAGGGCTTCCTGTTAAAATGGGTTATTCACATGTAATATTTCTGAACACACAGTTAATATGGATATTTTTAGTGTAACTGTGATAGTGAGATTTTAATATATATACACATTTATTTTAAAAGTTACAATGAGATTTTTATAATGTGAATTAGTGAACACAAAATTATGAAAAACATTTTAAAAGATTTTACTATTATTAATTTGCTTTATTTCACTTTAGCCTTTTATGTTTGAATAAACATATAGTTTTAAAATGGACATTTGTGATAATATTTATACATAGCTGGTTTTTGAAAGAAAAATGCATGGGATCATAATTAATCTCCATCTCCATGCTATTTATAGGCCCAGGAATGCTCTGTGCCTAGCACCCTAGGTACTAGGATGTGCTCTGGGTATATCTTTAGTTTAGAGTCTGTTCTTAACCAAAGTCTCAAGGGATAGCTATGTCGCATTAGGAACTGGCCCATAGTACTAGACCTCCTACATACTTAGTATTTAGGTCATTTGTCTGAATTTTAAAAAATTACTGGGCTAACCACTTAATAAAATATGTGTATTTTCATCCAAATGGTATTTTTATGAATAAGGGCCTTGAAATAAGCATAAATTGTACATTATTCTCTACATTTTTAAATGTGTTGCTACTGTTAGTAATTACTACTGAGTGCATATTTAATGCACTGAGGAAATTTGAGCAATTATTCCGTTTACTTGTGATTCCCTTTCAATCCAAATGTCTGCATTAAAATACTGAAAAAGAAAACTACAGAGAATTTAGGTCATTTAAAAAATGCACTCATTCGTGTACTCTGCTAGTAAACTTCTATTGCACTAACCAAGATAAAATTAGAATGGGCCTGACATAGTAAAGGATAGGGTTCCAAAATTTAGGTGATTTTAAATAAAATTACCTTTTAAATATAACCTTAAAAACGCTGAGCCAATTGCAAGGCAACTTCCTTATGGAAGTCAATAAGAGATGAATACAACTGAGCTCAAAATTTAGCTAATTTAACTTCAGACAAATTATTTTTCCTCAAGCCTCTTTTCAGCACTTAGGATTTGATTATACCTGGAAATGGACTGAGGAGACACAAGTTGGTAGCTCTTAGAAAGTCTATACAAAATGATAGAAATAACCGAGTAAAGGTCTAAGACTCTCTCTTCCATGAGTGCCTAGCACGTTTTTAAAGCTCAGAGAATTTGGGTACTGAAAAAGATCCCTAATGCTGAAAGGTTCTGAAAATAAGAAGAGTGCAAGAGGGGTACAGCTTTTGTAAACCCACTTTTTATTTTCTCCTTTGATCATGAACTGGTAAGAAAAGTACATGTTTCACGGAAATGATTCAATATCATGAAAATGGTTTGGCCAGGGAATAGAGTAAGGTAGAAAAACCCAAGTATTAAATGAAAGGAGGAACTCCACATCCATTTTGTTCGGTCGACATCACCAGTGTTAGTTTTCTTTCAAGTTAATGTGCGACTATTTTTATACATGTTTTAATAATATTCTTAAATATCTCTCCATGAAAGAGGGGAGATTTAAAATGAGATATTTTTCATAGCTTTAAAATATGTTTTTTCATATAATAGTAATGAGAGACTTGTGTTCTTATGCTTAAAGCAAAGAGTTACATTCCTATTAACATTTGTTTAACTAGGCTTCCATCACAACAGGTGCACAATTATTTTTATGAGTAAAATATTATCAGCCTTCAAAATTAGCCAGGGCAAAATGCAAGTTGTCTGATTAAATAATCAGAGCTGATACTTAAAATACATTTGATTTCCACAGGAATTTTAAAATGTTAAGTTCTAATCTCTTATTCTGATGTGCAGAGAGAGTTGCAATTGTTTGTAGTATGTAAGTAGTAGCTTGTATTGTAACTAGTTTGATGCATTTCATATAATTCAATTGATATTATGAGACAAACTACTAGGTTATTTCTTCTAGTCTAACATTTTAATCTAGCAATAAAGTGGTAGTATGTTTCACATTAATTCAGTAAAAAAAAGTGGCCCTTTCCATTTGAAGACTATTCTGTATTCAATTTAAAAAGGCACATCAGTTTAGAAAATTAAAATCCAGTCTGTGCTTATTTAAATTTAATTTGCGGGGGTTAAAAATAATAAAAATAATGTATTTTGGTCCATAAAATGTATATAGATCATATGTACTGAATATATTGATGAACAATAAGAAATTCTTCATGGTAAGAAGCAAACATAAAATCAACACCCGCTAACCCCCTACTGAAGTGAACAGGAAACTTATCTAGGAGGCGACTTCACCATGTTTTAGAAGTGCTACAGCAGTGCAGCTGTTATAAACCAATTACAGGCAGGTAACTGTTTATTTTCATAGCTGAATCTGTTTGTCAATCATGGGAATGCAATGAATCAGGAGAGGGGACCTCAAATACAAACCACAGAGTAAGGCAGAGCATCTGGAATGGGTTCAAGCCACAAGAATTAGGGCAGGAGTATAGATCGACTTGAAACTGTACATATGCACATGGCTCCTGTCTTTGACTATACTCTTCAAATAGACTCAGAAGTAGAGATTATTAGAAATAAAATGTTAGCCTTCTATTGGAAACAGTCTGATTTTAAAGTTGGCTAGAAACTATATGGTTACTTATAGGAGTGTGATTGTAAAAGAAATCTTCTGTACATCTTTATGACTGTTAAGACATTTTTAATATTGGCTCATAATCATCCTTTTTAAATGAAGATTTTACTTTATTTTTTATTTTAGAAGTACATTGAGATATACCTCTGACCATATTATAAATAGGTAGGTTTTTACTACTTTGATATTCATCGACAGCAATTTCTAACTTATATAACTCTTTATAAAGAAACTTTAGTTTTATCTGGACCCAGGAACACATTTTTACTCAAGTTAGTAAAACCACCTCTACTGTTCAAACACGTAGCTGTTGTGCTCAGGTTGCAGGATGTCAAGAGACAGTAAAGTATACAAAGAGTGCTTTACGTAAGTGTATAGGGCTAGAAATTTTTCTAGTCTAATATGTGGGAAAACCTACTGAGACCCTGAAGTTTATGTCCGTAACATCAAGGGAGCATAAATAGAAGTTTATTAAGAAAGCTAAAGAAAATGAAATGGGCACGACCATGCTGTGGTTTTGCTTAAATACAGGCTTTCACATCCATTGAGCATTCTGGATTTCTTGTTAACCGGTTACTGAAAGGAGCTCTTTTGTTTTTCCAATCATAGTTTTGTGCCAGTAGGCATTTGCCTCAAAGCATGATGGCTGTTCTCTAACCCTCACAGTTGACTGTGAATTTCTCAGCCATGGCTATCATGGTTTACTGTTGCCCTCCCAGATGGATGTTGAGAAGCATTTTACTGGAATACTTGTTACTTTCCCAAGTCTCTTTCTGTGTACTATTCAGTTTTGATATTAGGAAGAAGAAGAGGGGAATCACCACTATCTGACATGGCTCTCTGTACCTGGGCCATTTTTTGAGTATTTACAAAGACTCATTTGTGATGGAATTAGAATTAATAATGAAGAAAAAATGAATAAGAAGTGATGATTGAATGAGATGACATGAAATACTAGAGGGAAGAGTTATGATTTTTTTTTTTTTTTAGTCTGAAAAGAAGAATTTGCTTAAGAGTGCAGGAAGGGTTCTGAAGAGACTCTCTGTATTATATTTCATAAAGAAAACTGGAAGTAGGACCACAAAAAATGCCCTTTCCTCTCTGCTGATGAACTGATTCTTATTGTGGTTGACACTAAGAAAAGCTTTTTGGTTGGAACATTAATCTCAGAACCAGGAAGGGATCTTGAGAATTCATCTCATCCATCCTTCTTTTCGAGAAGGAATGCATTTGTAGAATCTCAGTCACTCCACAAATCTTTTTAAAGTGCTTATTATTTGCCCATCATTGTGTTAGGTTATGTGGGGTTTATGTAATTTCATATTTTCTACCATTCAGACATGAGAAATTCCTATTTTTAAAGTCCTACCAAGAAGTGAGAGAGAAAGCGCTGACAAAAACAAGGACTAACATTTTTTGGGCAAATACTTTGTATCACAGTGATTTTGTGTATTTTATCTCACTTAATCCTCAAACCAGTGCCATGAGATGGGCATCATTGTCCTCCATTTCCAAAAGAGTGAACAGAGGCTCAGAACAATGACATAATTTTGTTCAAGACAGCAAAATAGTGGCTAAACCAGGATTTGAATTGAGGACTATATGATGCTAAAGCTCCTGCCCTTGTCACCAAGGCATACTAACATCTACTCTAGACATTATTGGAACACATTTCCTCGTGCACTTTTCAAATCTTTCATACTACTCTTTGACCTAAACAAACAGAAAAACAAAACCAAAATCAAACAACAAAAACAGTGATCATCCTCTATATGAGAATGTCATATTCTTAACTGTGAAATTTACTTCTTTTTTTGAGAATTGTGGGACTAGAATTACAGAAAAAGCCTATAATTTTTCTTTTCAAATTTCCCCTGTAAATTTTCCCTTTTAATTTAAATTTTTCAGGTTTGAGGATCTTCTCCTTTAGTATAGCATGGCTTTTCTAATTTGCTGTCAAGGATTATTTCATATTATTCTGGCTTTCTAGGATAATGTGATCTACAACGCAACAGTGAATCATCTCTGGCTATTAGACAGTTGACAGGGTGCCTAGATAAGTCATGAGAGTAATTATAGAATATAAGCTTTGGAAACTGGATGCTGGCTAGACTTCTGGGATTCTTACATTGTTAGCATAGTGGCATATGTATTTCTGTGTTTACTGCAAAAACTTATGAATCATGAATAGAACTTTAATAACAAATTGTGGTGTGGTTAATTATTAAATTAAAACTTTGAGAAATAGTTAAAGGAAGATTGTCATCTCTCTTATAATGACTCCTTACTACTATTCCCATAGCCTTTATCTCACCCTGAAATCTATTAATTGCTTGATTGTCTTGACATCTTTCTATTCGTACCATAATTTTCCGGTATTCCTGAAGATATTTTAGGGAGTCAGCTTTGTTCTCTTTTGCTCATCATGATGATGAAATAGCTAGTACTCATGAAATGACAAGTGTTTTGAATTTGGGAATATATAGAGGACATTATTATTTTGAGGATTAAGTCATCAAATTATCTTAAACAGGTTCTACTTAAAAAGTTCTAGGCTGGGCGCGATGGCTCACGCCTGTAATCCCAGCACTTTGGGAGGCCGAGGTCAGCTGATCATGAGATCAGGAGTTCGAGGCCAGCCGGATCAACATGGTAAAACCCCGTATCTACTAAAAATACAAAAATTAGCTGGGTGTGGTGGTGTGTGCCTGTCATCCCGGCTACTCAGGAGGCTGAGGCAGGAGAATTGCTTGAACCCAGGGGGCGGAGGTTGCAGTGAGCCGAGATGGTGCCACTTCACTCCAGCTTGGGCAAAAGAGCGAAACTCCGTCTCAAAAAAAAAAAAAAAAAAAAATTGGTTCCAGTGCTTGAGGGGGAAGCCAAGAGAAATCAGACCCATGAGTATACTTAAAACCATATGTTAGACAGATACTTTAGGTATGGCTAAAGTCATGAATGGGGATGTGAATATGGCATCTCCTTATAGAGAAATAGAGTTTAGACAATCAACACTGACAGTATAGGAGCAGCGGGTAATGGTTATTTTAGCAGTTGAGTCACTCTAAGGGATCAGAGAGGTCCAAGAATGTAAGTTAGGAGAATGAAGAACATAAAGGCAGTTACCCAAGCACCTGTGCATTAGATAACAAGTGTCAAAAAGTAAGCTCTGTTAAAAATGAGTCAGCGTATAAGATGCAGAAGGACTAGGTAGTAAGTACCCAGTAATTCAGCACTGACAGAAGAAGAGAAATAGGTCACTACAAATAGTACTTGAGAGTGTTGTGACCTTTGATTCTAGGGTGAGATTGTCCTGTCCTAGTTACCTGCTTAGTATAGTTATAGACTAATGTTTATGGCTAGATAGAAGGAAAAATTTTCTAGACTATT
Source organism: Homo sapiens (assembly GCF_000001405.40). Taxonomy (NCBI): domain Eukaryota; kingdom Metazoa; phylum Chordata; class Mammalia; order Primates; family Hominidae; genus Homo; species Homo sapiens. The sequence goes on along the minus strand of NC_000011.10, from coordinate 16,214,213 downwards.
CTAAACCTGTGTTGCCCAATACTGAAGCTATTAGCCACATGTGGCTACTTAATCAATTCAAATCAAATTAACTAAAATTAACATCAGTTCCTCAGTAACATTGGCTGCATTTTAAGGCTTACTTAACATACCTTGTTATGGCTATCATATTAGGCAGCATAGATGTAGAACATTTCCATTATCATAAGAAAGCTCTATTGGACAGTGTTCTTCTATATTATAATAGCCATAAAAGGCTAAGTCTTTTGGGGAGTTCTAATGCTATCAAAATGTAGAATCTACAGGTATATATAACAAGACGTTTCTATGATACCATACTTTAAAGAAGCCAAGAAATAATATTATGTCAAATTTAGTGAGCTTTCTGAAAACAAGATTTTGATGGAAGAATTCTATTAAATGAAGTTAGTTTTGAAATTGGTGTTCATAATTTTTTTTTACTTATTTGTATATTGTTGCAAGAAATACAGACTTTTTTCTTCACTGAGGAAGATGTATTAAAATCCTGTGGGAATGGATCATAACTTATATACAGAAATGCTGAAATTATATTAAAATCTATTTTTCTCACATGTATACTGTGTGCTTGGTGGAGCATATCAGCTTTTGTGGGTTACTTGAAATTTTCTCATCTCCACTGATGGCTAATGGGAAAGCTGATCCTTCTATCTTTCCTTCATCAAACTGTCAGCAAGGCAGCTTCCTGTTTTGAGTGGTATTTTTCATTGTATTTAATACTCATGTTTTTATGTATGCATTCTTCATTGTGTTTAATACAGATTTTGAGTGTTTAACTAGGTGTCAGAGAGATGCAAAAACATATACAGGGAAAGACAGGGTGCGGCAGACAGAGAGATTTAGACATGCTAAGGAAAATACTAAAGAAGAAGAAAAATATTAGATTTATCCTTTCAAAGTAAATAAAACTCTAAGAGAAAAAGAGAGAACTATTTGCATTTATAATTTTGTATCTAGTATTTTCCCTGATATACTAAACCCATGCCAGCTAAGCTTTCTGGGCATAACATTGAGACACTTTTAGCACTCTGACACCTTCCTAGTATCCAGCTCCATGTGCCACCCTAGAGTCATTTATCCTAGATTTGAGGTCCAGGAATCAAATTAACCAAAGGTACAAAAGTTCAGGATTAAGATGAGAGGGAGATTTTAACAAAGATGACCTCAAGGTCTCCTGAGAGTCACCACTGTTAGGTTTTGTGGCTTCTGCAAGGAAAACTCAAAATTCTCTTTGTTCAGAGTACTGCTTTTTGGCTTTGGCATGAAGATACTTGAACAGACAGACCTGGCCTTTAACATCATGGAACCAAAATCCATGTGATAGACATAGCTTGTGAGATTCAAACTTGCTCAAAATTAAATAGGCAATTTGCAGAAGAGGATGTCTGAAGAATAGGGAAATGCAAATTAAAGAAAAAATAAGACGCCATTTTGCATCCATCGGATTGGAAAAAAATTAAGTGTGAGGAGCTGAGATTCTCATAAACTACTTGTGAGGGTCTAAGTTTATATATCTGCTTTGAGAAAAGTTTAGCTATATCTAGCAAAGTTGAAGATGCACATACTCTATGCATTAACAATCCAACTTTTATAGTTATATATTTATATCCTAAAGAAACTCTTGCACATATACAAGAATGTTCATTATAGCATTGTTTATAATAGCAGTCAAAATAAAGAAGCAGTCAAATATACAATAGCAATGCATATCAACGTGTGAATTTAAAAACATAATATTAAATGAAAGACATAAAATTATATATCTAGTATATGATAAAATTTATATAAACTGAAAACATGTAAAAATAATACCATAGATATTTTCTTATAAACTCATATGTATGTAATAGTATAAAAATATTCATTGAATTGATAAACACTAAATTTAGTGGATTAAATGTTAAAAAAATAAAAGCAAGCTCTGCCTCAGAGGCACAGGAGACTGCTGGATAAATGTGATTTGTCATCATCTTCTGGTATTAGAGCTAACAGCTTTTCTCAGACTATCCATGCCACTCTGCTTCACCAAGAGAAGTTTTCTAACTTGCCTAGGCCTCATATCTGTTTACAGTGTATCTGTTGGCCTTTTTCTGACTTCTTGTCACAGGATGGGTGAGGGTACCAAAGCCTTCAGTCAACTGGAGGAGGTTCTTTTTTTATTTTCTACTGTACATTTCTACCTGAAAACTGTAAACTTTTAATATGTCTAAAAGAGAACTCCTGATTTTCTTTCCAAAATCTACCACACCTAAAATCTTTCTCATCTCAGTAACGGCAACTCTGTGCTAGGTGTTCAGGTAAAAAACCTGGAAATCAACTTTGATTTTTCACTGTGGTACATATTTTCCATTTGCTTCTCTCTTAATCCTTCTAAACTTGCTCTGTGCTCTGGGAGTTCAACTTTTATGCACCATGTTAGTGATTTCCCTTTCTCTTTGACTTCCAGTTGGGTTCAACCAATGTGAGACACTGTGGAGAACAGGAGAAGAGTGGCATCAGTGTCTTCTCCCTGGTCTTAGCTCTTTTCTTGCCAGATTGCTATAGACTGGTTGTAACCTTTCATGACCCTCTTCATACAACTACATTCTCCAGATTCCAGGAACCATTCTCTCACCTTACCCTAGAAGCCTGGGTATAATGACAGCTTCATCCTGTAACTGTCTCCTGGATACAGCACTATCCCTTTTTGTTTTCCTTAAACCTTGCCCCATATTTTTGTAAATAGTTTTTTTTTTTAATTTAACTCTCCTCAAATTATCCAGCTTAAATTTGCCATTGCTATCACCTTGGTCCAGGCCATTAATCTCTCTTGCTTGGATTATTGTAAAAGCCTCCTAGCTTAAATCCCTGCTTTCTCCTTTGTCTCCACACAGTCTGTTTTCCACACAGAAGCCAGACTAACCTTTTAAAAAGTTAAGTCACATTACTCCATTGCTCAAAAACCCTCTAATGTATCCTCATATTAATATAAGTAAAGGCCAGAGTGCTTATGATGGCCCTAAACATCCTATCAAGATACATATGGTTGGTTCCCTTTTACCTCTTTAATTTCATCTTCTATTAATCTCCCCTTTGCTTTTTAAATTTTTTTATTTTTATGTGTTTACCTACTGATTCTTCCCAAAGAGGCACCACATTAGGACTTTTGCATCTGTTTTTTATTCTTAGAATTCTCTACTCCTAAGTATTCCCACGGATCATGTTTTAAGCTCTTTCAAATTCTTGCTGAAAAGTCATCTTCTTTGGGAGAACTACCTTGACTATCTTGCTTAAAATTAGAACCTCTTCCACCTACTCAGCTGTTTTCTTCTACAGCGTTTACTATCTCTTACTATCCCTTTAATTGGTCATTTCTTGTATTTATTGTCTGAGTTCCTCCACTAGAAAGTAAGTTGCATGAAAACAGTATGTGTCGGTTCACTGCCTGACCCAGGTAAATTATATTTATTGAACGATTGGTTAAATGTAGTGAGTGCGAGAGATGCCTAAGAAGCCTGTGAGTGTGAGAGAAGGCTGTTTGGAGTAGTTGCTTTTATTCTGTCTTCGTATCCTGACTTCTCTCCACCTATATGGAACTGCTCCTGATTGGGAATTCTAGTTAGTTTATACTGCAAGACCACAAGATTCATCTGCCACCATCAATTTTAGAATATGTACATCACCCTCAGAGAAATTTCTTACCTTTTAGCAGTCACTTCCCATTTCGTCACAACTCCCCACCCCTAAACAACCACTAATCTACTTTCTATCTCTGTAGATTTGCCTATTCTGGACATTTCATATGAATGGAATTATATATGTGGTCTTTTGTGACTGGCTTCTTTAACTTAGCACAATGTTTTCCAGGCTCATCCATGTTGTAGCATGTATCAGTACCTCGTTCCTTTTTATTGCCACATGATATTACACTCTATGGCTATATGCCACATTTTATTCACCATTCATCAGTTGATGAACATGGGTTGTTTCTCTTTTTTTGCTATTATGAATAGTGCTGCTATGAACATTTGTGTATAAAATTTTGTGTGGATATGTTTTTATTCCTTTTGGGTATAAATACCTAGAGATGGAATTGCTGGGTCATCTAGTAACTCTGTTTAACCTTTGGAGGAACTGATAGACTGATTCCAAAGCAGCTATACCATTTTACATTCCAACCAGTAGTGTATGTGGGTTTCACTTTCTCCACATACTGTCTTATTAACAATATTGAAAACACATTTATAGCAATTCTGTTGAATAGATACTATAAATCTTATTTTTATATATGGAGAAACTAAGGCTCAGAAAAAGCAATAATAATTTGTCCCAAACTGAAAAGCCTAGTAAGTATTGGAGCTAGTTTTCCACCTCAGTTCTGATTTAAAACTCACATTTTTCATTTATTCAAAAATGTATTTATTTTTCCAGAAAAAAAAATATATATAATTTTTTCTTTTTTTTGAGACAGAGTCTCATGCTGTCACCCAGGTTGGAGTGCTGTGGTACGAGCTTAGCTCACTACCATCTCCGCCTTCCAGGCTGAAACGATTCTTGTGTCTTGGCCTCCTGAGTAGCTGGGGACAGGCACTCACCACCACGCCCAGCTAATTTGTGTATTTTAGTAGAGACGGGGTTTTGCCATGTTATCCAGGCTAGTCTCCAACTCCTGCACTCAAGTGATCCTCCCACTTCGGCCTCCCAAAGTGCTGGGATTACCGGTGTGAGCCACCCTGCCGGGCCCAGAAATATTTTTGAGGATCATTTACATTTCACACATATTTGAGTGTCTAGTATGTCTTAGAATTGGGGAACCAGTTAACTCAGTTTGCATAGAGCTTAGTCAGACTAGTAACCCAGAATCACTTACATAGTACACAGCAGTTCTCATACCTTTAGGTTGTTTTTAAGTCTTAAAAGCTAATGAAGACCCCCGAAAAGCTTTCATTTTTATAGCTTTTGTCCACTTATATTCTAGTATTAGAAATTAAAACTGAGAAAAAATTTAAAATACTAATTTGTTTAAAATAACAATAAACTTATTGCCAAAACAACATACTTTTACAAAAACAATTTTGTGAGAAGAGTGGCATTATGTTACAATTTCATAAATTTTTTGTATTTCAGGCTTAAGAGGAGATGAATTCCCATGTATGCTTCTGCATTCAGTCTGTCACAATATGTTGTTTTGGTTGAAGTGTATGAAGCCCACACATATATGTATTTAGAAAATGAAATATTTTAATAGCTTATTGAGATATTTGTGGATATTCTTCAATACTACATCAAAATTTACAAGTAGAATGATGATGTGGAATCTGAAATATAAAGCATCTTCATATTTTATTACATGATATTAAAATCCATTGATCTGACTTACAATTTGAATGGATCTTTTACCATTGCATGCTTTTGTAAGATTTTGTATTGGTCATTTGGAAGATGTTATATCTCTGAGTTATATAGAACTTCCAAATGTTGACATATTTCATAATGCAATGTAAAAACATCACATCCATTAATACCATATTTGCTAATTTGGAGGCTCAGATTCTATCACTGACAAACAAATACAGTTAGTTGTTTTCCTTCAAGTGAAAAGCTCACTTTGTTTCATTTTTGGGAAAATACCTGTTAAAAATTCAAATCTAAATAACCACTCTTTGTCTGTCAGTCATTTTTTCAAGTAAAAATGCTGTTCTATTTTTTAAAAAAGCAGTCTACTCTGATTTCAAAGACTAGTACAGTTGAGTGCCACTGCCTTAATTTGTGCGAAAGCGCCAGGAATTTCACTCACCATTGCTTTTGCACCATTAGAGAAAATACCAATACAGTGAAAAAGACAGAAAAGATTATAGTATTATTAGAAAAGTAGTTTTATGCATACAATTTAGGTGTATGGCTATATTATATTCATACCCTGATAGTGTCCAAAATGCTTTTTGGAGTACATGAGAGTTGAAGGTATGAAATTCAAATGACAGATGTGTATGTAATACTGATGAAGGAAATAGGCACTCTCTTCCCATAGAATTAAATGTTTATTTATTTTTAAAAAGTCTACACAATTATTCAAAACATCAGATAGAAGGAAATTAATTTCTTTAAATATCTTCTTACTTCAAATTCTATCTCAACTTTCTTTAAGTGACCTTTAGTAGAAATAATCCTTTTATGTTGGGAAGAAATAACTTAATTAGTTAGCCTTGAGCAAGAAATATTTTCTTCTTAATAATTTCAAAAATTGTAAATTAGTATTTATTAATGTAGACTATTATACAATATCAATATAGAAGTATATAAAGAATAAATAAAATTTTCTCATTCCTTTGTCTCTGCTGGCCTTATTGCACAGCCCACAGACAATCACTGTTGATACTTGTTGTTTATGCAACACATTCCTATGCATATTTTAGTTTTAAAAAATTATATTTTTAAAAATACAAATGTGCTATGCAACTTTCTTTTTTTTCAAAAAACAGTACAAACTATACCTCATTCTTGGGGATAAAATTTTTGTTTATTTTGTTCACTAACCTGTAAAATCTAGAACAGCACATAAAATGTCCTCAATAAATATTTGTTAAATAAATGAATTTGTTCTTTACTTTTTTTTTTTTTTTGAGATGGAGTCTCGCTCTGTCGCCCAAGGTGGGTGCAGTGGTGCGATCTCGGCTCACTGCAAGCTCTGCCTCCCAGGTTCAGGCCATTCTCCTGCCTCAGCCTCCCGAGTAGCTGGGACTACAGGTGCCCGCCACCATGCCTGGCTAATTTTTTGTATTTTGATGGGGTTTCACCGTGTTAGCCAGGATGGTCTCGATCTCCTGACCTCATGATCCGCCCACCTCGGCTTCCCAAAGTGCTAGGATTACAGGCGTGAGCCACCGCGCCCAGCCGAATTTGTTCTTTTCATCAGTTTGAGGGCTGTCTGCATAATATTCCTAGCTATCAATAAATAATACTTTGTTTATACATTCTTCTATTGATAAGCATTTGGTTTCTTCTTAATTTCTCACTTTTAAAATAGTACTAACAGTTGGAAAGATGGGTAGAAGAGTGTTTTGGGCAGTGTGAATAGAGTGGGTAAGACACAGCAGCATGAGAGAGAAATGACTTTTCTGGAGATTTTTATGTTTTCAGTGAAAATAGTGGTATATGTGTATGTGCATTTGTAGTAGGGGTCGGTGTGTGCTAAATTTGGATGTCAAAAGTTAGATGAGGCGAGATGGGCAAGTAATGGCAAAATCATGAAGTGCTATGTATATCATGTTGGAAAGTCTGGACTTTATTAGTTGAGAGCCTTTGAAGAGTTTAAACTCAGAGAGTGACATGATCATATCTACCATGCCTGAATTTCCAACTTTCCAGAGGTTGGGATAAAGTGACACTTTCTAGTCAATGAAAGTGTCTGTGATTATGTAAATTTATTAAACAGGATAAAATAAATCATAATATTTCTATATTACGCTACTTTTGTTCTTCATTCTTAAGACTCTAAAATAGATTTTAATATAGACATTATATGATCATAATGGCAAGTATTTATTGAGTGCTCACTATGTGAAGGCAACTGTTCTAAGTGCTTCACATGTATTAACTTGCGTTAACTCACTTGATCTATACAATACTCTATCACTATTCCAATTTTACACAAGATAAAACGAGACCAAAGTTACTGTTCTAGGAAGTGGCATAGCAAAGATTTTAAACTGGGGAATCTGACTCCAGAACCCAAGCTCTTAAACACTTCACCATACTTCTTCCTCAGTCTGATTATTATTACAATATGCAAACAAAACTCACTAAATTTACATATGAAACTGTAACAAATCAAAGAATTAAAAGTTATATTTCCTCATATACAGAATGATGTAAGTTCACCTTCTGTATTCTGTTTTTATTCCAACAGAGGTCTTTTGTAAATATAAAGAGATAAAAATGTATTTTGTGAATTAGTGAGTTTGTTGGCCAAACTGACATTAGTTATAATGTAAAAGAAATTGACCTTTATAATGCAGAATACTCTTAAAATTAACAAAAATATCGCATCTGAAAAGTTAATGCTAGTTGTACATTAACACATAATATTAACCTAATAAATGTGTATATGTGTGTATATATACAACATACATACATTTGCCATTCTCAGTAACATAAGTGTTTTTTTTTTCTAATGCTACCAAAATATTAATGATCTTTACAGGCATAGTAAAAATTGAATTACTTCCATACATTTTTAATATTGCAGAGAGCCCACACTAAAGGACTATTTCTAGCATTGTAACCCAAACTAGAAGTATCCTTATAGGTTACCTAGTTCAACCTCTCATATTACAGGCAGGTAAATGGAAGCCCAGAGAATTACTTGTACAAGGTGGCAAAATTGAAACTAGAACCCAGATCTCCTGACTTACATTCCAGAAACCTTCCACTCTGTAACTTCATAGTTAATGAAATATTTTATGTACTTTAATAGCTCTTATTAAACAACTTATAAATTGTAAGATGAGCATAGTACTATTTTTTGAGTTTAATTTTTTTCTACTTCTCTGTCATTTTCTATATACCAACAAATGCTTAATAACTATATACTTACGTGATTTATCTGGCCTCATTTTGGCTGTTAAATCTTCATAACTCTGCATTTCTATTTTTCTACACTCCCAGTATGGCACTGATTTTTTAAAATTATAATTTCTTGTTATTTTGATACCTTGTTTCCAAAGAACTTAGACTACCATATTTTACATAAGCTCTTACTCTTATTAAAAGGAAATTAGGATCTGGGGAATCCCTTGAGCACTCAAGTTTTCAAATACATGGGCAAATGAAATGCAAGGATTCTTGTGGCCCATATGTCAGTGGTTAAATTTGATCAGTGATGGGCATTGAAGTCTTTCAAAGCCCATATGTAACTGTTTTCCCTATAGAAGATCTCAATTTGCTATTTCTGAAAAAAATATCATTTAAACTATGGTTAATCTCCTCCCTTAACTAGCACATATGAAAACTCATATGCTGGTTCTATCGTGGAATTCTTAGTATCATTAGACAAGTTGTGTCTCACAAAATACTTTCCTATAAATTGCTTCTGCTATTAGATGAGCATTTCATTGTTAAATTACATGTTAGACATGGAAAATTAAAGTGCTGAATTAAGAACCAATGTTGCTTCTTAAGTGAACTGAGGAAAATGATAACGAAAATCAACTATCTACCAAGAGAGATTTAAAGTGCATTATTTCCCTTGATTTTTTTTTAAAAAGAGGAAGCATGTTATAGCAGAAGGAGTTCTGAACTGAGAATTAGGACTTCTAGGTTCTAGTCCTAACTCTGTCACTAGCTAATTAGCTATCTGACATCAGGCATGTCACTTTCCCCTCTGGCTTTCAGCTTTCTTATTTGTCAAACTTGGGGGTTGAATGATCTCTTTGACTCTTTACAACATTGATTTCCTGAGTGTGTAATTGTTTGAATAAGTGTACTCTTAAAAAGACAATTCAATTTAGTTTTTAATAGATAAGATAGATTTTTTAAAAAATCACCTCCAGATATAGATTAATCACGGTTGAACCAGGGGTCAGAAATATAGTAGAGAACAAATAAGCTGGGCTGATTGGGGAAAGTAAAGTTGTTTTTTTTCTTTCTTTCTTTTTCTTTCTTAATGTTTCTCTTCCCCGCTAAAAAGCTCAGCTATGCAGTGACCTTTGTAACAATTGTTGAAGTTCAAATTGGAAAACACTTTTGGAACTGTATAGATATACACATACCAGGCATACTACACACACCACACCCCCACATGTCCTCTCCCTTCCTCCAGGTCTCCAGTTCTTCAGTTTATAGGATCAATCTGGGACTCTAGGTTGGGAAAATAAGCACACTGTTGCTTTAGTACTAATGAGAACCATGAAATTTAGAGATACGAAAATTTATTCTCAGATATTAGCCTAGAAGAATTGGATGTTTTGAAGTGGAAAGGGAAATAGGTTTTAAGTTAGAGTTTAAATTTTGGGTCAATCATGTATCCTCTTTGTATGTTTCATCATATGTAAATTGGTGGTGGTGATAACAGCTACTTAAAAAGTGGTGTTTTTTTTTTAATTGACAATAAAATTGTATGTATCTCTTGTGTACAATATGATGTTTTGAAGTATGTATACATTGTGGATTGACTAAATCTAGTTAATTAACATGTGCATTGCCTCACGTAAACTTTTTGATATAAGGTTTTAGGCTAAGTCCATTTTTTGATATTTTTTTTCACTTTACTAATTCAGAGAAAATAGGTTAAGATGAGAAGCTTCATACTGAAAATTACTTACTTTGTATTTTTATCTTGGTAGAGTTGCAATGCCGGTAGAATTTCTACCATGGTTTTTTACTTTATAATGATAATAACATGAATGATAGTAACAATAGTATCACCTCACTATTGCTGATGATCTCTGCCTTATAATTATTTGGGTTGACAAAGAGAATTCTTCTTGACTCTAAGTGTTCTAAGCTGCTCTTGATTGCTCAATTAATTTGAACCAATGGAGGGAACAAAAGTGTATATGTAGGCAATTCTTGATTACCTGTGCTCTTAGTTGCACAGATAACTCCAACAGTAGCTACTTCAGATGTTTATATTTAGCTCATGAATGGATTTAAGCGTTTATGTTTGATATAACCATGTCTGATGTTTGGGAACTCTTGTCTTTGGTTTGTTGTGTTGATAATTAAACCTTGAAAGTGTTTTGTCTGAATTCAAAGTATATTACCTACAAGAAATATATTGGCCAAAAACTCTTACTTGCAATATGAATCTTCTTGGGAGAGTCTTGTTTGTTTCATTCATCTCCTTGCCATGTAGAAGAGTGCTGTAATGCTTGAGTTACTTTTTCTCCTTCCTTTTTTTTCCCTGCCATGAGTTTGTTAATTCACTCTTTGCTTAAAGAAAAATGTCAGAAAGCTAAATTTTTATAAAAATGGTAACAGTTATTGTTTAACTGAATTTGGTTCCAAAGAAAAGAAACCTGAAGGGCACCAAACCTATATTCAGTTACATTGGGTTGTAGTGATTTAATCACTTGCCTTTGGATTTTTGTGGTCCTCAGAATTCCTAATTGATGCTCACTTTAGTATTTCAGATTTTTCTCCTTTCTTTGAAACCCTGATTGTACTACCTTTTCTGTGGCTTTTATTAGTATTTACTAACAGTTACAACTTTACTCAGAGATTCCTATAAAGCAGTGCTTGAAACATCCACGAATGGCAGAATCTTTTTTTTCCCAGTCATGTCATAGATTTTCTATGTATTTTGGTGTTTGCTTGTTTTCACAGTGCCTTTTTATCTTCATCTGGTTTAGATTCATTGGTTTTAAAATTACGAGTAGTCTTTAGTAGTTAGCTATATTAAATACATTTATTTCTGTGTTAGGTTAGTAATTATATTTCATTTATAGCCTTCCAATTCCTTCTTTTTTTAAAAGCCATTCTTGGAAACTTCTAGTTAGAACTGACTAGGTATAAGCTTGAAAATTTTAGAACTCAAGTGTAGTTCAGTTCTGGAGAGATAGGTGGTTGTCTTTTGTGTTCCTGCTCATATGATTGGGGAATTATTTTTTAATGTTAGTGAGAAATTGGTTAAACCACATTGCTAGTAATTTTCTAGAAACTTAATTATAAAATCTCTTGAATAATTGTAGGCTGTAGATTTTCTAATACTATCTTGTTGAATGGGGAAAAATACTTTTTTTCGTGGAATTTATTCAGCAGCCATTTGTTCCATGGCTTTTGTTGAATTGGAAGTCTTATCTAGATTTCAGAAATTTGGTTGAGTTTTCTGCTTAAAATAATGTGGGAAAGTTTTTGCTTTACGATTTTTATGCTACACAGGACATTCTACTAGTCTTCCTTTACAATAAAATTCATTATGTCTTCACTATGTGTATATTAATAACATGGCCTTAGAATCTTCAGAAGCAAATGAAAATTTTTCATTGGTTTATGTTTTCTTTGTGTGTATTTTCATCGTATAAGAGTTGAACATGTGCTTAATATAAAAATTAAAATTCATAATAGTGCTGTAAAATTTAGATATTTTAATACTCTCATTTTTTACATGGGCATTTTTCTGTTATTTAGTTAATTAGTAGTGAAAGTATAAGTTTTTCACTTCTAAAATGGGAAAAATCGGAATGATCTTCATATATCCTTAATTGGGAGTCACTTTTCATGAAAAATAAATTTATTATTTCTATGAATTTTAAATTAAAAATCTCTCTTAAAAATACTTTGCAGGCCGGGCGCGGTGGCTCACGCCTGTAATCCCAGCACTTTGGGAGGCCGAGGCGGGCGGATCACGAGGTCAGGAGATCGAGACCATCCCGGCTAAAACGGTGAAACCCCGTCTCTACTAAAAATACAAAAAATTAGCCGGGCGTAGTGGCGGGCGCCTGTAGTCCCAGCTACTTGGGAGGCTGAGGCAGGAGAATGGCGTGAACCCGGGAGGCGGAGCTTGCAGTGAGCCGAGATCCCGCCACTGCACTCCAGCCTGGGCGACAGAGCGAGACTCCGTCTCAAAAAAAAAAAAAAAGAAAAAAAAAAAAATACTTTGCAAATAAGGAGCATTTGAACAAACTTTATGAAACCAAGATTATTAGAACCTATACATTGTTAGGTTTACTTTAATGAGTTATATCTATCTATATATAGAATATATAATATATACATTTATATATTTGTTTATTATGAGTTTCTACATATTTTAAATAGTGATGAATTGAGCCTAATTATTCTAAAGAATAGTGCCATTCATATTTCAGCTTGCCAGCTACATAAATTTATTCCAGGAAATTTTTATGACATTTAAAAATCAACTATAGGGTTCTATTTATGTAATATTACCTTGTCAGAAACTGACATTAAATGAGAACAAGTTGTGATTGTGTATTCATATATCCTGGCTTACCTGGTATTGTCCTGGTTTCTATACCTGTGTTCTTGACATAATAATTAACAGCACCTCCTTTCATTTAAAATGTCGTAGGTTGGATGATGTATTTTATGAATGACTTCACATGATGGAATCCTTAAAGGGATTTTTTTTTTTTTTTTGAGACGGAGTCTCACTCTGTCACCGAGGTTGGAGTGCATGGCACCGTGTCAGCTCACTGCAACCTCCGTCTCCTGGGTTCAAGCAATTCTCCTGCCTCAGCCTCCCTAGTAGCTGGGATTACAGGTGCCCACCACCATGCCTGGCTAGTTTTATATATATGTATATATTTTTAGTAGAGACAGAGTTTCAACATGTTGGCCAGGCTGGTCTCAAACTCCTGATCTCAGGTGATCCACCTGCCTCAGCCTCCCAAAGTGCTGGGATTACAGGCAGGAGCCATCGCGCCCAGCCTGTATTTTTTTTAAGACCTACTATATGTCTGGAACTGTTATAGGTTTGGAGAACCAGCTAATAGTAAACAAACTAATATAAAAATGATGTAATCAAGTAATTTAGAAGATTTTATATATTATTGTTGCCAAAAAGGTGATCAAGTAGATTTTCTTTGTCAAAGAACATAACAGTTTTTTCATCAGTGCATGATAATTGAGTACTTTTGGAATCACAACACTTTAAACATTTAGACAGGATCCTATTTACATTTTAGAAAGAGATTAAGAGATATTCTATAGATGTGTCAGTATGATGGAAAGAATGCATTGTTTTTAGAAAGTCAATGAGCACTTTAAAAACTTTCAACTCTGTTTTAAACCTTAAGTATAAAAGAAACTAGCTACAAATACCCATTTAATTAAAACTGTTTTTGAGAAGTAGAACAGGATTCTCAAATGGGGTTGCTGATAGCTTGTAAAAATGTATTCAATATGCCTATAAATTTCTTAAACTGTAGAAAGTGAGTCAGCTAGCCAAAATCTTCTTGGCTAGTAAGGGTGTACAAAATACAGAGTGAGAAGACTGAGTAGGAGGCAGATTTAAGAACTGAGAAACCTGATATCTGGACCAACTAATAGTGACACAGGGTCATTCTTCCAACTTTTGAGATTCAACTAAAGAATGGCTTGTTTTTTATCTAAAGTATAACTTCTGAAAACATTCTCCTACAAAAGCTTTGGTGGCATTATGGAAGGTGAATTAATTTATCAATCATCTGTGACTCCATGGACAGTCATTTCTTTGGGCAATTAAGAATTAGAACCTGTTTTCTGATACCAGTGTATTGACATATAATTTAATTTTACTGGAAGAAGGTGATGTTAGAAAGAGTTAATATAATAATATAAATTCTTGTGAAATTTTTCCTGTAAAATTGCTTAGTTTGTATAATTTATTTGGTCCTGTAGTTGATTCTGCCTTCTAAATTATAGTTTATGTTACTAGAACTGTTTGAATTTTTCACACAATTAAAAATTGAATTTCTAGATGTAATATTTTCTGAATACAGAATTTTCAAGTCTGTTGATGGAGACTAGTTCCCTGAGCCATCAGACTTCTTTTACTGTTCACGGACCTTAAATAACATTAAATTGTAATTATCCTAAATATAAATTAGTGTGCCTTTTAATATCACTGTATCTCCCAACAGCGTACTTTAATGTTTTAAAATGCAGGAAGAAGGCTTGAAGGCTATGTGAAGTCATTGTCTTAAACTAGTTAACTTTTTTTAAAATTTCTCTTTTTTCCAGAAACATTTATAGTTTACTGAAAAGAGGCTGGGGTTGGGTATTCAGACCAACTGGCTTAGGAATCATAGCTCTATTGATTACAAGCTAACAAGCTGTGTGATCTTGGACATATTTTTAACCTTCCTCAGCATCATTTTCCCAAGTTTGTTGCAGTAGAGAAAAAATGCGAAATGCTAATCCTAGCACATAGAAAGTGTTTGGACGATCATTTGTGCTAAAAAAAAGTGTTTATTGAATGTTTTTTAGTTCAAATTCTTTATCTCTTGTCTTCTCTTAGATTTGATTTTCTACCACTTGTGCAACAGTGGGGATGGCTGGTGAGTTCAGTTAGTTACAATGGTTACCAAACTAGAATTAACTCAGATATGGCTCAGATACTCCTGTAGTTCAAAGCAATTCTTTCTGGTTTGTTAATTTCTTTGGCCGTCTATCACCAACTATTCTGAGAACTAATTATTTAGAGTTGGTTATTAGTTCATTTCAAATTTACTGAGCACAAAATCAGTAGTAGACATGTAGTCATGTTTGTGCCTTGTCACAGAGATGCATGTGACACAGATCCTCCCCTTAAGGAGCTGACACGTAGGAAGTATACATTGTGGCTTATCATTTGTTCTTCCTCTCCACCAGTTTTCTCGGTAGAATTATGAGTAGCACTAGAGTAGATTCTTACCTAATTCACAGCAAAGGCTTTGAACTTGGGTAGGGAGCAAAGAGAGTGTAGTAGGGAAAACATCCTTGAGATCTGTATTTGCTCCCTCTACAATCCTTCTGGGACCATTGATGCTATAATAATTTTTTTACAAGCAATGATCTTTTAAAGTATTACGTTTAAATTCAAGTTTTGTGATAATCTCATCGCCTTTTCAGATGTTTGCCTCTTCAAAAGGTGATGTCCACCACTGCTGAGGTTGTTTTTAAGTACTACCAGTTGTGGTATTATATTCCTTATGAGGCTCATAATTTAACGTATTTTTTCCTTCTTGTCTCAGGATTACATATCCAGTTTTTGCTTTCAAGCTAAAAAATTTAAAAACCCTTATTTTTATTGATCTGAAAGTTGAAAAACCATGAGCATTTTAAAGTTACGTTAGAAAGTGAGTTTTATAAGCTTCTTCTTAAACTCAATTTATAATCTACAATTATTGCATAAAGTGATTTTAAATCTTTAAAAATCTTGAATTGGCTGGCACTTTGGGAGGCCAAGGTGGGTGGATCACCTGAGGCCAGGAGTTTGAGCCCAGCCTGGCCAACATGGTGAAACCCCATCTCTACTAAAAATACAAAAAAAAAAAAAAAAAGAAAAAAAAATTAGCAGGGCGTGGTGGCAGGCGCCTGTAATCCCAGCTACTCGGGAGGCTGATGCAGGAGAATTGCTTGAGCTGGGGAGGTGGAGGCTGCAGTGAGCCAAGATCGAGCCACTGCACTCCAGCTTGGGCAAGAAGTGCAAAACGCCATCTCAAAACAACAACAACAACAACAACAACAACAACAACAACAACAACAGGAAATCTTGAATTAAGCTTTTCTAAGAATTTGTGACGAATGTCCTAGTGTGAGAATAGGACATCCTATTTGTGACAAATTATTTTTTATAGGTTGAACAAATGTATATTAACTTTTAATTTTTATAAGTAGAGGCTTAGAAATTTCTTTTTAGAATTTTATTCATGTTCTACTTTAGCATGTTCAAAATAATCCTGTGACAGGAGACTCTTGGTCATTTCTGGACCCAGGCTTTAACTGTCTTTTCTTCTCTTTGACATTCCATTATTTTCTGTGCCCTGAATATTGTGAATGCTACATAGGAAACATTAGATAATCTTGAAAGAAGTTTTATTTTCATAATACACTGATGAGATATATTTGGCAGCACCTATTTTACCCAGGAATCATTATTAAGGTCAACATTGTGAATGAAAAGAACATGCTATTTATCCAGCTATATTTAACTATAAAAGAACAATAAAAGAAACAGCAGTTTTTAGAATCAATATGAAATTTCCAGTTCCATTTTCCCTCTATAGACTCACAATATGAGTTTGTGATAGGTGGGATCTGTGTTACTTGCCTGTTACCTGATCATATATACTCAGCACTGTAATTCAGGAAACTATGAGCTATCTATGATTATATAAAAACATAATCTCCCTTGTCGGTCAGTTTCATTGGAATTGAAGGTTTTTTTAAGCGCCTGTTTTCATTAAAGTCTCAGTAGTTGCAACAGCCACACCCACTAGGATGTCCTGAGAGCTACAGACAACACAGAAAAAACATGACTGAACTGGACTCTCTAGTTTGCTGATCAAATGATTTGGGGGCAGGGATGTGTTTCATGACAGACCTGGAATGGGGAATTCGTAGAGGAGCCAAAATGGGGCACTAAAAAGCCAGAGGATGTTGGGCGTGGTGGCTCCCGCCTGTAATCCCACCACTTTGGGAGGACAAGGTGGGCAGATCACCTGAGGTCAGGAGTTCAAGACCAGCCTGTGAAACATGGTGAAACCCCATCTCTACTAAATATACAAAAATTAGCCAGGCGTGGTGGCAGGCACCTGTAGTTCCAGCTACTTGGGAGGCTGAGGCAGGAGAATCACTTGAACCCAGGAGGTGGAGGCTGCAGTGAGCCGAGATCACACCACTGCACTCCAGCCTGGGTAACAGAGTGAGACTCCATCTCAAAAAAAAAAAAAAAAAAAAAGAAGAAGAAGAAGAAGACAGAGGACCAGTCAAATCAGTCTGTTGGGGAAGCCAAATTTCTACCATTTGAGAGTCCAAGTCCAGAGGTCCAGTGGAATGAAAATTAGGAATCAAGGTAGAAGTCTGAGCACCAGTGAACTTGGAGGGAACAAGATCAGAGTAAGAAAAAAAAAGAGTATGACAGTGAGTATGGAAGAGGAGAGTAAATTAGATGACTACAAGCTGTGTTGGATATTTGTGACTTGGACTGAAAGGTCACAGGACATTGTACTAGTCGCTGGGATATTTTAAAGAAAATAGAGTGTCATAGATAATTCCCTAGATAAGTGCTTTCACTTTAGTAAACAGTATATTTAGGAAATATTATATTCCAACAAAATAAAACATCCTTAAAAATAGATTATAAGGAAAATCTCAGCTACATTGTCTGTTGGGTAAAGTAATTTTGAGAAGGTAGGACATTCAGGAGTTCCATTCTCCATTTATCATAGTGGTTAAGAGGACAGAATCTGTTGCCAGACTTTCTGATTTTGAATCTCAGATATATGATTTAATAGCTAAGGATTTGGGCAAGCTGCGTTACTTTTGCATGCTTCAGTTTCCTTGTCTTTAAAGTGGAGGTAACAATATGACCTACTTCATAGGACTGTTGTGAGGAATAGATGACTTAATATATAAAGCTTTTCCCAGTGCAAAGCAATTGTAGTATAAGTTTAAGCTATTATTATTGTATGAAGGGGCATAGTGGGCTAGAGCAGAGATTCCCTTGATTTCCTCTAGGCAAATTGTAAATACACCCTAGAAATGGGCACAGTATGTGGTATGTTTGTATGGGCAACTGTCCCAAGCCTTAGTTGTATCTGGGAGGTTTCTCAAATCATGCTAGACTCACTTCCTAGACTTCTCCACATACCTTTCTCTTGGCTAGAACCTGACAGCCTCAGCCTACATATACACTGCACCCGGGGCAGCAGGACACTGGACTCCTGCAAATATTTGAGTGTATTTCTCATACTTTCATGGGTGTTGTAAATATTGTATCTGGAATGCTGGAGAATGCCGGAGAATGCCAGAGAATGTCGGAGTCTGCATAATTACTGTATTTGGGCCTGAAACCAGGAAGCCATATGCTATTTGGGAAGAGAAGGGTTGGGGAATAAGCATACAGAGAATCTGGTCTGCCAGGCTTGCTGCTAATTTCTAGAGTAATTCAGACATGTCACTTAATGTCAAGATCTGTTTTCACATCCATAAGATGTCAAAGTTCAATTTATTGACCTCTTTGGTTGTCTGATTGCTAGCCAAGCTTTTTGCCTTATTTTGTAAACAAAGCCTTAACTGAGAAGTTGTACATTTCTTCATTCCTTTTAGTTGTATATCTCTTAGCTGTAAATAGCATTAGGATTCTTGGTACCTCAGAACATTGCTCCTAACTTTTAGAAATTCCCTAACTATGTATTCTAAGTGTGAGATGAGGGAAGATACCTCTTTCTTAGACTCTAGACTCGCTTGGATTAAAAATCAGAAGATGTGAATTCAAATTCAATTAAATGCTCTATGACTTGGTCAAATTACTTTCTGTCTCAATAGCTTAGTTTTTCATCTGTGAAATGAAAATAACAATGTAACTTTTTGGATGAGGATTAAGATAACAAGAATTTTTAAGAAAATGCCTTGTTAATAAAGTCTATTTTTCTTACTCCTTCCCTTCCTCTCCTAACGCTCATGGAGCTTCTAGAGAAAGAGCCAATCCTGCAATACTTGGTGGTGATATTGACACAAATGATTTAATTGTTTTTCCCCTTTAAAGGACAAAAGAATTTCATGTTTCTGAAAGGCCAGAAATTACTATTTTTATGTGTAGGTTATGGAGATGTAGCCAGTGACTGGCAGTCACCCACAGAGAACAGTAATGTAAAGACAGTCTGTCTTATATTGAAGGAGAGAAGTTTCAGAATACCTTCGTTTCCAGATCCAAAAAGGATGGGCTTATAAAGCACAATGGGCTAAAAGCCCAGCTGTGAGGTTGGGAGCCTAGATGGCAGGATTCCATGGATTGTTCTTGCTCTGTTAGGATTTGCGACATGAATAGACCTCAGTTGATCCAGGAATAGACTTCCTTTTGCAGCCAGGAAGAGGGGAAGTAGGAGACTTGAGTGTGCCTGGTATAGGAGAGTTTGATCTTAATTTAGGAAATACCTGGGTATTTTTGCCTTGTTAGTACACTGTAGATTCTAATGACATTTTAAAGGTGAATATCAAGAAGGAAATTCTCATACATTCAGTGAAAAAGAAAACAACAACAACAGTAACAAACAGCCTATACCTCAACTCATGAGGCACACTTCCTGTGAAGTGGTCCCTAAGTGATTCCTAAGAGCACAATTGCTGCATTTATTAAACTTTTTATTTACTGAGGAATGGACAGTAGCATATGGGAGCAATGACAATAGCTGACTGATGAGAAAACAAAGAAATTCCAGTATTCTGCTGTTTTGAAAAAAGTCATTCAGAATTTAGTCATATTGGTTCAGCTGTTGTAACCAAAGACTGATAAGATAATAGAGGTCTTTGTGGTGGTTTTGTACTGAAATCCTTTATCTTTATGATGCACTAGGGCCATTTAGTGTGGAAAGCTTTTAAAACTGCTATTGGATTCAGAACTCAAATTAGCTGCTGGTATGCTGGGACAGGGGTTCCTTTCTCAGGCAGTCACCACAAAGTAACTTTTATCAGGGGACCTTCTGATAGATTGTTAGTCTCTTCAGCTTACCCTGTTTATTTTTTGTTGACTTTTTGTTGCTATGTTTTGTGACATTTAAAAGAAGGCTGTATCCAAAACGGCCAATGCTAAATGATGGACTGAGCTTGTGAAGTGGAGACATCACAGTCCATCAGATGTGTGAGGAGGCTGCAGTGTAAAGATGCAGCAGTTTTCCCAGGTTATCTGTGGGTAGAAAAGAGCAATGCAGCTTTCTTTTATGACTAGCATTGTTATTTTGGCTTTCTTCTAAAACGATATCCATTAAAAAAATTAGAACTGACCAGGGAATTGATTCTTAAGAGCTTTTGTTTTCAACTTAATTTACAATCTTTCTGGATTGTTGGCTGAGTTCCTTGATTGATGTTGCTTTGGAATTACTGTTAAGTGCTTTAATCTTTCTAGGATTTATGTGAAAAAGTGTATCTTCATCAGAACTCCACTCCAGTGTCAGTGCCACCCCTACCCACTACTCTAAACACAGACATTTGTTAGTTACCCAGGTTTCTTATAATTTCATTAAGTCCGATTAAGTTTATTAATGTGTGCATTGATCTAATACAGGAGAATGTCTAGGTTTAAATCTCATTTTAAATTCCCTGGGACATGTTTCTAGAGAATGCCATTAGTTGACTATTAATTTTATTTGGCTTGGTATGTTAACACCATTGCCCTTCATTTATTTTTATTTTTTTTTTAAAGACAGGATCTCACCCTGTCGCCCAGACTGGGGTGCAGCGATGCAATCATAGCTCACTGCAGCATCAACCTCCTGGTCTCAAGAGATGCTGCCACCTTAGCCTCCCAAATTGCTAGGATTGCAATTGTGAGCCACCATGCCTAGCCCATTTTATTAGAGATAGAAAGGATGTGGAGAAATGCACAAAATTTAATTTAGCTGTTCTCGTACTCATTTTCTCTCTTTTCCTCTCTTAACTCTTTTTCTCTTTCTCCGTTGCTGTGTTGTTTCTAGATTTTCTCATTAGAAAAACTTAGTTGTCATCACATAGTGGTGACTCCCTTTCAGAGAATATCTATTTAATGAATGACCTGTTTAAGATTTTTATATTGTAAAAGTTCTAGGTATGGGAATACTGTGGAAGAGGTGAGGTAAATCTCCATTTAGTAAAGTGCCCTGCAAGTTGCCTGCCTTATCCAGATCTGGTCTTCAGTGACTTCCCAATGACCAGTCTTATTTCTAGCACCACTGATTTTGATTATATATATTTCATAAGGGCAAAATTAGCAGACTGTAGTGCTAACTTTTGTGAACTGATGTAAAAAAAGGCTTTTAAATACATTTTAAACTTAATTTTTTATTTTAATTTTTCATGCTATATCAATAAGAGAATTGCCTTATTTATCTCATTTTACCTAAATTCTCATCTGTTTTGAATCTTCTCTGTGGCTTTGGGCCTGGGGACAGGTAGTAATAGTTTGTAAAGTTAAAAAAAAAATAGTACATTTCAGTTATTTTTTTTCAAGTTCTTCAGATTGTGACCAAAAAAGGCTAGAGGGCTGATTTTGAAACTGTTATAATGAAAGATGGTATTTGAAAACTTTTGATGGGGGAAATTGTCATCATATTTATATTTTGAAAAGTGTTTCCTTATTTACGCATTATTGACTTCCTATTGAGACTCAAAATTTTAAGTACAACTGGTAAAGAATTCAATGGATCAAATTCAGTAAATCTGAAGTCACTGGAATAAAGGCCCCTAAGAAAAAAAAATGTGTCAATTTTAAAGGTCTTTCCTAACTGAAGACCATTTTGTGATAGAGCCAAAGGTTAATAAAATCAGTAGTGAATGTAGCAATTTTACAGATAAGCTATTCACAACAAGTGTAGTTACTTGAATAAAAAGCTAATTCAGTTCTAAAATGCCACATGCAGTAGCAGTGAATAGCTGCTTTTAGGTGCTTTCTGGAGGAGGATAAAATACAGAATCACGGCACTCTTCTCTTCCAGCGTCCCTGGCTGCCTGTAAATTGCTGTGAATGGGGCTGTGGGCTGACAGGCTCTATTAAGACAAACTGCCTTTCTCATCGGAGAGATAAAATAAATCAGGTGTTTAGTCAAATTAAAATACTTCAGCTGGAGCAGGCCCTGGGGAGCACTGATCCACCTGACTAATCTGAGAGAAACTCAAGACAGATGTGGTTTGGGGATAAAGACGACCCCATGGAACAAAAAAAAAGAAAAAAAAAGAAAAAAAAGAAAAAAAAAACCCTGCTGCACTGTCTTTGGAGTTGGAGAACAGATACAGTTTATAGTAGAGAGTGTCAGGCGCACACTGTGTGATGTTGGATAAAAGGCATGCTGACTTGTAGAGAAGCTGTGTACAGAAGTGTTTTTGCTGGTTCCCTTTTTGTGGTTTGTGAAACTACCTCTGTTTTTATGTGGGAGCTGGGCAGAAGACTATTTTCTGGCAGTGCTTTTTAGAGAATCATTTTAAGATAGCTTGAAGGACATGAAACAGATGATGTTAGGTAGCTCCTGATGACCTCTGCTGGCCTGGGCAGATCATCAGAAGTTGGTTTACTTTTTTTCCAAGTTGATTTTTTCAAACCTCCAAACATGATTTAGGACATGATTTTTCTTTTCTTTGTTTTTGAGAGATAGTCTCTTCCACCCAGGCTGGAGTGCAGTGGCGCAATCATGGCTCACTGCAGTCTTGAACTCCTGGGCTCGAGTAATGCTCCTGCCTCAGCCTTCTGTGTAGCTGGGACTACAGGTGTGTGCTACTATGCTTAGCTTATTTTTTACAAAAAAATTTTTGGAGAGACAGGTTCTTACTATGTTGCCCATGTAGTTCTCAAACTCTGGGCTTCAAGCGATCCCCCCACCTCGGCCTCTCAAAGTGTTGGGATTACAGGCATGAGCCTCTGTGCCTGGCCAATATACTATTTTCTATATAGAGTTAATGCATAAGAGCATTCGAAGATCTTTTGCCATCCTTAACAAAACTTAACTATATTTTGGTTGCTCCTTTATGTCTCATCATTATCTGTTCTTTCAGCAGCTCTTACAATTGTAGTTCCTTTGCCATGGTAAAGTTTCATGTTTAATTTTTTTAAGATAAAAAAACTTGTATTCACAGGTTGGATGGTCAGTGTGATTTAGACTTGATGTTATTTTTATTACAGTGGCATGAACACATGCTGTTAATTAAAACAGGAAAATCTGCATTATAGGTCTTAAATGCTTGGCTTCAAACCATTATACCCGAACAAATACAGTGGGTACAGAACAGAAAAATGCATCCCCCTCCCACTGCCACGCACACACACAAATTAATCTGCACATTTTGAATATAAGCTATTGTATGGTGTTTTTTCCCTAATTTGAGCCCCAAGGGCTACTTGGCTATATATATGATCCCCAATACAGGGGGAATTTCAGACTTGTTACACTACTATGCTTCACTCCAACTTCATTTTTAATGCCACTATTCAAAATATATACATTAAAAAATCTGAGGATGCTCAAGTTCCTTATGTAAAATGGCCTGGTATTTGCATATAACCCATGCACATTCTTTCACATACTTCATATCATCTGTGGATTACTTATAACACCTAATACAATGTAAATGCTGTGTGAATAGTTGTTATATTGTGTTGTTTTATTTGTGTTATTTTTTATTGTGTTGTTATTATTTTAAAAATATTTTCAGTTCGAGATTGGCTGAGTCTGTGCTTGGTTGAATAAGTGGATGTGCAACCTATAGATAGCGGGGGTTGACTGTATGTACTCCTCAAGTTTAAGGAAAAAATAGTGACAGCCTTATATGAGTGTTTAAATTCTCATTTTAAAAATACTGCTTTCTGCATTTTCTTCTTAAACGTGTATCTTTTAAGTCCAAAGAAAAAATTTAGATGCCACTGACTGTTTACAATTGGATTCAGCTAAATGGTGTTATTCCATAAATTCAGTTATACTTATATATATCTATTAACCCTGGAAGCACCAATGCATTTATAAATCTTTTGGCTTCACTGTGAACAGAAGAGGCTAAGAAGTCACTTAGGTATTATCTTTAGCCTCTCTGTGCCTATGCAGAGGAGAAAGGGGAGTAAGTTGAAGATGATTGAAAGATTGTTTAAGATGGAAGAAGAGAAAAATTTCCAGTATTTATTGGGGAATCTAAATACTAGATCCAACTCTGGTATTGGTCCTTGCCCAAAATTTCCTGTGTAAGCTCTTCTTTATTAACAAAAAATTATAGTACAGTAACTATCACTATATCCAATAAACCTTCTCTTAACTTATATCATATAGACAGGTATTATGATACAATTACACGTATGTTAGAATATTGCACAAAATATAATAATAAAATACGTATACATCCCATTTATCTCATGTCTTTCCAATCTATTCACCACACTGCAACCAAAATGACCATATCACTCATTTCGTAAAATACTTTAGTGATTAGGAATCATTCTTAGAATAAATAGGTAGATCATCACACATGGTCTATAAGGGGCTGAATGGTATGCCCTCTTACTAGCTCTCTAGCCTAATCTAATGCTCTATTCCTGTTTATTTTCCTTGCTCAAGTTTCACTAACTTCTTTCAATTTCTGGAACACACCAAACTGCCCCCCATCCCCAACATATGTGTACACACACACACACACACACACATGCACACACACATGACCTTTGCCTATAGCGTTTTCTTTTTTGGAAAAGCTCCTTGACCACCAACCACCCTCTTGCAACCCTTTCTTCAGTTGTAGTTTCCTTGTCATTGCAATTTCACGTTTTCTGGAAAGCTCCTTCAAACCATGCTCCAACTCTTCGTCTAGTTAACTCCTATTTATCCTTCTGTTAATTTGTTGCTTTTTCAGATTACTTTCCCTGAACTTGGGCACCCAAATTTGGTTAAACTCCCACAGAACATTTGTCTTATTTGTATTCCTATGTAGTTGTAGTTTACATTTACATGTTTGATTACATGATTAAGGTGTCTCTTCAATTTTTTTGTTTGTTTGTTTTTGAGATGGAGTCTCACTCCTACACCCAGGCTGGAGTGCAGTGGCATGGCCTTGGCTCACTGCAACCTCTGCTTCCCAGGTTCAAGCTATTCTCCTGCCTCAGCCTCCCAAGTAGCTGGGACTACAGGTACCCACCCCTATGCCCAGCTAATTTTTGTATTTTTAGTAGAGAAGGGGATTCACCGTATTGGTCAGGCTGGTCTTGAACTCCTGACCTAAGGCGAGCCACCTGCCTCAGCCTCCCAAAGTGCTAGGATACAGACATGAGCCACCGTGCCCAGCCTATCTCTTCAAATTTTGAACTACAAAATGCCTAAGAATAGGGACTGTGTCTGCTTCTACTTGCCATGCTGTCCTTAGTTCTTGTTATAGTACCTGATACATAGTGGCAATTCAGAAAATGTTTATTGAATTAAAAATTTATTCAATATGTAAATTTAAAAAATATCATTCTTGTGTTGTATTTTCTCATTCCTGTATATATTAACAAATACATTAGTTGAACTTTTTGTCCTTTTCAAGAGATCTTATGGATCTTATGATTCTTTTTGGGAACCTGCTTTTGTATTTTGGAAGTTCTGGATCAATAAATTCTTCCTTTTACCAAGATGAAATTCCCATTGCTGAAGTAAAAACCCATTTTCTTTTAATAAATTCCAGGATCTAGAAGGAGTAGCTGGCGACTAGCCTTGATACAGTATTTGTTTCCTTATCAGTGGAATACACTTTCTAACAACTTTATTTTTCCTTTAATTTTGATTTTAGGCCATCATTGAGCTCAGTAAATCTGAGGATATAAGAGATACTGACAGCTTTTCTTTTTTTTTTTTTTTTTGGACCTGAGTTGACATTAAGAATCCCACGATAGTCCTAAATGTGGTAGCTTCTCTGTTGATGTCAGTCCTACCTTTCAGAAATCATATACTAACAAGTGCTAGCCTGCATCCTCTGAAGTTTCTCTTTCTCCTTTGGGCTACTTTAAAAATAAGGCCACTCATAATTAAAATATTTTCTGGGATTGTAATGGTGCTTTCTTAGTAGGAATGAGGGGGTTTCATAAGGAGGTTGGAAGTCTCTCCTTCTGCACACACAAAAATTGGCAATCTTTGTCCCCTTTGACAGCTGGTGGCATTTTTCTGAAAAGCTTTCAAATCACAGATCATTTCTTCATAATGAAATCTGTGTGGTTCAGATACAGTGGGTTGAAATTCTTATCTTATGCTGCGGTAAAATGCTCTAATTTAGATTCACAAAAGGATTCTGTACCGTTTACTTAGGAGAGCTGTGCAATTTGCCCATAAAAAGACTGTTCAGCACCATTAGTGCATACCATAAGTGTTCAGCGACATCATATTCATTAAACAGCATATCCTTATGCATAACCTTTTCAACCTTGAATGTGTTTTTTTCTCTTTGAAAAATGACAAATGACAAAGGGGTGATAGAGCCCCCCAAGCAACACTGTTGCCTTTACAGATGAACTTGGGAATTTTACTTGATCCTTTCTCAGGAAAAAAAAAAATCACATTCAATCTTTTCTCACCTGAGGCAGTTTTAATTCTCTCTGTAGTATTCTCTCTATGGCCAAGAGATTGACTGCTAACTTCTAAACTTCAGTGACATATCTTTGTACAATAGAAAATTTTGTGAGGGTAAGGATCAGAAACTTCCTCAAGTAACTTTTATTAAGCACCTACTATGTCTTAGATACTGTTAGTCACTGAGCTTAGAGGTGATTATAGAATATTAATATAATCTATAGTTTCTGATCTTTCATATTAAATATCATGGATTTCCTAGCTTAATCAGATAGATTGGGGGCAAAAAGGAGAAAATGGGGTAAGTCTGCTTTTTTTAGAGCAAGAGGGGAGAGTGAGTGAGAATTTTACCAGTGACAATACTTTCTCTTGGCAGGAACAGTGAGGAACCCTAGCTTTCATTCCACTGCTGTAATTACTCTCTGGTGTTCCTGTACCCTCAATGGCCTCCAGTCATTGTCCCAGATCTTTAAATGTCTTAGGATAGTCCCTTTCTAAATTCTGCCCTCCTTTCCCTTATTCGTCCAGGTATTTCTCAAGCTTGTGAGATCTCTTCTTGCTTCCATTTTAGGTACACCTGAGAGCCTGGCAGAAAAAGAACGGCAGCTCTCCACCATGATTACCCAGCTGATCAGTTTACGGGAGCAGCTACTGGCAGCGCATGATGAACAGAAAAAACTGGCAGCGTCACAAATTGAGAAACAACGGCAGCAAATGGACCTTGCTCGCCAACAGCAAGAACAGGTGAGCCCTGCAAAAGGCACTGACGAACTGGAGATGTGGAATGTGCCAGGCTCAGAGAGTAATCAAATTGATTGGCTTATTTGTTGTAAGCTTTCCTAAAAAATAAAAATAAAAATAAGAAAAGATGGAAAAAAAAAACAAAGCCTTCTGGAAATCTAGGGTCTTCAAGAATTTTGAGGGAATATGTGTACAAAAAAGGCATCATAGCAACTGGGCATAACTAAAATGATACATTGTTTCAGGTTTGGATTTGATTAATGATTTGGGGATGCTTATTCATATAGACATCACATATAATCCCTCTGTAGCTTCACTATGAGTAAGTGACTTTTCTCTGGGCCTTATTTTCCTCCCAGAAAAAGGGGGTTCTGTTCCAGAAAAACTTTGGGAATCTTTTAGCTCATTGGTGCAATGATTTTCTTCAGGTTTAAAGTCCAAAGAGGTGACCATACATTTCAGTTTTCCCCAGATAGCCCTGGTATAATGCCTGTTTTCTAGAGTAATAATACCCTGCCTCCTTTTACTTGTGAAAGTTTTCTTGGTTTGGATGATACATCACATGGTCACTATTTATAGCATAGGTAAGTCATTGAATACAAATTAGTACATCGTTCCTAAAAGTATTTGACCTGATTGACTTAGAATTGAGAATGAAGAAAAAATAGCAAAGTTTAAATGTATGTCTTTTAAAAATAAATCACTTTCCCAAATGTTTTTTCTTGTCTCATAAGAGTACATTAATCTAACAATGATCCTATAGAGTAGTCCCTGATGCTTTAGATCAGACAGATCTAAATTAATGTGCAGTTTTTAGGAATCTGACATTATTACTGGAATTATCTTTTCAGTTAAATGTATTTTATAGGAGTATATAGAGCAATATATGCTCTGTTGATTTTAATGAGTTGTGATGTCTGGTATTTTATATGCTTGAATATTTGCCCACATGTAGGAATATGGACTCAGCCCCTAATGGAAAATAACATAAAGGAACACTGTAAAAAATCAGAAGTTAGAATGTCATTTAGCCATCCAGAGATGACACAGTAATTAACTATTGACACTTGTGAATAAGCTAGCACAAATTAATCTTGACACATTTGCAGACGAGTGATATCTTACAGTGAACACTTTGTAATTATATTTCAAAATGAAAATTAAATGACACTTAAAACTAGGTTGTCATGCTCAATGAAGCGAGCATGTAGCTCAACCTATTGGCAAATAAAATTCAGAATTTGAGCCACATGGCGCTTATGTACCATACTTCACTGTGTCAAACCCATACGTCTAGAGTGGATGATAGTAATTGCACTGTGGTGTTTTGGATGCATTTCTATGCAGCACTTTATCATTTAGGAGGGACCATCAATATTAGATGCCTAGTGGCATTTCACTGGTTTGCTAAGAAGAAATAAATATTCAGAGGATCCAGCATCTATACCTAGAGCTGCAGAATGAGTTGTACATTTCTGATTTGAATATCCACAAGCAGAGTGGGCCATCCCAACCTGATTAAATACTATTTCCACTTTAAGTATAAAGCTCTGACAAGGAGGAGTCTCATTTCTCACACTGTAGTCTACATTAGGGGCAGCTTTATCATGGCTTCCAGTAGGAACCAGTTGTCATCCAAAATCAGAAAGCAACATTTAGAAGCAGACTGCTATTTTGTCATCTTGTGCTGAATGAAA
This sequence comes from Homo sapiens, assembly GCF_000001405.40. Taxonomy (NCBI): domain Eukaryota; kingdom Metazoa; phylum Chordata; class Mammalia; order Primates; family Hominidae; genus Homo; species Homo sapiens. The sequence continues at coordinate 16,185,088 of NC_000011.10, read as the reverse complement.
TATAATTTGGGCACTACCCCCTGCATAGGCTAAAACATTAAAAAGGCTTGGGAAGTATATAGCTTGGAACTGATTTACACTCATTTTCACTTCCAACATAACCCATTCTAGAATACTGGCTTTGGAAGTAGGAAGAAATAGGAAGAAAAGACACTCTTGACAAAAAGGCACTACTAAACAAAGTCCTGAGTGCTCTCTGGCTGCTTTTCTCTCTGGCTTCCTAGGTTGGCAGTGAGTGTGTTCTCACTAAGGATCATCTCTCTGGACTTCGAGCTGTAGCAGCTCAGCTTTTGAGTCAATAGTGGCCTGATGCCTGACTCATACTTCATAGTAAACACTATTATCCTAAGGAAGCTATTTGACCTCCTGAGGGCCAGAGACAGTCATCAGTAGGGCTTGCATTAAATGGTTAACATTTCTTTTTATAGACCAGATAATGTGTTTAGATGTTGAATTTGATTGTTGGATGAAACAAGGAAATATAAAATTTGTATATAGATCCTGTACTATGAAATAAACACATTGTTCTCAAAAGGATAAATGGATAAATGTTAAATTACAGCTTAATTTGTTTTTAAAAATATTTTGTACATCACATACAGCATCAACAAAAAAAGCTAAAGATTTTTTACTTTTTGCTGTGTCCTTTGGCACTCCTTTAACAATATTTGTAAATGTATCAGTTCTGAAAATCTTTGTATCAGGAAAGGTTTTGCCAACATAGACCATATTAAGCAATAATACGAAGATTTTTCCTGTCTTTGCTTACAGATTTTACTTTTTACATCCAAATTAAGCCATTTAGAAAAATGTAGCCAGAGATTTTTCTATCTCTATTCTACAAGGATTCGATTTCTAAAATCCCATGATTTCCAGCTGACCAGTGCAGATATAGGTGAATAGCTCACAAATATAATAGAAGGGGTAGTTTTCCTACAGATAAAGCAGAGAGGTGGCACTTGTTTAAAAATTTTTCCTTTCATCCATCTTTCTGATTTGGCCTCTCTCATTTTATAGGAACTCTTTCACATAGAGGTGCGGTAAAAGATTGTTGTAATACCAGGAGAAATACCTGAGGTAATGGCAGAGGTGTAAGCATTTCATTTTAACTTAATGAAACTTTATTTCTGATAGATTGCGAGACAACAGCAGCAACTTCTGCAACAGCAGCACAAAATTAATCTCCTGCAGCAACAGATCCAGGTCAGTGTATTTTATTACTCTCGTCTGATTATACTTAGATACTTTCCTCCTTGAAAATGGAATTTAAAACTCTGCAGATGTACCCCTGTCTTATAAACAGCACCAATAAGGCTGTTTTCAAGGATGTTGTGCACAATTCTATAATTGAATGTAAGAAATATGGACTAGATGGTGGCCTAAGCATTATTCTCTGATGTGATATGTAAGCAAAATAACCCTTATCTTTTTTCTTTTTGCCTTTTGCCTAACACTACTTACTGGGAACCTAATGGTCTCCCAGGTAGCATACAGATGGTATTTTTTATTGCCACTGACCACTTTCTGTTTTGTATTTTACCATGTAATAGTACTGTAGAGAGAACTTACTTTTAATTTACTTGTTAGGACTAATTGGACCAATTATGAGAAAAATCTGGAAAAAGGCTGTTAATAATTTGTTCCTTAACAAATATTAATTGTATTCCTTCTAGATGCTAAAGGGAATAGAGAGATTAATGAGTGATAGTTTGTCTTCAAGGAGCTTACAGTCTAAAAAGGAAGAAAAACTTGTTCCTGAATAATTATGACATGGTGTAGAAAATCCCTTTTTCTTATGGCAATGTAAAAATATATAGATCATAATTACAATGATCTGGGGAGGAAAGGTGATGGTCTGATTTCCGACATTCTTTTAGATACTTGATGGTTAACTCAATGAACAGCTATTTGAGATAGGCAAGGAAAATGGTTTCCCTTTCCAAATAGAAATATAGGTGTGTGACTTCTAGAAAGCCCTAGAATAAGGAACTGGCTGTCTAGTGACTAATCCTTAGAAACACTGATCACAGAGTTATGCCTATCCTACGGTAGACTCTTGTTTCCCTTGATTATTGGAGAACCTGCTGGGATCTTGATTCAAACTAGCTGGGCCAGTGTATTCTGAATTATGTTATTACTTTTCTTGAGGTTAATATCATGCCCTTCTGTATTTTAAAAAAAAAATCAGTAGCATGAGGTCATAGTTTACTGCAATATTCTATCTCATTGATGAATAACAAGGATTTTACCTTCGATCCTTGCTTCATTTTGTTAATCATACTCAGTGTTCCAGGTAGTTACTGCACTTAAAGTACTAATTTGGTATCTGAAGCAGTCCCTTTACCTAATTGGCATTTTGTCCAGCTATTTTCAGTAGGAGATCTTAGCCAACTTTTTTGTTGGTTTTTGTCGTATTCAGTATTCCATATTCAAGTACACATGTTGCAAAATAAAAAGTCCAAATATAGATGAGTTGTAATGTCTGGCATTTTTGACAGTCAGCCTTTACAATTAAATCTTGGAATAATTTCTCATCCTGATATCTCTTTTATGACTCATGCTGAGACCCTTAATTAAATAACTGTCCAGGTGTTCCCTTGTTCTGCCCTTATTAGAATTTTCAGTGTAGCTCCTACTGCTCAGGTCAAGATTTTTAGCCTGTGGCTTCCTACATTTTTCTGTAGATCCCTCTGTAGGAACTCAGTAGGTGTTAAATAACATGATCGTTTAGTTCTCTCTGTTTCTCCTATTTGTAAAGCAGGAATGGAGGAAGTTCCCTGAGGTGTTCTTATATCAGTTAATTATTGTTTTTACTACTGCTTTATAACTTACTTGTTTATTCTTTTCTAATATATTTTACTTCTTAGTCCAGTGCTGTTTATACTGACTGGTTGTCTTCACTGATGTTTTCCTGTGGCACTGAGAACTCCAGGTGAACAGCAACCAAATCAGTTCAGAATATTTTAATGAAATATTTTTAGTGTGTATTACTTATATATGATTGTGTAGTATAAATTGACTACATCTTTTTCAGAAAACTACAGAACATGATCTTAAAATATTCATTGGAATGAACATTTGGAAACATCAATTTGAAAAGATAGGAGTAATGTTTTTCAAGTTTTCTAATAGAAGTTTGATTGCTTTTAAAATGTGTGGATATTTCTTGTTGTTTAATTTTTTAATTTAAGCTAATCAGCACTTGAACTTAGCAGTATAAATTATAAAATAAAGATAGTCAATGTCAGAGTTACATTCACTTTAGAAATATAAGATTCTTTGTAATAAGAACTCAAATTTTTTAAAAAATAAGAGAAAGCAATAAGACCTGTATTTATAGTTCATTCTGTCCTGAGCTACTGCTTTATGGCATATCTTGTCAGTATTTACCTTCTACATGTGAGACCATTCAAAAAATTTTTCAAATGCTGAAAAACACGTACTCCTTACACAAAATCACAAAATGTATTCATCTCTGAGACTTACAAAACAGGTATTTGACATTCAGACTTTCTTTTTTTTTTTTTTTGGAAGGGGAAAGGGTAACTATATTTTCAAATATGGCTTTTGAAATTTAATCAAATTTAAGAGAGAGATTATTGTTGGATTAATTTTAAATGCTTTCTGAGCAAAATATGAGACTTGAGGGATGCTTCAAACATTTTTTTTCTATCAAAAAAAGAAACACTTTCTCATTTGAACCCAAAACAGAACAAAGGATAAAACAAAATTATTAAAGGTGAATTAAAGATTATTAAATATATTAAAAATGAAACTTAACTTCTCTTTCAAAAGCAAATGATGAATACAGAGACAATTTGAGCAAGTTTGACACTTTTTTTTTCTTTTTATATCTTGAGTCCTAGAACCTATTAGCTTACATGGTCAGCAAGATTAAATCATGGCAACTGGCTATGGGTCATGAGTATGAGGTGGTTGCATTCAAAATCGTTCCTCTAGTTTAGAATGCTGTCTTCTGAAATAGTACTGTTTTTTTCCCCCCAATTTGCAAGCTTTAATAGAAACAAAGGGAAGAGTGCCTAACCTCTTGTAACAACCCCACACAGACACATCTGGGTCTATTATAATGGAAACAAATGAAAATGAATGAATGGCTTCCACAAATTGAAAAACAGGATTTTTCATTAGAAATAGGAAAAGGCATGATTAAGATAGTATTGTAAAAGTTCCCATGTTTATTTTATTTGCAATTATTCAGAACTTATATGTGCAGTTAAGAACAATTTTATTTATATGTCTTCCTTGAATATATTTTTTAACATTATTTTGCCTTCGTAAATTCTAACTAAACTTTTAAATAGATTCTTCTAAAGCCAAGTAAACCGTGTTGGAAAAGTAAGATGTATGATTTTGTGAACTGTTTTTATAGTTTTGATGAGTCCATTTTTACCTTTTAATAAATCAGGATAATAATTATAAATGATTATTAAAATATCACTTTAATATTAGGTCTTTTCGGAGAATGTTTGCTTTGTAAATTCAGATCCCTCTGTGCTTTGGGGAAAATGATGATTTCTCTAATTTTTTACATGTGAAGTAATTCTCCTGATATGGAGCCCAGGAAAAAAATAGATATTTTTGATATTTCCAGGACAGAAATAGCATATTTTTTACCAAGTCTATGGAAAGCAAAACTAATAGGTCATGGAATATGGATCTTTGGAGTTGGGAATATTGATTCATAGGCTGTAATTTCAAAGGAAAGATAACTGCTTCAGTAATTTCATCCTCCCCCTCCCACTCATTGAACTGTAGTATCTTAGCTAATATTTCGAAGCATTTTACTTCTGAGTTATGCTAACTGGTAAACAGAATTCACTTTTAATTAATTTGACAGTTGTAAACAGATCAAAGCATGTTTACAGTATTTTAATCAATGATTAAATATAAGACAATTCTAGGCAAAACAGAAAATATTTTATAAATCCTCATTTCTTGATTTTTTTCACATATTTATTCATCTAACCTCATTTGACCAGGCCATGGTTTTGAATCTGGAGATTTTTTTTATGGATCCAATATACCACATTCTTTGGTTTCTATAGCACATCAATAGGAACACATTTAACGATGGAATTTTGCAACTAGAACTGAGTCTTTGCAAAAGAATTCAGCTCATTAAAATATCTCTGTGAGAAACTTCCTTTTCCAGGGATGAATAGTATTATCCAATTATTTGTGTCTCTTCAGACTCCAATTTTAGAGTTATTCAAGTGGCTTATATTGTGAGCTATATAGGCAGTGTCCTCTCCTCACATAACTAACTAAACAACGATCTCTTAAGAATGGACTGGCTGGATGGGGTTTTATTTAGGCATTTGGCTTTCTGGGCAAGGGCCAATGATTTAGTCAATTCATACACATGTGTCTTTTTTGGGTAAAATCGTGAGACTTGAAATTTTTAGTGCCTTGTTTTCTTTATGATTAATGTGCAATATTCATTGCCCTCCCCTCATCATTTAACATATGCATTAGATGGCAAACTTTATTTGTAGAAGGCCTGAACTAAATGCCATTGCTGCGTCTTTGCAAATATTCTTTGTCTTATCTGAAAACTTTTTCTTTTAAATGTTGAAATACATATTGCTTATTTTCTTTTACCCAAACCAGTGTTCATTACTTCACTGAAGTTGTACTCTGTTCTTAAGCATATATGATTATCTTTCATATACAGTGTTTTTAATTTTGATTATAATATATTCCTGTGTGCTATTTATATATTTTGTGAGTCTGTATGTTTCCCACGTGGTAGAGCATCATTAAATGTGTGTTATCCTTTCTTCCTTTTTGGTAACCAGAAAGATGCTAATATTATCAGCAAGGAAGTGATTGTCCTTAAACAATTAAACATAATAACTTGAGATGTCCTCTCACCTTTTAAGGAGATAGACCTTACCTTTTGTTTCCTTCAATATGATTAACTACAGGCATTTCAGGTATCTGCTGAGCAGAATAAAGGACTACCTTTTTATGTGAAGTAGTTGTCTAAAGATCAGAAATAATTGCTTTGTACATTAGCCTTCATGACCTGCTTGACCTAGTTAATTAATTTTTTGCTAGCATAATAATAATAGATATATATTGGAGATATGTTTCATCATTAAGTATCTAATTGACCTCTAATTTTAAGAGCTGCACCTTCCATTTATTGTCTTTTGGAAATGGCTGGAGCACCCAACAGAAAAACCGAGGACAGTCAGAAGCTGACTTCAATCCCACATAGTCCCTCTGTCTTAGGTTGTATTTCTTTGTTATTTGTATTTATCATTGATGAACAAAATGCAATTACAGTGCTCCTGTTTTGGCTCTGGCAAATAGTCGTTTTTTGTATGTTATTGATCAGGTAATGGATCTCCTTCCAACTTTCTCTGAAAAGGACTAAATAAACCTATTGAAAGTAATTTGATACTTCTATTGGCACTGTACATACATATGATACTCCCTTGCAAAGAAATGAGGGGTATAAACAAAGCTTAGAAGTCTAGGATTAGCCCCTAGCTTCCGCAAGCCCTTAAAATATTTTGTAATTCTATCTTCAATCATGAATTAGCCAGGAAAAACAGACCCTCTTTCCTCTCTCTATGTCTCTGCTGTATGCTGTTTTTAATTGCCCACAGGCAGGCTGTTGTGATCTTTGGATGTTTAAAACCAAGATAAAAATGCAAATCTAATTATTTCTTTTATGTAATCTAATTAACTTTAAAAGTCATGATAGATGCTCTATAGTCTGCTTCAAACATTTTAATAATAAAGTTTCTGGGTTATAAAGAATAGGTAAAGCTGCTATAATTATGACTAGCAAGGGCTATAACAGCAAAAATTACAAATTCTTGTTGTGAACTAAAACTACACTTTAGTTTTTCCACATTAGTCATGCTAGACTGTTTGTTATAGTTGGAATGCGCCTAAAAATAAGAGAACTGACCAGATCCCAAGAGCTACTCAATGGAATCAGCTAGTTACCTGTTTTTCCGAGTGTGGCCTTATGGCAAAGATCTCATTCAGCATACCAAAACCTGAAGGTGAATCTCAAAGCTTTTTCTGCGCTATCCTTCAGTTACTTCAGTCTCTACACAACCCGCCCTTCTCTATCTGTGCTTATCTCTTAGACTGCACTGTACTCCCCAGCTCTCTCCCAAACCAGTGGTACTAAAAATTCAGGGAAACCAGTCTCTGCTTCTTTCCGGAATTAAAGTGGAAGAGTGCCTTACCTCTTCAGAGGCAGAGTGAGGTGCAGCAGAGTGGGCCAGATGTTCCAGGTGAGGCCAGCATGTGACATTACATAATACTGAATAGGAAAATGTCTCTCTTCTATTTTTTTTTTCCTTGATCCTTCTCATTATATTGAGGGCTCAGTTTAATGTTAGTCTTTAATACTCTTCTAGTATGTACTAAAATCAGAGAGAGAGAGAGAGAATGAGAGAGAGAGAGAGAGAGAGAGAGAGATCATCTTATTCTCAGAGCCTTTGGATGCAATATGGCAGTCAGCTGGAATTTAAATAAATTTAATGTTTTCCTTTACATGGTTATCTGGTTAGCTTCTATTTACGGCAGGTGATTTTAATTTTCTATTTGAAGTATAATATGAAGTTTCCTTTTGAAGTGTATATACACCAAAAGAAAAAGTCAAATTAAAATCTTAAGCAAATAGTAATTAGGTACTTGGATATGACAAAATTATGAAGATAGTTCTCTAATGGAATTTTGGGGAACCCTTGAAAGAGTACTACAGTAAGAGTTGTATTAAACATTCCCCCTCTACCCTGCCAGCACTTTCACAGAATGTTAAACTCGAAAACGTCATCATGATTCTCATTCACTGGATAGAGGGAGAATAGGTAGCTATCCATGTTGAAGACAATATAGTAAGTTTATCATAAGCCATACTTTAAAATAACCCTGAGATTATGTTTTTCCACCTTTTGGGGAATTAAAATGTCCTTTCTATGAAGTATTGGTGATAATAGGTGGTATGTGCTTTCTTTGTTTTTCAATAGTTTTATTTGGTAAAATAAAAAGTTCCCAACTATATGTAAGTCTCCACTTTTGCTTGTCTTTGAAATTTTGCTGATCTATGATATATAAAACCTTTGGGCATGCTTAATCTAGTCCAAAGCCTTTAGATTACACGAGGAAACTGAGGTATAGACCAGAGGCTTGTCTGAGCTTAAAAAGCAAGTATTATCAGAGCCACAAGGGGAACCCAGGTTTCTTGATGCCTGATGGAGCACTGTTTCCAGTATTTCAGATCCTTTCTCCATTTGCCCTTTTTGTGACTTGAATAAATCTTACTGCACTTCAGTTTCCTAGTTTACAAAATGTGTCTAATAATACCTAACATCTAAAATGTCATTACATTCTCTTTATCCTTAAATAGAAAAAATAGAAAATTTGCCACTAGACTCTCTCTACCCTTAGAACTACTATAGCTGTGGGTATATACCTACAAGGCAAGAGATAAAAAGAATATAATTGGAATCTTTTTGTAGTGCAATGGGAGGTGTGTATATGGCTGGGTGACTCTTTTGGTGTTTACATATGAACCTTTTAGACAGTTAATTATACTACTTCCTGAGGGCTTTAACGTGATGTGTCACTATACTGAGGGTCAGACACCTTTAATATTAATAACTTTTTTTTATAACTACCTTCTTCATCTGATGAATGTGAGCAGTGAGTGACAGCATTCCATGCTAGTGGTTCTCAACCTTGGTTGTCCCTTGTAATCACTTGGAATCTTGTTAAAAATACTGATGCCTATCCCAAAGATTTTTATTTAATTGGTCTTGGATACAGTCTGAGCATGGAGAGTATTGAAAAGTTTATAGATGATTCTAGTGGGTAATCAGAATGGAAAAATACTGCTCTATACAGGGTAATGAAGATTAAATGATTAAAGGTTAATGCTAAGTTGTTTAGATTTAGGTTGAATCTCTCTCTCTCTCTCTCTCTGTCTCATCCATCCATCCATCCATCCATCCATCCATCCATCCATCCGTCCGTCCGTCTGTCCGTCCATCCATCCATCCTGAGGGTTGGAGTATACCTTAAATAGTTCATGATGAGTTAAAATATACTTTTCATTTTGGTCATAGCTGTTTTACTTACTAGCTAGAAAGCTTTTAATGGACCATGGTTTAAACAATTTAAATAAATTTAGTTAGTTTTTCTAATAACTTGATTTTTATTTGTCTATGAGGATATTGGCAAGCTAAAATTGTATAGACATCAGAAGGTCTGTGTCTTTTGGAGAAGGTGTATGAAAAAAATGAAGCACAAAATAAGACAAAAATAAGACAAAAAAGTTAGAAAATAAAATCTCAGATGCCATTTGGCTTTTAACTTTCTAAACAGAATAAATTTTAACACAAACATCAACCCATTTTTTAAAAGTGTTTTTTAAAACTTTAAGACATAGAAAAAATCTTGCATCCTGACATATGTAAGGAATGTATGACTCTGAATCTACTTTTAAGTAAATTTGTACATATAAACAAAAGATGTAGAGAATAAGATGTGTTATTTCGGAATGTATGTAATTTAAAAATTTTATAGAACCAGTGCAGGTATTGGAGATAAATAAATTAGGGTTTAAATAACAATTCCACTACCTGTTAGCGCTGTAGTCTGTTTTGTTACTTAGTAGCTGTAAGACAAGTTACTTAATGTCTCTCAGCCTGTATTTCCTAATTCCTAAAGATAATTACAATACCTTACAGTAGCTTTGAGATAATTATATAAAACCCCTAGTAATTGCTTAAGCATAATACATACCACTATCATTGTTGTTTTTGTTCTTGTATGACTAGGTATAGGAATAATTTCAGAGTTTCTAATAGAGAAACCTTCATGTACATATTCTACATGTGCACATATACACACATTTGTATCTATACACACATGCATATTTAGAACCCACAAATTAGTGATGTGAATATAGAATAATCAATGTGTAGGTACTATAATCAATTATTATCACCATGATAGTACAGAGGAAAATAAAGTGCAACAATTTTCCCTGGCTGCCAAACGAGAGCTTTTCAACTGTCAGTGAGTGAGAGTAAGGTTTGTCAGGCACTCAGAAATGGTTGACCAAGTATTAGAGCAGCTTGGAGATTGTATAAAAGAGAGCATAACATTTTATTTTCAAAAAACAGAGTCAAATTCTCACCTCTCAGACTAAAATGGGCTTTGCTATTAGATTCATAGTGCTTGTGAAGTTAGAAGGATGGTAAATGAACCTTTCCAATTTATTTTATAGCTTTTTAAAGACAGTTGAAATTATGTGTTTTAGCTGCACAAAATGCAAAAGTCCTTCTTGCTGAAAATAAAGTTGTTCATATAAATCTTATGTATGCCATCTCCTGTAAGTCAAGCATTTGCCTAGCTTTTGTGAATTATGTCTATACTTAGAATTTAAGAAGTTAAACAGTATGCATACCAGACTTGAGAGATGGGAAATAAAAATTGATATACTATGTGACACTTGATATAGCACAGGGAAATATCTTTTAAATGCTGAGGGGATGTACTGACATAACCATTTTTAATTCACATATAGTAACTTCCCACTCAAAGTTATTAATGTTAGAGTCATGGATTTTTACTTGTACAAAATAACAGCAAATAAATGATGCAAAAAGTATAGTATCTCCTGTAAGAAGCTGAATTACTTTTATCCACTGCTCAATCCATTAAGAAAATGTTAAAGTTGTAATATCAAACAATGAAAGTTAAGGAATTCATAGTCAGAATTAAGGGTTGAGTACATCCTCAGTCAGGTTGTAGTCTGGACTCTAACTTTTGATACATGTATGTTTCAGTGGAAAATTTTTCTCTTAAAATGTCTGCAGTTGAGTTTTCTGCAGTGGCTTCATAACTTCAACTGTGTTTAAAATGCTATAAAATAAATTGGAAAGGTTCATTTACCATCCTTCTAACTTCACAAGCACTATGGATCTAATAGCAAAGCCCATTTTTGTCTGAGAGGTGAGAATTTGACTCTCCACTCATGGACAAAAAAAAAAAAAAAAGAAACAAAGGAAAGGTTAAAAATTAACTGGGTGTGATGGCATGCATCTGTAGTCCTAGCTACTTGGGAGGCTGAGGTAGGGGGATCTCTTGAGCACAGGAGTTTTAGGCTGCATTGAGCTATGATCACTGCACTCCATCCTGGGCTATGGAGAAAGACTCTGTCTCTAAATCAATAATGAAATAAAATAAATAAATAATATAAAAATTTCAACTTTTTTAATATACAAAAGCCATATATGTTAGAAATTTAAGAAAAAACTACAGAAAAAATGTCTTTGAGTAGTAAAGTTATTTTGACTACTTTTCTTGCTCTAGTTTTTTAGTTTTAAAACTTCTTTTCTAGTAATTTTTCTTTTCCAGTGGTTTCTAAATAAAAAATTTACTAGTAGTTTTTCTTGTCTAGTAGTTTCTTTAAAAAAAACAAACACTTTTCTAGTAGTTTAAAAAAAAAAAACAAAAAAACTAAAAACCCAAAGCAAGAAAATTAATACAAATAATTTTAATACTCAAAGACATTTGCCCTAAACATCATATACTTAACCACTTGATATATAGAGTGTATTACAAATTTGGGTCTCTACTGTCAGTCTTACTGAGAAGGAAAGATACTGCATTGATATGGAGGCCAAGGTCCTAAACATAGAGCTTAGGTTACTTCTTCTATGGAATCAACAATGGTCTGAAACCTCCCTCCCAAAAGAAACCCCCCAGGAGCTTAGAAGTTCCAAGGATATACTCCAGTTCTAAGATGGAGTCCATGAGAGGGCCCTCTCAAAGACCAGTGGACCTAACAATCCACATTGGAACTAAATCAGAAAACTTTAACAGAAAAGCAGTTGTGTGGATGCCAACTTCAAGAGCCTAACTTCACTTTTCTATGTAGGCATAGATCTTGCCAATGCTTTCAGTCTGTTTTACTGATATCTATACATGTTTCTAACTCTTATCCTCCCAACCAGCTTTTCCTGGAACACAGTAAATTCCATAGACTTATACGTCCTCTTTGGCTCTGGGAGGCCACAATTTCAAGCCCAGGAAAAAAAAGGCATGGAGATGATAACTGATCTACTCTCAGCAGAAGTTGTTCTTCTCACTCTTATGTAAAGTCTGCAGCCCCAACTTGGAGACGAAATAGTATTAGAACAATGACAGAAAGATGATTAGATTAGTTGACAGAAAGTAGCCTAGACTTGAACTCAGGATGTCTATGCCTGCCTAGTCTTTGTTCTGCTAGCAACTACCTGTCCTGCAGCAAATGACTTTTCTGCCTTTTCATTTTCCATATATTTGAAGAAGGATTATTGTTCAGGATTATCACTGAAGTTCCTTGCAACTCTGGCCTCTGATTCTAGATGACAGGAATTGACTCTGTTACTTTAAAAAAGGAGAGCAGTAGATAGTCGTGCTTAGGAAGCTCAAAGGCAAACGTCAAGTTTGGCCATAGCATAAGACGTGTCCTCTTAGGAGGATGTTTCCATTTCAAACCATTGAAGGGTCTGGAATGATGAGATCAAATTCAGGTTTCCTTTGTGAAGTATTGTGATGGCTTGTAATGCTTGCCCCATGAAATAATGGCTGTAGGTGATTTTTAGAAAAATACATTTAAGAAGAGGGCCTGTAAAGGCCTGCTTTCAGGGAACAGCAAACACATTTCTGCAGCCAGTGACAAACTCCTGACATTACGGCTATATAATGGAAAGAGTGACACAAACTTAATTTTAGTGTTGCAAGTGAAATATCATAATTTTTGGAAACAAATCCTTATAGCTTTGCTAAGGTATTAATTGCAGGAAATTACTGCATATCCTTTTGAAGTATTATGTCAGTGGCATATATAGCACATAACACCTTTTCCTAGTCTCTCTTGTTTTCACCCCAAGTGTTGCATTTTCATTTGAAAAGAGATGTGTTAAGTGGCTAGAACTTTGTCTAACTGTGGGGGTGGTGTTGAGTGTCGGGGGTGGGTTCAGGCAGTCTCAAAACACTTAAGCTGTGAAGGGAGACTTCTCAGTTATGCTTTCTAGAACTGGGTCTCCTGCTTGAAGGATAATGTTGATATGGATATTCTTTTGGCCATTTCTTCATTTCTAACTTGTTAAGTTTCAATTTCTAGTCCCAGTACATTTTCCAACTACAATTTATTGGGTCGCAGGATTTAAAAATGAGAGAATTTCATTTCTGATGTGTGGTAGAGCTTAATACGGTTTTCTGATTTCCTCCCATTTTGTTTGTAGTAAATAGGGTAATTACTCACTAAAATTCTAATATCTTTCAGGGCTTTAGGGATGAATCCAAAACAGAACCATATAATGTTTTATTTAAGCAAATCCATGTTCTTATTAGGCAGTTCACCTTAATGTCATTTTTTATAAATAAACTTTGTTTTATTTTTTCAAGGGTTATTTAATTTATTTTGTTGTACTACCACATCCTGACATCTGCCTTTGCTAAGGCCTGCAGGATGTGATTTGTGGTTTAAAATTTAAAAAAAGATATTATTTAAAAATGATAAATCATTTGGGATACAAAAATATGAATGTAAAAGAGTCTGATGTACTCTATTTCATTTTTTAATAACCAGACACGTGTACCGTTCTGTGTTTGTACAGAGCATTTGTGCCAGTTATGCATCTGATTAATATCTAACTAGATATGAATGAAACCAATTGTGGAGAAACTACTACAATACTGGCTTCTTGGACTGTTTATGTTCCCCATTAATTGCAGGGCTTTACCATATAACCATTGGGTAGATCTGGTTTTACTTATCAAATCCAGATCTGCTTTTTCTCCCCCTGCTGAGTAGGGTGAAGTTTCTTGTGCTACCAGCTTCTTATTATTTTGGGGGTTCACAGCATCTTGAGGATTGAAGCTGTTAGCCCTGGAACTCCCAGTGTTTCTGTGGAAAGATTATCTTTGCTAGAGTAACTCCTTGGTAAGTTTGCTCTACATGCAACACAATCAGGTTAAACAGCATTTTACTTTTAAATGAAGTATTTATTTTAATAATTATGGACAAATACTCATTTCTCCACAGACCTTCCTTACTCTACTTTGGATAAGGGTAGGTCTAAACTGGAGGGCTTTTAAAGTCTGGTCTTTAATCTTTTCCCATAGCCTTCATGTTTTTCCGTAGGGGGAGAAATAGGTGGGAAATGAAGCAGGGGACAGTATAGGATTGATTTGTACATAAATGATAATGTGGTCTTTTTTCAAAAGAGCACCATATTTTCTTTGGAAATGAGAATGCACAAAGGGTATTTTAGTTGGGCTTATAAGAAGACCATTTCCCTTGCCTAGTTAAAAGAGCTGTTACGCAGTAGTTTTAATCTCCACCTTGACAGAACATGTGCCCCTGTGTTCCAAAGGGACAAAATGTATTGAATTTGAAGAGGACAGCAAGTCCGTCCCATTCGGGTCCTTAACCATTTCAGTTTTGCCAGGGCTAGCTTCCAAAGCTAGGTTTAAAAGCAGCTGGGAGATGTACCGTCACTTTACAAAATGAGTATTCTAATTATTAACCATAAAATGTGGGAAAGATATCTGGCAAGAAATCTAAAAAGATAAGCTTCTTCTTTTATGCCGACTGGGGACATTCTCATTATGTTTTTGACTAAAAAAGTCATTGCATTCTGAAAAAAATGAATGATAGAAAGGTTTTTTTTTTTTAAGACTAAGTAGCTGTGAAGTTGTATAAGAAAGAGAAAACACTTTGAAAAGTGGTTAGAGCTCTCATGTATTAAGCACAGCAGATGAAATGATTTATTGGGTTTTATACACATTCTGTAAAGGTTTTATACACATTGCTAACAGAATGAGTAGCAGCCTCTGGGAGCTGAACAGGCCCCAGGGACTAGTCTTTGTTCCTCTGGTCTTGACAGGCATGTGTCTCTGTTAAATGAGGGCTTAATTTCTCTCATATGTGAACAATTTCGAAGCCCAACAAAGACAGCCAGGACTGGAGCTATTTAAAAGAACCAACACAGGAGGAAGCATTCTTGAAGAAAGGGGATGCTAAAAGGCTAATTACTCACGATGGCTTAGCAACTATTTTATTTTTTCCCTAAGCAAGGTTTATTAACATGAATCTACCACTTTTTTTTTTTTTACATAAACACACATTAAAATTACAAGGGTGTATTTTAATTTTTTGTGAAATAGCCATTTGCTGATCTCTGTTCATTGAAAAGAGGTGCCCCCATCAGCACCTCATGGTGGTGTATATCATGGAATATTAATTCACTAGAGGGGGAGGGGAAAGACTAATATACTTTGGATCTTTTCTGTCTCAAGTGGAAGGAATTTAAACTATTTACTAAGCAGCATCCTTGGCAACACTGTGAATCCTTTCTTTAGACAGTAATTGCTTAAAATATGGAGGGAATCTTTATTTCAACATTTTCTGTGAGTGTTTGGCTATGATTCTCTTAGTTTGTTTCAATTTCTAGAAGAAAATCCATCTGTTAAAGGGGTATATGTAAGAGGTTACAGGTATGTCTCTACTTTCATCACTCATATTTTTTAAAAAAGACTTTGTAAACTTGATCATTTTCCCTTTCAACTTGTATTATAATCCTCATTAGCCATTTATCTTAATTTTTGACTACTGATATTTAAATTTCTGTACTTTTCCTTTCAAGCTTAGTAACTTCTTTTAGCAGGTAATGATCTATAAACATTTAAATGTATTTGTGCTGCAACTTTTATATCATATTATATTATAATGATAGGACTACTTAAATGCAAACAATAATTGTCTTCTGATTCATCTATTTTGTATGGTTTTAAAGCAGGATGTACCAGTTATTTGAATTATTTACAAAGAAGCATTATCTATAAATGAAGGGCTCTTCCAACTCTAAACTTCTATGTTTTAAGAATAAAAATGGATCTGAAATAAAATAAATGACATAATTTTAGAGTGTTTACAATAAATTTGTTAAAAATTCCCCAAATATTACAAGCTTACATTTTGACTTTTTAATATAGAAAAATTAGGAAATCCTCAAATATGGAAGTTTGGCACAAAGTCAGACACGCAACAGTATCATTTCATGGGAACAACATTCTGCTGTACATGGTAGCTGTGTGTGGCATGATAGAAAAGGCGAAGAAATTGTTGATTTGATTTGTAATGATGGACAGCTGACCGATAACTTGGTTACATCTCATTATCAAAGTGGTCTTTGTGAATGAATCAGATTTTTCATATGCTATTAGCAGTTGTAGCAAAAAAACCATAATTTCCACCTGCATGCCTATTTCTACTAGAGTATAAATAACTTCTGAAAGTGTCTGAGCCTTGTGTACAGCCATGATGACCTAACTCTGAAGGATATGGGGTGGTATCTTTACTTAGAATGTGAAATGGTGACTAT
This sequence comes from Homo sapiens, assembly GCF_000001405.40. Lineage (NCBI taxonomy): Eukaryota > Metazoa > Chordata > Mammalia > Primates > Hominidae > Homo > Homo sapiens. The sequence continues at coordinate 16,168,655 of NC_000011.10, read as the reverse complement.
GTGACTTGGAGAAGAAAAAAGTAAAAGCCATTTCCTCCCAGGTGCTTTTCCTTAGCATCCTTGCTTTCTACCCAGAAATATAGTGGTTTCCATAAGAAAGTATATTTTAGTAGAAATAACATGTTCCAAACCACTTAAACTAATGTCTAAGCTATATTTGTTCCAGAATTGAAGTGCATCTGAATATGAGAAACAGTAGGGACTTCAGAAATGAGAGTCACAAAAAATTCTAGGACCCTTATTTATGACATGAATTAATTAGGTTAAGCTTGCTTTCCCTTTATTATTTAAGATGTTATCCAAAATGAACAATATCATTTCTTTATAAACCTGCCTCTATTTTTATACTTCCTGTTCTTATAAATGACGTCATCACTCCAAATCATATTTGATACCTATTTTTCCTTTATGCATCATAGAATTGCCAATTCTAGTCTAATTTACCTCAAAATACCTCTTATCACATTAGATTCATGTTATGTCATGCCAAAACTGCTGAAACAGTCTGAAATTGTCTCCCCCACTTTAGTTTGTCCCTTTCCAATTTATATGTCTATTCCAGAATATTCTTCCTAAAGTCAACTTCTCATTGTGTTTCTTTTCTGTTGAGATATCTCCAATGGTGTCCTATTGACTATGATTTTGATTTGACAAACTTTCATTAAGCAGTTGTTATGTTTCTGATACTCCTTTGGTCTTTGAGGATATGGCAATCTACAAAAATCCCTGCTCTGCTAAGTTTACATTCCACTGTGGGGAGGCAGGCATTAAATAGATAAGTAAAATTACTGCACACTACAAGAACTGCTATGGAGAAAAAGCAGGGAAGGAGGAAAGGGAATGGGAAAGAGGTACTGCAATTTTAAATAGGGTGTGTGGGTACGTACTTAAGGGAGAAGGTAGTATTTAAGAAAAGACCCACAGGAATGGAAGAAGCAAGTCATACGCATATCAGGAGAAAGATCCTTCCAGGGCAGAGGAAACAGCAGAGCATGCTAGCTGATGGGGGCTTGCTAGCTTTAGCTAAGGAGCATCAGGGACAGTATGGCTGGCCAGGGTAGGGGTAATTTTAGTGAGTGAACGAAAGAGAAAAGAGTAGGAAATGAGAACACAGATGATCTTTTACATCGTTGTAAGGACTTTAGTCTTCAAATGGGATGGGAGACCATTGGAAAGAACGGCGTGCCCTGACTTGGGTTTTGACAGGCTCATTCTGGCTACTGTGTTGCAATTAGACGAAAGGGTGGAAGGGTAGAAGGAGGGAGACCATGAGAAGGCATTTTAGGCAAAGTGTTGGTAACTTGGACCAGGTTAATAGTGAGAAGTCAATTCTAGATATATTGTAAGAGCAAAGCCAACGAGATTTAGAGTGAAAAGGAGAGAGGAAAGTCAAGGATTTTGACCTAAGCAACTAGAAAAATGGAGTTGACATTCACTGAGATTCTGCCATTCACTGGAAAAGCTGTAAGAAGAACAGATATCAGCAGTGAGTGAGGGTCTGGAAGTTGGAGGGAGAATATCAAAAGTTTAGTGTTGAACTATTTTGTTGAAATACTTATTAGAGATCCGTTTGGAGATATTGAGTAAGCAGTAGGACATACATGACTGGAATTCAGAGGACAGATAAGGACTGAAAATGTACATTTGAGAGTGTCAATGTATGCGTAGTTTTCAAAGTTCAGTGTTTTTAGCCTAATGTTCATGGCCCTCCATAACATGGTTCCTACTCTCAGTAAAGCTATTTCTAGCTTTACTTTGTACTAGTTAATAAACTTGTCTGTGTATAATTTTCAGAACACGACTCATACTTTCACATCTCCAAATCAGTTGTCATAATGTTTTTTCTACTTGGAATACCCATTTTCCTCACATTTATCTTTGTCTTTTTAAAGCCTAGAATTTCATTATGGCCTGGTTCCATGAAGCCTTCACTGATCACCACCACTGCTTTCCCCTGACTCAGTCAAGGTTATCTCTTTCTCTTCTGAGCTTCCACAGTCCCTTGGGCCTTTTAAATAGCACATACTACATGCATTGTATTTTAGCTGTTCATTCATGTCTTGTCCCTCCTACAAGATCATAGCCTACCTGAAGTCTGAGGTCGTATTCATTTTTGTATTCCCAACATGCCTAGTTTGATACTTTGCACATGGGAGATGTTGTTGAATTGAATAGTTGAAATCTTAAATCATTTTAATGGACAAAGAAGGAAACATTCAAAGTTATTTTTTTCTTCCATTATATGTTCATCACTTATTGAAGCAAATATTGCAGAAGCACACATATGAAACAAATTGTACTAAAATATTTAGTTAATAGTGCTATGAATTAAACAGAATGTTGGAAACTTAGGATTTGGTTTGATCTTTTGACTGAGGTAAAGTCTATCCAATTCGGAGATGTTTGCTGATTAATCAGCTGTTAAATTCCTACTTGATTAAAGTTGGTAATGTGGGTGAAATAAACAGTCCATAGTTGGTTCATTAAAAAAAAATCACTTAAATTCCTTTTTGGGTTGACTCTGATCTTAATTAAAATGCCTAGAAAGAGCAAATTGGACTGTATACATTTATACTACAGTTTCATTGTCCTTCATTTCTATCTCTAAATTAGTGAATAATTTGTATTTCTAAGAAGGGCTCAAATACATAGCTAATATTGAGTACTTATTATATACTAGGGACTTTTATAAGTCCTTTACAAATATTACCTCCTTAAATGCTATGTATTTAGTCTTTTAGGATTTTTTTTTTTTTTTGAGACAGAGTCTTGCTCTGTTGCCCAGGCTGTAGTGCAGTGGCGCCATCTTGGCTCACTGCAACCTCCACCTCCCAGGTTCAAGCGATTCTCATGTCTCAGCCTCCTGAGTAGCTGAGATTACAGGCACATGCCACCATGCCTGGCTAATTTTTGTACTTTTAGTAGAGACAGGGTTTCACCATGTTGGCCAGGCTGGTCTTGAACTCCTGACCTCAAGTGATCTGCCCGCCTTGGCCTCCCAAAGTGCTGGGATTACAGGTGTGAGCCACTGCACCTGGCCTAGGATTCGTCATTTAGCATTACTGAACTTTACTATAGTTTTTGAAAATCAGTAATGCTATGTAGTTCCTTGGGGAAACTTCAGAAAGGAATAGTAAGGGATATAGTTTTTACAGCCTTAGTTTACTGACTGGTATCTTTTTAAGCATTTTAACTTCTATAATTCTTATGTATATTATGTTAAAATAAGAAATCTTGAGAGTTGTAGATTTAGTTCAATTCTTTAAACATTTAAGTCCCTTAGTTCTTAGCTAAAGGTACCAAGGTGAAAAAGATAATGTCTCTGCCTTTAAGAAACTCACAGTTTAGTAAGAGAGACATTTGAGCAATAATCATACTAAGTAAAATGATTTTTAATTTAGTAAAATTTTAATGAGCTTTGTTGACTGATCATAGATTAAGTATTTTAGCTCTATCAACATCAAGGGTATATCCCTTAAATGCGATGGTAGTATTTATGGCTTTCAAGTTAGTATTTGTGGCTTGCAAATACCAAGTAGAACAGTAACACTTGCTGGAACTCCTGAGAAAATATACTGAAAATCATTCCTCTAAAAGTAGATTTTTAAAGAACTGCTTTACTATTTGTTATTTTAGTAATCAACAATAGGAAAAGCTGCAGTTAGCAATATAGATAAAAAGAACCAGTTAATTTCACAGCCTTAAAGCATATCTGCTCTGTGTAAGAAGACTGAAATTAGCTATATGAAGTCAATCAATACAGGAAATATGAGACATACTGTTGTCTCTCTGTGGACTTTCTTTTTTCTTTCTTTCTTTCTTTTTTTTTTTTTTTGATACCAAGTCTCGCTCTGTTGCTCAGGCTGGAGTGCAGTGGTGCGATCTCGGCTCACCACCTTTCGCCTCCCAGGTTCAAGTGATTCTCCTGCCTTAGCCTCCCAAGTAGCTGGGATTACAGGTGCACACCACTACCCCTGGCTAATTTCTTTTGTAGTTTAGTAGAGACGGGGTTTTACTATGTTGGCCAGGCTGGTCTCAACCCCTGACCTCGTGATCCGCCCGCCTCGGCCTCCCAAATTGCTGGGATTACAGGCGTGAGCCACTGTGCCCGGCCCTCTCCATGAACTTTCAAAGGAGCCAGAGAGACAAAATGTCCATGTATTTTAAAATGCGAGAACAGTTGCAGAACATCTTGAAAACAAGTACAAAAATAATTATTATAAACTGAACAGTTAAATACTGAAGATCCACTGATTCTGATGGAGGAAAGTGAAATGGTAGACAAGCAAGACACTACTTTACATACATTTTATTTGCTTTAAATTGAACATGGTATCATACAGCACTTTTAAGCAAGGTATAGTTAATGTCTATTTAAGAATTTCTAGGCTGGGCATGGTGGCTCACCCCTGTAATCCTAACACTGTGGAAAGTGAAGGCAGGAAGATTGCTTGAGCCCAGGAGTTTGAGACCAGCCTGGGCAACATAGTGAGACCTTCATCTCTACAAAAAGGAATTAAAATTACCCAAGCATGGTGGTGCTACTGGGTAGGCTGAGGTGGGATCACTTGAGCCTGGGAGTTTGAAGCTGCAGTGAGCCAAAATCATGCCACAGCTCTCCAAACTGGGTGACAGAGCGAGACCTTGCCTCAAAAACAAAACAAAACAAAACACCTGAAAAAGAATTTCTAGAGGCTCAGCTCTTCTTTGTCTCGCAACCTGTCTCTTTCAGAAATAAAGGGCCTTAAGTAGAACTAGCCCTGGTTCCATGGTTGAGTTACAAATATACCTGTCAATGCCCCAACTTTTCATAGAAGACAAAATACATACCACATGATTAACTGCAGTTCACAGGAACCACAGAGGAAGATAGTGCAGGTTGCTATCTTGCTTGGATTGCCATTCCTTTTGGGTTAGGCTTAGAAGCCAAAATCATGTAGCGTCAAGGCCCCAGAAGAATGCTTTAACCTATAACTTAGGACTTTAGTCAAGATTTATTAGCAAGATTTGTTTTTCACTTTAAGGGAGAGATACTTTTCATCCTCAAACTTGATTTGGAAAGTATGTGTGGGAAGAGTTTGTTTTCTTCCCCTCCAGATTTTGTTTTTCCTGAGATATTGGCTGAGAAAGCCTGGTTTAGACCATTGTTTGATGAATGCTACCTAACCTTCTAAAAAGTTAGGATTATACATTCTATCAGTAGTTGCAATCCTTTCCACATGTTTATTTTCTATAAATATAATTTTGTTATCCCTTTAAATAAATTCATTTATAAAAGGCATAGTAAAAATCTATAGGATCTTAAACTGTTTTGGGTGAAAGGGACCTTGAGAACTTAGATCACTGACTTTCAACTTTTTTCAGACCAACCACAGTAAGAAGTTCATTTCACATCACTACCCAATACATGCATATAGCACATACATACACATGTGTGTATAACAGAAACAGAAATTTCATTAAATGAGACTTGTCTTACAACATGTAATGTTCTCTGTATGAGATATTTTCTTTTTATCTTCCTTTTTTATTTTCTCTTCCCTCCTCTTTTTTCATACTCTTATCTGATCCTTTTATTTTTCTTTTCCCCTTTTTACACTATCTTTCCACTCTTTTTCATTCTTTTTTATTATCTTGTCTCTCTCATCTTTATTCACCCTACTCTCTTCTTTCTTTAATCTCATTCTACCCATATACTCCTTCCTCTTTCTTCTCACTTTTCTTCCTTTTTTCTTTCCCTTTTTTCATTTTCCCTATTCTATTCTATTTTTAAAAAGCCAACTCTGTCCTTCTAATTGGTCACAACCACAAAGCGTGGAAAATACTGACTCAGTTCAAACCACTCATTTTACACTTAAGAAAACCAAGGCTGTTAAAGATGGACTATCATCTGTTTAAGGGGTATATTAGGCTATTCTTGAATTGATATAAATAAATACTCGAGACTGGGTAATTTATAAAGAAAAGGCTCATGGTTCTGCAGGCTGTACAGAAAGCAAGGCACTGGGCATCTGCTTGGCTTTTTATGAAGCCTCAGGAAACTTACAATCATGACGGAAGTCAAAGGTGGAGCTGGCAACTCACATGGGAAAGCAGGAGCAAGAGAGTGTGAGGGGGAGATGCCACACACTTTTAAATGACCAGATTTCATGAGAACTCACTATTGTGAAGCCAGCACCAAGCCACGTGGGATCCACACCCATGATCCAAACACCTCTCACCAGGCCCTGCCTCCAACGTTGGGAATTATAATTCAACATGAGATTTGGGTGGGGACAAATATCCAAACTATATCAAGGGTATTGCTTGTCCAAGATCACATGTTATGTCCTGAAAACATCTAGTTACTGACAGAGTTGGTTTTGTAATATCGGACTTTAAAGGTCTTCAAAGAAATAAAAATATTCTGACCTATATGGATATCTTAATATTCTGAACCTAATTCTTTCTGTTTTGAAGGATATAAGATGCAGCTAGTTGTAATTATAAGCAAGAATGTCTGGGTAAAAATTTGGAAATTTCCACAGATTTCTAGTTTGATGAAGTTGCTATCCATCATCCTGAACTTAAAGTTTTGATTTTTCCAAGCAAGGAACAATTATTACAGTTGTATGTAAAAATTGAAAGACTTGAAAACTCTATTATATATAATTGCACAGAATCCTTGCATTAAATTTAGGACAAGGAAGAAACAGAATAGTCTATTAATTTATTTTCATAGTTCCAGGAAGGGATAAGAGAGTGAGGACCATAAACAACCAGAATCTGATAAAATATCCTTAACTTTAGCCTCCTGCCATGAGTTAGTATGTTGGAACAGTGAATGGCAGAGAAACACACTAAGGCAAGGCCAAGTGAGAACAAGAAAATGTCTGCAATTCACTTTTTCAGTAAGTACTACCATGTGCCAGGTTCTAGTTATGTCAAAGGACAGAAGAAAAAAGAAAAATGAGAAAACTTAGCACCAGGAGTGTTATATGGTAGAGATCCGACTTGACTATGAGGAGCAGCTTTTTGTCTCAGCAGGAGTTTTGTGGCGCTAGTAAAGGAGGTCAGCATTTTTCCTTTGTCCTGCTTTTGTCTGTTCAGAATCCCACTCTTTGTGCCCTTTTCAGAATGTGCATTGGATGTGATTTTTGTTGTTGTAATTTGGTTTCCATTACTACTTTAAATAAACTTGACATAATATTTGGATTAGGGGAACAGCTACTAGAGCCTATTAGCTACTAAAATAATTCTTATGTCTAAGACTATATATATATATATACAAGACTATATATATGACTTTATACATAATCTTAAACATAAGACATATATATCTGATATATATATATATATATCAAATTCATTGTCAAATCTTAAGTGTTACAGTCCTCACACAATCCAAGAATAAAGAGAAAATAAAGAAATAGGTGTACTAATGTTGTGCTGGAGCCAACTCACACTGGCTCATAAGAACCAACTGTGTGTATCTTTTCCCAACTTCTTGTCCAGTGACATCATGTTTATAGGTTGAAATCAACCATGGTGGATTGAAATCAACCATTTACACCATGGAAACTGGCAAATGCTCCATATCACCCTCCCCCACTTTTTTTTTGAAAGCTGATTTACCAGCATTCAACTGGGTGTGATAAAGTACAGAAACATTAAAAAGCTAAGCAATCAAATATTTAAATCATTGATTCTTGAACTAAAGTGGCTGCATGTTATTTAACTAGTATCATCGGTTTTGGATCAAGAGTTTAAAACTTTCTTGTAGTTTTTTTGAGAATTTGGAATTAATTGAAGAATTTTAAAAAGAGAGCTCAGTTCCAAAAATGTTTTAGTAACTTAGAAATATTTTAAAGTCATTCATGGTCAGAAATAATTAGCCCCCTGGGCTCACTGTGCTGCTTTTGTAGGCTTCAGGAAAGAAGAAAAATTTAGAAGTCTGAACAGAATCTAGTTTAAGAAAATGAAACATTCTTAAATTACATTTTATCCTCAATCCATAATTTCTGACAGTGTATTTTCTGTGTTCTTTGACAGGCTTATAGACTACTCTGCTTTAACATAAAGGATTATTATTTTTTCACCTTCATGTTAAAAACCACATTAGCCTCCACCCCGTAAAGTAATTTTACAACACTTAGCATAATGCCACAAACTGGTATTTAAGATAAGTCATTATGGTATATATGGGCATGTGTTATCCAGACACATCACTAAGGATGCACTTGCTTCCCAGCCACAGAAATACTGTAAAACATACAGCTTCCATCTGTCAGCTCCTGTAGTTTGCCTGAGCTGCAGAGAGCCACTTAACCCCAGGTCATATCCTTCCCAGGCTCTCCCATTTGAGTGAAGGACATGGATGTGAAGTTTGGGCCTTTCAGGTTTGAAATTAGACACTGACTTCAGGGCTTCCTGCTGAGTTGGATGAAGTATTCTTAGGCCAATACTATAGTTCAATTTCTTCCTCTGCCCAATCTTGTCTTCTTCTCTTTCCTGTTTACAAGTGTTGTTCCCTAGTAAATATCTTGTACCTTAAACCGTAAACCTATCTTGTAGCTTTTAGAGAACCCCATCTGCAGCAGCCTTGTACGTTACATTAATGCAATATGTTAGTATTATGCTAAGGCAATTTTATCAGGTCTTGCCAATACCATTGAGGCCTGCATTTCTGGTATGTTAGTCCCCTTTCCGAGTTTCCCACCCCATGACTTTGTCTACGGCAGAACTGTTATGAAAAAATCTGCTTTAGAAATTTTGCTCCATGTTTTAGTACTTGTCCTCCAAATTCTGCCACTTTACATACATTTGGTAATAATGAAGTTTCACCTACCTAATGTTCTGTTGCATTAAGTAGATTTTTATAGGTAGAAACAGACTTATCAAAAGTCTGATTGTTCTGCAAGCCAATAAATGTCAATAGAATGGAGACTATTTTATTAGTAAATGTGTATGTTACAAACTTTATTACATTTTAAATTTAACCCAAAATTCCCCTGGTCAAAAATTTAAAAGATTCCAAAGTTGTGTGCATAGTTATTAGGTTACTAAAATCTGTAGGTATATATTTTAGATTTTATATTACTCAGAATACTGCATAAAGGTCTTTTTACCTTATTTTTTCTATCAGTTCACAAGTTCACATCATCTAATATTTCTCTGTCAAATTACCTACTGATACTATAAGGCCAAATAAAAATATTAAAGGGAGGAAACAAAGTATTTTTTAAAACCAAACACCAATTTATTTTCACGTAACTGTTTTGGAGAGCTGTATGAAAATGTTGAGAAATAAGGTAGGTAGAAAAGATAAGAAATATAAGAAACAGTAATATTTATCCTAAAGTCTTGAATCCTCAAATGAACTGATCTTTAGCGTTCTCATGCTAGTGTTAATTTGTGTCTAAGTTAGAGGAGGGGATAGGAAAAGAGGATTTAAACACAGCTGGGAGCATTAAGTCATTTTGGATAAGGAATTAATATTAGATAATTTTGGCTAACAGCAGAAAAACTAATAAACAGTTTGATGATAGTATTCTCTTAAAAGTGTTTATTTCTGTAGTATCATTGGTAGATATGATTTAGGTATAAGGTGAGCTTATTGGGACTATTTGCATTGTCTTTCTCCTGCAAAGAAAGGAGATGGAAAATGGTGAAAATAATAATTTCAAAGTCTGGCTCTGCTATCTATTTGGCATGTGATCTTGGATGAATCATTTAACCTTTGTGAGACTTTTCTGTAAAAAGATAACAAACACACAGATACACACACACACACACACACACACACACACACCTGTAACTTCAAGCACATAGGACTAATGCAAGAATTATTAGAGTTAATGTGTAGAGAAATACTTTGGCAAATATAAATTGAAAAAGTGTGTAGTCATAATAATAATGATGAGTCAGTTCACATAGAGCAAAATTTTATATCAATTCCCATATCACATTCACCAAGATCTTTTTTCTGAATTCCTAAAAGAACACCCAGGAAAGCCACAAGCAGATAAGAGGAATTTTTTTATTACTCCTGGAAGCCTTGCCTACAATTTCTTCATTTTGCCTGGGTGCCCCCTCTCCACACATATTCATGTGCATACACATTTAGTCATCATTTGTGTTACCAATAATATGAAGAAACAGGACATTTATCATATGATTTTTATATATAAATTACAGTTGAGATAAAGATAAGTTGACTCTTGGGAGATGTGGGAAAAGAAATCTATTAATGAGATTCACTAATTGTTGTTGTTGCATTTTGGCATCAGTTTCATTTTGAACAGAAGAGAACAAGTTGTACCTGGGAGTCATACCCTACGAAAGCCACAAGAACATAATATATACACCAAGGAGTATGATGGCTTTTGGAAATACTAGCTTTGAGAAGGTACAGAAATTGGAAGGAACTAAGGGGGGATTTGAGAGGAGCTGGTGGCACAGTGTCTAGATGCATTGAAAGTATCCAAGAATGAAGAGATGTGTTTAATTTCAGCATAGAGATTAACTCAACAATTTTTGAATTGAATGAGTTTAATAAAGTTTTCTTATTAAATTTCTACTAGTCTTTGGGTACTATGCTGGAAACAAGAATAAAAAAAGAAAGATAAATTACTTATCTTTGGAAGCTCACAGTCTAGTAAATGGCAACAATATAATGTGCTAAGTGTTATGGTAGATATATTCACTGACTGCCATAGAAGTGCAGAGGAAGAGCATTTAATCCCAATTGATAGAGTAAGGGAGGCTTGCTCAAAGAAGTGACATTTGATATGAATCTGAATTTTGAAGTAGGAGAAGGAATGTGAACCAGGATGGAAGGTGTCCAGGCAGAGAGAAGAGTCTGAACAAAGATTCATAGAGATGAAGAACATTGCATGTTAGGGAACTACAAATAAATTCATTTCTCAGTAAGGCTGGAATGAAGTGAACAAGTACAAGTGTGGCAAAATGAAGCTAGAGTATAGCTATGCACCAGATATTGAAGGACCTTTTATGACCAATTAAGAACAATAGTTTAAAGGATATAAGCAAGAGAATGGGATGACATTTGCCTTTCAGAAAGATCACTCTGATGAGAGTGTGGAGAATATCTATTTGGTATGTGATCTTGGATGAATCATTTAACCAAATGATTAACCAAATCTGGGGGACAGAACATGTAAATACAGGATGATAATCAGGTTTGGAGGACTGGGTGAGGTGAAGGGTTTTATTTTTGACATGCTGAATTATCCAGGTAGATATACTTACTAGATGTTGGATATATAGGTTTGAAACTTGTAAATTGAGTCTGAGTTAGAAATACAGATATTGGATATTAAAGACTGGATAGGATTTGGATATTAGCCCCCTCAAAAGAGGAGGCTAAAAGTAGAGACAAGGAGAACATTTGAGGTACTATTGAAGTAATCCAAAAGGGAAGAAATGACAGAATCTCGGCTAAGGAGGTATAAGTAGGAATAGAGATGAGGAGATGGGTTTGTGTGATGTTGAGGAAATAAATCTATAGAATTCATGATTAATTGGATTTAGCTAAGAAGAAATTTAAGCAAACTCCCACATTTCTGCATTGGTTGACAGTTGACACCTCTGTTCAACAGGATAGGTGTTTATTTAATTACACAAATATTTACCAATGATAAATCACTGCTCATTATCAGTGAGCAGTGATAATACACTAAGGAACAAAATGGACAAAGTTTGGGAAGATAGAGACTGTAAACAAATAGATAAATATCATGTAGTGATAAATTCTATGAAGAAAAATAGGTTAAGGATAAGTAAGAATATAGAGTGATGATAGTTACACATTTATAGAGCTCAGAGAGGCCTCCTTTTGAGTAAATGATTTGAATAAATTGAATGCAGGAGACATGGATATTAGGGTAAAAAAAAGTATTCCAGGGAGAAGGAACAGAATTACAAAGTATGTGAAGTGGGAGTGTGCTTGGCATGTTTTAGGTGTAGCCAGGAGGCCAGTAAAGATGGAGTAGAAAGAGCAAGGGGAAGTGGTATGTGGTGAAGTCAGAGATGTATTGGTGGACAGATCATGTAAATACAGGATGATGATCAGGTTTGGAGGACTGGGTGAGAAGAAGGGTTTTATTTTTGACATGCTGAATTATTCAGGTAGATATACCTACCAGATGTTGGATATATAAGTTTGAAACTTGGAAATGGAGTCTGGGTTAGAAATACAGATTTAGGAATCATTATCAGGTGGATAATAATGAGTTTGCCTAGAAATATGAGAGTGAGAAGAGGGTAGAGAGCAGAATTTTCGGAAATACTAACATTTAAAGGGTGGAGTAATAGAGAAATGGGAACATGTGATGGAGATTAAGAAGGAGAGGCAGTAGCAAAGGGACCCACAGACTGATCCATATATGTTCAGCTCTGGAAGGTTCAAGCATGAGATATTTATTAAGCATCTATAATAAGCATTGCACTGTGAATATGAGTGCAATAGGTCTCAGAATGATGTGGTGATAGGGCTCTTAGAAATCATCTATTTAAACCCAATCATTTTGTATTTGAGGGAACTGTGACCAGAAGGCAAAGTGACATGCTCTAGGCCACACAGTTTCATAGTGAGAGAGATAGGACATCAATCTAAATCACTGGAACTGTCCCCTTTACACACTGAACTCAGAGAAACAAAAAGCATACAAGATTGGGATAATTTTAAAGAACTTTCTGGAACTTTGGTCTTAAAGACTGGATGGGATTTGGATATTCAGGGAGAAGGGAAGGGCAATATGAGAGTAAATATTAAAGTGAAGATGTGATAACGAGCTTGGAGTGTATAGCCTATGAAAAGATGTCCTATGGTAGAGTTTTTATTAGTGAATAAGGGAAATAAATTTGGAAACTTTGGTTAGAACAAAGATTGTAGATTTGATGGCATGGGAAAGCAATAGAGACTTTGGAACTAGTTCACCTTTAATAAAAGCATGTTGTGGAAGAGGAAGATACACTAGACTGCCACTAAGTATGTGTTAACATAATAGCTAATGATTCACTATGTACTAGATACTGTAATACATGCCTTATGTATTATATTACTCAATTGACACAATAATACTGTTTGCCACTGAGAAAATGGAGGCTTAACAGAGGTTAAACAACTTGCCCAAGGCATCACAATAAGTAGCCTAGCCAAGATTCTAATCTAATTAACAGAAAACACTTATATAGTGTTTACTGTATGTTAGACACTATTCTAAGGCTCTAGATACCTCAATCCATTGAATTCTTACAATAGCCCATTGAGGTAGGTAATATTATTCCCTTTTATAGATCACAAAAGTGAAGCATGGAGAGGTTAAATAATTTGTCCAAGGTCATACAGTTAATAAGTGGAAGACCTCGAATTCAGACTTAGTCTGGCTCTAGGATGTGTGCTCTTAACCACTACACTCTGCTGCCTCTCTTTCTATGAGAATCTAGAGCCCTGGATCCTAACCACTATGTGATGTATCTTTCAGAGCAGAGGTTTTGATTGAAAAACCTGTAGACTCATTTGCCAAGTTGGGAATTTGAACATAGAGATAGAGTGGCCTGGGAAATAATTTCTAAAGAAAAAGAAAACTTTTTTTTTTTTTCTGACAATCAGTCTGACCCACACTCCACAGTTAAGCAAAGAGGGTAGTTCAAGGACCACCTACAGAAAAGAAGGAGCGATAGTCTTAAAACCGGAAATTTACCAGGTTCACGACTTGTAAATGAGGAATGCATGAATAAGAACTAAAATATGTGCAGCCCAAACTGCCCCACTACAAATATTTGAACACTCCCTGAAGGACTGGTTGCCCAGGAAATGCCTGGTTACAAACTCAAGGTGCAAATTTATCAAGGTAGATAGATGCCTGTGTGCTAGTCTGTGGTTGTTTGTACAAAGTTATACTTGGGGAAATAGAAACAGGAAACTTTGATGTGTATATTACAATAATTCTTATTTTGTCTTTATGTAAAGACAAAAAGTTGCATTTTTTTTTGTAAGCAAATATTAAACGGCTTTAAAAAATCAGTTAGACTGGTTGAATGATTCAGAAGACCACTGTACTTAATTTAATTCGGAGACAGGTGATTAGAAAAGATCTGGCTGAGGGTTGAAGAGGAGTCACTTAAAAGGCAAAATGGGAGCACAATAGAGCAGAAAGAAGCATCAATAGCTGATTTCTGTAGGTTCCATACAATTTAAAATAAGGAGTTTTAATATGGTAAAAAGAATACTGCACAGGGATAAGTGGCGTAAAGGAAAAATTACATAAAAAATAGATTTCTGTAATTTGTCGCAGCATGTTAATTAGGGGGGTTATTATTCTATTGTAATGATTGTTAGCAAATGTTTCCTCCATTTATTTTTCCCTTTACACTGTCCAATTGTGCTTCTTACTTTTTTTTCATGTATTTACAAACTCTAGTTAGGATCCTGATTACGGCATAGTTCCTTGATAATATTAAGATATGTAAGGTATCTTCATTGTTGGCCTCAGGCTATCTTTGCTATGACTTGCATTTGTCCAACGTCAAAACATAGGAAACAGGTAATAAAGCTTTTGGTGGTATCCAGCCACTGTAATGAAGACAGGAATGTGATTTGAGCTGGGAGGAATAAATTGCCATCTTACTTCACTTTTATATTCCTTTTTATTATCAGGCAGCATTACCCAAAGCCATGGGTTTTGTTTTCAGAAAAGTAGAACTTAGAATTATGCTTGGTTTAGGATTAATTAATAAGATTGTGTGGTACTCTCCAGAGAAAAGAAGTTAAACTTCATTATATCTCAATTTGGATTTTTTTTTTATTTTTGACTTTTAAAAATGCTTAGATTTTCCTCAGTATTTTATCAATAGTGTGTAAGCTGGAAAACTTGAGTTTGAGATCACATATCTGTCTCACTAGTCTATTCACTTCTGTGGGCATTTCGGCAGAAGTGGCAACTGGAAGTTGTAAGCATGGTTTTGGGCAGGGAGACCAGAGTTCGATGGTCATTACTGCCAATTATACTCTGAGACACAAAGAGATAGGTTGAGTCTGTTGGACCCCAGTGGGTTTCAGTCTTATGTGTTCAGTTGCTCATATTGTGCTTAGTGAGTGGTATGGGTTTTTATTGTATTTTAGGAGGTAACTGGAAGAGATCTTTTATTTATTTGTCTAACCAGTCCTATCAGAGGTAGTTAACCCTGTTTTTGATAGGCTTAGTAAAACTTACTCTACATATCCCTGTGCAATACTGCTTTGTAGGATGACATATCGCCAAACAAATTTGGGACAACTATCAGTTCACAAATTTTTTCCCTTTCCCAAGGCTGTGACTTTTTTTCCTTAAAAAAGTAACTCTAGGCCAGGTGCAGTGACTCCTGCCTGTAATCCCAACACTTTTGGAGGCTGAGATGGGTGGATCACTTGAGGTTAGGAGTTTGAGACCAGCCTGGCCAACATGGTAAACCCCATCTCTACTAAAAAATACAAAATACAAAAAATTGTCTGGGCATGGTGGCTCATGCCTGTAATCCCAGCACTTTGGGAGGCTGAGGTGGGTGGATCACAAGGTTAAGAGATAGATACCACCCTGGCCAACATGGTGAAACCTTGTCTCTACTAAAAATTCAAAAATTAGCTAGATGTGATGGCACACACCTATAGTCCCAGCTACTGGGGAGGCTGAGGCAGGAGAATCTCTTGAACCTGGGAGGTGGAGGTTGCTGTGAGCCGAGATAGCGCCACTGCACTCAAGCCTGGCAACAGAACAAGACTCCATTTCAAACAAACAAACAAAAAATTAGGGCTTGGTGGCACACACCTGTAATCCCAGCTACTCGGGAGGCTGAGGCATGAGAATCGCCTGGGCGATAGAGTGAGACCCTGTCTCAAAAAAAAAAAAAAGTAATTCTAATATATCATTTCTGATATCTTTGAGATATCAAAGCTATTTTTGAGAATGTATGTGAGTCTCTCTGTGTGTGTGTCTAAAAACATGAAGCTAGGAAGTAGAGGGAAATGTAATATCTGTTAGTTAATTCAGTCACTATTATATAACAGAATGTGTTTATCAAGACCATCTTGGCATGGTAGTTCAGATCAGTAGCCTGTATTAATGGTAAAGGGTGTTCTCTGGCTTTAATTATACATACATTCCAGAGAAAATAGTAATTTGTATTTTGTTTTGTTTTTGTAACTTATTGATAGTCCAGTGTCAAATTCCATTGGTCTGTTTTGGGATACCTTTATATTTGTTTGTGAAGTGAGCATCTGGGTTTCAGTGATCTCCAGCCAGATTTGGGTTCTCCAGATACTGAACAGAGCTGTCTGTGGGTGGGGTCAAACACGCCTGTGACTTTTGACCATTGAAAATGAAGGAAAACATTTGTGGTGAGAAACAACAGCATATGCTTGACCTCCAAAGCATACACATCTATAAATGGATAAAAGTGACTATTTAAGGTTGTTTTAAAAAAGAACCACTGTGTCTACAAAGAAAGAAACCCTAATTCAATGTTTGAAAAAGCAAACTGTGTGGGTGAAAGAACATGTTTTTGTCAAAAACATCTGTGGTGTTCCCTATGATGTATTTGATCCTGGTGGTAAATCAACAAAGTTAAGTATTAGAGACAAAAATTGACTTTAGACAACTTATTATGTCATAAATAATATTAATTCAACCCAAAGTATTTCAAGGCTGTCTTTAACTGTTGTTATTTTGACTAATTGCCAGATATACAAAATAAAGTTCTCATACCAAAATTAAGGCATTGCTTGAATTTGTTATTTAGCAGTTGCAGTTGGTTATGTATGTGTTCTTTGTACCTTCATTTTAAGTTTTACTTTAGTACAGTGTTTCCTAGAGGTGGTTTCCTCACTGTCAGGAGATAACTGCCACTGGGCCTAATTTTATAGAACTGAATTTTTCAGCTTGCCATAGTTTTTAATGTAATTTTACTATAGTCATGATTTATAGACCATATTGTTTGTGTTTTTGCAGATGTAAGAGATTCCATATCTGATTTTATGAGGATTTTTTCTTTCCCAAATACTGAAGCAATAAATTATGGGGTGAAACTCTCCCAAACAAAATGTAAAATTTACAGGAACAAATAATTTGACATGAAATTTTCTCTGTGGATGAATTGGGTTGATGAAATTAACAGCAACAGAAAAATGGTGTCTGCAGGGATTGTGTCAAAAGAAGCTAAGTTATGTCAAAGACAGTGAATGGTATGAACTATTAGGTGATGAATTTTAATAGTGTCCAAATGTAAATAGTGAATTCAAAGTATTACTCAGCAGCTGCAAGAGCGATCGGAAAAGCTGACATGACAAATTCAGTCATTTCTTAATCACTTTCGTTACGCACTATTGTCAGCTCTGAGAGGCAAATTTTCATCCTGATTTACACCCGTAATGCTAATACTTGAAACCTAGAACTTCTCAAAATCGTTTGCTTGCAAAACACCTTTTAAATCATCTTAGATGTTTCTGTGACCCAATGTCATTAAAAAAATGTGAAAAATATATTGCATATGTCAAAGAAAATTTTCCATTTCCCATTTGTATGTTATAAAAGAGGTATTATTTACTGTAAAATCCAAAAGTATTAATTGGCTGCCTTTGGTTTAAATAAAATTGATTGTTAAAGCAGAAAATAGAGGATAATATGAGTCTTATTCTGCTGTAGCCTCCCAATAAAAGAAGCAGTGACCCAACTCATTAGCCCTTTGATTTAATATATTGACACTTGGGTACGAATAATTTCATTTAGTGGCTTTTGCTTCCCAGGGATCAATTTAATTAGTTATAGAATGTGACTTCTTGTCAGGAGCTAGAAGAAATGCTGACGTTAAATAAAGTCATACACAATTTAAACAATAAAGCTATCGATGCCTGGTTAAAAGTTAATGATGCAAAAAAATGGCTTAATAGAGACAACCTCAGCAGTGAAAGTGATGCTAGGAAAATTAAGCTAAGTGGGTGAATGAGGAATGGTGATGTTGTTGAATTGTTAAAACAAATCTGTGGCTGGTCTGATGGCTGGCTATGTTGTAAGTACATCATCTTTCAGCCCGAGAGACAGAACTAGTTCTAGACTCCTTGCTCAATATTCCTTCAGTGTGAGTTTCATTTGTTTATAGGTTTTAGGATCCAGGGGAGGGAAGAAATCTTGTTTAGGCTGCATGGACAAGAAAACTTCCTGAAATCAACTCCATGTTTGAGAGAAAGATGTAGAAGTGTTATTCATGACCGTCCCATCCCAAAGTGGCTTCTGTGAAGTAGTCTCATGTGGGCTCTGCTAGCTTGTCCAGGGCCATTTCTATTTGTGCTAAAATGTTTGAAAAGAACTCTGGGTTTACATTTTGGCCTGGAAGATTTGTCTCCTTCTGAATAGTGGTTACTTATAAAAGTAGTTCTTCCCAACTTAGAGAAATGTAACCTTTTTTACCTATGTAATTAATGCCACCTCTAACTCACTTCTGTAATCAATATTGTTATTTTATGTCTCTGACAGCATCCACACACTGATTTTGACACTACTTGAGTTATCTTTGTCTCCGTATCTCTAGCCTCAATATACTTATGTTACAGAATGAATGAACTGGCCTAGAATTAAGTAACTAGATAATCTCAATCTCTAAAATGCTTCCAAACTCCCTAATTTAATCATAGATTCAAACCCAATTGTTTAATTCAGTCAAATCAATTGCTTTGGGAGTGGTGTAGTCAAAACAACCAGTTGGTTGACTAAAAGATCCTGGTTTCTGCTGGTATGTGTACATGTACCCACAATTGCCTCTTTTTGGCATTGGCTGCTACTGGGTCATTAACACCAGTTAGCTAAATAAAAGATAACCACATTTTATTGTCAGACAAAATTTGTATCTCACTTCTCCAGCTGTTGCCTTTCTAAGTCACTTGCTCATTAGCTAAAGATGAAGAACATATTTAAACTTGATGAGTTTTAAAATCCTTATTCTAGTCAAAGGAATTGACATAAGTATTCTATAGCTAATTTTTCAAAAAACAACCAAAGAAGTGTTTTCCCTTTTCCAGTTTTGTCCCTAGCAGGTTCTGAAGTCTGTGGTTGCTGGACGGGAATAAAAGTGCAATGAACTGAGCTCTGGAAAGGAAGATGAAATAGGAATTTATGGTCTTTAATGACCTATCAGACTCCTATTTCCCTACTTTATAATGAAGCACATATTCTCCCTGTGTTTTCTTCCTGGAATGTACTGAAAAGGGTCAAGATTAAAGATCCTGGGCAAAAGCTTACTGTTTTGGAAATCTGTTTATTGCATATTTTTTTTTCTGCTGGTTCAGCTGCCAAGGAAATTACTGTAGAGCCTACAGTAGGCCGTCAAAGTGCAATATATCTCTCTAGGAAAATCAGCAAATAACTTACCTATGGTTTAACATAAAATAACTGCCCTTGAAAATTGCAATAAAGCTTAGAAACCTTGAACTTTCAGTGTAATTTGTATATTAAAAAATGTGTTTGGGCTGAAATGATTTGGAGTTTCATTTGTCATTCCATTTGTGTAGTATACTTGCACACATTGACAAGAAGGACACGTGGTAGTTAACTTTGAGAAGGGGCATTTTTGAGAGGGAGCTGACAAACTTTAACCAACAAAATGACTTTCAGAAGTCTTGAAGGAAGAAGAAACAACGTGGAGACAAATGAGTATGCTTACATAGTATTTGGTAAAACTATGTAAAAGTACAGAAGGGATTATTGCTGCAGTTAAAATCTGTGCCAGAAACAAGTTTTCCACTGGAGTAAAGGTTATCTTTTTTTTTCTTCTTAATGTTGGGGGAAGGGCAATTAATTGAGGACAAGAGGGAAATTGTGGGGGACTGATGTTAGATAAACTATTTTGTCTTTGTGTTGACATTATATTGGCTACAGCCTACACGAGGGAATGCCTGGAAAAAAGTAAGGAGAGAGAGGCATTAATATTTTTTAGTGTGCGTGGGTGCGCCAGCAGTAGAGGGGCCCATGTTTTCTTAGGGCTCAGATGGCAAAGCTAAGCATTCAGCCTACGGCAGGAAAAAAGTGCCTTTTTTGTTTTCTGACTGCAGAGTCCAGGCATTCCCAGGGGAACACAATGAATGGCCCATTTTGTCCAACACGGTTTCATAGACATAGATTTCTTGTTTTTTCATAATTATTCTTGCCCGTCATTGGGTGTGCACATGACATTTGAGCGTGTTTTAAAGTCTTAACACACTCATGTGCCTGCAATAAAGTTACTCATAACAATCCCGGCTTTCTCCAGACAACAGAGCAGGGTCTGTTGTTTTCACAAGTCACAGCAGCTGGGAGGCAATTGTGAAGACAACAGCTTAATCTAACTGGAAAATACAGGAAGAAGAGAGTATACACTAAATTTCCTCCCATATTATTCAAACAATGAAGAATAAAAAAAGGCTATGGGTGGTCTAACTCAACAACTGATTGGCAGAATATACTTTAAATTGCCTTAGACTGTTGTCTTTAAATGTTAAGAATCTACAAAGTTAAATTCACTGTATTTGTTAATCAGCTAAAAGGCAGGCTCAGGCAATGGTACACAACTACATTTCAATGGCTATAAAAATTATTACAGATCGCTTGTTTTTTATAGTTTGTTAACTAGCATTTGGTGTATGTATAAAAAGATGCTTTGACAAAGTAGTTATGAAGCAATGGTTAATCTCCTTTGAAAGGTGTGTGAAAGACCAAGAGGTTCATGGTAATTCACATCTTCATGCCAGGCTGTATTTCTGGTGTACAGTCATTAGTAAGTTTTAAATTTCACACTGAATAACAGAATTTAGGAAGAGGAGAGTAACTAGAAGATTTAAATCTGACCTGGAACATCAGAGTAGTAAACTGGCTGTGCTCTTCAGGGTGCTGAAGTAAACAAAGTTATTTTTATTCCATGTGGATGGGAAGAGATAAGAAATGTGAGAAGTACAATAAAAAGGAAATTTCGGTGTTCATTTAAGTTTGCATTTGGGGAGAAAGGATTAAGCAGGACATGGGGAAGGAAGTGACATAAAAAGCAAAAATGATAGTGCTATGCTTAACTATTTCAAACTCCACCATCCTTTTCCCTTTAAGGAAACATTTTGTGAAAGAACTTCTTATGGACTCTTTTATTTTTTTTTATTATTATACTTTAAGTTCTAGGGTACATGTGCACAACGTGCAGGTTTGTTACATATGTATACATGTGCCATGTTGGTGTGCCGCACCCATTAACTCGTCATTTAGCATTAGGTATATCTCCTAATGCTATCCTTCCCTCCTCCCCCACCCCACAACAGGCCCCAGTGTGTGATGTTCCCCTTCCTGTGTCCAAGTGTTCTCATTGTTCAATTCCCACCTATGAGTGAGAACATGCAGTGTTTGGTTTGTTGTCCTTGCGATAGTTTGCTGAGAGTGATAGTTTCCAGCTTCATCCATGTCCCTCAAAGGACATGAATTCATCCTTTTTTATGGCTGCATAGTATTCCATGCTGTATATGTGCCACATTTTCTTAATCCAGTCTATGATTGTTGGACATTTGGGTTGGTTCCAAGTCTTTGCTATTGTGAATAGTGCCACAATGAACATACGTGTGCATGTGTCTTTATAGCAGCATGATTTATAATCCTTTGGGTATATACCCAGTAATGGGATGGCTGGGTCAAATGGTATTTCTAGTTCTGGATCCTTGAGGAATCGCCGCACTGTCTTCCACAATGGTCGAACTAGTTTACAGTCCCACCAACAGTGTAAAAGCTTTCCTATTTCTCCACATCCTCTCTAGCACCTGTTGTTTCCTGACTTTTTAATGATCACCGTTCTAACTGGTGTGAGATGGTATCTCACTGTGGCTTTGATTTGCATTTCTCTGATGGCCAGTGATGATGAGCATTTTTTCATGTGTCTGTTGGCTGCATAAAAGTCTTCTTTTGAGAAGTGTCTGTTCATATCCTTTGCCCACTTTTTGATGGGGTTGTTTGTTTTTTTCTTGTAAATTTGTTTGAGTTCTTTGTAGATTCTGGATATTAGCCCTTTGTCAGATAAGTAGATTGCAAAAATTTTCTCCCATTCTGTAGGTTGCCTGTTCACTCTGATGATAGTTTCTTTTGCTGTGCAGAAGCTCTTTAGTTTAATTAGATCCCATTTGTCAATTTTGACTTCTGTTGCCATTGCTTTTGGTGTTTTAGCCATGAAGTCCTTGCCCATGCCTATGTCCTGAATGGTATTGCCTAGGTTTTCTTCTAGGGTTTTTATGGTTTTAGGTCTAACATTTAAGTCTTTGATCCATTTTGAATTAATTTTTGTATAAGGTGTAAGGAAGGGATCCAGTTTCAGCTTTCTACATATGGCTAGCCAGTTTTCCCAGCACCATTTATTAAATAGGGAATCCTTTCCCCATTTCTTGTTTTTGTCAGGTTTGTCAAAGATCAGATAGTTGTAGATGTGTGGTATTATTTCTGAGGGCTCTGTTCTGTTCCATTGGTCTATATCTCTGTTTTGGTAGTGGTACCATGCTGTTTTGGTTACTGTAGCCTTGTAGTATAGTTTGAAGTCAGGTAGCGTGATGCCTCCAGCTTTGTTCTTTTGGCTTAGGATTGACTTGGCAATGTGGGCTCTTTTTTGGTTCCATATGAACTTTAAAGTAGTTTTTTCCAATTCTGTGAAGAAAGGCATTGGTAGCTTGATGGGAGTGGCATTGAATCTATAAATTACCTTGGACAGTATGGCCATTTTCACGATATTGATTCTTCCTACCCATGAGCGTGGAATGTTCTTCCATTTGTTTGTGTCCTCTTTTATTTTGTTGAGCAGTAATTTGTAGTTCTCCTTGAAGAGGTCCTTCACATCCCTTGTAAGTTGGATTCCTAGGTATTTTATTCTCTTTGAAGCAATTGTGAATGGGAGTTCACTCATGATTTGGTTCTCTGTTTGTCTGTTGTTGGTGTATGAGAATGCTTGTGATTTTTGTACATTGATTTTGTATCCTGAGACTTTGCTGAAGTTGCTTATCAGCTTAAGGAGATTTTGGGCTGAGACGATGGGGTTTTCTAAATATACAATCAGGTCATCTACAAACAGACACAATTTGACTTCCTCTTTTCCTAATTGAATACCCTTTATTTCTTTCTCCTGCCTGATTGCCCTGGCCAGAACTTCCAACATTGTGTTGAATAGGAGTGGTGAGAGAGGGCATCCCTGTCTTGTGCCAGTTTTCAAAGGGAATGCTTCCAGTTTTTGCCCATTCAGTATTATATTGGCTGTGGGTTTGTCATAAATAGCTCTTATTATTTTGAGATATGTCCCATCAATACCTAATTTATTGAGAGTTTTTAGCATGAAGGGCTGTTGAATTTTGTCAAAGGCCTTTTCTGCATCTATTGAGATAATCATGTGGTTTTTGTCTTTGGTTCTGTTTATATGCTGGATTCCGTTTATTGATTTGCGCATGTTGAACCAGCCTTGCATCCCAGGGGTGAAGCCCACTTGATCATGGTGGATAAGGTTTTTGATGTGCTAATGGATTCGGTTTGCCAGTATTTTATTGAGGATTTTTGCATTGATGTTCATCAGGGATATTGGTCGAAAATTCTCTTTTTTTGTTGTGTCTCTGCCAGGCTTTGGTATCAGGATGATGCTGGCCTCATAAAATGAGTTAGGGAGGATTCCCTCTTTTTCTATTGATTGGAATAATTTCAGAAGGAATGGTACCAGCTCCTCCTTGTACCTCTGGTAGAATTCAGCTGTGAATCCGTCTGGTCCTGGACTTTTTTTGATTGGTAGGCTATTAATTATTGCCTCAATTTCAGAGCCTGTTATTGGTCTATTCAGGGATTCAACTTCTTCTGGGTTTAGTCTTGGGAGGGTGTATGTGTCGAGGAATTTATCCATTTCTTCTAGATTTTCTAGTTTATTTGCATAGAGTTGTTGATAATATTCTCTGATGGTAGTTTGTATTTCTGTGGGATTGGTGGTGATATCCCCTTTATCATTTTTTATTGCGTCTATTTGATTCTTCTCTCTTTTCTTCTTTATTAGTCTTGCTAGCGTTCTATCAATTTTGTTGATCTTTTCAAAAAACCAGCTGCTGGATTCATTGATTTTTTGAAGGGTCTTTTGTGTCTCTATCTCTTTCAGTTCTGCTCTGATCTTAGTTATTTCTTGCCTTCTGCTAGCTTTTGAATGTGTTTGCTCTTGCTTCCAACACATTTAATTGTGATGTTAGGGTGTCCATTTTAGATCTTTCCTGCTTTCTCTTGTGGGCATTTAGTGCTATAAATTTCCCTCTACACACTGCTTTAAATGTGTCCCAGAGATTCTGGTATGTTGTGTCTTTGTTCTCATTGGTTTCAAAGAACATCTTTATTTCTGCCTTCATTTCCTTATGTACCCAGCAGTCATTCAGGAGCAGGTTGTTCAGTTTCCATGTAGTTGAGTGGTTTTGAGTGAGTTTCTTAATCTTGAGTTCTAGTTTGATTGCACTGTGGTCTGAGAGACAGTTTATTATAATTTCTGTTCTTTTACATTTGCTGCGGAGTGCTTTACTTCCAACTATGTGGTCAATTGTGGAATAAGTGTGGTGTGGTGCTGAGAAGAATATTATTCTGTTGATTTGGGGTGGAGAGTTCTGTATATGTCTATTAGGTCCGCCTGGTGCAGAGCTGAGTTCAATTCCTGGATATCCTTGTTAACTTTCTGTCTCATTGGTCTGTCTAATGTTGACAGTGGGGTGTTAAAGTTTCCCATTATTATTGTGTGGGAGTCTAAGTCTCTTTGTAGGTCTCTAAGGACTTGCTTTATGAATCTGGGTGCTCCTGTATTGGGTGCATATGTATTTAGGATACTTAGCTCTTCGTGTTGAATTATTCCCTTTACCATTATGTAATGGCCTTCTTTGTCTCTTTTGATCTTTGTTGGTTTAAAGTCTGTTTTATCAGAGACTAGGATTGCAACCCCTGCCTTTTTTTGTTTTCCATTTGCTTGGTAGATCTTCCTCCATCCCTTTATTTTGAGCCTATGTGTGTCTCTGCACGTGAAATGGGTCTCCTGAATACAGCACGCTGATGGGTCTTGACTCTATATCCAATTTGCCAATCTGTGTCTTTTAATTGGAGCTTTTAGCCCATTTACATTTAAGGTTAATATTCTTATGTGTGAATTTGATCCTGTCATTATGATGTTAGCTGGTTATTTTGCTCGTTAGTTGATGCAGTTTCTTCCTAGCCTTGATGATCTTTACAATTTGGCATGTTTTTGCAGTGGCTGGTACCAGTTGTTCCTTTCCATGTTTAGTGCTTCCTTCAGGAGCTCTTTTAGGGCAGGCCTGGTGGTGACAAAATCTCTCAGCATTTGCTTCTCTGTAAAGGATTTTATTTCTCCTTCACTTATGAAGCTTAGTTTGGCTGGATATGGAATTCTGGGTTGAAAATTCTTTTCTTTAAGAATGTTGAATATTGGCCCCCACTCTATTCTGGCTTGTAGAGTTTCTGCTGAGAGATCCGCTGTTAGTCTGATGGGTTTCCCTTTGTGGGTAACCCGACCTTTCTCTCTGGCTGCCCTTAACATTTTTTCCTTCATTTTAACTTCGGTGAATCTGACAATTATGTGTCTTGGAGTTGCTCTTCTCGAGGAGTATCTTTGTGGTGTTCTCTGTATTTCCTGAATTTGAATGTTGGCCTGCCTTGCTAGGTTGGGGATATTCTCCTGGATGATATCCTGCAGAGTGTTTTCCAACTTGGTTCCATTCTCCCCATCACTTTCAGGTATACCAATCAGACGTAGATTTGCTCTTTTCACATAGTCCCATATTTCTTGGTGGCTTTGTTCATTTCTTTTTATTCTTTTTTCTCTAAACTTCTCTTTTCCCTTCATTTCATTCATTTGATCTTCCATCACTGATACCCTTTATTCCCGTTGATCGAATTGGCTACTTAAGCTTGGGCATTCGTCACGTAGTTCTCATGCCATGGTTTCAGCTCCCTCAGGTCATTTAAGGACTTCTCTACACTGGTTATTCTAGTTAGCCATTCGTCTAATATTTTTTCAAGGTTTTTAGCTTCTTTGTGATGGGTTCGAATTTCCTCCTTTAGCTCAGAGAAGTTTGATCATCTGAAGCCTTTTTCTCTGAACTCGTCAAAGTCATTCTCTGTCCAGCTTTGTTCTGTTGCTGGTGAGGAGCTGTGTTCCTTTGGAGCAGGAGAGGTGCTCTGATTTTTAGAATTTTCAGCTTTTCTGCTCTGTTTTTCCCCCATCTTTGTGGTTTTATCTACCTTTGGTCTTTGATGATGGTGAGGTACAGATGGGGTTTTAGTGTGGATGTCCTTTCTGTTTGTTAGTTTTCCTTCTAACAGTCAGGACCCTCAGCTGCAGATCTGTTGGAGTTTGCTGGAGGTCCACTCCAGACCCTATTTGCCTGGGTATCAGCAGTGGAGGCTGCAGAACAACAAATATAGCTGAACAGCAAATGTTGCTGCCTGATCGTTCCTCTGGAAGCTTTGTCTCAGAGGGGTGCCTGGCCATGTGAGGTGTCAGGCTGCCCCTACTGGGGGTGCCTCCCAGTTAGGCTACTCGGGGGTCAGGGATCCACTTGAGGAGGCAGTCTGTCCATTGTCAGATCTCAAACTCCATGCTGGGAGAACCACTACTCTCTTCAAAGCTGTCGGACAGGGACATTTAAGTCTGCAGAGGTTTCTGCTGCCTTTTGTTCAGCTCTGCCCTGCCTCCAGAGGTGGAGTCTACAGAGGCAGGCAGGCCTCCTTGACCTGCAGTGGGCTCCTCCCAGTTCGAGCTTCCTGGCCACTTTGTTTACCAACTCAAGGCTCAGCAATGGCAGGCACCCCTCCCCCAGCCTCACTGCCATCTTGCAGTTTGATCTCAGACTGCTGTGCTAGCAATTAGTGAGGTTCCGTGGGTGTGGGACCCTCTGAGCCAGGCGCCGAATATAATCTCCTGGTGTGCCGTTTGCTAAGACCATTGGAAAATGGTGGGAGTGACCCGATTTTCCAGGTGCTGTCTGTCATAGCTTCCCTTGGCTAGGAAAGGGAATTCCCTGACCCCTTGCGCTTTTCGGGTGAGGTGATGCCTTGCCATGCTTTGGCTCACGCTCGGTGAGCTGCACCCAGTGTCCTGCACCCACTGTCCGACAAGCCCCAGTGAGATGAACCTGGTACCTCAGTTGGAAATGCAGAAATCACCCGTCTTCTGCGTTGCTCATGCTGGGAGCTGTACACTGGAGCTGTTCCTATTTGGCCATCTTGGAACTGCCGTTGGTTCTATTAATATTTTATTGGGAAAGATGAAGCAGTCAGGGCTGGGAACTTGTCTCATCGCCTTTTTAGGCACTCAGATACCTGAATACCTGTAATCTCATTTCACTTCCATTCTTCGCTTGGAAATACTACATCCTCATGATAGTGTTTTTAAATGGAAATCTAATGGAGAAATCCAAATGCTGCTTGGAACCATAGGATGACCTTTACTATTTCACCACTCATATATACTGAGCATGAGCATGAAGAGATTTTTTTTTTTTTTTGAGGTGAAGTCTTGCTCTTGCCTAGGCTAGAGTGCAGCAGTGCAATCTTGGCTCACTGCAACTCCTGCCCACCAGGTTCAAGTGATTCTCCTGTCTCAGCTTCCCATGTAGCTGGGATTACAGGCACCTGCCATGACACCCAGCTGATTTGTGGTCTGCATGCCTTGGCCTCCCAAAGTGTGAGCCACTGTGCCCAGCTAAGAGATATTTTTTATTCTGGTTATTATGCACCTATTCTGATCATCCTTAAATTGAAAAGAAACCCACTTTTTGTTATATTATTTCCACTTTACTTACACATTTCTCCACTATTCATGGCAGAACATAACACTGAAGGCCCAATAGCTAGGTTCCTGGGTGTCAAGATCTATTGCAAATGTGAATTATTCTGTTGTCTTTGCTGGTATTTTACCCTCATAGTCCTCAACACTTAGGTTTAATTAGTCATGTACATGCCTTTATTTTTGTGCTTACCTTTAAAGTTTAACAATTTAACAATAGTTACGATTTATGGTCTTATCTGCCAGACACTGAACCACATTATGTTCATTTTCTTTAATATTCATAAATATGCAATGATATGGATTTTATCACCATTTGACAAGTGAGGAAGCTAAGGTTATCATCTAATTAGTTGGAGCCAGGTATCAAACTTAGGTCTCTGTGGCTTCAAAACTTGTGATCTTTCTACTATACAATATAATGCTGCCTCCCAGTTAAATGAAAGGGAGGAAACAGTAGTGTCTAATTAAAAGGAAGTAGGAACATAAAACATATTAGGGCTTTTCTTCCACTTTTCCTCCTCCCTTTCTCATTCAGTTGAAATGCCATTAAGCAGGACCAATTGTGGAAGGCTCCTGAGTTGGGTGGCAGCTCAGTGGGGTTTGAAGATCCTATTAGGAAAGTGGCTTCTCATAGTGGTGGCTTAACAAGAGTTGGGTCCTATTGGATGAAGGTTGTCAAGTGGGGAAGTGGCTCAGGAGGATGAGGAGATTGGTTGGTAATATGTAAGAGATAGAGAGAAAATAAATATACATATGTATGTATGTGTGCATGTATGTGTGTGTGCATATACACATATAAATATACACACACACATATACTTATTTTTCCTATCTCCCGTATGTCATATTATATGTATATATATATATATATATATAATATATGAGCCAGGTTTTTTACTTTTAGAAAAGAGTTACAAATATGAAATGAAGGAAAATAAGAATAAACTCTGTGGTATTATATTGGAATTAGAAGTATCAAAGTGACTTTGTGGTTTTATATATATATGTCCATATCTATATAGAGAGAAGTATAAATGTGTGTGAATATGTATAATACATCTAAATATATTTCTTAGCTCTGTGAGGCAGCTTAGAAGCAAAATACACTCCAATAGTAATATCAACACATCACACCGAGATCTTGGCTTCTAAAAACTGTGCTTCTGAATCTGGTCTGGGGAAGGGAAAATACAAGATAAGTCTGGAATATTTTATTATTCCAGAAAGTGAGGAGGTGCTTAAAGAATTTTAAGAGCATAACAAAAGGATAAAGCATCCAGCTTGAAGGGGTAACCTGTGTCCATATATGGTGCAATTTAGGCATCAAAAATGATAATAATGGATTTATCCTATTGAATAGAACATGGATTCATGAACTGACCTGATGTATTTATGAATAAATGAAAAAATAAAAGAGAAGAGAAAGCTCTTCCTTAATGTGCCAACTAATAAATATACAAGACATTACAGAAAGAAAGTCACGTGGCAACCATCATAGTAATAATGAATTCTGACAAGAAACATGAAGGGATGCTAAAACTATTGGGTGAGAGCTGGATAAAGAACGATACATTCACATAGTCTCAAAGTATCTCCCCACACAGTACTTAGGAAAATGTAGAAAAAAAGTGTAACACGATAGTGGAAAAAACCTGGTAGATACTATATTACTCAGGCGACATTAACAGTGATGGGATAAATTGATGTATATTACCTGATGGGATATATTGAGAAGAGCACAGCATCGCTTCTGGTGATATGTCTGACAAAAATGTATTACCTGAATCTAATCATAAGGAAACATTAGGAAAAAAGTTTAGGTACAGTCTACAAAATAACTGTCTTGAAATCTCCAAAACCAACCCAAATGTCCAAAAATGATAGACTGGATTAAGAAAATGTGGCACATATACACCGTGTAATACTATGCAGCCATAAAAAATGATGAGTTCATGTCCTTTGTAGGGACAAGGATGAAACTGGAAACCATCATTCTCAGCAAACTATCGCAAGGACAAAAAACCAAACACCGCATGTTCTCACTCATAGGTGGGAATTGAACAATGAGAACACATGGACACAGGAAGGGGAACATCACACTCTGGGGACTGTTGTGGGGTGGGAGGAGGGGGGAGGGATAGCATTAGGAGATATACCTAATGCTAAATGACGAGTTAATGGGTGCAGCACACCAACATGGCACATGTATACATATGTAATAAACCTGCACATTGTGCACATGTACCCTAAAACTTAAAGTATAATAATAATAAAATAAAAAAAATAAAAAAATAAAAACAACAACAAAAAAATTTTTAAGGTTATAAAGATCAGGGAAGAACTGAGTATTTCAGATTGGAGGATACTAAGAAGGCATGATGACACATGATTCTGGATTGGATCTTATTGCTATAAAGGATATATTGGGACAGTTATAACAAAAGTGAAGGCATCAGAATCACTTGATTTTTTGAATCCTGGCTCTTTTTAGAAACTCTTTAGACTTAACCTTTATGAGGCACTGTTTATTTAGACTGTAAAGGGGCAAAATGATGCCCCACTGAATAGTGTTGTTGTATAGATTAGTTAAGTATGGAACTATCTAGCACTTATTTTTTGGAATGTAGACATTAAATATGTAATTCATTAAGCTTCTTTATTCCTAGAAGCAATTCTATATGTAGAACTATGGCAAAGCCCCAAATTTTAAAAATTCCTGGTTTACTGGTAGGTATCTATAGTAAATGTGAAGAAATATGTATATATTTGCATAGTGTGTAATTGTATTAGTCTCTTCTCATGCTGCTATGAAGACATACCTGAGACTGGGTAATTTATAAAGAAAAGAGTTTTAATTGACTCACAGTTTTGCATGGCTGGGGAAGGCCTTAGGAAACTTACAATCATGGCAGAAGGCACATCTTCACAGGGTGGCAGGAGAGAGAATGAGTGCCCAGCGAAGGGGGAAGCTCCTTATAAAACCATCAGATCTCCTGAGAACTAACTCACTATCACCAGAACAGGATGGGGGGAACTGCCCCCAGCATTCAATTATCTCCACCTGGTCCCTCTCATGGCACGTAGGGATTATAGGAACTACAATTCAGGATGAGATTTGGGTGGGGACACAGCCAAACCATATCAGACATTTTGTCAGATAATTTCCATATCTTTTAGATAGTTTTCACCTTGATTCCTTAAGGTAAGCAGTAGAAATATTATTATCTCATTGATAGATGAGAAAATTGATACCTACTGGCTCAAAAGTAAGATACTAGAAGAACCATTATCTCAGCCTCGTCTTTTGACATCTAAACAATGGACTTTTTATTATACAGTGTGTCTTACTCTCTTACAACCCACATGCTATTTATTTATTTATTTTATTTTATTTATTTATTGGAGAGAGAGTCTTACTCTGTTGCCCAGGCTAGAGTGCAGTGGTGTGATCTCAGCTCACTGCAACCTCCGCCTCCTGGGCTCAAGCGATTCTTGTGCCTCAGCATCCCGAGTAGCTGAGACTACAGGCGCATGCCACCATGTCCAGCTAATTTTTTGTATTTTAGTAGAGACCATGTTGCCCAGGGTGATTTCAAACTCCTGAGCTCAGCCAGTCTGTCCACCTCAGCCTCCCAAAGTGCTAGGATTACAGGCATGAGCCACTGCTCCCGGCCCCCACATGCTCTTTAGATAAACACAAACACTTTGTACAATTCTTTAATGTTACAGAAAGTTCAGATTAGATTAATGTTGCAACACAAAAATTATTTTTATCTTCCAAGGCACATATTATTTATTTTAAGTATTTGTGAGTTTTTCTTAGACAGTGTAGAAGTCAGAGCACAAAGCTCATCACTTGTAACATGATACTGAATGCTCTGCTTCATTTTTCTTACAACAGGCAAAGTAAAACCAGAATCACAAATACATGTTGATGAAAATTGGTTTATGGTCTGGAGAGACTATATACTTATGTAGGCATACCTCAGGGACATTTCAGGTTCTGTTCCAGACCACCACAATAAAGTGGATTTCATAATAAAATGAGTTGCATGAATTTTTTGGTTTCCCAATGCATATAAAAGTTATGTTGGCTGGGTTTGGTGGCTTACACCGATAATTCCAGCACTGTAGGAGGCTGAGGCAGGAGGATTGCTTGAGCCTAGGAGTTTGAGATCAGCCTGGGCAAGATGGCAAGACTATATTTCTACAATAAATTTTTTAAAAAATTAGTTGGGTGTGACCATATCTCTACAAAAAAATTTTCAAAAATTAGGCATGTGCTTATATTCCCAGCTACTTGGGAGGTTGAGACATGAAGATACCTTGAGCCTAGGAGTTTGAGGTGGCAGTGAGCTATGATTCCACCACTGAACTCCAGCCTGGGTGACGAAGTGAGACCTTGTCTCTTAAAAAAAAGTTACACTATACTGTGGTCTATTAAGTGTGCAATTGCATTATGTCAAAAAAAAAAAAAAAAAAACCACACACACACAATGTACATACCTTAATCCAAAAATACTATATTGCTAAAAAATGCTAATGATCTTGGGAGGCCGAGGCGGGTGGATGACGAGGTCAGGAGATCGAGACCATCCTGGCCAACATGGTGAAACCCCGTCTCTACTAAAATACAAAAAAATTAGCTGGGCGTGTTGGTGCGCAACTGTAGTCCCAGCTACTTGGGAGGCTGAGGCAGGGGAATTTCTTGAACCTGGGAGGTGAAGGTTGCAGTGAGCTGAGATTGTGCCACTGCACTGCAGCCTTGCGACACAGCAAGTCTCTACCTCAAAAAAAAATGCTAATGATCATTTGAGCCTTCAGCAAGTCATAATCTTTTTTACTGGTGGAGGGTCTTGGCTGCTGGCTGGTCAGGGTGGTGGTTGTTAAAGATTGGGTAGCTGTAGCAGTTTCTAAAAATAAGACAACCATGAAAGTGCTGCATCAATTGACTCTTTCACGAAAGATTTCTCTGCAGCATGTAATGCTATTTGATAACGTTTTACCCACAGTAGAACATCTTTCAATCCTCTCAAAGCCTTACATGCTTTATCAACTAAGTTTATGTAATATTCTAAACCTTGTGTGGTTATTTCAACAATGTTCATACCATTTTCACTCAGTAGATTATCTCTCAAGAAATCAGCTTCTTTGCTCACCTATAAGGCGCAACTTCACATCCATTAAGGTTTTATTATAAGACTGAAATAATTCAGTCACATCTTCAGGCTCCACTTCTAATTCTAGTTCTCTTACTGTTTCCACCATATCTGCAACTATTTTCTCTGCTGAAGTCTTGAACCCCTCAAAATCATCCCATGAGGGTTGGAATCAACTTCCAAATTCCTGTTCATGTTGATATTTTGATCTCCCAAGAATCACAGATGTTTTTAATGTCATCTAGAATGGCAAATCCAGAAGGTTTTCAATTTATTTTGCCTAGATTTGTCTGAGGAATCATTATGTATGAAAGCTATAGCCTTATGAAATATATTTCTGAAGTAATGTTATGAAAGTTGAAATTATTCCTTGATCCATGGACTGCAAAATGAGTGTTGGGTTAGCAGGCATGAAAACAACATTAATCTCCATGTGTATCTCCATCAGAGTTCTTGGGTGATCTGCATTGTTAATGAGCAGTAATATTTTGAAAGGAATCTTTTTTTTTCTGAGCAGTAGGTCTCAACAGTAGGCTTAAATATTCAGTAAACCATGCTGTAAACAGATATGTTTTCATCCAGGCTTTGTTCTTCCACTTATAGAGCACAGGCAAGGTAAATTTAAGATAATTCTTATGGACCCTAGGATTTTCAGAATGGTAAATGAGCATTGGCTTCAACTTAAAGTCACTAGCTGCATTAGCCCCTCCCAAGAGAGTCAGCCTGTCCTTTGAAGTGTTGAAGCCAGGCATTGACTTCTTCTCTCTAGTGGTGAAAGTTCTAGATGTGTGACTCTTCCTTTCACTTGAACACTTAGAGGCCATTGTAGAGTTATTAATTGGCCTAATTTCAATATTGTTGTCTCAGGGAATAGGGAAGCCTAAGGAAAGGGAGAGAGACAGGGGAACAGCTGGTCAGTGGTGCAGCCTGAACGCATGCAATATTTACTCTCTTGCACTGGTGTGGTTTATGGTGTCCCAAAACAACTACAATAGTAACAACAAAGATCACTGATCACAGATCACTACAACAGATATAATAATAAGAAAGAATTGGAAATATTGCGAGAATTACCAAAAGGTAACACAAAGAAACAAAGTGAGCACATACTGTTGGAAAAATGACATTGGTAGGCTTGCTTGACCAGGGTTGCCACAAACCTTCAATTTGTAAAAACACATTACCTGTGAAGTGCAATAAAGCAAAGAACAATAACATGAGGTATACCTGTACATACTAATTCAAACTATACACACCTTCTTCAAGAAGTTTTCAAGGCTTTCCTTACTTCCCTCTCATTTCCCCTTTCCTCACTACTCTCACTCCTACAACGTGGCCCAGGGCCCCAGTCTTGAAAATCTCAGCATCATTAGGCAATATGGAACAATGGTTAAAAGTAGGATTCTGGAGGCAGACTGCCTGGATTCAAATCCTGGACCATCCCCTTAATAGCTGCCTGATCTTGAGGCAAGCTATTAAGCTTTTCTGTGCCTCATCTGTAAAATGGGGAAAATAACAGTATTTACCTCATGAAGATGTTTTGAGAATTAAATGTGTTAATGCATGTAAAGCACTTAAAAAAGTGCCTGGCACATTGCCAATACTATATCAGTGTAGCCTTTATTACTATAATCATTATTATCATCACCAATGTAATTACCATAGTGGCTTAAAACTGTATAATAGTTGGGCGTGGTGGCTCACGCCTGTAATTCCAGCACTTTGGGAGTCCAAGGCAGGCAGATCATGAGGTCAGGAGTTCGGGACCAGCCTGACCAACATGGTGAAACCCTGTCTCTACTAAATGCAAAAATTAGCTGGGCATGGTGGAGGGCGCCTGTCATCCCAGCTACTCATGAGGCTGAGGCAGGAGAATCGCTTGAACCTGGGAGGCAGAGGTTGCAATGAGCCAAGATCACACCATTGCACTCCAGCCTGGGCAACAGAGCGAGACTCCGTCTCAAAACAAACAAAACAAAACAAAACAAAACAAAACAAAACAAAACCTGTATAATAATATGATAATGTTGTAATGTCATAAGTCTCAAATTAGATTAGTATCTGTCCTTAGGTCTTTGGTCTCTCCCTTTTATTTTTGTGCCTCATAAGATAATTCAGAACCTTTCCTGTTACCCTCCCTTAGATATTTTAGTGAAAATATTGGTATTTTTGTCTTGAGAGATTCTTCTCTAATCAGTGCTCTTATGGAAAATCTTTATAGGATAGCATAGACCCAGCTCTGTTCCTCAGAGTTTTTTCTCCTACCTACACTCACAAACATGGTTTGATGATTCTCAAGTCACATACACCTACCACCCCAAAATGTATTCCTTGAAAAGCAACTGTAGCAGTGGGGTAGGGCCACCCTTTCCTTCAGGGCATAATGAATCTCTAGAGAAGGAGAACATGAAGAATACATATCCACAGACACCATGATTCTGAAACACTCTCCAAAAAGGGGTGTGCCCCATTTGTTTAGGAGAGCACTGAACTATTTTGAAATAATTACATTTAAATTCACTGGATAATGTCCACTATGTACTAAGCACTTTACATCATTTTCTCTTTGCAATACCCTCTTTTAATAAGAAAACCAAAATTAGGCCATTTTTTTTTATGTTACTGGGGTCTGAGTTAGATCTTTTAACATCAATTCTCTTATTCCAGGGCCTATTTTACCATATCACAACTGTCTCTGAATGAATAATATACTTTTTACTGTTCAATGAAATAAAACTATAAAAGAAGGATTGAAATCTGCCTACTCTTGCTTTGTTCATCTGTATGCTAGTGTTATGCCATTCTGAGAGATCAGCTTGTGAGATGAAGGAATAGGCTGCTCAGGTTTGCAGTACTTGGTGGATTTTGTGTGTCCTTGTGGTATAAAATTGCTTTTCATTCA
Source organism: Homo sapiens (assembly GCF_000001405.40). Taxonomy (NCBI): domain Eukaryota; kingdom Metazoa; phylum Chordata; class Mammalia; order Primates; family Hominidae; genus Homo; species Homo sapiens. The sequence goes on along the minus strand of NC_000011.10, from coordinate 16,132,766 downwards.
AAGCTAAAAACAGGTAGGACAAGGCTGTCATTGTGACAAGTTAGTGTAAATGGAACAAAAAAAAAAAAAAAAGGTAACCCGATAGCTCAAGAGGGATATAGAATGAGCCCAGACTTCCCAATGGAACCCCTTTTCTGTTTAACGCTAAAGTAGAATTTCCCTTTTTCTAAAGATGATGTTAATAAGTACCCACCTTTACCCACAAAAGAGAAAGAAAAACCTTTATCATGCCAATGTCTTCCTAGATACAAAGATAAGCTTTCTTTCTTTCTTTCTTTCTTTCTTTCTTTCTTTCTTTCTTTCTTTCTTTCTTTCTTTCTTTTTTCTTTCTTTCTTTCTTTCTTTCTTTCTTTCTTTCTTTCTTTTTTCTTTCTTTCTTTCTTTCTTTCTTTCTTTCTTTCTTTCTTTCTTTCTTTCTTTCTTTCTTTTTTCTTTCCTTCCTTCCTTCCTTCCTTCCTTCCTTCCTTCCTTCCTTCCTTCCTTCCTTCCTTCCTTCCTTCTTTCTTTCTTTCTTCCTTCCTTTCTTTCTTTCTTTTTTTTTGAGAAGCAGCTGTAAAATTTTGGAAATTATAGGCTGTAGATATAGGCTTGAATTCTGGCTCTGCCACTTGCTTGGTATAGTCTTAGGTAAATTACATAATTTTCCTTAATCACAGTCATCTCATATATAAAATGGGAAAGTAATGAAGTAATGCCTGCTTTATAGGACAATTTTTTTCCTGCTTTATGGATATATAAATGACACACAATAATTCATCCATTTTAAGTGTTTGATGAATTCTGGAAGTTGTATAGAGCCATATGTAACTTTTAGTCCCGAAGAGTTTCCTTGTGTCCTCTGCAGTTAGCATCCCCCATTGAAACCCTGGGCCTATTCATTGATATCACTATATTTTTGCCTTTTCTAAGACTTCATATAAATTGAATCATACAATAAATAGTCTTTTCTGTTAGATGTATTTCATTTATTCTTATATTTCTTAGATTTTTCATGTTATTGGGTATGTCAATATTTTGTTACTTTACATTGCTAAGTAGTATTCCATAGAATAGACTTACTGTAATTTGTTTAGCCTTCCTCCAGTTAATGGTCATTGAGTTGATTTCAGCTATTGGCTTTTAGGAGTACTATTGCAAGTCTATGCAGACATATGTTTTCATTTTTCTTGTGTAGCTAAGAGTGGATTAATTGTAGGGCTTTATGGAAATTGTGTTTCTTTAAGAAATTTCTGTAAAAGAAAGTGGCTATATCATTTTTAATTCCAACCAGCAATGTATGAAAGTTCTAGTTGTTCTGCATCCTCACCAACACTTGGCATTATTAATCCTTTAAATTTTTACCATTCTAGTGGATTTTAGGGGTATCTTGTTGTGGTTTTGATTTTCATTTCTTGGGTGATGGGTGATGTTGAGCATCCTGTCATATACTTATTGGCCACTCATATATTTTCTTTTGTGAATTGTCTATTCAACTCTTTGATTCCAGTTTTATAAATTTATTTGACTTATTATTGAGTTGTACCAGTTTTTCTTAATTATTCTGAATACAAGTCCTTTATTTTTTTTTCTTTTTGGCAGATATTTTCTCTTACTTTGTGGCTTAGCTTTTTAACCATGTCTTCTAAAGAGCAAAGTTTACGATTTTAATGACACCCATTCTACCATTTTTTTTTTCTGTTCTGGTTTACGCTTTTGTTCTGTTTTTAAATGTTTGCCTAATACAATGTCACAAAGATTTTCTCTTATGTTTTCTTCTAGACGTTTTTCAGTTTTAGGTCTTATGGTTAGGTTTTAGTGCATTTTGAGTTAAATTTTGTGTATAAGATAAGAGTCCAGACATCTTTTTCCTTTACAGATACCTATTTATAGCAAAGCCTATTTTAAAGATTATCATCTTCTCACTGAATTATCTTGACATCATTATGAAAATCAATTGACCAAATAGGTGTGGATCTACCTCTGGACTCTGTATTCTGGTCCACTGATTTATATGTCCATCCTTAAACCAATACCATCCTAATACCTAAATGGCATTATAGTAAGTTTTGACATCTTACTATACTTAACTAATTTTATTTGTTTAATTGTTTTGACTATTTTTTTTCATATCAAATTTAGAATCAGCTTCATACTATATTCAAAATGTCCTGCTGGAATTTTGATTTGAGTTGTGTTGAATCTATAAATCAGTTTGAGGAGACTTGCTGTCTTAACACTATTGAGTCTTTCATTCCATGAATGTTGTATGTCTCCATTTATTTTAGTGTTTCAAAATTTTCCTTTGTAATTTTCAAAAAATTGTATATATTTATGGTGTATGATATGCTATTTTGATATGCATAAACATAGTGAAATTACTAACACAGTTAAGCAAATTAACCTACCCATCACCTTTTATAGTTACCTTTTTTGGGTGGTAAGAACACTTACACTCTACTCTCTTAGCAAATTTTCAGTGTACAATACAATATTAACTATAGTCCTCATGTTGTACATTATCCTTATAATGTTTCATAGCTTTTAGTGTAGAGGTCTTATAAACTTTGGTTAAAATTTTCTATTTTATTTTTATGCTAATGTAAATGGAGTTATAATTTTTTTCTAATTGTTTATTACTAGTATATAGAAAGCCAATTTATTTTTGTTATTGGCCTTTTATGTTGTGACTGCTTAATTTACTATTAGTTCTGGCCACTTTAAAAAAATTCTTAAGATTTTCTATGATTATGATTATATTTTTTGCAGATAAAATAAATGTCACTTCTTTCCACACTGTGTGCATTTTATTTATTTCCCTTTGCTTATTGGACTGATGAGGAAATCCAGTACAATATTGATTAGAAGTGGTGAGAGTAGACATTATTGCCTATTTTGTCTGATCTTAGGTAGAAAGCAAGGATCCTTTCACTATTATTGATTATGATATTAGCTGTAGGTGTTTCAAATATACTTTTAATCAGATTGAGGAAGCTTCCTTCTATTTAAATTTGCTGAAAGTTATTTTTTTAAATCATGAATAAGTGTTAAATTTTTTCAAGTGTTACTCTGCACCTATTGAAATGACCTTATGTTTTTGCTCCTTTATTCTCTTATTATGATGAATTATATTGATTGATTTTCAAAGTTGAAACCAACCTTGCGTTCCCACAATAAACCTCACTTGGTCATGATGTCTTATCCTTTTTACATACTGTTACATTCTATTTAGTCTGCTCACTTGTATGCTTTTTAAAACTAGTACCTTAACCCTTGGGAAAATAATTCAATTTATATTTTGTTAAAAGCTATCTTTGTAAAGCTCTGTATATTTTGAGGAATATGAGTGGAGAAGTTACTATTTTCACATTAAAAAAGAATAATAGAAGATTTTAATGTATGTCACAGCATATAAAGTTGTGATGGGAAGTGGGAAAAAAAAGAGGAAGAGAGGCAATTATCAGAAAATAAAATTTTGTATCAATTTTGCCAGAAGTGAGATTTGCTTTCATCCTCTTTACATGATGTAGGTTTATGTTTAAGAAAACATATTTAGGCTAAAGTTGAGGACAGAAAGAGGGTATGTTTGTATTTAAGTTTTACCTTAAAAAAGAGATAAAGATGGACAGGTGGGGTGGCTCATGCCTGTAATCCCAGCACTTTGGGAGGCCAAGGTGGGCAGATCACCTGAGGTCGGGAGTTCGAGACCAGCCTGACCAACATGGAGAAACCCCATCTCTACTAAAAAAAAAAAAAAAAAAAAAATGCCAGGCATGGCGTTGCATGCCTATAATCCCAGCTACTCAGGAGGCTGAGACAGGAGAATCACTTGAATCTGGGAGGTGGAGGTTGCGGTGAGCCGAGATTGCGCTATTGCACTCCTGCCTGGGCAACAAGAGCGAAACTCTGTCTAAAAATAAATAAATAAATAAAAAAGATAAAGAAAACTGGGAAATAAAAATGAAAATTCCTGAACTTGGAATTCGCATATCTAGTCACCAGGTTATGTCACCATCGGCAAGTCACACTATCCCTATGTGCCTCAAGTATTTCCTCTGTCAAATGTAGTAGTTAGGCCTAAGCTGTATTCTGGGCAGGGAAGGAGAAGGCATATATATATATTTCAGAAAAAGCTCACTAGAGCTTCTTTCCAGGTTAGAGTCACCAGATTACATAGTCTCTAAATCATTTCTGTCCCTGAAAATCTGATTTTGTGAGATAAGTAAACTGGATACTAAAGACCAACTTTAGTTTGGTCGTTCTTAAGTTTTGTGACCTTGGCAAGTCACTTCTCTTTTGGCCTTACTTTTATTATAAGCCATTTATCTGGCATTTATGTTTAAAATTAAGGTATTGGAAAATTGGCTTTCTAAAACTATTGCAGTTCTAAAAGTCTGTGATTCTAAAGCTAGCTAAATACATGAATATTATACATATGTGTATATGTCAAACATGGCAAAGAACTTACTGTAGTGAGACAAATAATCATTACATTTTTATGTGAATGTATTCAGCACCCTTAAGCATTATGAAAAATATAAACCAAAGTCCACATTGTTAAACCTAGTTCTAATTTTTAATGGGAAATGTATATTTTCTCTTGAACATATGTTGAAATGCTAGATTTGTATAGTATTTGCTCTCAACTTGTAATACAAAAATCTAAGACTTCTATATGCTTTTCTAGGATGTAGTTTTCTTTGTTATTTGCAGTCTGTTGTTAGAAAGCTTCAAGGGATATAGGACATTAAAGCACCACATCTTTAACTAGCTGGGACATAATACATGATTTGAGTTCCCAATATTTTCTAACAGTAAGGTTTGTTTATTAAAGAAACCACATGCTGTGACTGAATCAGTCTAATAGAAGCCAAGTTTGAACTTGAACATTCAAATGTATGTCCATATATTTTGGGCATATATCATACATAATGATGTGGGGTCTAGACATCTTTCTGGGTTTGTTTATGTCTGTTATGGATTCCCCTCATTATCCATGCTGTTTGAGGGAGACCCCATGGATTCAGCTTGTTTATTACACACTTTCTATATTTTAAGACTAACTCAGAGTTCCAAGTGGCATATATGTTCCAACTTGGAATATTATTTTCTCACTTTCCAGTTTTATGATGATGATTAAGGAAAAATAAAATAAGATTTTAGGGAATAATGACATGTTTGAGAGTGGCTAACAATAATCATTTTGACCATGTTTCAAATACAGTTTTATAATCTTTATGTTTATTATACCATTCTTCCTAACATTTTTGACAAGTTTGAGTTATAGCATCTGTTTTCTTATTTTTAAATCACATTGTGTACCATCTGTTCTTTTGTTATATTTGAGCATAATTTTTAGAATTTAATAGATGTAGGTAAAGACTTTAACCTTCAGTATTACTAATTTTACAGTTATGTATACACAGTATATTCAGAATGCTAGAGGTGAGTAAGTATACATGAAGAATAGATTTTGAGTGCAAAAACAACAAAAATCAATTTCTAGTTAATATTATTAACTTGGAGCAAGTAATTCATGATCACTTGACTAGCAGCCTTCGTTGTTGTTGTTAAAAATCTCTCCCATTAATATTTATTTTATAAAATTAGGTATTTCTATGTATAACTTCTTAATTTTAAAGAAACTACTATTCATATTCTTTGAGTTACAAAGCTATTTTTTCATCAAGTGAAATAAAGAAATCAAATAACATGATAAGAATTTGCAATAAATATTGAAAGAGGTTGGATTGTCATCAGAATTTATCATTATGGGTATTTTTTGAGGGGGTGATATAGCACTTGCTATAAATATTCATCATGTTCTTAAATCTAGAGATATTCCGTGATTAGGTGATTTTATGCCTGTTTATGCTGGCAGGAACAAAAGAACTTTAAAAACAGAAAACATAAACATAATTGAACCACTCACTTAAAAGAGAAATTGGAATAGATGTTTTCCAGGGGAGAACATGCTTTCTGTATAAAAAGGGCTAGTGTAACAAGAAGTCATCTATTCTTGATTTCTTTAGACAGTTAGAGCTTTGTGCCTTGTCTAGTTTCTGTGTTTTAAGAGCTTGTTCTGTGTAGCAGAAATAATACAATAAATGGGTTTAACCACATTTGTCTCAGCTAGACAGTCTGCTTTGTCAGAGATTGCTGGTACAACATAAACAAATTATGTGTTTGTAGTGCTTTTCAATGAAAGCCTATCTAACAGAGCTGAGATTGTGTTTCAGCAGCTGTAGATTTAATCTCCTACCTGTCAGTTAAAACAGGCATTTCCTGAGCCAGATAAGGACTGGTTGTAGAGCAGGGAAGTAGTCACAGCTGGACAAAGACCTATTGTTATTGGCTGATAATTTCTATGTAGATTCAACTCCTTATTCTACTGTGGAAACTACAGTTGTAGTGCAGTATTAAAGGAGCTAGCCCAGCCTTTTAAAATGTTAAATCAAAGAGAATCAAAACTGGATTTTGTGTCATTCATTTGGGGGAACTGTCATGTGGAACTAAAAAAAAGTCTATAGATTTGATCATCACAGTTTTAGATCATTGTGGATGTTATACTAGGGCCATGGAAAATGCCTGTTCACAGATCTGTAACTACATTCTTGGGAGTTCAAGTTGTAATATAAGCTACCCAAAGCCAAAAATTTAAATCTGTGGATTGATGCTTGGCCATGTGACTCACATATCATGGGTATTGTGACTACAAGTGCTGAATATTCTAGAAAGGAACAGACCTAATGTTAAATATATGTTCTGTAATAACCATGTGAATGCTTCTACACTTCTTCTTTCCTTGTATCCTAATTTCCAATAGGAAAAATACAGTTATTACTGTAACTATTGGAGAATTGGAGAGTAGAGAATAATGGCAATTAGTTAAATAACTTCACTCAAATAAACTTTCCTTCCTTCCTTCCTTCCTTCCTTCCTTCCTTCCTTCCTTCCTTCCTTCCTTCCTTCCTATGATTTCTTTAAGAACATGTGAAAGTTTCAATGTATACATTTCCCATTTTGAATTCTGAGTATTTCTGTCTCTTGACCTGAGTGAACCACCATCCTTCCACTTCTCTTTGGGCTTGAGTTTGTATTCTTTTTCAGCTGTGATTGCACTGAGTTATTGATTGTATTGGGTTGCTGCTTATTAGTCCTAAACAATGTTATTGGCTTGTTGTTCTTTGTAACAGCAGGAGTATCATGAGAAGTGAATTACTGCAGTACTGGACTATACCTTGGAAATCCCCATTTTATTTCACAAAGATGACATTAGTCTCAACTCCCCCTAACTGAAAAAGACAAGTTTTATTTAACCAGTGTTTGAGCCAGTTTGTATATATCGATCTTTGTACTTTTATGATCTTTATGAACAGTTTATTTTTTTCCATAGAAAATTTGTTAGGTAACTTGAATTATTTTAAATATTCCTATACTTCCTACACAGAGACTGAACTAAGAATTTACATTTTTAGTTTTTGTCAGTAAGCTGCTCTGATGCCTAAAATTTCATTGAAATTTCATTGAAATGTTATTTGATATAACATTTGGGGAAAAGAATCACAGTAATGTATCAGTATCCAAATAGATTATAATATCCTAGACTCTTCTCCCCTATAGGAATTAATGAGTACAAGTATTTGAAAATGATGTGCTTCTATCTTATATGGAATCACTAGAAAGATCATATTTTAGTCAGTCAATCAATGAATGAATCAATCAGATACTCTTTGACATATTTGGAGGCACCATCCTAGTAGCATACTAAGCTTCTACTTGCAAGATGTTTTCCTTCTACTTGAGCGGAGAGGATATATAAGATGGAAATAGGCCACCATTACCCCCATTTTGGGTCTACTGAGGTGTTTTCTAAACTGGTCCCATTATCCCCATTTTGGGCCTACTGAGGTATTTTCTAAACTTGTCTCTCTGCGTTCATTCTTGCCCTATTATAGTCAGTTTTCCTCATGGCAACCAGAGTGATCTTTCTAAACTTAAATAGGTCTCATGGTAATACTCCCTTTTAAAACCCTTCAGTGACTTTCCATCACACTAAGAATACAATTCCGATTTTCTTACTGTGCTCTACAAGGCCCTAAATAACCTGATCTCCACCTGTCTTTCTAGCCTTTCCCCTACCACTCTCTATGCTCATTCTGCTCTGACCTTTGCACTCACATGCCCTCTGCCTGAGTTGCTTTTCTCTCTTCTAGCTCTGTGCAACATTTCCTCAGGTCGTTTAACCCTGTGTGATGTTATCTCTTCAGAGACGCTTTCCTTGGCCATCCCTATCCAAGATAGTCCTCTGTACCTTCTACCTACTACCTCCAACTTTCTGCCTTTCATTCTTCATACTCTATCTAGTTTCCTTTAAAACTCCTATTATCAACTTACATTTATTATATCTGTATGTATTTGTTCATGTGTATATGTGTATACACACATGTACATACACACATACAAATGTACATATATATATGTATTTTTGTATGTTGTCTGTCTTCTCTTAGAAATGATGGTAGGGAATATTGTCTTCTACTGTATTCCCAATGCCTACAATAGTGTCAGGTCTTAAAAGAAACATTTGTTTAATAAATGAATTAATGTATCCACATGGGAAAACCATTAAATAATTCAACACAATATGTGCAGTGCAAATATTGACAGAGGGAAATTTATGTTTGGGGAATTTTCATGGAAGAGTTTAATTTGGGCTGAACCTTGAAAGATTGGTCAGGTTTGGGAAGGCAAAGAAGAGAGGAAAGATCATTCCATATGGTGAAAATGTGGTAAGAACAAAGACTTAGAAACTATTGAAAGCAAATGGAGAAACATCATGGTACAATGTAGTAGGCAAAGAGGAGTCAGGGGTATGTTAAGAGCATCTTGTGGAGAGGCAGCCTAGGCTAGGGAGTATGGACCTTACCTTCTTTAACAGCGACATCTCTTTTTTGTATCTAAGTTATTTATTATGAAAATGGCACTAAATAAAAGTATAAAATTAAATTGCTTTTTAAAAATCAGCATGTTAGCTTATCCTTATAGTCATCTTCAGCGTCACCTTGTTCATTAAAGGGAGATAGCAGGTGTAGGAGTATGTGTGTGTGTGTAATGCACATGCTGGGAGTGGAGGTCAGGGGTTGCAGGTTATGCTCCAAAATGACATTACTGTGCATGTCATTAGCTTTGTACTCTAAAATGACGAGACTGTGATAAAGATTGAAAACCTGAAGACTACTTGACTTGGGATTATAGTTATTGTTTATGCCTTTCCTTGGTATCTAGTTTTTATAAATATTGCCTTACTTTATCTCCCTGCCCCCCAATCACATGTACAGGTACTGTCTCTCACTGATACTTCCAAGGAGGGACAATTTGCCATGGCTGAGCCCCAGCTGTCAATAGCTTAGACATCTTATTTACGTCCTGGTTAGAGTTGCCACACTATGTTTCTCAGGCCTTCTTGCTTGTGATGAAACTGCTTCTGCTCTCCATGATAGCTGATGCTTAAATGCTTTTCTGACATTCATTCATTATTGCATAATGAGCTCACAGTGATATAACAATTTTTAAAAATATTATTACTTTGGTAAACTGTATTCTTGGCTCTTTGGGTGAGAATTATCATTTCTATCAGTAAGGATTATAATTGATGATGATGAAATATTAAAGAAGCTTAGAGGCATCTCTAAATGATACTATAGAGGAATTTCAACATGTACTAGGAGTACTCAGCCATTAAAAAATCTTGAAATTAATAAAGTCAATTTTTATATTTTCTTACCAACTGGTGAACTTTAAAGTTAGACCACAGCAGGGCCAAAAGAAAAGATCACTATAAGGAAATATGTTTGGACTAGATTTGTACTATTGCCTCCATTGAAGAACTGTAAATGATGAATGGACTTTGACTTGATTCAGCAGATTAAAAAACCATCAGAATTGTTATGGCTTAGTTTTTAAATAACATAGAATACAAGTTCTTGAATTCATTTATATAGCAAATATTTGTTGAGCCCCTACTCTGTGCAAAGTCTTTTACAGAGCCCTTGAGAGATAGAAAGTCCTTGCCTTTAAGTTACTTGTGCATAATTTTAACAAGGCCTATAGTTTAAGATGTAAACCTGCATTTCTGGATGAGGAATTTAATAATGGAACTCTGGTCATTGCTAACAGAATAAGGTTGCATAAAATACTTCAGAGGTGAAAGCCAGATTGCCTTCATTGTGGGTCAAAAGTTTATGAACGGTTTATATCTGAATTTGGTTGTTACAAAGAAAGGAATGCCATATTATTCACAAATATTACCATATTTAAATGGCATTTATACAAAATTTGAAAAAAATAATTTTTATCTTGGCAAAACACTTTGATCATTGTGTATTTAATGGGGTTTCCATTTAGGAATGACAATCATTAGTCTCTAATATGTTTCATACTTCTCTGGAAATAAGACAGGGTGGAATAGGAAACATTCATCTTCACTAGTCTTTGGAAATATCTAAAGTAATTGACTAGCTCAGTCTTCTGTGATGGCCTGGTGACCACTAACTGTGACTATTTGCATAATAGTCAACTCTTCACTTCTGTAGTGATAACTGTTTGTATCTTATTAAAATTAAGACTGTTTTAGTTCTCTTGACTTTTCCAGAAGTTGCAAAAATTGAGATTTGCTGTTCTGCCTTAACCAAACAAATGCACACATGGGGATAACAATATGCTGAGTTTATGCAGATTTTACAGCACGAATCTGAATAAAATACCCACTAATAGATCCTTAAGGAGTAATAAACACACATGAATTTTCCTTAGTTGCACTTTAAAGTGATTTTAACATACTACTAGACCTTAACAATAATATTTAATTGACAAGATTATGCATTTGTATGGATTGAAAAGGTAGTAGATATCTAATTCCAAATGAATCATACATTTTACTTTTGCATAGCATGTTTTATTAATTTCTTTATGGCCAGGATATTCTATTTCCCTCCTGGTGAGAGTTTCTTAAAACATAGTAAGATAATTTAAACACATTTAATTAACATTTATCATCCATTTTATAAAGAAATCTGACTTATGTTTTCAAAAATACTCTCAATTTTTTTCTGGGGTGTAGACCATAGATAGAGTAGAGAAAGATACTTAATGGAATTTTTGCTATACTTTAGTTTTCTTTTTAAGCAAAACTTTCTCTGTTGACCTTATTCCAAAGTAAGCTGAAAACTGGATAATTTGTACTAATATGTAAGTGAGAACAAACCTAATACCACTACCTGAAAAAACAAGGCTATAGATGTCTTTAAGGCACTTTTATATTTCTACTGCCCAGCACAGAACCAGGTATAGAGTGATAGGTTCTCACTAAATGGCTGTTGAAGAGTTGAATTAAGACAAGCAACACTGCCTTCTCTTTTGGAGTAGCATGTTTCTCATGAGTCTAATAGGCCTAAACTAACTTTTTATTTGTGTAAGTATTGAGCTCTTCATTTTATGGAATAAGGGGACAAATAAGTAAGAGATACTAGGAATTAAGATTATGTTAGTGCTAAATCCATGTTCTTTTCTCTGAAAATTCAATATTAAATAGAACATGTACAAATGAATAAGAAATAAAGTAATTACTTTTGACTACATATGATCCTAGTAGATTAATGAGATATTTGTCCATTTTAAAAAATGCAAATAAAGTGAGTACATACAGTATGCTGAGAGTATGCTCAGTATATAGAGTATGCTGAGAATATAAAAAGAGATGTTAACACAAAGGAAAGGATTGGCCCTTTCAGGGCTATTAACATTTCTCTCAGAATATATACCTGAAGAAGATTTTTAAAACATGTACCGTTGACCTGATAGAGTCATTGTGTTCTTACTTACAAAGATTATTTCTTTCCTCTGTAACTATGGAAGAGAGTTGGAAAGTGCTAGACTGTGAAGTAGATTTTAAATAGTTATCTTAAAGCACCAACCCAGCAAATGAAACTGCTTTGTTTGCGTGTTTTACTCTTGGTAGTTGGGCAAGGACATAGTAAAACTAGTGACAAGATAAATCTTTTTCGTTTATTCTGTGAATAATTTAGGCATTTTGTTTAGCATGTTAAATAATCAAAATTAGAAAAGAGAACTCACTTTCTGGAGCTATTTTTTTCTTTTGCTTTAAACCAACTTTTCATTGAAGTATATTTATGCAGAAAAGTGTGTGTATATATATATATATATATATGTGAAGTTAGCTCTTTATTAATGTTTTAACTAAAACATATGACTTTGAAGTCCCAATCCTGAGTTTGTAAAGGGATGCTTTTAAACTATAACATCTTGAGTTCGTTCTACTTTTTAAGGAGTTTACTTGGCCCTTTAATGAGAATTTTGAAGAGTGCTAGGAATAGTGTGCCAAATCCTGGGAAGACATTACATTATATTAGAGATGGATATTAACAATGGTGGCAAAGTGTTTTGTATCTTATCTTGATGGGACCTGAGAAAGGAAAGAGGAAGAGGGAAGAGGAGAAGTTATGAGAGACAGAGAGAGAGAGAGAGAGGAGTGAGTGAGAGAGAGAGAGAGAAGAGAGAGAGCAGGAGGGGGAGTGAGAGAGAGAGAGAGAAGAGAGAGAGCAGGAGGGGGAGGGAAGAGAGAGACAGAGGGGAAGGAGAGAGAGAGAAAGGGGTGGGGGGAGAGAGAATAACCTGCCAATAACAAATAACAAACAAACAAACAAACAGAAGCAAGCAAAGATTGATCCTCTTCTGAATGCAGTTACATTGTTTGTACAATGTATATCCATTGGATGGTGGAATACACCTGGGAAGAATGGACTCTGTTCTCAAATGCTCTAGAAAATGTGTGTCCTAAATTTGCTCTTGCTAGGATTCTAGTATTCTCCTGTTGGGCTAGCTAGATTCTCTAGAAGCAGGATTTGATATATTACATTAGCTGTAGCAGCCACAGATTTGCTAAATAAGACAAATGAAGAGAGAACAAGATTATATCAAGATGTATTTAAAAGTCAGTTTTAAGTTCTCTTCTGGAATGAGAATGATTACAGCTCAGTACTTTTTGTAGTTGCATTAACAATTCTACCCTATGAAAATTGGTGGTCAGAAGACCAGATCTGAGGTCCTAGTTGGTTGGCTCTCAGCCATTGATCAGTTAATACAAAATACTTACTGTGTTTTTAGGCCTGTGATAAGAGCAACAGGATATATAGAAATATAAATGGCACAGGCCATTTGGGACAGTCAACTTACTTGCTGAGAGATGATTTATGATTTGTGAATTAGTGAACAGCAAAGAACACAGCATAGAATTTAAGGCTTCTTTGAGTACTTAAGGCTGTGGCCAACAAAGAGAAGTTCAGTATGTTGACTACTGCATTACACTTTCTAAGGAAGGGCGAAGCAGAGTATTAAAATTTTGGAAAGATTTTAACAAAAAAGTTTGAGACTAAAAGGGTTTCTGTTAAGGCATGAATTTATCCTGTCAAGTGAGATATTTTTCCTCCTAACCTCCAGAATTAACTATAAGTCCATGTACTGTGGATTTCCATGCACTTTTTGGCAATAAGAAGACACATTTCTGACCTTGAAGGCTTTTCCTTTAAGTTTTCTGGGGACTTCATTTCTTTTGCTTTAGATGGTGCAGCTTTTACAGTGGTAATACTTTATGCAAATGAGTCAGCTATTCTTTGCAAAAATGAATATGGTCATTTCGAAAACTGATCCCCATCCCCTGTTTCTGACTGCACTTCTTGCACCTCTCTCTCCCACCTTCTCTCTCTCCCAAGATCACTTTTTCTGAACTCTCTATTTTCTCTCTTTTCCTCCATCTCTGTCATGGTATACACACATTGGAAACATTTCTTTCAACAGTTTAAGAAGCTTTCTTCAATTAAATCACATAAGGAATTATTTTCTAGAGATAAAGTATTTAAAAACCCTCATTTTTGCACTGTCTTTAACTCAGTAATAGACATTAATATGCACATGATTTTCAATACAAATACTTATTTCCCATTACTAAAAAAAGTTAAATAATCTTCATGAAAGAGAAAATGAGCCCCCTGAGTGTCACTCTGTTTGCATATTAGCACATAGCCAGGTCTCTGCCAAGTTGCTCTCTGACTGATTGCTGCAGATGCTCTTTCTCAAGTATTCAGAGTCATATCTTTACTGCAAGTCTTCGGGGACAAACAATAGCACCTGTTCCTCACAAGATATCAGGCCAGTTAGCCCATTCATGTATCTTTAATGAAGCTCTGGGGCAGATGGCAAAAAATGGCATCATCAACAACTTAGCACAGAGAAAACAAAGGGGATAAGTGTTGATGCAACAATGCTGTTTTATGAATTGGAAGAGACAGAACCTAAGTGTTTCACACACATCTGCTGCTGTCTTGATTCTCTGAAAGATGTGAGGAATACCCTAGCAATTAAAATTTCTGGGCATGTAGCCTATTTGATCAAGAATATGTTCCCCACCCTCTCCAAAAGGGAAACACTTTGGTTAGGGATTGTATAAGTTTAGAATTAATGGACAGTTGTGCTTTGGGGTAGTTTATTCCTTTCATGATACACTAAGCTTCACCCGTGATGGGGTTTCCGGTTACTTGGTAGTCATTCAAATTACATACCCAGCCAGATAGTGCTTACTTTCAAAGCAATAAAAATAACACAGTTTTCATGCCCAGCGATATATTTTGGCCACATCTAGTTTTGCTCTTTGTGCTAGCAAAATCAGTTTTACTTCTTCATCTATAGGATAATTAAAGAATCTCTGAATTTGTGTTTAGGGAAAGTTACACTTTCAAGAAAAAAAAGATGCTATTTGAAATTTTGATAACTTCTTGGAAAAGACATGTGGAGACTGGTCAGTCTTTGATGGAGTGAGGGGAGTTCTATTATTTTTTATTCTTAGTAAAATATTTTTGGGGGTTGCTGTTTCCAATGTGACTGCCTTTCCTGGCATGTCACCAAATGGGAAAACGGGATGATGGGAAGGTAGGGAAAAGGCAGTATTACATTCTTCATAGTGGGATGGGGCTTTTCTGTATCTTCAGAATTCTTCATCTGCCCTAAGCACTGGCACTCAGTGCAGTGACTTTAATACACAACTTCCATAAAAGGAAAATATCCTGGATGTTTGTGTGATTCTTAGGTGGCCACCAAGCCTCTTTCCTTGTCTTTTCCCCTTACCTTGCTCTTGCTTTCCATTTCTGTTCCACATTCAACCGACAATCTTTTAGTAAGTATAATACATGGAAAGCTATGAGAGGGAAAAGTTGTTGCTTTAATTTATACTTTCTGCTAATATCACTTGCATTGGGTCATACTGATGAGCATTCTGTAGAAGATGGCATTTAGAAATATTGATAGACCCTCGTTGCCTTTGCTTGTTTTTTGTTTGTTTGTTTGTTTTTGTTTTGTTTTGTTTTTTGAGATGGAGTCTCGCTCTGTCGCCAGGCTGGAGTGCGGTGGCATGATCTCGGCTCACTGCAACCTCTGCCTCCTGGGTTCAAGTGATTCTCCTGCCTCAGCCTCCCGAGCAGCTGGGACTACAGGCACACCCCACCATGCCCAGCTAATTTTTGTACTTCTAGTAGAGACAGACAGGGGTCTCACCATGTTGACCAGGATGATCTCAATCTCTTGACCTCTTGATCCACCCGGCTTGGCCTCCCAAAGTGCTGGGATTATAGGCATGAGCCACCACGCCCAGCTGCCTTTGCTTGTTTTAAAGACACAATTCCTTTAACACACTAGGGCAGCCATCCCCAACCTTTTTGGCACCAGGTACCAGTTTTATGGAAGACAGTTTTTGCATGGACTGGGTAGGGGAGGGGGGATGGTTTCAGGATGAAACTTTTCCACCACAGATCATCAAGCATTAGATTCTCATAAGGAGCATGGCTAGGTCCCTCGCATACACAGTTCACAATAGAGTTGGTGCTCCTATGAGAATCTAATGCCACAGCTGATCTGACAGGAGGCAGAGCTCAGGCGGTAATACTTGCTTGCCCGCTGCTTACCTCCTGCTATGTGGTCCAGTTCCTAACAGGCCACAACCTGGTACTGGTCCACAGCCCAGGGGTTGGAGACCCTTGCACTAGGTAACTATGAATAAGATTGTTGGATTGTATCAATGTCAGTACTCTGGTTGTGTTGTCATACTGTAGTTTTGCAAGATGTTATCATTTGGGGAAACTGGATTAAGGATCCATGTGATCTCTCTGTATTCTTTATTACAACCACATGCAAACCTACAATTATATTATTATCACCAATAATCATATTCCTTATCTTAGATCTGTTTTTCAAAGGATGACTTCATGCTTAATGTAATATGATATTAAAAGTATGAACTTTGACCCTGACATATCTGGACTTGAGTCCTGACTCTATAACTTTTAATTGGTTATGTTACTTAACCTCACATGGTTTTGTTTTTCTCATTAAATAAGTATAGTAGTAGTTAGTACCTTACAGGGTTTTGAGGATTAAATGAGATAGAGTATGTAAATCACTTTTCCAGTGTTTGACATATAGAAAACAAGAAAAAATATTAGCTGCTGTGGTCATCATCATCATTATCATCATCATTACTATTATTACTTATGTAATTAGACATAAGAAGAACTTTTAATCACCTTTTCTCAGGCTAGAGTCTAACTAGCTACTGGATATTCTGGCTTCTCTTTAATAAAGGGCACTTGGAGTTTTTACATCATTTTACTTAAAATAAGTTTATTGTTTTACTTAAAATAAGTTTAAGTCAATTTTAACCCTTGGAACAAAATGATCATTGCTAATCAATGTATTGTAACAAACTACACAATTAATGATGGTAGATACTGAGATCAGTGTGTTCTGTATAAAATAAAATAAAAATAGAAAGGAAGGAAGGAATTTATTGAAAATTGAACAGCATTCATAGTATCCAAACTCCAGCAATATGCTTTTGAAACACAAAATTATTTTCAGCTGGAGACTTCCAGGTTTTCTTTGCCAAAACAGTGCAACCAGTGATTTCTCCCTTTTCTATCACTGAAGTCCCTCTGATGTAATGGAAAAAGCCCTGGACAGGGTGATTAGCTGTTCTGGACTCTGGATCCAGCACTGTCATGACACTGTAACCTTAGGCTCATATCTTTTACCTTCTCTAGCCACCTGTTTTCCTATGTGTAAATTGTGAGCTTTGGATTAGATTAGTGATTCTCAAAGAATGACCCCTGGACCAGCAGCCCCAGCTTCACCTGGGAACTTTTTAGAAATGTACACTGTCAGACCCCTACCTCAGATCTACTGATTCAAAGACTCTTGACGGGGAGCAGGGGGAGAGAAGGAAGCAATCTGTGTTTTAACAAGCCCTGTGAATGACTGTGATCCACACTAAAGTTTGAGATCACTGTCCTAAATTAAATTTTAGCCTAAAATTTAATTAGTTGGACTGAATTCCAGAGTTTTCTGATTCAGTAGGTATGGGGTAGAGTTTAAGAATTTGCTTTTTTAAAAGGTTCCCAGATATTGCTGATGCTGCTGGTCTGGTACCACACTTTGAGAACTACTAGGTTAGGTCATTTCCAAGTTCTATTCCAACTCTATGTTTCTGTCATTACTCTTGCTTTCACAATGTCCTTTGACCTCCTCCTTATTTACTTTTTCTCTCAAGTTATTGAATAGCCTCTGGGCTAATATTTAGTATTTGAAGTTTCTAACATAGCTTTCTTTGCAGAGTGTGATGAACAGAAATGAATTTACCTAAATTCTTACAGCTTATCTTAATATGAAACACCTACAGCTCTTTGGCATTAAAAATGAACCCGAGAGTTTGGTTAGTTATCTCATGAAGATGGAAAGTTACAAAAGAAGTAATTTAAGGCACTGAGATTCAAGAATTAATTCTGGTTTCTAATTGCTATTGACCTTTTTCTGTTGTCTCATGATCTGAAGAGCTTGGGCGACCAATATAAAAATAATGTTTTCATTCTAAGATGCTGCTAAATAAATAACACCAAAGAGCCCCAAATACATGTTCAAATGAGCATGTATTCCCACCTCTTCTTTCTCATGGTTTTCTAGATACTTGGGATGGGATAATGCTCTGTGAGGCATGTTGTCTGCTAAGCATGACAAGCCTCTGCCTGCCAAACTGAATTATTTAGTTGGCTCATGTTTTCTTTCTTAAAGTAGAGTTATGAGTAAGATCAACTATTGCTTGTTTTATTGCTTGTTTTATCAGTAATTTGATAATTTCTAGTCCTGAATATGCAAACCATATAAGAAAGGAACACGGATCTAACAAGGATTTACTGTGACATTGCATTACTTTTATGTCAGGTACTGTGCCACAAGAGATACTTTTATTGTCTATTTGGTCCTCACAATAATTGTGTAAGGTATTATAATTAGCTTCAGTTTTTACATGAAGAAATAGACTCAGAACAATTAAGTAACTGTTCAAGATTACACAGTCAAGAAAATAGCAGCATATAGATTTGAGTTCAGACTTTTTGCCAACAAGGCCTTTAGAGGCACCTAGTAAATCCTCGATAAATAAATGCATGATAAATGAATGAAGGAATGGCTGTAATCACACTATCGTATTAATGTTGACTTTTAAACAATCATAGAATTATAAAGTTGGAAAGGCTCTAAAGGTTATTATATAATCAGGTTTTTCATTACGTATTTGCTTTAAACATCTCTAACATATGGTGTTATACAGCCTTTCTTTACTGGACCAGCTCTAGGGAAAGGATATATACCATCTCTTTACTCAGAGTGACTATAGAATAGTTTATTACTAGAAAGTTCTTCTTTGCATTTCATTTCCATGAAATTTCTTCTTTTGAGCCTAGTTCTGCCCTCTGTTAACCATTCAGTCTTAATCCAATCCTTCTTCCATACATTATTATTTCAAATATTTGAAGATAACCTTACCTCTTTTATCTCTCAAGCTAAATATTCAAACATCTTCAGCTACTTCTCAGTAATAACAACATAATAAATGTTTGTGAAATGAAAGAAATAATAAATAAATATAATATCCAAACTCCTCACTTTCTTTTTCTCCCTTTTTAGAGTATAAGCCATCTGTGCTATATTTTAGGTACATATTAGGGCCATATTTCTGGAGGCAAATGAAATTATTTCCTTTGATGTACTCTTGCACTGAACAATTGTAACCCATAAAAATATTGTGTTTTATTTTCTGGCATAGAATAGTGCCCTCGTCTCTGATGTCTCAGGTTTGCATCAGGGTACAACAAGCTAGAGTTCAACAGCAAACCCGGTGCTTTTCTTCAGGGTTAAAGGCAAGACCTGGGCACTGGGGGATCAGCTCCAATTTAAGCAGGCTTAGTTTGTACTCTAATGTACGAAACTTGGGCTTACCTCAGCTAAAATGGAAGAAATAGCTGCTCAAAGCTAGTTTCTTTCATGCCCCACTGGCAAGGTAGTAATTGCACAAAGACCTTTTTATTATAAGTTGATTTTCTTGAGAAATGAATTCAGAAAAATCCTGTAAAGTGTTTATTTTTTGCTTGCCCTTTATTAACCCACATCTTAGGGCTTTCCCTAGAGAAAAACTGTTGGTAAACGAAACCTCTTAGACCTACACAGAAGCATTTTTTGCACTGTGTCCCTGGCTATGAAGGGAACAGGGACAGGACAAGGCAAGTCAGTGCTAATTAAACAGGGTCATTAGCCAGTGTATGGAATTTTGCCTAAAGAGAAGATTTAGGAATTTAGACAGGGAAGGGTTTGGGGTTGGAAGAATTACTGGTAAAGGTTTGTATCTTAAAAAAGATATAATATAGCCCTTTTATACCAGTGAAAAGGCTAAATACCCTGTTTGAACTTAAAGATAATTTCTTTTGGTATATCTTAGTTTTCATCTTTAAATAAGAAAAGTCCTGTATTCAACCTATAAAACTGTGCCCTGAAAGCCAGGACAAAACCTTCCTGTCATGCTATCCTGGAATCCGGGCAGCATGCATAGAGTAAAGAAGGAAGCTAGGAAATTAAAATGTAATTTTCACAAGCATGATTCTGTCATAGCTCTTATTTTCTTTATATGGAATACAAATACTGATATAGAGTAAAGATTTTTCTATTTTGCATTTTTTGTGCTCTTTGATACATTTATTGAGGTCAAATGAAATTTGATATAGTAGGATTTATTATGAAATGTTCTCTGAAAACAACTCCATAATTACTGAGCTACATGGTAGTGCATAAAGCTGTAAAACTGCTTAGCCAGACAAGCAATTTATATGTTACATCGAGGTGTGTATGGCAAAGAGTATTACTTTAATTGGGAGCCAAGATGTAGTAGCCTTAAATCTGAAGAGCTATATGTTTAACATAATGCATGAGGCTTTGAAATAAGATACCTAAACTGGGGAGATACAGCTTTTAGAATATATATTAATTAGACATTATTTTCTGACCATGGATACTAAATACTGTTTTTGAAAGAAAGCACAGAATGCAAAGCAGGTGAAAGGGCAAAACCTCTCAACATTGTACAGTGCTAGAAAGGAAGCAAACTTATTTCTTCTAGTTCTTTGTTTAAAAGAAAAAATAAAAGGAAAAAAGTCAAGAGAAAAGAAAACCATTAACTACAGTTCGGTGGAAGCAGGGACGAGGCAAATGCACAATGAAGTTACGTCTTCGGTATGCTATTAGCATCTCAGAAAAGGGATTTGGTGGATTTTAACTGAATTTTCTCAGATTGCAGATTTGGAATGAGGTTAGAGGTGGGTGGCTGTGTGGGTACCAGCACACCACCAGGAGTGAAAAACAAATTCTTCTTGGCATACATTTGCTCCCTGTCTGATCATAGGCTCTCTTCTGTTTAGCAGGTTCAGGGTCACATGCCTCCGCTCATGATCCCAATTTTTCCACATGACCAGCGGACTCTGGCAGCAGCTGCTGCTGCCCAACAGGGATTCCTCTTCCCCCCTGGAATAACATACAAACCAGGTAAGTAGAGAGGGATTTAACATTCTTTTCCAAATGCTCAGATCTGCATGTTTATGCTTAGTACTCACAACAAACACAGGAGCATGCCAGGGAACTATGAATAAAAATATCATAAAAGCTTATTTTAAAGTAAAATTAGAATTGGGAAGAGTGGGCATTGTAATAAACTAATTGGTTGCTAAAAACTTTTACTTTCTCTTCTTCCACTTGAGTTTGTCTTGAATTCACAGATAAGATACTACTTTCCCTGGGGACTACAATGTTTTTGTCAGCTCTCTCTCATACTTTTACTGTGAATAATTGTTTTTTGGTTAAAGATCCTTTTCTCCTGGTGAGAGCTGTTATATTCTGGAAAAGTGATCACATTCAGTATAAAATGTCATTGTTTGTTGTCAGACTTCTCTTAGAAAGATAGTTAAAACTAGACTGATTTAATTAGCTTACCACTAATGGTAAAATTGTTTTTGATTTTCATCTAAAAAAATGAAGTATTCAGTACTTTTTAATTCATTTTTAAACCTCAAAAAACAGGTCATGTAACCTTGCAGTGAAATATGTTTTAAGATGATTTAGCAAATGTTGTGATTTTTCTTTTTTCCTCGGAGTTTACTGGACTCCTGGGGAATTCAATTAGGGGCATAATGGTTTGAAGCTTCTTTCAGAGCCTCCTTGTAAACAGGGCTTTAAATGTTTAAAGATATGTTGCCAAAGGAATCCAATGTAAGAAGATAGTCAAGTAAATAAAAGTCAACCTTAATTTCATTTGTGCATTCTTTGTAAGTGACCTCAGCTCAGAAGTAGTGACCTTGTTCTACTCATTAATAATTTCTGTGTCAAGTTCTTTTTAACATATTAACCTGATTATATTTACCATCAAATCTGAGTACAACAAATCTGCGTGCAGCAGTTTCTTTGTGTATGTGGTTTATAAAGTGAACAAAGGCGTTTTAATATGCTTAGAGCAATAATAAAATATAAATCACTTTACTAAAATTCTGGAGAAGAAAGCTTATTAAATAGCATAAAAACAAGCCTAGTGCATTTTAGCATCTGTTTTAATTGCTTGTTGCCAGTGATTACTCTTTTGTATTTGATAGAGAACTTCCTTCTTTGTAAGAAAAGGTAGGATGTCTGTGGCAAAACACGAATGATTCAAGGAATTGAGATGTTATGAGATTGGTGAGTTTAAGGGCTGTCTGAAAATTCCTCACATATAAATGAATCAAACTCATATTACCAAAAGGTTTTTGGATACCTGAGAGAAAATTATGTCATTCAAATTGTTAAAAATTCATTTTTCTAGAGCATGATTTTTAGAACAAGGTATACTTAGCTACTATGACATTGGCATCTATATTAAGGACAGGAGTATATTTTTTCAGAGAATTTTTTTTTTTTTTTAGTGAAGTGGTTCAGTCTTCCTGTGATCTCTGTAAGTCATTCTAAACTACTTCTTCATTTTGACTTTCTTTGGAACATTGAAGTAAGCCAAGTTTACTGTTCTATTCTGAATTTGAGTTTGACACCCCTGTACCAGTCCCAGAAACATTTTAAATGAACTGTATGTGGAAATTATCTATTTGACTTCAGTGTTTTTAAAGTTAAATTTATCCACATTTCAAAATCAGTTATGGGTCTTATTTTCTGTTAGACGTAGACATCTTGCTTACCTAATTTTGTTGAAACAATACCGCCACTTTTCATGGGGGAAGATATTGTTTTATTAGTGATTTTAGACCATTTTTCAAATGTCTTCTCTAACAGCATTAATGAGATTATAATATGTAACTGAGAAAAACAGAGAAATTGGGACAATATTGTGCAGAAATTAGTTACTTCTATTGAACAAAGGGCAGCTTAAAGTTAGTGTCCTGGGGTAACAGAGCTGTATTTGATTATGTTGGCCAAACTGTGTTGGATAAGGCAGGACAATGGGTTTTGAGATGTAGGAAGAGTTTTAATTACAAGCAAGGTTGGTAAAAAAAAGTGTTTACTTTCGTGTGACTCCTAAATTATGTCAGACAATTTCATTAATCAGAACTCTAATTCTTTCAATATTTTGGCTAACCTAGGCTTTATTGTATATGAAAAATGTGTTTAAAATTCATTAAAATTATATGTTCTTACGCTATTAGTAGAGAAATTACATCCTCAGAAGACTTAATCAATCTATGCAGTGTTTTTATCATTCACATGAATTAGGTGAAGAGACTTCTATTGGACTGGAAACTGGACAAGTACAATACAACTTCTTTTTGCCCCAAACTGAGCTATGGTAACTTCACTTGAAATGTATGTGAGGGCTGGGTGTGGTGGCTCATGCCTGTAATCCCAGCACGTTGGGAGGCTGAGGGGTGGGAGGATCACTCAAGCCCAGGAGTTCAAGACCAGCCTGGACAACATAGTGAGCCCTTGTCTCTAAAAAGATTAAAAAGTTAGCAAAGCATGGTGGTGTTCACCTGTAGTCCTAGCTACCCAGGAGGCTGAGGTGGGAAGATTGCTTGAGCCCGGTAGGTTGAGGCAGCAGTGAGCCGTGATTCTGCCACTGCACTCCAGTCTTAGCAGCAGAGTGAGACCCTGTCTCAAAAACAAAATGAAATAAAATAAAATAAAATAAAAAAGAAAAGAAATGTATGTGAGACAGCAATGACTAAATTTTTGAAAGAAAACCTTGAATTGGTGGCATAAATTTGTATTCTGGTTCCCTAAACAACAAGATGAACAAGTGCTACCTTGGTCTTTATAAATTGAAAAAAATAAATTTCCTTTTTTTTTCCCTTTCCACTTTCCCGTATCTGAAATGATTTCATGGTATTTGTGCCTTCAGCTGATTGAATAATTATCTTAATTTCCAGAGAGCAAGGACTACCTTGGGGTGACATTCATTGTTTGTTAAAGTTGACTGTTTCTGAATCCATGTTAAGACAGTGTAAGCAAATACATTTAGGGTTATAGGCCTTCACTCCCCACCCTATGATTTGACCTGTGCCTCTGGGCATTTCAGAGTCCCAGCGTGTAGTAAACACTAGGCAAGCTCTCCCACCTCAGTGGGTTGCTGAGGGGGCATGCTGCCCACAGGGATTGTTCAGCTCCAGGACAGCATCTTTCAGATTGTTCTCTCTAGAAATAGCTTTATTGAGTTTTAATCCCTATTTTTAAAAATGTTTTACAGGTTCTATAATTAGAGACATATTTCTTGATAGGAACTCATCATCAGATCCCAGAACATAAACCACAGACTTTTGGTTGCTTTGCTCTTTCACATTGTGATACAGAGAGGTGCACCAATCAAGAGTAAGATAGATACATTTGAGCACAAATATTGGAGAAAATTAAAAGATAAAGCATCTTTCACAGTTGCCAATGTGTATATCCAATCAAGATCAGCTTGCCTGAAAAACAGAAACGATGAGTAGCCCCCTTCATACTTCAGGCTTGATTTAGCTGACCCATTGCTTTATGTAGTTGGAATTTTTTACATGATTGCGGCTAGAAAGCACACTTGAAGTTTCCTAGAAGGTCCTAGGAACAGGATGTCTGCCTGTTCCTGGGTCTTCCATTTACTCACTAGTTATGATATGATAATATATGATAATAATAATAGCTAAAGCTTACTGATTGATACTGTGCCAAATACTGTGCTACATATTTCACATGGACTATTTTATTTCATCCTTACTTGAACATGTCATTTAATCTTGCTGAACCTCACTTTTTGTCATCTAAGAAATGTGTCACGATTTGTTCACTACCCAACGTGGACGTGAAAATTAAATTTTGTAAAATATCTAAAAGTTCTCTGAAAATGATAAAGCACTAAGATTGGGAGTAAAGTCTGACGGTGAAACTGAGTAACTTTAGCCTGTTAAACTACATCCTTATCCATTGGAAATGCGGCCCAAAAGCTGAGTGTTAGACTGAGTCATAGTGTCCCTCTGCTCAACGACCAAAAACAATTTTACAAGTATACCTAATGTTTCTTTTTTATTGCAGTAAAATATACATAATATAATAGTTATTGTTTTAGCCATTTGTAAGTATATAACTCAGTGGCGTTAATATATTTTCAATATTGTATAACCAACACCACAATCCATACCCAAAACTTTTTCATCATACCCAACAAAAATGCTGTAGCCATTAAATAATAACTCTCTCTATCCCTCTACCCTTAGTCTCTGGTAACCTCTATTCTATTATTTTTCTCTATGCATTTGCTTATTGTAGGTACTTCATATAATTGGAATAATACAATATTTATCCTTCTATGTCTAGCTTATTTTGGTAAGCATAACATTTCAAGGTCCATCCATATTGTAGCATACATTAAAATATAATTTTATTGCTGAATAATATTCAATTGTGTATATATATGTATATATATGTATATATATATACATATATATACATATATATGTATACAGATCACATTTTGTTTATCTGTTCATCTGTTGATAGGCACTTAGTTTGTTTCTACCTTTTGGCTATTATGAATAATACTTCTGTGAATATGGTTATAGAAATGTTTGTTAGAGTCCCCACTTTCAATCCTTTTGGATATATACCTGTGAGTTGAATTAATGGATTATATGAAGTTCTATGTTTAAACTTTTGAGAAACCACCAAACTGTTTTCCACAGTAGCCGTGCCATTTTATATTCCCACGAGAAATGTAAGAGGGTTCCAATTTCTTCACATTGTTGCTAACACTTGTTATTTTCAACTAAATTTTTTTATTATTATCATCCCAGTAGGTGTGAAGTGGTATCTCGCTGTGATTTTGATTTACATTTCCTTAATGATTTATGATGCTGATCATCTTTTCATGTCCTCATTGGCCATTTGGATATCTCCTGTGGAGAACTGTCTATTCAAGTAGTTTTCCCATTTTTGAGTTGGGCTTTTGTTGTTGTTGAGTTTCAGTTATTTGTGTATTGTGGATATTAATACCTTATCAGATATATCATTTACAAATATTTTCTCCCATTCTGTAATTTGTCTTTTAGCATTCTTCATAGTATCTTTTTATACACTAAAGTTCTTAATTTTGATGGAGTCCAATTTATCCATTTTTTCCTTTGGTGCCTGTGCTTTTGATGTTATATCAATGAAATCATTGCCAAATCCAATGTCATAAAGATTTACCACTATGTTTTCTTCTAAGGGTTTAGTTTTTTTAGCTTCTAAGTTTATGTCTTTGATCCATTTGAGTTGATTTTTGTATACTGTGTAAGGTAAAACCTTTTTCTATTGTTTTACATCTTTTGCACATGGATGTCCAGTTTTCCCCACAACATTTGTTGATAAGACTATCCCTTCCCCCATTCAATGGTTTTTGCACCTTTGTCAAAAATCAATCAACTATATATGTAAAGGTTTTAATTTTGAGCTTTCTATTATATTTAATTGGTAGATATGTATATATATATACACACACACATATGTATATATATATATATGTCTCCTTATGCCAGTACCATCCTGTTTTAATTGCTGTAGCTTTGTGTTAAAATTTGAACTATGAGCTTTCCAACTTTATTCGTCTTTTTCAAGATTGTTTTAGTTATTGGGACCTCTTGTAATTCCATATTAATTTGTGAATTGGCTTTTCCATTTCTGTGAAATAGGTTGTTGTAATTTTGATAGGGATTGCTTTGACTCTGCAGGTTGCTTTGGGTAGTATTGCCATCTTAACAGTGTTAAATCTTCCTACCCATGAGCACAGATGCTTTTCCATTTATTTATGTCATCTTTAATTTCTTTCAAAAACGTTTTATAGTTTTCAACATACAAGTCTTTCATCTCCTTGGTTAGATTTATCCCTAAGTGTTTAGTTCTTTTTAATACTTTCGTAAATGAAATTGTTTTCTTAATTTTCTTTTGGGTTGTTCGTTGCTGATGTTTAGAAACACAGCTGATACTTGCGTGTTAAGCTTATACTCTGCAACTTTGCTGAATTTATTAATTCTAGTAGCTTTCTCAGGGACTCTTTGGGATTTTCTATATATAGGATTATGTCATTTGCAAATACAAATAGTTTTACCTCTCCCTTACCAATTTGATACATTTTATTTCTTTTTCTTGTCTAATAGCAGTGGCTAGCACTTCCACTACAAGACTGAATAGCAGCAGTGAAAGTGAACATTATTGTCTTGTTCTCGATCTTAAGGGGAAAGCTTTCAGTCTTTCACCATTGAATATGAAGTTAGCTGTGGATGTTTGTTTGTTTGTTTAACAAACAGGGTCTAGCTCTGTTGTCCAGGCTAGAATTAAGAGGTATGATCATAGTTCACTGTGGCCTTGAACTCCTGGCTTCAAGCAATCTTTCTACCTCAGCCTCCCAAGTAGCTGGGACTATAGGCACGTGCCACCACACTTGGCCAGCTGTAGGCTTTTTATAAATAGGTTTCATCATGCCGAGGTCTTTTTCCTCTATTACTAGTTTTCTGAGAATTTTTTATGATGGAATAATATTAGACTTTTGTCAGATGCCTATTCTGTGTCAATTGAGATGATCATGTTGGTTTTTTTTTCCCTTTGTTCTATTAATGTAATGCTTGACACTGATTTGATCCCTTGCATTCTTGGGATAAATTCCACTTTGCCCTGGTAAGTAATTCTTTTAATTTGCCATTGGATTTGTTTTGCTAATATTTTGTTGAAGATTTTTATATCTATATTTATATGGGATAGTGGACTGTAGCTTTCTTTTCCTGTGATATCTTTATCTGGTTTTGGTATCAAGATAATGTTAGCCTTATAAAATGAATTAGAAGTACTCCCTCCCCTTCATTTTTTTTTTGTAAGAGTTTGAAAAGGATTGGTATTAATTCTTCTTTAAACATTTGGCAGAATCCGTTGGTAAAGCCATCTAGGCCAGAGCTTTTCCTTACTGGGAGGTCTTTGATCATTGATTCATTGTCTTTACTTGTTATGGGTCTGTTGAGGTTTTCTATTTCTTCTTGAGTTGGGTAATATTCATGTTTTAAGGAATTTGTCCATTTCTCCTAGGTGTTGAATTGGTTAATGTACAATTGTTATGACTGCATAATTATTCAGGGCTTCTTTTTAATTTCTTTGTTTTAGTTAGCATTTATTGAGCACCATTTGTTTTCCAAGATAACCCCCAACCTGTGTATGTGTGTGTGTGTGTATGTGTGTAATCTCATTTAATAACCCCCAACCTGTGTATGTGTGTGTGTGTGTATGTGTGTAATCTCATTTAATTTTCATAATAACTCTTAGATATAAGTGGTAATAAATGGTATCATCTCTGCTTTATTAAAAGAAAATAAGAAACTGATACTCAAAAAAGTTAACTTTTCCAAGAGTTCCACATCTTGAAATAGCGGAGATAGAATTCAGACTGAAGTTCTCTGATTTGACACTTCATACTCTTGGGGCCTTGGTCTAAGTATGTGTGATCTTAAGAAAATCTGACCTTTTCTCAGTGAATAAAATGTAATTTTTACATGTGGTGTTATGCAAATGACATCTTGTAAAGCCACTCATTTCTGTCTCTTCCAGAGTATTTCAAAGCAGAGATATGAACTGCTATTGTAATAGTTGATTATTTAAATATATCTACTCAGAATCAAAGCATTTCTGAGGTTCTTCAGATTAGCACCCTAATTTTTAAATCGGTGTTGGGGTCCAGGAAGAAAATATGTTCAGCTGTGTAAACTAACCTAGTTTTTTAAAGGTCTATAATCTTAACTGTGTTCTCCTCTGTAGATGGAGGCTATATCATTGATGAGCTATCATGAAGGCATGAACTTTGAGAGTTTATTTTTTAATTTTTAATTTTTATTTGTTTTATTTTTTGAATGTCAATAGTGGTGATTTCTGAGATTTTGGTGCACCCATCACCCAAGCAGTGTACACTGTACCCAATATGTAGTCTTTTATACCTCGCTATCCCCCAACCTTTCCCCCAATCCCCAAAGTTCAATGTGTCATTCTTATGCCTTTGCATTCCTCATAGCTGAACTCTCACATGTGAGTGAGAATACGATGCTTGGTTTTCCATTTCTGAGTTACTTCACTTAGAATAATAATCTCCAATTCCAACCAGGTTGCTGTGAATGCCATTATTTCATTCCCTTTTATGGCTGAGTAGTATTCCATGGTGTATATATATATATACCACATTTTCTTTATCCATGCGTAGATTGATGAGCATTTGGGCTGTTTCCATATTTTTGCAACTGCAAATTGTGCTGCTGTAAACATGCATGTGCAAGTATCTTTTTCATGTAGTGACTTCTTTTCCTCTGGGTAGATACCTAGTAGTGGGATTGCTGGATCAAACAGTAGGTCTACTTTTAGTTCTTTAAGGACTCTTCATACTCTTTTTCATAGTGTTTGTACTAGTTTACATTCCCAACAGTGTAAAAGTGTTCCCTTTTCACCACATCCACGCCAGTATCATTATTTATTTTTTTTTTATTATGACCATTCTTGCAGGAGTGAGGTGGTATTGCCTTGTGGTTTTGATTTGCACTTCCCTGACAATTAGTGATGTTGAGCTTTTTTTTATATGATCATTGGCCATTTGTGTATCTTCCTTTGAAAATTGTCTATTCATGTCCTTTGCCCACTTTTTAATGGGATTGTTTGTTTTTTTTCTTGCGATTTGAGTTCTTTGTAGATTCTGGATATTAGTTCTTTGTTGGATGTATAGATTGCGAAGATTCTCTCCCACTCTGTGGGTTGTCTGTTAACTCTGCTGATTATTTCTTTTGTTGTGCAGAAGCTTTTTAGTTTAATTAAGTCCCATCTATTTATCTTTGCTTTTGTTGCATTTGCTTTTGGGTTCTTGGTGATGAATTCTTTGCCTAAGCCAATGTCTAGAAGGGTTTTTTCCAATGTTATCTTCTAGAATCTTTATGGTTTCAGGTCTTAGATTTAAGTCTTTGATCCATCTTGAGCTGAAGTTTTTTACAAGGTGAGAGATGAGGATCCAGATTCATTCTACGTGTGGCTTGCCAATTATTCCAGCATCATTTGTTGAATAGGGTGTCTTTCCCCATTTTATGTTTTTGTCTGCTTTGTTGAAGATCAGTTGGCTGGAAGTATTTGGCTTTATTTCTGGGTTCTCTATTCTGTTCTATTGGTCTATGTGCCTATTTTCATACCAGTACCATGCTGTTTTGGTGACTATGGCCTTATAGTATAGTTTGCAGTCAGGTAATGTGGTGCCTCCAGATTTATTCTTTTTGCTTAGTCTGTCTTTGGCTATGCAGGCTCATTTTGGTTTCATATATATTTTAGGATTCTTTTTACTAGTTCCTTGAAGAATTATAGTGGTATTTTTATGGGAATCACATTGAATTTGTAGATTGCTTTTGGCAGTATAGTCATTTTTAAAATATTGATCCTACCCAACCATGAGCATGGGATGTGTTTCCATTTGTTTATATAATCTATGATTTCTTTCAGCAGTGTTTTGTAGTTTTCTTGTAGAGGTCTTTCACATCTTTAGTTAGGTATATTCCTAAGTATTTTATTTTATTGCAGCTATTGTGAAAGGGGTTGAGTTCTTGATTTGATTCTCAGCTTGGTCACTGTTGGTGTATAGCAGAGCCACTACGTTGTGTACATTAATTTTGTATCCTGAAACTTTGCTGAATTCATTTACCAGTTCTAGGAGCTTTTTGGATTAGTCTTTAGGACTTTCTAGGTATACAATCATATCATGAGCAAACAGCGACACTTTGACTTCCTTTTTACCGATTTGGATGCCCCTATTTTCTGTCTGTTGTCTCATTGCTCTTGCTAGGACTTCCAGTACTATGTTGAATAGAAGTGGTTAAAGTGGGTATCCTTGTCTTGTTCCAGCTTTTAGGGAGAATGCTTTCAACTCTTTCTCATTCACTATAATGTTCGCTGTGGGTTTGTTGTAGATGGCTTTTATTGCTTTAAGGTATGTCCCTTCTATGCTAATTTTGCTGAGGGTTTTAATCACAAAGGGATGTTGGGATTTTGTTAAATGCTTTTTCTGCATAT
Source organism: Homo sapiens (assembly GCF_000001405.40). Taxonomy (NCBI): domain Eukaryota; kingdom Metazoa; phylum Chordata; class Mammalia; order Primates; family Hominidae; genus Homo; species Homo sapiens. Next base: position 16,101,794 of record NC_000011.10, on the reverse strand, counting down.
ATTGAGATGATCATGTGAGTTTTATTTTTAATTCTGTTTATGTGGTGTATCATGTGTATTGATTTCCATATGTTAAGCCATCCCTGCATCCCTAGTATGAAACTGAGGATTTTTTAAATCAATTTTATGTAATGGGGATGAATTTATGTGAGTTCATTCACACTCACTTATTTAATTGCCATTGTGACAAATTCCACAGATTTTCGGATGATTGGTCAAGGGTTTGGATGCAGCTGTGAAATAAGTGAAGAAAGTAAGGTTGAGCCTTGATTCTTAGCTTTCTTAAAGGTAGAAAAAACACTGCAGATGATCTTAGAAGAAATTCTGAGGTCAAGACTCTTTTCATCATTGATCTATTCTTTGACGAATAGAAAGGGAGAAATTTAGCAGGAGAAATAACAACATAGTGATCTCAACAATATATATTATAATCCTTGCTAATTTTATTTTTCATTTGTCCTCAGGACAAATTGAAGCTTTTGTGTCACCTATTACCTGCTAACATTTACTACAGTGTGGTTTCGCATAAAGACAAATTCAGACTTATGGCATTCCCTCAGAGTGTAGAGGAATTGTAATATTTTGCTGTACCAAATGCGTGCATCCAGGCAAGATCCATGCTAAGTGGTATGTTCAAGTTTGCATCAGTGGTTGTGATTCAAATATGTTCATATTGTAACAAGAATGGCTATAGCTCATAAAGGTGGGCTCTATAGTTGTTTGGCAACTTATTATCATTTTATGATGCTGGCACACAATAATTTTTGAGTTAGTTAGGGATGTGTAACATATTTTTCTTCTGTTATGGAGGCTGGGAAATGAGGTATGCGACTGAAGAATCTTTTGTCCCGTCTTCTAGTTCTGTTTTATTTTTTTTCTCTCTCTACTCCTTCCAAACTTTCTAAATTATTTCTTCAATGTGTTAACATCTGAAGTTACTATCTCAGGATACTGCAACTATCCCAGTCCTTTGTCTTTCTGAAGAATGAAAGTAAATTGACAGACTTTTACCCATGGGATTTTTGGCTTTTTTTTTTTTTAAAAGGTAGACTTTATATCTGAATTATTCAAATTAAAAGCATTATTGCAGGAGGTAGCCTGAATCTAATGGGTTGTAGGTTCTTAGTACAAGCTCCCCTTCTCCTGCCGTTAAGTTTTACTAATTTTCTGCTTCATGTCAGTTTCTATGAAAATTTAAGAATTTATTTTCTCTCATTTAGGGACTCTTGCTGTTTTGATTCCAAAGGAATGCTGCCTATTCTGACAAGTGAAACTAATGTCAAGCAAATTTTCCATAAGTTTTAAATCCTACTTTGTCTTTGTTTTGTACTCTTATGATAAAAACTGTCAGTTGAAATATGTAGAAAGCTGGAAAATGGATTTACAGAATGGACATTATTTCTCAAATTGGTTTTTGAAAGTTGTCTTCTTACACTAGAGGTAGCAAGGGCCAGATTACAGTAGTGCATAAAGCCAACCTGTTTCAACAAGCTTCACCTTCCATGTACAAATTTTAAAAGAATGGGTCCTCATGAAAGCATTTCAAATCCAGAGACAAATTTGAAAAAAATTGCTACAACATGTTGACTGATTCCTTGCCAAGTCAGGCACTGAGAACTTTTTCTTGATTGACTTACACAGAAAATTAGAGCAGCATAAGGGAAACATGCAACTTTGTTATTAAAAAACTAAACTTCACAATACCCTTAAATCCCTCTCCCTCTTAAATTTTTCTTTTCTACTTGTAATCTCCCTCTTCTTCTCCCTCATCTTCTACCCCTCCTGCCTTGTCCTTGTTCTCTTTCTTCTAATCATTCTCTGTTATATACTCTGTTGCTCTAATGTATTCATTTTTACTTTTAATGTTGAAACAATGATATGTTATGGAGAAATAGCTTTCTAAAGATTATATTCAGGTATACAGATTCAAAGAAGGATAAAAGTTAAAAATGTTTTTAAAATATGCCTGTCAGCAGTGGAAAGAAAGCTGTTTGTAGCCAGCAGGTGAGCTGGAAAGTACTATAGGGTGTGGTAGAGATAGTAATAAATTAACTGGCAAGCCAAAAGCTGTAAAAAAAAAAAAAAAAGCTATTTCATAGCACAGAAGCATGACAGCTATGAAAAAAGGAGTGCCCCAGGGAATTCTTTTAGAGTTTGATTTTTTTAAAATATGTTTGACATGAAAAATGTTTTAGTACAAATAAAGCAACTGGTATTAAACTTACAGGGAGGGGGGTTGTGGTTTAGAGTTAGTATGAATAATGCATGATATTTAAAGAAAGAACAGCTCTAAAATGTTCCAGGAGGCAGTCCATGTCGATGGTTAGAATGGTGATTTTTTTCCCCTATTTTTGAAGCATCATTAATTCAGCATCGTTTTGTGATTTTTTTAAAACTTGATATCTACCAAAGAAATACTATTTGACTTAGATTAGGATATTCTTCCTTCAGATAATTTAGTTTAAATATCAAGAAGATCAGTAGAATTGTTTAAGCATAAAGTGACAGTCATTTACTATAAAAAATAATTTGGCCTAGTTATCTTTTTTAAAAAGCTCATATAGTACTGCAAACCAAAATCAACCTCATGGAAGGAGAAAAACAAGATCAGATATTTTGAACATTACTCCATAGGAGACCAGCACAATATAATGTTAGTGAATGCATTGTAGCAGCGCTCCATATGCAATCAGAAGCCAATTGTTACTGGACTGTGTACAAGCACACACTGTGCTCAATGGTCTGATGAGGTATTATGGATATGATGCAAAGAGACTGTGTAGATTAGAAGCTAACAATTTGTTAAAAGTGAAAGCAACTTAACATTTACATTGGGCCAGCTGAGTAGCATTTCATATGGCAAGCAGGATGAGTTCCCAGGAACCAGAGTCACCAGGAAGGCTCCAGGTATTCGTGTCCATACCCCAACTCCAAAAAAAGTTTTCTTGCTTTCCAGTTGACTGCCTTTATTACTGAGATTCTTTCTAAGCTGTCTATTCATTATTACATTCAGCTTTCAGTGTGGAAAGTTCATGCAAAACAACATGATTATTATAAATGTCAAAAATGTGTGGAGGAACAGCCTATTAAAATATAGCCTAGAGATATTACATAACGCTGACTTTAAATAAGTAGCTGAAGCCAAAGTGATACTCCATTAAATCACTGATATTGTGAAATTTATCCACACATACTAATTTTTATTTCAGTTACCTCTGTCATGATATGTTTCTCCTTACTTTGTTTTGGTTCTTCAGGTTACTGCACACAGCCTGTGTTCTTAGGTCACAGAAGGTACTTCCGTCTCCCTTTTTAGGAATGATCTGAAGTCAGAAACACATTAAGATATAGCATTCATCTCTGCTGAACCATACTCACTCTTTACCAGGTGTTTAGTACAGATATTCCATGTAAAATGCGCATTTATTTAATCAAAGCATCATTAAAATATGTTTGATAAGTGCTTAGTATGCATGATTCTGTACTAGGATCCACCAGTACAGTACCAGAGGTTAATCCAGACAAACATGGTTTCTACACTTATGGGGATACCAGACATTTCACAGAATGCTGGAAGATAAGATTAGCTGTCCTCTCAGCCCTATCATATTGAAGAGGTTGTATTTTTTAATTTTTAAACTTGTTTAATAAATAAAGTTTAGAATTATGAGCAGTCAATAGCTCAGAGCCCTTTTTGGACTCTAATACTCTTCTTTGCCTACAAAGCCAAAACTTTTTGTTGTTCTAATATAAAAGCCTTAATGCTTTCCCAGTGTACTGAGTGTCAGCCTGGCTTAAAGATATTTTTTTACTCTTAAAAAATGATGTATTACAAGATTCGCAATGGAGTGAACATGCTTGAATTGCACATTTAAGTTTTTTTAACATCACATTCATGTTTTGCCAGTTTGCCTACCAGCTATCTGTTAACAAAAAGTTCCAAGGCAGCACTGCAAGTCTGTGCCCAACTAAGCCTTTTGTTTCTGCAGATGTTTGGGCTTAGAGCAATGTTGTAAAGCTCAGGCAATCCAAGGACCATGTTTGTACTTGTCTGCTGCAATTCCCTGTGCATTGTCTAAACCTGTATGCATTGTTCTTTCCGACAGGTGATAACTACCCCGTACAGTTCATTCCATCAACAATGGCAGCTGCTGCTGCTTCTGGACTCAGCCCTTTACAGCTCCAGGTAAGTGCCAGAAGAAAAAAATGTGGGATATGAGCCAGTACTTTAGTGGAAAACTGCTAACCAGCTGTATGCTAAATAATGGCCTGAATGTTAAATAATTTTTTAAGCATAGCCCAGAAGGATTAACACCTTATTTGCTTATCGTAATGCAAATAGAAGAGAAAACTGCCAGTTTCAATATTTTTAAAGGAAAAGATCACATTAGGACTTAATACTATGTATTCTCTATCAGATGAGTGAATAGTTTTACAATTTCAATGGCTAGTTGTTACTGCATACATGTTAGCTTTTTCCTTGTTAGTTTTTCATCTGTGTCTCCACTTATGTCCAGATTAGCTTTTGCATATAAAAATTGAAACAAAAATGATGTTGGATATTTTTTCCTTCTTGTAGCTCATAGAATAAGGGGTTGTTATTTTCAAATTACATGATAATTATTTTGTAAATTGTAAATGCATTGCTCCTTAATATATGTGTCCTCACCCTTTCTAGGGTCAAAAGTCAGGGCATGGTGTCTGATAAATTTTGCATTGGTGTTTCTTATTTATAAAGCTAAACTTGGGGGGAAAGTGTTTTGGAAGCTGATTGAAAAATCATTTACACCTTATCTTCTTCACAATAAAGTGAGTTTGGAATAGGAATAGCTGATCATTATACCCTTCTACTACTACCACTTGAATGGGAGGTTGACTTTGAATATGAATGTATATTTGTATTAATAAAAACAAAAAGCTGAGATCATTAAAATAAGTCAAACATTCAGTATTTGGATATTTAGAGAATATAAGATAATCAACAACTTGACTTCAATATAGTAGAAAGTTTTATTAAAGATAGTTTTTATTCTTAAAATATACTATAATTATTTTTGAGTTTTCTTAAATTATCTACAGAATAGCATCTGGTGAAGCATTTTTATTTTTGTGTTGCTAGTCTCTATGTGACTTGAACATAAAAAGTATACAACTATTGTCCCATGAAAAAACATCATTTTGAATGTTTCCAACTGGATCTGCAAATAAAGAATTTCTGCAATACTTTGAGAAATTTTGTCATGAGTCATGATCCAGGAAGTTATAAAGATGTAACCCATTATGGGCTGCCTAGCAGAGCTAGAAATTTCGCCTAAGAAGAGCAGCAACCTCACCTCTCTTGCAAACCTTCACCTTTCACGCTACTAACACTGAAACCTACTATAGTTGGTGCAAGTCTAAAAAGAACCCTCACTATTATAAACCTAATATATTTCTTCTCTTCCTATAGCTGTGCTATTGAGTATCTTCTTGAGTCAGAGGCAGAAACAAGAAATCAGTGCCACTGTTTGATACTGTAACCAAATTTCTGTAAAAGAAAGAAACTGAGTCTTAAACTTTCTACTTTCTATTTTTTGATGTGGTCAATACCCTGGATTTAGAAATATGTATTCTGTTTCATGAGTTCTGACAGTATGTTTTGTCTTTTTTTTTTTTTCTGAATATGCTACTAAACAGAAGGGTCATGTCTCCCACCCACAAATTAACCAAAGGCTAAAGGGCCTAAGTGACCGTTTTGGCAGGAATTTGGACACCTTTGAACATGGTGGTGGCCACTCTTACAACCACAAACAGATTGAGGTATGAATGCTTCCATTGATGCTTCATTGGGTTGGGGACTGGATTGTTCAGTCATACTCTAGGCTTTTTTTTTTTTTTTTTAAAGTGGCAAACACTCAACCTAAACACTGAACTTAATCTTTCCCTTTTTCTCATTCCTAAGGAGGCTCTTCTTTTGCCCCTTTTCTTTCAGAGAAAAAAGCAAATCCCAAAGCAATGCCCCTGAATTAAGGTTGTTCTTTGCCATATATATTCACACAAAAGCTTTACATTATAAGTGTCTTCAAAACCATGTTTCTTCCCTCACTCTTTTATATTTTCTTATGCATAGTGTTGTATAGTATTTTTTAAAAAATACTTAAACATTAAAAAATTATTTGACCATAGAATAACCCTGTAAATTTGATCAAATATAATTCTGCTTGTATAGATAAAACAGCTGAGGTTTGGAGAGGTTAAGTTATTTAACCAAGGCTATAAAATATTCGTTGAGTCAAGGTTATTGCCCAGGATTTCTAATTCTACGTACTCAGTTTTCTCAGAATGAAGTAGGGGTGGGTGCCTGGGCCTGGATGATTGCTTTTTCCAAGACAAACTTCTGTAGTATTCTTTTCATATTTCACCTTCCAGTAGAGTCCTTTGTTGTTTTGTTGGGATATTCTTACCACTGAGAGAAGATGGCTTATGAAAACCAAGACCTTTTCTTCTATAAGAACCCAGTCCTTCTCTCTCCAATTTCATGCTTAATTCCTTTTCTGCCTCACCGGGGTCCCTCACTGGGACTCTCATATTGGAGAATTTCCAGCTATCTGTTGAATTTTTTAAAAAGTGGATACAGTTTACCTCAAACTGAAACACACTTTAATTCTCTGGGTTAGATATAATAGCAGATTTTATAGTCCAACCTAGGATGGGAAACTCAACCCAAAAATGAAAATAATTGCATCTAGCAAGATGTACATTTAACTTCTGATGGCTCTGCTGGTCTGTATAGCTCAAACACTATGTAGTCAATGAAAGGTCCCTTTGACGTTACCTTTTCTGCTGCTTGTGAATCTACCTTTTTGGAAAATGATAGGGAATGATCACTCCTAAGAAAAGGAAGAGACAAGACCAAAGACCCCCTTGGAAGTAGCCTAAGGTAGAATTCCAGAGCTTGTTAACTGCCTCCCTCTTTTCTTTTGCTTTGACATAAGAGGTAGAGAGGGGGTTTCCACTCAGACATGATTAGACACATACTTTCAGAATATCTCCTGCCTTCTATACAGACAGAAGAAATTTCTAAGGCTTTCTTTTGGCTGTAGAGTGAGTACCACATTTCTGGGCATTCTGAAAATCTATGCCTAGGAGAGCTAGAAAGAAATGACTGGACATTAGGAACAAGTTTATATGTGTGATGACAACTAGCAAGCTTATCTACTCAGGACAGTCAGCTTGAGAGCTTTTAAATGCCTGGAAGAATGAGAAATTAGGTAGCCTTGGCTCAAACTCAAGACTTCCTCTCCTGCTGGACTTTTCTGTTTCCTCTCCTGGTGGGACTTTTCTTTCTCTCCTGTTGGACTTTCCTGTTGGACTTTTCTTTTGGATTTTCTGTTGAAGTGTTGTGTTCTATCCCATCAATCTTCCCTTAGCCAGGTTTCTACCCAGTCTCTTCTTTTGCCTAATTTTTCACTCAGATCGGCTTCTCTCCCACCCCCCACTCCCAACCCCCACACCATCACTGATCCCTGATGTGTCAAATCTGGCTTCTGTTGGGTTTCTGGAAACCATGATGTCATGCATATGAGTGTCAGAGCTCTGTAGTGCTGTAGTGATGCTGATCTAGAAGCACAGCATATGTCACGTGTCTGTCACTTTAATTAGGCTAAACAGGTAAACCATTAATGCAAGAGCCTTCATAGCTTTGCAGTTTAAATCTGGATGCTTTGATAGTTTCCTCAGTTTTTATTTACTCTTGCTCTGTTCTATTACCTCCTATTTTTGCACCTTTTTCCTGCATGTCAGGAAACCTTTGATCTGTTTGCTCATGTGGACTCTGGTTAGAAAAGATCGACCTTGTTTAAAAGATGGGTTTCCCAAACTTTCCTAGTATGAGTATAGCATGTTTATTGGGACATCTGTGAATAGCATAGTAGACACCCATATCTAAGGTGCTAGATAGTAACGTTTTAAATCTTGAGCGAGGGTAGAGGGATATTTTAATAATATCTTGGTTTATTGTTATTTAAATCTGCTTTCTTTTCTAGCTAGGGTCTTCTCCCCTCCTTTGATAAGCTAAAATGTCACAGTTATGTCAAGAAACATGATCATGATAAACTATTGCTACTTAGAAAGCATTACAATGATATTAACTGGTTTTATTTCTAAACAGAGATTCTTAGGAGGGAAAGCTTATAACACATATACTCCCCCACCCCACTGCATGCATTACTCAGAAATGGTGTTCTCTACTTCATGTTACAGTTAATTTGTCCTTCAAAGGTTGTCATTTCTAATATTAATGAGCCTGGGTAAATCTTAACAACATTTGGTATATATTAAGTATACCCTGAAATTTTATCAAGTAGAGAAAAGTTATTTAAAATTGAAAGACTCTCCTTATATTAGCATATGCCATTACTTTCTTTCTTTAAAATAAGGAAGATTCCGTAAAGACCATTTTTTAAAATACTACTGTGCTGATCTAAGGCATGGTTTTCTCTGCCTCAGGGGCACAATATTAGGAGAAAGAAGGCCAAAGAGTGCTATTTTTAGTTGAACAGTTCAGCAGATGCAGGCATGAATACTCATATATCTGAAGGTTGAGGGGTTTGAACCATTAATTTTGATAATTTATTAAACCCTGGGAACAATCAGAAACTGTAACTCTAAGGTTACAATGCTTTTGACCTTTAGAGAACAGAGAGCACTTGCTACAGTAAACAATGTATTATACTGCTGCTTATTCCAGTTCTCTCACCCGTATAAATTTCAGGACCAGTTGCCATTTGCTTTCTTCAGCTATGTTATCATTGGTCCTTAAGTAAGTCAAAAAGAATGTTAAGGAAAGGGAACCAGTATAATGAGGCAGTCATGTAAATTTAGCCTTTAAATAGTGATGATGTTAGATTGTTTCTGAAGAAATATTGTCGTGGGAACTAAGCTCTGGATGACTTTTTTTTTTTAATGAAAAAGGGACTTCAGTGTATTTATTCATTTTATATGGTTATTTTCAATATGATAGACCCTTAATTTTGTTTTGTTTTGTTTTGTTTTTAATGGGGAGTAGTGTTGCCTCATAGTTGTAGCTTATATTAAACAAAATCTGGTACCATATGCAAAGTGATCCACCTGCCTCATGCCTTCTTATTAAATGATGCATGCTTCTCTTTAGCAAATACAGCAGTTAGATATCACACAGCTTAAGCATTTCTAATTAAAATATCTCCATGTGTCAGCATATTGGTAATGTATTATTTTAATCCATTTATTTTGTTTATGAAACAGTGACATATGTTTAGATTGTGAAATATATGAGCCTTAAAAATCACTTTATTGAAGAAAATTAATTCCTACTATACTATCTCAGTAATGTGTTCACTCACCCAGTCAGTCACTGGCGGCACTGCCAGTCTTAATGTTGGGTAGACATTAAGACTTACCAGTCACATCCACATAACAGTCTTGGAAGGAAGCGTATCAGTTCTTTTTCTTAGCATCAAATAATAGGGTTATTCTTTTCTTACTATTTTTTATTACTTATTAATTCAAACCTGTCCCCCCCAAAACACTTTTGTTGCCTTTTTAAAAAAATACAATGAAGGATGGGGCTCAGTATATGTATAAGAGATTCTGAAAGACCAATCAAAATTAAAGCAAGCCAGTTACCTTTTCAAAGTTAGACATAGTAATTTGTTTGTCAGCAGGAAGATGTTTGGGTCAGCCCTGAGATAAAGCGACTGTCAGCAGTTATTCCTCCAAGACAAGTAATTTCACTCAATGTATTACTGACAGATTGCTCACTTCTCTGAATCACCAGAAAAAAACAAACTTAATATTGTTACAGGCAGAGTTTCTGTCTTCATTAGCTTCAGAGAATGATTTTTGTCTAGCATTTAAAGTTCACTAAGCTTTAGTTGGAACATATTTTAACAGACTATTTCTTATAATGATAGTATGGATAGTAGCCTAAATGAAAGAATTGTATAAGAAAATTAAAAATGTCAATATAAATGCAATTTTCACTGTTATTTGATGGGTCTTATGTGTAGTTTAGGGGAGATTTGAGGAAAGGAATATAGTTAGAGTCTTAAAGCACTAAGAAAACCTGTCAACCATACGTTATTCTTAAATGAAACTACTGAAGTCTTGCCAAGTTTGCAAAGATGGAGGAGAACAATTGAAGTTTTTGCAAAAATGAATACAAGCACATATTTTATTTAAATGATATTGTCAATTTTTGTGCTACAAATGGAAAGTAAAGAAGTGCCCATCAGCATTGAGAATGCTGTATTTCTATTTCAGTTGCAGCCTGAGTCTTTATGATGTTGTATTTAGAGGCTCTGCACTGTCTGTTGTACCCTGTCTTCTTATTTGCAATTGTAAAGATGCCTCAGTGGTGTGGGGGAATGGGAGGGTGATGGAGTTAGCTTTGCTGGGCAGTCTTGGAAAGTTGTGATTTCTAATAGAGAAGAGGGTGGAATAAATAGATGATTAGGGTGACCTATTACTGGCTACCCAATGGAGAAAGAGGAATGAACTGACTCAAAGCTTGTTTTGAGGATGCCAGCCATGGGGCTCTGCTTTGAAGAGAATGCATGCTTTTCTCTTAATCAGCCTTCACTCACCCTTCTGACTCTTTTCTTGATTTTTAAGAGTGTGGTGGAATTTGGGAGGACCATTACAACTAGGCTTAGATGAGCTGTAGGCTAATGGAATTAACTCCATTTATGGAATTAGAACTTTGGATTAGAGTTTCCACTATAACTTTCTTGCTCTGTTGTCTTGCACTGTTACAAAATACCTCCATTTGCAGTTTTTTTCATTGTAAAATGAGCATAATATACATTCTCAGGGTTCTTATAAATGATAAATGCAATAATAAAGCATGTATTAGATTTCCACAAATGTTCCCTGAACCATCATCAGAATAGGTAAAACTTTTCAGTAACCTCAGTAAGCAGTCAATTCTACTCTAGATTTATTGTCTAAAGTACTTCTGATGGGTGGGTCTAACCTACTAGAGTATAAGTTAATTAATTCAGGGAATTTTTTGTCTCTTTTGTTTACTGTGGAATCCTTAGCATTGCCTAGCACAGTATTTGGCAAAATGGACGAATTAATGCATTTCATCTTTGGTGGACATCTGGGACCCAAGCTCCTTTGAAAACCTTTTTTTTTTCCGGAAAATATTTGGTTGAGTGCTCTGTCTATAAGAGACACTCTTTTATGTCAACAACTTTTCTAGATAGGCTTCTTAAGAAAAAGTGCAGGTATCAAGTGAATCCTAATGGAGGCTAAAGAAATATAGGTAGATTAGGGAAGGATGCCAAATATAAAGGCAATTCCTAATGCTTAGAAATCTAGCTTGCCATTGTAGTCAGTGAAGCAGAAGTTTATACCCACCCTCAAACTAAAACATTGGATAAACTGGATTTTCTTTTGGAACTTTGCTTTTTATTTGGTTTTAAAGTAATACCTGAAAGTTCAGAGAGTTGGCTCTTCTCACATAAGCTCTGTTAATCACTGTGTTTGAGTTATTTGATTGGTGGGATAGTCAGCTATACTCAAAACCAATGTAGTCCTCTATCTCTCCTGATACAAGATTTTTGTCAACAGTCATTTAGCTCTAGCCCCACTAATTAATCCACTCAATAGGCAGCTTCCAGTGTGTGAACGCATGTAATTACATTTACATAGATTTCTTGTAAGATGTGATGATTTCTAAAATAATGACAGGTATTTTTATTCCTGTTTTACCAAACTGAAGTTTTAAAATATTTTTGGTTGATATTATGTATCATATATCTGCATGTATGTATATGTTGTAATGAGCTACGTTGGAATTCTGAGAGATGATGTGATTAAGGGTACATTAGAAAGTTTGAAAGCAAAACATTCTAGCATTTTAGAAAATGCTTCACTTCTGTTTCCAACCATGGAATAAGTCAGGATATTCAACATTTAGGAAATTTATATTCAGAAAAATATATGATAAAATATTTGACCTTCCAGGTAACAGAATAGGCAGAACAGGAGAAAGACATTTTTTACGATATTTTAATTAAAAGAGATTGAGAAGCTACAGTTGGATGGTTTCTCCTCACTTCTGACCACTAGAGCTGGCACATAGCTATTACTGTTCTGCCAGTTCCTCTTTTCTGTTTTATTTGTAGAAGAGTTCATATGCTACAGGTAAACTCAGGGAAAATTTATGATGATTTAAACTCAATGTACTGATTTGAAAACATCTTGCTTTATTTTAGCTGTTCTAGATTATAAAGATTAGGATAATAACTGGATTCTCTTCTGTATCTTCCCAAGCTTAAATGGCATTAATAAAGGATTCTTTTCTCAATTATATGTAAATAAACAAGCACTAAATATGTATCAGGTGCTATGTGGGTAGTATGTGGATTTTAAAAAATCATTATATATGTTCCTACCTTTCATTCTTCTCTTATAATTGGTGACAGCAGTAGAGTCATCTTGAGTCAAATTGAGAGGAACTAATTTAACGCTTTCCCCCCGGTTTTCTAAACATGAATTATTTGATACTGATATCCATTCAATGCATATTTAACCAAGTATTTGCATTTCCATTTAATGGACTAAGAAATGGAACCAAGTTAGAGCCAAATAAATTTCCTAAGGCCTCTCTCTTCATATTCATTTGGAGAAGCAAAGATTTAAACTAGAATTCTTAATTTCCAATAAACTGCATTGAGTTCATTTCTCACTGTGTGTTTCTCTTATAGCACCAGCTACCATACCTGTAACCAACAGGCTACAGGTTGATGTTACAATGTCTATATTAACCTAGACCATAATCCTTGATGCCTTGTCAGCAATTCCCCTAGAGCTATTGACCTTGAATGGTATGAACTAAAACAAAAGTAAATAAGTGACAGATATGTATGAAAAATTTATTGCTTCAAATATATCCGTGTATTTGACTATCTCAAACTATACAAAGTGCAAGCCTACAGTGCTCATTTGAAGCCAGTTTGAAATAGAGCTGCTGTCACCCTACAAATTCCCTATCAAGTTTTCCCTCTAATTTATCTACTCATTTAAATTAAAGAAAGAATGAAGTATTACATCCTTTTAAAATTCTTCTTACTTGAAATCACATGTGGTAGCTTTGAATGTAACTGTTGGAATAACTTAACACTTATTGTATCATTAGAGTTGTGTCAAAATCTACATTTAAAGAGAGTTTATAAATGATCATGCTCAGGAAATTTGAAAAAGGCAGCATACTACATGATTCCAACTATGTGACATTCTGGAAAGGGCGCAACTATGGAGACAGTAAAAATATCAGTGGGTGCCAGGGATTTAGGATGAGGAGAGGGGTGAAAAGGCAGAGCACAGAGGATTTTTAGTGAAATATTATGTAGTGAAAATATTCTGTATGAGAGTATAATGGTAGATACATGTCATTATATATTTGTCCAAACACATAAAATGTACAACGCCAAGAGTGAACCCTAATGTAAACTCTGGACTTTAGGTGATTATGATGTGTCAATGTAGGCTCATCAATTGTAACAAATATACCACTCAGGTGGGGGCTGTTTATAATGGGGGAGACTGTACATGTATGGGAACAGGGAGTATATGGGAAATCGCTTTACTTTCCTCTTAATTTTGCTGCAAACCTAAAACTACCCTAAGAAAAGTATTTAAGAAAGTTTGCAAGCAAATTAACACAATAAATTTAATTCAATTACTCAGCAAAAAAATTTTTTAGCACGTATTATATGCCAGGTCCTGTACTAGACAGCAGTCTTCAGCTGAGGGCAACTTTCCCCACCCCCCACCCTGTCCCACAAGGGTGTGGTTGACAATGTCTAGAGGGTGAGGATGCTGCTAAACACCCTGCAAAGCACAGAACAGCCACCCACAGCAAAGAATTATACAGTCTAAAATTCCAATAGTGCGAAGATTGAGAACACCTATTTTACATAGTGGGGACGTATCAATGAATAAAACAAAGTCCCTGCCCTCTGAGAATTTTACCTTCTAGTGGGAGAAGAGAAAATAAGGAAAGGAATATATAATAAAGAAATGAGACTGCAAATCTTACTCATCTTAGCAGAAATATCCTCACCTATCCCATCTGCCTCAATCTGGGTGGGAAAATTTTTTAAAATTAAGACCTATTAGACTGTTTATCCTCAGTTTTTTTTTCCTTCACTTTGATATTTAAGACTAAAACTTTTATTCTAGCCAGTCACTTCTGGCTAGAACAGTCACAACTCTCTTCAGTAGTATTAAGCATATCATGTACTCAGGCTGTCAATAAGGGAATATTATTTTTTAGTTTAATAGTATATAAGTCTGCCTTTCACAGTGAAGTAAATATGAAATTTGGTGAGAACCTGGGAACTGTTCATTAGGTTTTATAGGATGCTAGTTACCGAAATCTCATAGGATGAATGAAATCATTCTTAGCTATAATTGATGTGTAAATTGGATATTACAAAGGAGACTAAATTTCTTTCTAAAACAAAATTTTTAAAAGAAACATGAGTAGTATTAATATTATATGTGTACACATATATACATACATATATGTATACATGTATAAACACATACCTATTTTATAGCCTTTTACAGTTAAAAAACAATTTATATTTAGCCTTTGTGTAAATGTTTTAATATTATTCCCATATTTTGGAAGAAGAAAGTGAAGCTCAGAAGAGTTAAGTGACTTAGACAAGATTACTATTCTAGTAAACAAAATAGGACTGTAATAGATGGTTTAAGTGTATTTTAAATTTTACCTCTTGGTCAGGATTCTTGGCATTAAGCTCTGTTGACTGGTATATAGGAATAGAAGCTTTCTTGTATAATTTATTCTTCTCTTGTTATAATATTCAAGTGAATTAAAGGCAACTTAATTAAATTATAAAAGAGAAAAATTTCAAAGTCAGTATGACATTCTCAGAATCCCAAAGAGTTCACGTATTTTTCAAATTTCCAGTTAACATCCAGAATAAACGTCAAACCTAAGAGAATTTAATGAGCAGTAGAACTACTGTGATAAAAACTGTCTTATCTTATTCCGTGGCTTTCCTTTAGGAAAATGTTTAGTATGTTTTTGCTGAATGCCAGAACCCTGTTTTTTTGAGAGTTTCTGGGCCTGTCTTATAGTTTCAAAGTTTTGATGAGTCTCCTGGAGTAGCTGGGGAGCTCTATCCTTGCCCATCCCTAGTCTGGGATGCACTCTGAGCATGTTCAGCAGGTTGCATGCCAGCAGATGAAGCAGATGTTTGACCATACTGGGATGGAGCGCCTGCTGCATTAGGAGCTGGGTATTCCTCTTGACATCTGGATGTTGCTGGGTCACGATGCCTGCCTCAGGCCAGGAGTCTGCGGGAACTGTGGGGCAGAGAGCACAGAGTCTTTGCTGCTCTTTAAGCGATTAGTGCACTGAAGCAGCAATAATGTTGAATTATCGCCTGGCTGCTTTCTTCTCAGGAATCTTGGGACAATAGGAGAGTCAAGAAGGAGCATTTACAGTAAAGTCATGTTCAGAGAGACAAGACTAATTATAGAGTATTAAAGAGCTTTATTTTAAACGATTTAATTTACAAATAGCTCTGGGCAGTGCATGGAACTTTTTAGAACCATAAACCTGTAGCTTAAAGAGACTTTTCTAATTTAAAGTGGCTAGTATAGAAACATATTGTTTCAGCAATTATTCAGTTTTAGAGTTTGTTCAAGTTGTGCCATAGAAGATTCAGCATCTAGTTAAAAAAGAAAAAATACTAAAACTTGAAGCTTGTGGGGAAAGTGTCTCTAACTTGAGGAGAAGGAAGACCTTTAGGTAAGAGACTGCCTGAATTATGTACTGGCTTTTACTGTTTCCCTTTATCACACTGAAAACTGGTAGCATTTGCTACCCAGAACTGAAACCATCTGTTACACCAATTTTCTTTATGATATGTGTTATTTAAGCACAATGGATGTGGAAATGGGTAGTTTAAAATGTGTTTTGTGATGAACAGTTGTCACATTATGTTGCTTTGCCTCTTATAATTTTTCATTAGTGAGACCTCTGTGCTAAAAGAAGTCTTCTTATAAACAGATTATGGTCATTTATGTTCACAGTAATGTATTGGATAAGAATGCTATGTTGCTCTCACTTAACCTCTCGTATTCTAAGGGGGTTATATTTAATTAACGCTGGTGAGAGGCTGACCTGAGAGACTGTGGAAAGTGATTGAGCTGCATTTTGTAAGCTCTGCTCTAGTCAGCTGGGAGAGAAATTTTCTAAAAAAATTGGAAAGTACTGTCTTTTGAAATTCCCTCCATCTAAGCTGTATTTCAATGGGCCATTTAATGCTCAAATGGACAAAGGTATTACTTCATTGAATTTTATCAAACTCCTTCTCAGAGGCTCAGTTTAAAAACTCTATAAGAAAGGTAGTTTAGCTTCTTAATAGTTTATCACTTGGTCTGCTTTAAAAAAAGCAATTTTTTTTTTTAAGAAAAGGAGAAACACTTACTGTCACTGGAATGGAGCATGTGCCCCAACCAGTCCTCACCATACTGGGATTGCCCTCCAGAGTTGAGGAGCTCCTTAGCTCACAAAGAAAAAGATATCCTCTCTCAGTGTTGCTGTTCACCTGCTCAGAACATCCTCTTCATGGCCAAATAGGGGTTTGTTCCAGGGCCCAAGAGGCAGTACATTCATAATGTGTAGTTATGTCATTGGCTCAGACATAACACAATAGAGAAGGCAAGAGAGTGAGATCCTGAGACCAAGAGACAGAAGCTTTGTTGAAATAGTAGAAGACTAAATGTGACTAATTTGGGTGGAAATTCTTCACTTCTCCGTTCATTTATCAATGGTGTTGATAAAGAGGCATTTCTTAAATGCAGAACAAAATAGTCATCTATCATTCACCTATATCCAACCAAACCCTCCTGATTTTAGATCTACCTCTGCCTCCATTTCCTGATTAATGAAACTCTATTGCCAAATACAGACATACCCCACTGTGAAACAGAAAGATGACTATATATCATCAGATGATGATTTGTAGCCATTTATTGAAACAACATGCTACCCTTGGTTTACCAGCTGGCTTGCTGTCTTACATGTTCTCTGTCTATACAATGGTGAATGGATTAGAGGTTCCAGGAAAGTGGTGCTTCTTGGTTCCATAAGAATTCTGCAGTTAAAAAAGCTAAGTGATCATGAGCTAATTTCCTGTGAACCTCAGTCTCTTCGTCTGTGAACTGGGGATAATGACACCCCCTCAGTAGGGTTGGGGTTAGGATTAAATGAGATAATATAAGCAAATTGCTTAGTACAGTGTCTGCTGCATGGTAGATGCTCAATAAATATGTTTGTCCATACTCTTCTGCTTGTATCTCTCTTATTCATTCATTAATTTGAAAAATATTTATTGAACATGTACTATGTACCTTAGGTACTCTTTTAAGCAATGAAGCTAAGAAATTACTGCCCTCTTATAGTAATAGTCTGAGGAAGAAATAAATTAAATGAGTAATACTTTAAGGTGATAGGAACAGATAGTATAGGGCTAATCATTTGAGATGTGTGTGTATGTATAGCATGTGTGTATGTACATATATATACTGATTTATTGATTGCCCAAGGTGATTGTGTATAGGCAGTTTGAAACCCTTTTGTCCTAATTTCTATGCCTGATGACTGTTCCTGGTTTCAAAAAGCATGAGGCCCAGTACAGTGCTCTTTAGCAAGAAGTGACAGCCACTCCACAATTAGGGTACTTTAACATAGATTTCCCACTAATCATGAAACAAATGTCATGTTATTGAAAATAAAGCCTTCACAAATAGGCAATGAGATTGTACAATTCCATAGACTTTCAGAGCTAGAAAGGTCTTCAGAGGCTTTGAGGGTCAAGTCCCAACTCTACCACTGGTTCCATGTGCTTGGACAAATTAATCTTCCTGGTACCTAGCTTTTATCAAATGGGATTAGGAAAAATACCCCCATAGGGAAGTTGTGAGGAATACATAAGAAAATGTTTGTGAAAAGTGCTTTATACACTGTCAAGTGCTATATAAATCTTATAATTTTATAGTTGAAGAAACTGAGGTCTAGAGAGATAGATTAACTTGACCAAAGCCACACAGCTAGTCTGTGGCCTGGTTTAGATGTATAGAATTGTTAGCCAACAGTGTAAATAACTAAATTTGATTGCTTCTTGTACATAGATTTAACTAAATTCAACTGAATTGGCCAAGAGGACAGTATATCTCATGCTCCTACCTATTCTAAGTGGGAGTCAATGAGCGATCAGTATTAGTAGAGATATATTTTTTTCACAAGCGAATATACCAATCTAATGAAAATTATTCATTAACAAAACAAAGTAAGGCATTAAAAGTGTAAGACCCTGTTACAGTGCTGGTAGCAGTGACAAAGCTAGAATATAAGCTTATGCTAACACGATGAAAAGAGTAATTATTTAATTAGTTCATTCATAGATTGATTCCTCAAATGTTTATTAAGTGCCTACTCTGTAGTATGCACTCTTTTCTATTTTGGGCACACTAAGATCAAGAGAATTTGACTCTTGCCCCTGAAGGGCCCACAATCTAGTAAGCAATGTGATAATTGTTAAAATAGATGTGTTCCCCGAGTGAAATGCTATGAAAGGAGGAAGTGCTTAGCTCCCCCTGGGGAAGTACTGGCAATCTTCATGGATAAGGTGATGTTAAAATTGAATCTTAAAAGGAGGTATAAGTTCCCCAGGTTTATGGGGAAGGATGCAGAATGGCAAAGATGCAGAGAAGAGAAAAAGCACTCCAGACAAAGAGAATAGCTACCCATAGGTGTAGAAGCAATAGACAGCACGGCACATTCAGAAACGACAAACAGTTGGCACAGCCTGAGTGTACAGGAGCAATCATAGGTGAAATTGGAAAGGTATGCAAGGGGTCAGATCACAGAGTGCCTTTTACACTGCACAAGGGAATTTGGAATGCATGTGGTAGACATGATTTTATTCACACCATAAATGGTAAAGTAGTATAAGGTATAGTGAACAACTTTATGGTGTGATATTCCTCTTAATTTGATCTCTAGTTTACATTTCCCATTACACTAGATTTAATAGTTAAGGCACTGTGTTTGGTAAGATTGATAGTCCCTTTAGTACAATGGTACCCTGTGGCAAATGAGACTGTACAAATAGTGTAATGATACATGCTGAATAAACAAAACTGTTTAAGACTGAAGCAAAGCCAAGGTCCAACCATTTCCTGGGGATTTGGGGAAATCCTGTAATCTGCAGTTTATACTAAGCCCAATCATATTTAGCACATTGCTTCTCAGTGAATGGGCCTTGATACTGTATTTCAACCAAATAATGAAGCAAGAAGTAAGAAATCTATAAAGAAAAGCTATGGTTCTTCTAATTGTTAATGCCTTGCAATTATGCCCCTTTCTGGAATAATAAAATGTTCCTTGGCAGAGGTCAGGATCTCTGCCACTGACTTATTTAACAGATCCTCTTAACATCTGTCCTGCAGACTGTTCACTTTATTAGCAGACAAGAGACCCAACAGACTTAGCCTGCTGTGTCCCTTTTTCACATTCACACAGCTGTGGATTAACTCAGACTTTCCAGAAGAGGACCAACCAGAAGGGATAGTAATGTTATTGGCTGATTCTAAAAAGATGGGAAAAAAGAGCAGAAACAAATGTTGCCCTAGTACAATTCAGTGTTTTTAGGGTGACAATTACCAGTCTGTTTTAAAAAGGAATAAAAGCAGCTATTCCTCTAAAAAAGGAAAGTCTATTCATATCTGTGTGGGAACCTAATCAGGCTCTTGTTTCCAGTGACGATGACTCCACAGTCGCACCAGGTCTGTGACAAGAATGCTCCTTTTGTATGCCGATAATGTGGAAACGATAAAATTTCCTTTAAGAGACATATGTGTTTACATCATGAGATATGTTATTTGACAAAATGCTTTGTTCTCCTCATATTTTCCATGCAGAGTTTCATGCTGGGTTGCTGGGCTGGAAATCTTTGATTAACTAGAATTAGTTGCTGAAATAAAATAGACACTTTTGTCTTATGATTCATCTTGCTGAGCTGTAAATTATAGTAAAACACATAAGAAGTGACAGAAAGAAGTGCTGATTTGAACCTCTGACCCACAACAGGCATAAAAACATAAGATTATTCCTTCAAAGAGCTGCATAGCGACATAAATATTCCATGGTCCACTTGGAATTATGCCCTCTTAACCAACTAAAGCTGTGATTTTACATCATGTAATGAGAGTTTTCTAGGGGTGTTATGGCAGGCACAGAGGAGATATTAAGATTTAGAAAAATCTCCCCTAAATTAGTACTGTGAATGCTTAAAGATTTTTTCCTTCATTTTTTTTGTGTCATCTTTAAATTGACAATAAAAAGGATAAAAGAAAGTTCTTGTTCCCTACATGAAGAGCCAAGGGTGATTTCTCCTTTTCCAGAGAAGTGGTGCATTTTATAAATCTTAAGACTCTCAACACCACACTGGCCCTTAGTGTGAACATCTTAGCTCTGTGAAATACAGTCTAGGGGTACGAGTCCAAAAGAATGGGCTGAAAGGAGAGATATTACTAAATACAGAACAGAAACTCCATTAGCCCAAACGCTTCCTCATTGCAGGGACTGGTGTGAATTCTGCTAGATTTTTAAAAAATTATTATTATTTTTTTTTAGAGATGGGATCTTGCTTTCTTGCCCAGGCTGGAGTGCCGTGGTACAATCATAGCTCACTTCAGCCTTGAACTCCTGAGCACAAGTGATCCTCCCACCTTAGCCTCTGGAATAGCTGAAATTACAGGCTTGAGTCACCATGCCTGACTAATTTTTTTAAAAAAGTCTTAGAGACAGGGTCTCCCTATGTTGCACTGTGCCTGGCTATTTTTAAACTTTTAGTTAACAAAGGGCCTCTTTCTGGGGCTTCACTGTGAGTAAAGCCTACCTAACTGTTCCTCTGTCCAAATTAATTGTTCCCAGTGATGGTGTTTCAGTAGTAAGTTGTAAATGCTTCCATTATACCATTTATTATATTATGTTTTTCTCCCTGTCTTCTTCCCATCCGTGCTGTGAGACAGCATATCTTTGATGTCCTGAAAGACAGCATATCTTCTTCATCTTTGCATCAGTAATATATTTTTGCTAAATTAAATAAAAATGCCAATAAGTATTTTTCTGAATAAGATCTTTAGAGTGATTTCTGTTAAAGAAGAATGTACCTTTAAGAATAACAAGAGCCTATGAGTATTAAGTCTTCATAATGTGCCTATGTTTTAAGCACATTCTGCATGTTAATTCATTTACTCCATACAAAAATCTTTCAGAGTAGGTTCTATTGTTATCCCCATTTTCACAGATGTGGAAATGTAAGGCCCAGAGAGATTAAATAACTGCCCAAGATCACACAGCTAGTTAACAGTGGTTTACTATACTATTCTTTCTCTCATAGAAACTTGTAAGACCTCATTTTTTCTAAATTTCTTTTTCAGTCTTTTTTTTTTTTTTTTTTAGTTTTCTTAAATATTTATTTATAATTGACAAATAATAATAGTCCACATTTATGGGGTACAGTGTGATGTTTTGATCTATGTATACATTGTAGAAAGAGTCAATCAAGGTAATTAACATATCTATCGCCTTATTTTTTTTTTGGTGTGATGAGAATGTTTTTTTTTTTAATTATACTTTAAGTTTTAGGGTACATGTGCAATTTTCAGTCTTTTATATTAACTGTTACCTGCTTTACCTGCTATAGGAATTTTTCAAGGTGGATTATTGTGCTGTATATCAGTATCATATCTAATGACAATAAAGCACATTGTATGCTTATTATATACTATTTGAATGATTTTTACTATGGTTGATATATATAAGGTATCATTTCTTTAGCTAATTAGAGAGTTAAGCCACAGGTATTACTGTAGGATACAGATGGCATATTTACGTGCTGCAAAATGTGCTGAAGTTCTCCAGTTGGCAGTACTAATAATTTGCAGTTTAAAAAGTGATGGTTAGTAAAGTTGCCTTGAAATGGGGTAAAACATTTTTTTTAATTTAAAAAATACAGAAGAAAATGTAAGAAGAAAGTAAGAAGACGATATTTTATATTTCTTGTCTAGTCTACCTGATCACTTATAAGTAAATTCAAAATACTTCCTTATGTCTCGATATTTATAACAAACACATATTTTACTTTAGTATTAACATGAAATTTATATTTAATAAATCTATGTATTATTATTTTTGTTCATTAGCATGATTTTTGTTTGCAATCTTTCAAAGTCTGCTGAGAAATTAAATACCTAGTTTAGCTTAAAAACAGTAAAAACATTTTGATATAATAAGCATGTTCATTTCCAACTAGTAATATTTGTTCTGTCCAATAATTAAGTGAAAAAATAGCATTCGAATAATCTTATACTTTCCTTTTGTGCAATTTTATTTTATCAAGTATATATATTTCACAATTTAAGTAAAGACCTTTTTCTTGTCATTACACAGTTACCCATGCTTGCCTTTATTCTGTGTTCTTTTGGAAGCTTCATTATGGATGGAAATCGAAGGGCATAGAAGCTGGGCAGTGTACATTATTTTTCAAGCAACAGCATCTGGTTCCTTGGCAGTCATTGTGGGCCAAGGCAAGGCAGCCCTGGCATATCTCCAGATTCTTATGTGGGTATTGCTGAGGGATTTCCAGGTCTGCCATGTTGTTTTAATGGTGTTTCGTAGAAACTCAGAAACTCAGAATGGAACACAAAGTCGGTTTCATGGTATATAAGACCTACATGATCTGGCCCCATTGCTATCTTTCTGACACCTGACATATTACCTCTTGCCCAGCTCAGCTACACTGGTCTCTTCATTATTCCTCAAACATTCCAAGCACAAGTACACCCTTGCCATAGGACTTTCAATTATACTTTGCCTCTGCTTGGATGCTGTCCTCATATAATGACATGGCTTACTCTCTCACTTAGCTCAGGTCTTTATTCAAATGTCCCCTTCTCTGAGTTTTCTTGACCTCTCTGAAAGCCTCCCAGCCTACCCCATACTCATATACCTGATCACTTTATATTTCATAGCACATATCACCACCAGATTTACATATCTATATGCTTATCTGTCTTGTTCTCCCTTCCTCCTCCCACAAAGTCACTGCCCACGTCTGCTTTTCCAAAACCAAAATGATACCTGGCCCATAGTAGCAACTCAATAAATAATATTTGATTGAATGACTGAATTAACCTTTTGTTTACTAAGAAATTACACATTCAAATATTGGTAAATTGACATATATTCATTTACTAAAAATACATGATTGGACTCAGCACATGTACTAAAATATATGTACACATTGAGAACTTCCTTATGACTCTTAGTTTGTGGGAAATAATACTTAGATTTCAAATCTAATTTCTGGACTCATTGATGAGTTTTTATATCTTATTAGAAGAGTCAAGATGTACGTATTTAAAGTTTACCTGATGAGCTGAAGCTTTGTGACAAGAGATAAAGGAACATTACAAATATAAGCCGTACCACTTGGAGCAAATTCAGAGAACTGAATCTCTTCAGCATGGTCTGCCCAGCTCTTGGAAACAAAAGGAAAACACATCTATCCCCATAATGCTGATTTTCAACTGCCCTAATTATCACCTTTTTGTATTTCTTACTTCAAGAACTAAATTACAAATTGTTTCAATAACTAACTTTTATTTCTGTAAATAAGGCATTATATGTTAACATATTTTATTTAGCACCCTGAAAGAAAAAATACTTGGAAAAAGCAGAGAGAGAGAGATTGAGTATTTCATCTCCACCTTTTTTTTTGGCAAGTTTGTTATTTAGATAGATTGCATGTCACAAGGGTTTGTTGTACAAATTATTTCATCGCCCAGGTAATAAGTGTAGTACCTGATAGATATTTTTTTTATCTTCTTCCTCCTCTTACTCTCTGCCTTCAAGTAGGCCCCAGTGTCTGTTGTTCCCTTCTTTATGGCCATGTGTTCTCAAAGTTTAGCTCCTACTTGTAAGTGAGAATATGTGGTATTTGATTTTCTGTTCCTGCATTAGTTTGCTTAGGATAATGACTGCCAGCTCCATCCATGTTGCTGCAGAGAACATGATCTGGTTCTTTTTCATGGCTGCATAGTGTTTCATGGTGTCTATGTACCACATTTTCTTTATCAAGTCTACTATGACGGGCATTTAGGTTGATTCCATGACTTTGCTATTGTGAGTAGTGCTGCAATGAACATACACGTGTGTGTCTTGGAGGTGGAATGATTTATATTCATTTGGGTTTATGCCCCATAATGAGATTGCTGGGTCAAATGGTACTTTTGTTTTAAGTTCTTTGAGAAATCACCACACTGCTTTCCACAATGGCTGAACTAACTTGCATTCCTACAAGCAGTATATAACCACACCAGTATCTGTTATTTTTTGGCTTTTTAATAATAGTCATTCTGACTGGTGGGAGATGGCATCTTATTGTGGTTTTGATTTGCATTTTTCTAATGCATTTCTCTAGTGATATTGATATGGTTTGGATTTGTTTCCCCACCCAAATCTCATGTTGAATTGTAATCCCCAGTGTTGGAAGAAGGACCTGGTCAGAGGTGATTTGATCATAGTGGTGGATTTCCCTCTTGCTGTTCTCATAATAGTGAGTGAGTTCTCATGAGATCTGGTTGTTTAAAAATGTGTAGTACCGGCCGGGCGCGGTGGCTCACGCCTGTAATCCCAGCACTTTGGGAGGCCGAGGCGGGTGGATCATGAGGTCAGGAGATCGAGACCATCCTGGCTAACAAGGTGAAACCCCGTCTCTACTAAAAATACAAAAAATTAGCCGGGCGCGGTGGCGGGCGCCTGTAGTCCCAGCTACTCAGGAGGCTGAGGCAGGAGAATGGCGTGAACCCGGGAAGCGGAGCTTGCAGTGAGCCGAGATTGCGCCACTGCAGTCCGCAGTCCGGCCTGGGCGACAGAGAGAGACTCCGTCTCAAAAAAAAAAAAAAAAAAAAAAAAAAAAATGTGTAGTACCTCCCCCTTCTCTCTCTTCCTCTTGTTCCAGACATGTAAGATGTGCCTGCTTCCCTTTCGCCTTCCATCATGATTATAAGTTTCCTAGGGCCTCCCAGCCATGCTTCCTGTACAGCCTGCAGAACCATGAGCCAATTAAAACTTTTTTCTTCATAGATTACTCAGTCTCAGGTATTTCTTTATAGCAGTGGGAGAACGGACTAATACAGATGTTAAGCACTTTTGTTACATGCTTATTGGCTGTGAGTCTGTCTTCTTTTGAAAAGTGTCTATTAATGTAATTTGCCCACTCTTTACTGGGGTTCTTTTTTTTTTTTTTTGCTTATTGATTTAAGTTCCTTATAGATTCTGCATATTAGACCTTTTTCAGATGTATAGTATGCAAATATTTCCCCCATTCTATAGGTTGTCTATTTATTCTGTTGATAATTTCTTTAGCTTTGCAGAAGGTCTTTAATTAGATCTCATTTGTCATTTTTTGTTTTTGTTGCAATTGCTTTGGTATCTTCGTCATTAAATCTTTGCCAGGAACTATGTCCAGAATGGTATTTCCTAGGTTATCTTCCAGGATTTTTATAGTTTTAGGTTTTAAACTTAAGTCTTTAATCCATCTTGAATTGATTTTAGTATATGGTGTAAGGAAGGGGTCCAGCTTCAGTATTCTGCATATGGATAGTGATATGGTTTGGCTGTGTCCCCACCTAAATCTCATCTTGAATTGTAGCCCCCATAATCCCCACATGTCATGGGAGGGACCCAGTGAGAGGTAATTGAATCATGCGGAAAGGTTCTTCCTGTGCTGTTCTCACAGGAAGTGAATAAGTCTCATGAGATCTGATGGTTTTATAAAGGGCAGTTCCCCTCCACACACACTTTTGTTTTTGTTTTGTTCCTTTTTTTGAATTTCTTTATTATTATTATTATATACTTTAAGTTCTAGGGCACATGTGTACAACATGCAGGTTTGTTACATAGGTTAACATGTGCCATGATGGTTAGCTGCATGTATCAACTCATCATTTACATTAGGTATTTCTCCTAACGCTATCCCTCCCCCAGCCCCCACTCCCCAACAGGACTTGGTGTGTGATATTCCCCTCACTGTGTCCATGTGTTCTCATTGTTCAGCTCCCACTTATGAGTGAGAACGTGTGGTGTTTGGTTTTCTGTCCTTGTGATATTTTGCTGAGAATGATGGTTTCCAGCTTCATCCATGTCCCTGCAAAGAATGTGAACTCATCCTTTTTTATGGCTACATAGTATTCCATGGTGTATATGTGTCACATTTTCTTTATCCAGTTTATTATTGATGGACATTGGGTTGGTTCCAAGTCTTTGCTATTGTGAACAGTGCCACAATAAACATTCATGCGCACACTCTTTTGCCTGCCACTATGTAAGATGTGCCTTTGCTCCTCCTTTGCTGTCCACCATGATTGTGAGGTCTCCCAAGCCATGTGGAACTGTGAGTCTTATTAAACCTCTTTTTCTTTATAAATTACCCAGTCTTGGGTATTTCTTCTTAGCAGTATGAAAATAGACTAATACAGATAGCCAGTTATTCTAGCACCATTCATTGAATAGGGAATCCTTTCCTCATTGCTTGTTTTTGTCCACTTTTTCAAAGCTCAGATGATAGTAGGTGTGTGACTTTTTTTCTGGGCTCTATATTCTGTTCCATTGGTCTATGTGTCTGTTTTTGTTTGTTTGTTTTGTTTACTAGCACCATGCTGTTTTGGTTACTGTAGCCTTGTAGTATAGTTTGTAGTCGGGTAATGTGATGCCTCCACCTTTATATTTTGCTTAGGATTGCCTTGGCTATTCAAGCTCTTTTTTGGTTCTATATGAATTTTAAAATAGATGTTTCTATATCTATGAAGAATGTCATTGATAGTTTGATAGGAATTGCATTGAATCTATTTAATTGCTTTTGGCAGTATGGCCATTTTAACAATATTGAGTCATCCTATCCATGAGCAAGGAATGTTTTTCCATTCATTTTCCATTAGTATCATCTGTAATTTCTTTGGGCAGTGTTTCATAATTCTCATTATAGAGATCTTCCCCCTCCCTGGTTAGTTGTATTCCTAGGTATTTAATTCATTTTGTGGCTATTGTGCATGTGATTAAGTTTTTGATTTGGCTCTCAGTTGGGACATTGTTGGTATATAGAAATAGTTTCAGTAGAAATGGCGCCACCTCTTCTTTATACATCTGGTAGAATTCAGCTGTGAATCCATCTGTAAATCCTGGGATTTTTCTTGTCGGTAGGCTTTTTATTACTGATTCAATTTTGGAATTTGTTATTGGTGTATTCAGGGATTTGATTTCTTCCTGGTTCAATTTTTGGCAGTTGTATGTTTTTAGGAATTTATCCGTTTTTTTCTAAGTTTTCTAGTTTGTTTGCATAGAGATGTTCATAGTAGTCACTGAGAGTTTTCTCTATTTTGTATCATCAGTGGTAGTGTCCCCTTTGTAATTTCTAATTGTGTTTATTTGTTCTGTTTTCTTTATTAATCTAGCTAGTGGTCTATTAATCTTATTTATTCTTTCAAATAACAAACTACCAGGTTTGTTGATTTTTTGTATGGTTTTTTGCATCTCAGTTTCCTTCAGTTCAGCTCTGATTGTGGTTATTTCTTGTCTTCTGGTAGTTTTGGGGTTGATTTGCTTTGGTTTCTCTAGTTCCTCTAGGATATTGAGTTGTGATATTGGGTTGTTAATTTGAGATCTGTCTAACTTTTTGATGTGGGCATTTAGCACTATAAACTCTGCTTTTAACACTGCTTTAGTTGTATCCCAGAAATTCTGGTATATTGTATCTTTGGTCTCATTAATTTCAAGGAATTTCTTGATTTCTGCCTTAATTTCATTGTTTACTCAAAAGTCATCCAGGAGCATGTTGTTTAATTTCCATGTAATTGTACAATTTTGAGTGATTTTCCTAGTAATGATTTCTATTTTTATCATGCTGTGGTCTGAGAGTATGTTTGGTATGATTTTGTTATTTTTTTAACTTGTTGAGGATTATTTATGGCTGATTGTGTGGTCAATTTTAGCATATCTGCCATGTACAGATGAGAAGAATGTATATTCTGTTTTTTTGTGGGGTGGAGGGTTCTGTAGCTGTTAGGCCCATTTGGTCAAATGTTGAGTTTAGGGCCCAAATACATTTGTTAGATTTCTGGCTCGATGAGCTGTCTAATACTGTCAGTGGGGTGTTGAAATCTATGTTTGTATGATTCTCTAACTCTCTTCATAGGTCTCTAATAACTTGCTTTATGAATCTGAGTTTTCCTGTGTTGGGTGCATACATATTTAGGATAGTTAGGTCTTCTTATTGAATAGAACCCTTTACCATTATGTAATGCCTTCCTTTGTCTTTTTAAATTGTTGTTTATTTAAAGTATGTTTTTTTTTCTGAAATTAGCATAGCAATCCCTGCTTTTTTCTGTTTTCTGTTTGCCTTGTAGATTTTTCTCCATCTCTTTACCTTTAGCCTATGGGTGTCACTGAATGTGAGATGAGTCTCTGTAGACAGCTCATAGTTAGGTCTTGCTTTCTTTATCCAATGTGCCACTTCATGCCTTTTAATTGGGCATTTAGCCCATTTACATTCAAAGTTAATATTGATATGTGCAGGTTTGATCCCATCATCATATTGTTAGCTGGTTATAATTCAGACTTGATTGTGTGGTTGCTTTATACTGTCACTAGTCTGCGTACTTAAGTGTGTTTTTGTGGTGGGTGGTAATGGTCTTTCCTTTCCACATTTAGCACTCCCTTAAGGGCCTCTTGTAAGGCAGGTCTGCTGGTAATAAATTCCCTTAGTACTTGCTTGTCTGGAAAGGGTCTGATTTCTCCTTTACTTAAAATAAAGCTTAGTTTGTCTGAATATGAAATTCATGGTGAGGATTTCTTTTAAGAATGCTGAATATAGGCCCCCAATCTCTTATGGCTTGTAGGGTTTCTGCTGAAAAGTTTGCTATTAGCTTAATGGGGTTCCCTTTGAGGTTACCTGCTCCTTCTTTCTAGCTGCCTTTAACATTTTTTCTTTCATTTTGCCCTTGGAGAATCTGATGACTGTATGTCTTAGGGACAGTCATCTTGTATAGTATCTCACAGAGGTTCTTTGCATTTCCTGGATTCGAATTTTGGCCAAGCTAGTGAGGTTGGGAAAATTTTCATGGATGATATCTTCAAACATGTTTTCCAAGTTGCTTGCCTTCTATTCCTCTCTTTCAAGGGCATCAAAGAGTCATAGATTTGGTCTCTTTACATAATCCCATATTTCTTGGAGGTTTCATTCATTCTTCTTTATTATTTATTTTTTTGTTTTTGTCTGACTGAGTTATTTTAGAGAAGCAGTCCTGAAGCTCTGAGTTTCTTTCCTCAACTTGGTAGATTCTGGTTGATACTTGCAATTGTATTATGAAATTCTTGAAGTGAGTTTTTTAGCTCTCTCAGTTCAGTTTGGTTCTTTTTAAAATGGCTATTTGTCTTTTATCTCTTGTATCATTTTATTATATTCCTTAGATTCCTTGGATTGGGTTTTGACTTTCTCCTGAATGTTGATGATCTTCATTCCTATCCATATAGAAGTCAGAAATGAATTCTGTTTTTGACATTTCAGCCATTTCAGCCTGGTTAAGAACCATTGCTGGGGTACTAGTGTGGTCATTTGAAGGTAAAAATGCACTCTGGCTTTTTGAGTTGCCAGAGTTCTTGCGCTGGTTCTTTCTCATCTGTGTGGGCTGATGTTCCTTCAGTCTTTGAAGCTGCTATCCTTTGAATGTTTTTCTTTTTTTTTTTTTTAATCTTCTTAGATGCCCTTGGGGGTTGGATTATGGTAAAAGGTGGGTTCAGTTGACTGGCTTTGATTCTAGTCTGGGTCTTGAAGGAGCCCCTCCAATTACTGTCTCCATGTCTACATTTCTTTTGTTAGGTGTTCTGGTCTATGGGGGTCCCTCAGGCAGGGACGACAGTTGGAAGACAAGCTGTATCCTTACCAGGTCAGCCCTGATTTTCTATTCAAGTTATTCCTGGGGAAAGACTGGGTTGTACCTTCCTGTAGAATTCAGGCATCAGCAAGACCACTGGGCTGGAAGCTTTAGTGGGAGTGGCCTGTCTGGATACAAGAGGTGGGGTTCAGTGGAGTTGCCTGCCCTGCTATCAGGGTGTTTTCAAGGCAACAGGAGGCTGTGTCCCCTTGCAAATCCAGGCAGAAATAGGACCACTGGGCTGGAAGTTATAACATGTGTTGCTCACCTGGCTACAAGAGGTGGGGTTGAGTAGAGTCATCCACCCTGCCTTCTGGGCACTTCCCAGGACATCAGGAAGCTGCACCTGCTGGCTAAGTTCAGACAGAAGTGAGACCACTGGGCTAGAATCTCTAGCAGGTGTTGCCTGCCTGGCTACCAGTGGAGGGGTTTGGTAAAGTTGCCTGCCCTGCTGTCTGGGTGTTTCCTGGGACAAGAGGAAGTTACAGCTGCTGGCTGAGTTCAGGCTGAAGTGAGACCACTGGGCTAGAAGCTCTAGCAGGTGTTGCCTGCCTGGCTACCAGTGGAAGGGTTTGGTAAAGTTGCCTGCCCTGCTGTCTGGGTGTTTCCTGGGACAAGAGGAAGTTACAGCTGCTGGCTGAGTTCAGGCTGAAGTGGGACCACTGGGCCAGAAGCTGGTGCTGAGCCCTGTCTGGTAAGGGGAGGTGAAGCAATCTTACTGCTCTCAGGCACCACAACTGTGACCTCTGTTGGAGCTATGGTGCTGGTGCTGATCTGTTCTCAGTCCCAAGACTTGTAGAGGTCCCCTTGGACTCAAGAATTGCTTCTGTAAAATGGCTGGGTAGCTCTCTGCCTCAGTCTAGAAGTGTGATGGGAGGGATATAGGGGGTTAGGAGGATTCTCCCATTCCTAGTCTTGCACAGGTCCCTGTGGAGAGTGTGCCCCCCCGCCAGGGGGCTCTCACCCTTTCCCATGTTAGAGAAGTTCTCCTGGCTCTGCGTTGAGCCCAGACAGACTGGTGCCCAGTTTCACTCGTCTCTGCTCTCGGTGTCCTTCTGTTGCCTTAATGGATACTGACGTGGTTTCAGAGATGATTGGCTTGCAGGGTCAGTGTTCACTAACCCTTTTGTTTCTTCTCTGTGAGAGCAGCACACATGGGCTGCTTCTAGTCTACCATCTTGGCCCCCTCTCCCCACATTGTTTCTTAATTATTTGCAACTATGTTCCATAAGGAAATGCTCTCCTGAATGCATTCCAAAATAATTGGTGCAATTCAAGAATGAATTCCAGCTTACTTTTGTAACAATGGACTGGGTGATTTGTTATCTGATGGATTCAGATTTTTTTTAAGTTTCTTAGTGTAAGGGTAGGACCTTTGGTCTGAGCCTATTCTCTTTCCCTTTCTACAGCTTCTCCTCACCTCCACACCCAATGCAGCCTCTGCCCCATTAGCTCAAAGAGTTATGTTAGAGGAGCAAACTACCCAGTGCTTGGAAAAATAGTCAAGAGGACCTTTAGCTAGGGAAACTATTCTTTCAATTTATTTTTATTATTTATTTATTTATTTATTTGAGATGGAGTCTCACTCTGTTGCCCAGGCTGGAGTGCAGTGGCGCAATCTCGGCACACTGCAAGCTCCGCCTCCCAGGTTCACGCCATTCTCCTGCCTCAACCTCCCGAGTAGCTGGGACTACAGGCGCCCGCCACCACGCCTGGCTAATTTTTTATATTTTTAGTAGAGACGGGGTTTCACGTGTTAGCAAGGATGGTCGCGATCTCCTGACCTCATGATCCACCTGCCTCAACCTCCCAAAGTGCTGGGATTACAGGCGTGAGCCACCGTGCCCAGCCTCAATTATTTTTCTGTTCTTGACATTCTTGAGCTGGCTGCAGGGGTTAATGAATGAATCAAATGGGTCCTGGTTCTCATGGGTTACAGTCAATGCTTGTTCCATTTTTCTTTTGGTTGTTGTGAAAAGGCAATTGGCAGAAGTCTCAAAGTGGGTGAAAATAAATCTGCTCTCACCTGAGACAAATTTTTGGCCCTTTATGTGTATTTGCATAAACTTTAATTTTAAAAATCTGAAAACACCTTAACATGATTATAATTACCTTAACCTAATTACTAAGGTTGCAGTTTAAAATATGTACATTTTAAAACAAATATTAAAATAAAATTCTACAACCTAAATTATCCTACGGTGCCCAAAGATTGCTTTACGAGTACTTGTAAGGTACATTTCTCTTTAAGGATAATGGTAGAAAAAAACATTTTTTTCATATAACCCAAACCAAAAGTTGTGATAGAATGTACAAATTCTATTTGCAGTTCACTAAGAGAACAGAACACAACGAGAAATGAGTATGTATGAACAGTCGATAGAGAAAGTAGGAAACCTGGGTTCTAGATTTCATTCTACTTACTGTTCACCAAGCTGATATTTTTATGCATATCACTTTCCTTTCCTAGGCATGAGCTTTTTTCCTTCTGTGTAGCAAAGAGATTGTATTAGAATATGATGTTCACAATTCTTTCTTCTGCTACCATTTTGTTTTCTGGTGTTTGCAAGAAAATCAGTGCATTACATGGTGAACCCACATGCTTATAACTGTAAGAAGACAGAAACAAAGAAAGATGACCTCCATCTCTGGAGGTCACCTCTGGAGAAAAGGGTGTGGGCTGAAATGATAGCAATTCCAAGAAGATAGAGGCAAGAATGGATATGAAAGAGGTTTTAATGGTCAGCATTAACAGAACCTCTGAAAATGTCAGGCATTATGTTAGGTGCTAGGGACATAAAGATAAATAAGCCTCAGGGTTTCCCCTAACGAACTCAGAATTTGGTGGGAGAAAAAAATATGGGAAGAAAAAAGAAATTCCATAATTTGCACAGGGTCAAAGGTTGAGCTATGATAGGAGCACAAAGGAGGCAGTAGTCAGATAACGCTTCAAGGAAAAAGTGGTTCTTGAGTTTAGACTGAAAAGATGAGTAGGATTGTGACAGACAGGTAGTTTTAATAAGAAAGGAAAAAATGGTGCAATAGAAAAATATGCAGGAGGGGCAAGGAGATTTACTTGGGAATAAACCTAATATGTAGGACTGGGAGTGTAGTAGTTCTTCCCCTACTCCCGTTCTCTCATCTCAAATATTAGGAGTGTAGTTGAACAAGTACCTTCTATGCTGAAAAAAAGGACTTCAGTTCTTTCTTTCCATAAAATCACAGCTATATTTCCTAGATCATTTTGTTGACATTGGAGATTTATGAAAAGTAAAAGTATTTGTGATCTTTTTCAAATAATTATTTGAAGCTCTCTCCCTACCCTTCCTTTCAGTCTGTAATGACTCGTTATGGACACACTTTCTTCTCTGTGCCAAACAAGCACAAAATTAGGCTGCTTAATTACGCCTGTCACCATTTCCACTTTCTCACAGCTTAACTTGCCCAGCTTTATAATATGTCTTGCTTGGTAGGCAAAGAAGTGGTCATCAGCATTGTTTTGAGTAGGTAACAAAATCCAGGATATCCCTGGAGAACTGAACTAGGCTTGAGGCTTGGTGTTAGGCAGCATCAATCAAATAAATGATGACATCTCCTTAAGGATGCCTCCCTACCCTACCCTACCGTACCCTACTTGTTTCCTCCAACTTCTATTGTCCCCTTGAATGATGTCTGTCACACTAGAAGAGAATCTGTTACAGGGTAACTTGGCTAGGCCTGGGGTTCCCCGATATTTTGTGGAACTATAGCAAATGGGGATAAATATAAGGGTAAGAGATAATGTCTTTCAGTAGCACTGATTGAATCTGTTTCTATAGAATAGTAATTTTTTTTCTTCCTTTCTTTATCCTCTACAAATAGGAAGGTAGTATTTGAAGGGGAATTTTTTTAAATTGAAATTTTAATTTTTGTGGGCACATAGTAGGTGAATATTTATTTCATGTATGAGATACATGAAATGTTTGGATATGGACATGCAATGCATAATAATCACATCATATAATGTGGGGTATCCATCCTCTCAAGCATTTATCCTTTGTGTTACAAACAATCCAGTTACACTATTTTAGTTATTTTTAAAATGTACATTTAAATTATTATTGACTTGCATTAGTCCATCCTCATGCTGCTAATGAGGACATACCAGAGACTGGGTAATTTATAAAGAAAAAGAGGTTTAATGGACTCAGAGTTCCACATGGCTGGGAAGGCCTCACAATCATGGCAGAAGGTGAAGGAGGAGCAAAGGCACGTCTTACATGGTGTCAGGCAAGAGGGTGTGTGCAGGGGAACCGCTCTTTATAAAACCATCAGATCTCCCAAGACTTATTCACTATCATGAGAACAGCACGGGAAAAACCCAGCCCCCATGTTTCAATTACCTCTCACTGGGTCCCTCCACAACACATGGGGATTATGGGAACTACAATTCAAGATGAAATTTGGGTGGGGACACAACAAAACCATATTATTTTGCCCCAGTCTCCTCCCAAATCTCATGTCTTCACATTTCAAAACACAATCATGCCTTTCCAGCAGTCTCCCAAAGTCTTAACTCATTCCAGTATTAGCCCAAAAGTCCAAGTCTAAAGTCTCACCTGAAACAAGGCAAGTTTCTTCTTCCTATGAGCCTGTAAAATCAGAAGCAAGTTAGTTAATTCCTAGATACAATGGGAGTAACAGGCATTGGGTAACTTCACCCATTCCAAATGGGAGAAATTGGCCAAAACAAAGGGGCTACAGGCCCTATGCAAGTCTGAAATCCAGCAGGGCAGTCAAATCTTAAAGCTTCAAAATGATCTTCTTTGACTCCATGTCCCACATCTAGGTCAAACTGATGCAAAAGGTGGGCTCCTATGGCCTTGGGCATGACTATAGTCACCCTGTTGAGATATCAACTTAGGTCTTATCCATTCTTTCTATTTATCTGTACCTATGAACCATCCTTACCTGCCCCAAACCCTCCCATTATCCTTCCTAGCCTCTGATAACCATCTTTCTACTCTCTATCTCCATGAGCTCAATTGTTTTGATTTTTAGATCCATAAATAAGTGAGAACACATGATGTTTGTCTTTCTGTGCCTGGCTTACTTCCCTTGGCATAATGACCTCCAGTTCCATCATGTTGTTGCAAATGACAATCTCATTTTTATATGACTGAATAGTACTCCACTGTGTATAAGTACCACATTTTCTTTACTCATTCATCTGTTGATGGACACTTAGATTGCTTGCAAACTTTGGTATTGCAAACAGTGCTGCAATAAACATGGGGATGCGGATATCTCTTTGATATACTGATTTCCTTTCTTTTAGGCATATACCAGCTGTGGGACTGCTAGATCATATGGTAACTCTATTATTAGCTTTTTGAGGAACCTCCAAATTGTGCTCCATAGTGGTTGTACTAATTTACATTCTCACCAACAGTGTACAGGGATTCCCATGTTTTTGCCAGCGTTTGTTATTGACCGTCTTTTGGATATAAGTCATTTAACTGGGGTGAGATGATAATGTCATTGTAGTTTTGATTTACATTTCTCTGACTAGTGATGTTGAGCAACTTTTCATATGCCTGTTTGCCATTTGTATGTCTTCTTTTGAGAAACACCTATTCAAATATTTTACCCATGTTTTAATTGGATTAATATATTTTTTCCAAAGAGTTGTTTGAGCTCCTTATATATTCTAGTTATAAATCCCCTGTCAGATGAGTAGTTTGCAAATATTTTCTCCCATTATTGGGATTGTCTCTTCACTTTGTTGATTGTTTCCTTTGCTGTGCAGAAGATTTTTAACTTGGTTTGATTCTATTTGTCCATTTTTGCTTTGGTTGCCTGTTCTTGTGGGATATTACTCAAGAAATCTTTGCCCAGACCCATATCCTGGAGAGTTTCCTCAATGTTTGCTTGCAGTAGTTTCATACATTGAGGTCTTGTCTAAGAATTAAGTTTTTAATTCATTTGGATTTGATTTTTGTATAAGGCTAGTGATGGGGTCTAGTTTCATTCTTCTGCATATGAATATCCTGTCTTTCTAGCCCCATTTATTGAAGAGATTGTCTTTTCCCCAGCATGTATTCTTGGCAGCTTTGTTAAAAATGAGTTCACTGTAGGTGTGTGGATTTGTTTCTGGGTTCTCTATTCTGTTCCATTGGCCTATGTGCCTGTTTTTATGCCAGTACTATGCTGTTTTGGTTACTATAAGTTTTAGGATTTTTTTTCTATTTCTGTGAAGAATGTCATTGGTATTTTGATGTGGATTGCATGGAATTTCTAGATTGTTTTGGGTAGCATGGACATTTTAACAATATTGATTCTTCCAATTCATGAACACAAAATATCTTTCCATTTTTTGATTTCCTCTTCACTTTCTTTCATCAGTATTTTATAGTTTTCCTAAGAGAGATCTTTTACTTTTTTAGTTAATTTTTAGGCATTTAATTTTATTTGTGACTATTGTAAGTGGCATTACTTTTTAATTTCTTTTTCAGATTGTTCACTGTTAGAATATAGAAATGCTATTGATTTTTACATGTTGATTTTATATCCTGCAACTTTGCTGAACGTATTTATCAGTTCTAATAGGGTTTTTGTGGAGTCTTCAGGTTTTTCCAAATATAAGATCATATCATCTGTAAACAAGGATAATTTGACTTCATCCTTTTCAATTTGGATACCCTTTGTTTTTTTCTCTTGTCTGATTGCTCTAGCTAGGACTTCCAGTAATATGTTGAATAACAGTGTTGAAAGTGGACATCTTTGTCATGTTCCAGATCTTAGAGGAAAGGCTTTCTGTTTTTCTCCATTGAGTATGGTATTTGCTGTGTGTCTGTCATATACGGCTTTTATTATATTGAGGCATATTCCTTCTATCCCCAGTTTTTTTAGGGTTTTTAAATCAGGAAGGGATGTTGAATTTTATCAATGCTTTTTCAGCATCAGTTGAAATGATCATATGATTTTTGTTCTTCATTCTGTTGATATGATGTATCACATTGATTGATTTGTATATGTTGCGCCATCCTTGCATCCCAGGGATAAATCCCACTTGGTCATGATGAATGATATTTTTTAATGTATTGTCAGACTTGGTTTACTAGTATTTTGTTGAGGATTTTTGCATCAATATTCATCAGAGGTAATATGGCTTCATATATATATATGGCTTCATATATATATATGGCTTCATATATATATATATATGTATGGCTTTGTCTGGTTTTGGTATCAAAGTAGTACTGGCCTTGTAGAATGAGTATGGAAGTATTCTGAGAGATGATTTTTATTTCTTTCTTTCCGGGGTGGATTCTGGTAGGCTACTTAATAAATTAATAAATTGAAATGACAGAGCACAGAAGAATCTATTCCTAAAAGAATTTGGTGTGTAAGGTTGTGCCTTCTTTTTTACTGTTAGTTTTTGTATACTGGAGCATACTGGTCCCAATTTAAAGCCCCCCTCAATTCCCATTTTATCAAGCTCTGTCTACTTATACTTTGCATAGTTCTTCTTTTTATCTTATCAGTCTATTAATGTGGGGTTAATTTTTTAGGGGTTTTCTACCATGGCTTGAAGATTTGGAGAAGGACATTTTCTAGATCTGATTGTGACACTTATTCCTTCAAGGTGACTGGTGGTGCTGTTACCTCTTTCTTGTCCATTTGAAGATTGTGAAATGCCATTTTAGAGAGTAACTGTAAGACATTTGAAAATACAATTTTCTGTTTGAGAGCTCAGAATAGCAGTCACATCATAATCTTTCTTCTCCTTGGACAGTGATCCTTTTCTGATGACTAGGAACAAGAAATTGGTTTCATTGTGGTTCACTGTGTAGCTTATTTAAAATAATTTAATTTTAAAAGCAGAAAGAATACAGGCTTAAAAGTAAGATTGACTAAAATGGATAATAATTTCTATCTTATATAATAATTGTGAAGATTAAATGAAATAATAAATGTAAAATATCCAGCCCAGTGCCTCACTGAGTTTAGTTCTCAATGTATATTTGTTGAATTAATGCATTAATGAATTGGGGTGATTATTGGAAAACTAGATGACTGGTTATGTTGCTACATGAAAATCATATGTTTATAATGAGAAAAGGCCTTGTACTTTTTCTGTTTGGCACACTCCATTAGAGATCCTAAATGATTGTATCATAGAAAGCAGGTATATATATATATATATATATATATATATATATATATATATATATATATATATATATAAAATTATGGTAAATATAGTTACATCGTGACACCACCCATTATAATTTGACATCAGTTTGGCTATATTTGGACAAAGCATGCTTCTCTTTTCAAATACAGTCATGGTATAACATCAATTACTGACACAATACATTTCTTAGGTCCTGCTATAGACCATTATGTGTACTGGAAGGCACTGAAGGGTTTCACCATGAGGCTGAGTCTGATTGGTAGGACCTACTGCTTTGGGTTAAATCTAAACAGGCTTGGTTATTAAAGTGTCACTAACATCCAAATGGAAGACAGATTTATCTTTAAAGCTAGCCACAGCACACAAAGCAGTGCAAATACTGTTAGAAGTATTTATTTGTGGATTGGTGAGATCTTCACAGGACTTTCTTAATTCAATTTATTTAAGAGATTGGTCAAATTTATCGATGCTGGATATGTGCTTGAAAGGTGCAAAACTTGTCTAATTTTATATCCATTTCTACTTTTAAGTGATAGATATTCTGGTAATGTTGAAGTGATAGCTAGAGAGTTCTTCTTCTAACTTCAATACTAATTATATGATCTTGGGCAAGCTACTTGCTAGATCTTAGCTCGTTGGCAGAATAAGGAAGTCAGACTAACCTAAATGATTTGATAATGTCCTTTCAGTTCTATGTGTCAAATATCTCATTGTTGAGCTTACCAAGATTTTAATGCTAGCTACTTTATTAAAGCTGCCAGTATTAAAGGTGGAACATTTTAAGCCATAAAGTAAAATCATTTCTTAAAGTGCTTTTATAAAATAAGTAATTTTATAATTTTGAAAAAATATTTAGCTAGGCTTATTTTTACACATATACACTGCTGGTCTTTTATATATCTTGGATAAAGAAACAATTCAATATCCCAAACAATCAGTGTGAATTTTTCAAAATTGAAACAGGAAAAACATTCTATATTTAGGCTGAAACAGTCTTCACCTAAGTTTAAATGTTTATGGGACTTTGGCTAAGCCTGTCATAAGCTTTACTATATTGTTGATTTTTAAACCTCAACTATGTTTAGAAATGAATATTCATTATTATAATCATTATGACTGTGAACTATGATCTGAGAATTATATGTGGAATGACATTTTTGTAGACCCTTATGTAATAGTTAATCAGAATTTAACCTTTTCTGTTCCTAAACCATTAGTCTGCAAAGAAATTTTCTAACTAAAGCTATTTGGTTAGAATAAATAGTTTTTTTTTGTTATTAACTAGACTGTTAATAACTACACTGTTATTAACTAGACTATCTGTGTTAATAACTAGACTGAGAAGAAAAAATGTTACTACTCATTAGTTATGGCTCAAACAGTATAATTTGTATTAGAAAATTTTAAGGCCATTTGCAAAAGTATTCTCCCCTTCTGCAGATTGTCTGTTCATTCTGTTGATTGATTATTTTGCTGTGCAGAAGCTTTTTAGTTTAACGTAGTCTCATTTGTCTATTTTTGTTTTTGTTTCTTTTGTGTTTGAGGTTTTAGTTATGAATTCTTTGCCTAAACCAATGCCCAGAAGAGTTTTCTTAAGTCTTCTTCTGGTATTTTAATAGTTTCAGTCTTACATTTATGTCTTTAATCCATCTTGAGTTGATTTTTGTATATGGGGAGAGATAGGCATTCAGTCTCATTCTCCTGCATATGCAATCCAATTTTCCCAGCACCATTTATTGAAAAGAATGTCCTTTTGCCAATACATGTTCTTATCAATTTTGTCAAAGATCAGCTGGCTCTAGGTATGTGGCTTTATTTCTGAGTTCTCTATTCTGTTCCATTGATCTACGTGTCTATTTTTACACAAGTACCATACTGTTTTGATTACTATAGGTTTGTAGTGTAATTTGAAGTCAGGTAATATGATGCCTCCAGCTTTGTTCTTTTTGCTTAGGATTGCCTTGACTCTTGGGGCTCTTTTTTGGTTGCATATGAATTTTAGGATTGTTTTTTCTAATTTGATTAAAAATGACATTGGTATTTTTATAGAGATTGAATTGAATCTCTAAATTCTTTGGGGGCAGTATGGTCATTTTAACAATACCGGTTCTTCTAATCCATGACCATTGGATGTTTTTCCATTTGTTTATGTCATCTACAATTTTTTTCATCAGTGTTCTATAGTTTTCCTTGTACAGATTTTTCACCTCTTTGTTTAAATATATTCCTGTTTTTTTTTTTTTGTAGCTATTGTAACTGGGATTGCCTTCTTTCTTTGGTTTTCAGCTAGATTTTTTTAGGTGTCTAGAAATGCTACTACTGTTCAGTGAAGCTAACAGTTACTGAGCAGCTGTCTAGTCAAAATTTTAGCAAACTACTTCAAAAGAATAATTTCCTGTGAAACAGTGTGATTAAACTTGACTAAATTTTTTTGCCTTTTATTTTTTAACCTTAATATCATAAAATTGTTTGTCACATATATAATAAATATAATGATGTACCACTTGTGTTGCCTCATTTATAGATGCTGTCTTTCCTTCCTAATATGCAATGATTTTGTATAGTATGTTAAATCAGAAACTATTGATTGGGTATCTGTTATTTGCAAGGCACCATTATTGGTGCTAAGCATTCAAAAATAATTAGATCATATCTTCAGTGAGCTTACAGTGTATCAAGCAAGATAAGATACATGTGCATAATTACACATGAAGTTTAAAATACTGATAAACACCACAAGAAAAGTGCAGATCAAGTGTTAAGGATTTATATTTTATATCTCCTTTAGAGCTATGTGCTTTGAATTCTCCTCAGCTCCTAACACAGAGTCTTACACATGGAACAAATTCAACTGATGTTAGTTTAGAGGGTGAGCTGCGAAATTATTTTGTAAGCTTATACCTATTCATTTAATGACATTCATATTATCCAAGACAAACTTAAAATCTTCAATCTGAATAGAATGATATTTATACTAAAATCATATGTTTTGTTAGACAGAATATGGATATTTTAATTTTTGTGAATACCTTCTATCTTTTCACTGGACTCAATTTTCTGATTTCTATTTCAAGGCCCATTCTACTAAATCTTACCTGA
Source organism: Homo sapiens (assembly GCF_000001405.40). Classification (NCBI taxonomy): domain Eukaryota; kingdom Metazoa; phylum Chordata; class Mammalia; order Primates; family Hominidae; genus Homo; species Homo sapiens. The sequence continues at coordinate 16,060,447 of NC_000011.10, read as the reverse complement.
TATCCTACTGTCCAGTTTACTCAGCTTTGAAAAGGATTATGGAATGTGGCTGTACCTCTTCCTTTCTCTAATGTATCAGTAATCACAACTCACAAGAACCAGCTCTATGGAATCTCAGAGTTTATGTGGTCTTGCCTTCCTTAGGTACAACCCACTTCAAAGGGCTGTAAAATAAATGATTATCAGAGCTTTAAAAGAAGCAATTAACACTACTCTTTTCCTGAAAAGTAATTGTATTATTCACTCAATTTGAAGGATTCATAGTCAACTTTTTTAAAAAAAAATAGATGTATTTCCAAAAATATGTTTTTCTGCATTTTTCACTAGTTCAAGTTTCCCAAAGGACTCAAGATTGAGTAAAATTGACATTTATTTGATCTTTTTAATGATTGAGGTAAAAAGCATAAATGATAACCAAGGACTGTTAGCATCTCTAAGATTTCCTGACTCTTTAATACTCATAGTAGGATATATTGGTTATGATACCAGCTACAGGACTATATAGTCAACATGTTTCATCTCGTAACCATCTTGACTCCATTCAGTATAGAACTTTTTTTCACTGCCTTAATCCAAGCAGACATTTTCAGAAGCTTGACCTGTCCCCATTTTGAAGACATCTGGCTGAATTTCAAAGGAAGATGATACAACAGAGTAAAAGAGAAACCAAAAAGATGCCCCCCTCATTTTGCCTAAGTGCTAGCAAAGCACTGACTCTGCTTGTGACTGACTCTGCTTGTGAATTTTTCTTGCCACTGAGTCATTACATACAGAATTATGAAACTTTAATTTCTTTAGAGGCTTGTTATATTAGAAAAATTGTTCCAAAGAAAGCAACAATCATGACATAAGCACATCTGGCTCTTGCAAATTATTCTTTATTAAGCTTTCATTTAATTACATGTGCTGAAAGGTCTGTTTTTGATTACTGTAATTTTTTTTATTTGTCCATCTGAATGATAGAAATGCTGGAAATTACATTCAAACCACCTGTTTTTTCTCCCCTACTCATATGGCAAAGTTTGAGCTATTTTCTCCGTGGTTGATGATCTAGGAAGCTTTCTATTTATTATGATAGAAATGTGACCATCAAGGTAGTGGCTTAACTTTGATTATAAGAAGAAAAGAAAATATTTGAATGAAGTTTTCAAGCATTAAACAGTGTTAAGATTGGAGTATCTGACTTCTGGTTAACCACAGCAGATTAACATTTTCATTTATTGCCAGTTTTACCCAAATCCTAGTAAATTGATGGTTAAGGATTATAGGTGTAAACCTTCAAGTAGAAATGGAAAGAGAAGACAAAAAATTTGGAATATGAGAAGTGGATAGATGAGTTATAACTGTCTTAGTAAAAAAGAGAAAGCTGATACCTAAGCTTTAGGAGTGTAAAGCCAAAAAGAATCAAGCCCAGTTGGGAGCTGAACCTCTAAAATGCTTAGGAATTGAAGGCATCATGTATCATTAAAGGAACAGTTGTAAAAGGTGGAACTGTAGACAGGATGACTGGTTGAAAATAGACATAAGATGATCCCTCCCTAATGTCATGCAACCTGGTAACTACCATCCCTGCCTCCTCCCTTCCAGCCCCATGAGCACATAACCTCACAGAAGTCACTGGAGATTTATTCTCTTGAAAAGTAGAACTTGAGAGGTTTATGTCTTGGGACACCAGGCATAGCTGAGAATGAGTGATGTGCCATGGTGAAAATCAGGAAATCTGCAGGATAGACCAGACTATGAGATTCTTCTCCTGCCTTCTCTTGCTTGGCTCATGTAATGATGGCATACAAGTCTATACACAAATCAAGGCAAGAATTTGAAGACATCTCTCCAAGAAAATGGTCTAGTCTAAGATAAATGACCTGTAGATATTGATATTTGTGATTTCCCAATGAAAAAGCAGACTTTCTGCATCATTACCTTATGCTGAAGCCCATAAATCAATAAGTCTACCCCATACTTAGACCTTCCAGTCAGCTTTTTAGAACGTTGCTGTTATATATGAACAAACAGCCAATGAATACCAGACACTTTAGAAAAGCCCCTAATATGAAAGAGTTCAAAGACCTTGGAAGAAAAGAGTGGTAACAATGCAGAGAACAGAAAACATTAAAAACAAACCCAAATCTATAATTAATATTGTCAAACAGAATAGAGAACAGGATGCTATAAAAAGAAGCAATCAGAGAATAAGAGTATCTTTAAAAATATAATGGTAGAAACTTTAAAACATTCAGAGAAGTTTTGGAAGATGAAGTTGCAAAAACTCTGTCATAGAGTATAACAAAATGTCAAAGATTAGCAAATAAAAAGAAAAAATAAGAAAAATAGAGGGTTAATAAGGAAATCTAATATTTATCAAATATGAATACAGAGGAGAGAAAATTATCAATGAAAAACATCAAAAAAGTTTCCTAGAATACAAAGACATGAGTTTGGATCGAAAAGACTGAACAATGAATGTAAAAGTCAACAGAAGGACATAATAGTGAAATTTCAGAACATTCAGTGGAAAGGGAAGATCCTGATGCTTTTAGAGAAGGAAATAGATTACATACAAAGGAATGTATGTATCAGGAAGCAAAATAGTGTCAGGCTTCCTTAATAACAAGAATAGGAAGGCAACATATCAATATCTTTGGAATTCTGAGGCAGAATTATTTTCAACTTAGAATTCTATACCAGTCAAACTACAACTAAGTGAGAAGAATATTAGTTCCTAAATAATTAATCTCACATTCACCTTTCTCAGGAAGCTCTTGTACCAAAATGAGACAGTTAACTAAAAGGGAAGAAAACATGATACTCGGGAAACAAGGACACCAGTACAAGAGAGGCAAAAGGAATTACAAGTGCCATAGATCTGCAGTAGGTAGGCCTGAGGAATAAATTAGTTCAGATTTGGAGCAAGAAGATTGAGAATTCCAGAAAGGATGTCTCCAAGGGAGAAACCAGGATTCAGAGATTACCTGATATATTCAATTACGTTGGGTAGAGTTTTACTGATTTCATGCAGAGTTTGAGAATTAGTGATAGTTACATAAAAATTATGAAAACAAAATATGAGGCAAATCTTAAATCTAACAAAATAAAAAGTTGAGAAATAAAATTAAGTATAGTTTACTACATAGCTATTATCTTCATAAAATAATATAAAACAGTAAACACTAATTTTAAAATTTGTGACATTAACATTAAGAGATTGGAGAGAGAAGCATGGGAGCACATGTGGGGTTCAATGTAGGAAAGTGAAACTTTCATTTTCCTTTATACTGTAGATAATGATATAACATTTAGAATGATTTACAAATAAGGATATAAATACAAGTTAAACCATTAAATGAATTGAAGGGAATGGTCTCCACAGAACAGGGGGTGAGATAAGGAGGACCAGGGTAGGAAAATGAAGGTCATCCTGCAAGCTGTGGAGACTGTGCACTGTACATTTTGGTCATGCTCTTTTTGTTGTTGTTGTTTTGGTTTTTTGTTTTTTAAAACCTTCAAGTACTATTTATCTTGTAAAGCTGTATACAAGAATGACTTTGATAAAAATGAAAATTATATGAAAAGAGGTTAGCCCACCTGTCTTTCAATCTTTGGCTTTAATTTAGTGAAATCAACATATTTTGAGGTTGATAATTTAAAGATTTGTAATGTCAGATTGTCTGCTTATCATGTCTCAGAGAAGAGGAACCATTTTAAGCTGAGTAAATAGAATGAGTAATAAGATCATTGGTTTGCCAAAGAGAACTATAGAAAATACTTCAGAAAAGGCCTTGAAACAGCAATGAGAATATGACGAAGATAAATGTGGAATCCCAGGCAAAGGCAGGACCTGAAGAGAGAAGTGTGGTGATCTGTTTGGAAGCATGAAGGAAGCACTTTGTTACCTGGTTTGGGTTCAGAGAAGCTTGACTTAAAAAACAACAAAACTGCTACCAATCTGGCCATATTCTCTTGAGGATTATGTTATACGCTGCCTAGAAATAAGACCCTGGGTAAACAATGACTGCCACTAGGCCTTAGTGGCCTTGGGAACAGCACTCATTATTCAGAAGGATCAGAATACCCAGAGATGCAGAGTCAGAGCTAAATAAGAATGATACAGTTCTTCCAAGAATCCTTAGAAATGTTCAGGTTAGTTTCTTAATTCATGAATATTAATATTAAACAAGTGGACATCCCAGACATTTAAATAACTTTTAATAAAGATTTTAGGCATTAAAAAGCATCTTAGAGGCTACTTAGTTGAATTCCTTTTTGTACAATTAAAAAAAAAAACCTGAATTCTAAAGAGATCAAATCCTTTGTCCAGGATCATAAAGTTGTTGCTAGAAGGACCAGAAACAGAACTATGGCTCCCATACCTGTCCTTTTTCTTTCTGTTTTATTATTTGCCTTCTCTTAGCTTCCTTTTTTAAAAATAGTGAAAAAGAAATTACAAGGCTGTCTGAGAAATCTAACAATATGGTAAGTTTTTTCTTTTGAAACTCAATTTCAGCTGCATTTAAAGAGATCAATGTTTGTCTTCCCTGTTTTGCAGCAGCTCTATGCCGCTCAGCTGGCCAGCATGCAGGTGTCACCTGGAGCAAAGATGCCATCAACTCCACAGCCACCAAACACAGCAGGGACGGTCTCACCTACTGGGATAAAAAATGAAAAGAGAGGGACCAGCCCTGTAACTCAAGTTAAGGTACACTCGCCTTGCAGCATTGTGGAAACAGTTTAGAAAAAAGTTTCACAAGAAAGATAGTGAAGCAGGCTATGTTGGGCATAAACAGCAGGAAACATAGCAACATAAAGCAACCCCAAAATGTCCCTCTTTATGGTAAATTTCATAATTGAGCATTGAGAAACAGGTGTTTTGATAACAATAGTGCCGTATTGTGAGATCTTTACCTCAATCTGCAAACTCACTTCTCGAGAGTTTTCCCCCTTTGGATTCTGGCTTTTATTTTTTAATGATCATTGGCATGAATTGCCATGACTTTATTGCCAGTCTTTGTCATGGACTTGTGGCATTTCTCTTCATGTGTCTTAAACAGGCAGGGAGTTAACTTATAGGACCAGAGAATTGGGATATTGAAACATTAGATTTAAAAAGAAGTGCAAAATAGAATTTGATGTCGGACTCTGTATGGTTCGTTGATGAAGATCTCTCATTCAAAACTAGTTATAAATGTGGACTTAAAGTATACTTAAAAAAATAAATAAATAAAATAAAATAAAGAGGACTGTCCTTACAATGAGGGCAATGGGACAAATAAATAAAATCATAAATATGAAAAGTCTTAACATGATACCTGATCCATACTGTATCCTTAATAAATGCTCTTTGATTCATGAAAAAAAAATGTGGGCTTTAAGGAATGAGTTGTCATTGCCTAATAACGCTTTTGATGCCATATAGTTGTGATAGGATAAACAGGCTTTCCCAAGTTATGTCTGGGACATTAATAGATGTCTTCTCTCACTAATTTTCAGCGTCTTGAAACTGGGCAGCCAGGAGGTACTTGGTGAGAGGGAAATTGATGAGCCACTGCAATTTTGTGCTGCAGCTGGTACCTATAGGTGGTACTTGTTGGTTTTATGATTGCAGTTGCTTTCTATATTGAATTATCAAATTCAAACAGAGGAACAATTGTTTTGTATAATTGACTTATCTACTTGGAGGAGTATGCTAAGTACAAATGCTTTATTGTAATGTGATTAAAGTACTGCATTTGGAGAAATTTTGCAATTATTAAATCTTCACAAGGGAAACAGCTGAGACCAACCAAATTAATCATTGGATGCTATATAATCACTGAAATTGTTTTGTTTTCTAAAATTTGCATATGGGAATTTTGAGATTCCAGGAAGTCTTTTAAAAAAGTGCATCCCAAATACCAAAGATCTAAAAAAGTGAAAATCACTAAGAGAAGTAGTCTATGTTCCAGCCAAAGGAATTAATTTAATGCCACCTATTCTTTTAGATTCTCCAAAGAAATAGGAGAACATTTATGTTCTGCTGTTAGAAATATTGAGATATGACAATAGGAAGTTTACATTTAATAAGACAGAATCACTTATGGAAACAGACTATTTTATGTTCCCAGAGTTTGTGTTTATGAATAAGAGAACACTCCAACTCAAAGACACTTTGCTTACTCGTAGTTGTTAAAGTATGAGTATATCAAACATCAGTGACTTGAGCTATTGAGTATTAAATATTTTAACATAAATAAGTCATTTTATAAGTAAGTTGACCAACTGGAACTGCACCAAACCAAGTCTTTACTGGATGAGTAAAATGTTCCTTGGTTAAATTCAAGTTTATATCTGCTTTTACTATTCCATCTTTGTGAGCCAGCTGAATTTTATTACTCACTTGACCACATGCAAATTCTTAGAGATCTCTCTGGGTAATTTGACTTGACCATATTCTATGTTAATAACAAAGGAAATATTTCTTTTACTTATTAGATTTTTTATTGTATATATGGGTAAAAATATATAGACCAAAACATAAAGCAAACATTTTAAATTTAAAATATAATTCATATTACTGAAGATGTTCTGAAAATAATCTTAAAGTTTGCTAATTTAAAGAACTGTGGTTACCAAAATCTCTCACGTTTCTCTTTATAGTCATTGCTTTTTCTCTGTATATAACATGACTACTTATATTAAATTCAGACAGAATATAGGCAACATTTGCTGAAAGTATCAAAAATAAATATAGATGATCTGATGTACCTTTTCCCCCTAAAACTTTTGTCTACTATAACTGTCAACATCAGAAGTCAGAATGTTTCTGTTAAAATACTGGTTCTACCACTTTTACTAGCTATATCACCTTGGCCAAGCCACTTAGTGTCTTTCTACTTTAGTTTTCTCCTCTGAAAAAAACTGGAGTTAATATTATTATAGGTCTTAAATACACCCTCTAGTATTATAGTGAGTATTCTATAAATGTTAGTGATGGTAGTGATGCTGCTGCTGGTCATTATGATAATAAAGAAGATGGTGTGGTGGTTTTAGTGGTTGTGATTGAAATATCTAGTTGTACACAGGGAGAGATCCTAAATAAACACCTAGAGGATTTCCATTGTCAACTATGATGAAGGAACAAAAACAGATTTACTCTTCCAGCTTAAACAACTAAAACTCAGGACAAAATTGTATAAAACAATGGTTTTCAGACATTTACAATAGTAGTACAGGACAGTGATTCCTATGAGAAGAGAAACAAGTGAGGCAGGCACTACAATTTTTGCAGCTCACTATTGGAAGGAAGTTTCCAGGCAACTATGCAGGAAGCTTCATAGGCTCCCTGAGTAGAGAGACAGAGTTCAGAGTTTAGGGATGCTAATGCAGATGGAATTTGTGAGACAGGGTACCAGAGAGGAGCAAGCTGCATGGAGAACGAATGCTGAAGATCTGCAAAAGGCTGCCCCTGAGCATTTAGCTGAGTACTGATCAGCACATGCATGTGAGAAACAACCTGAGGTAAGGGGAAACACCAGAATGTAGCAAACAAAACAGCTGCAAGATTCACAAAGGACCAGAAATAGCCAGAGTGGAAAGACCTCCTGACACATGGGCATCAAGTAGATTCCCCAGAAGGGTATAACCTCAGTACTGGGGAAAAATTACCCCTACTTAGTGGCTGTTCTGACCTTGCCTAAAAATGCTTAGAAGTAAGTCTAGAAAAGGATCAAATTGTTCTGTGTCTCAGAATAAAGTTTTCAAATATTTAAAGAAATACAGAAACTTCGTCACTCCAGAAGGTAAAATTTACAATGTGTAGCATCCATTCAATAAATATCAGGCTTGCAAAGCAGCAAAATATATGAATAATGAGAAAAATCAATCAATAGAAATAGACCCCAAAATGACACAGATGATAGAATTAGTAGATAAGAAAGTAAAAACAACTATTATAAGAGACTTGCAACTAGAGCCAAATGAGATAAGCATCTGCCTTCCTAAAAAATCACCTATAAAGCTGGACAAAACTGACAAAAACAGTCATTTTGGCATTCTTAAAAATGACCAAAGTTATATACAATCTGAGAAAATATTTATGCCTCTTATATGTAAGAATAGTGGGGGTCTGTGACATTCTGGCCTAGGGCTATTGTTATTTCCCCTTCTACCAGGTTTGGTTAGCACAAAGTTGTCAGGCCAGGGCAGGCTGTGAGGACCAAGAGTTCTGCCATGGTGGAAAGGGATTCACTTAATTGGGAGTTGGTAGGTGATAGCCATGCCCAGTGGTATTATTGGTTAAAGTGGCAATTACTGAATTATAAAACTAAGTAAAAAATTAGAGTATTTCAAAGTTAAAAAAGATGTAATAAACTCCATATGTTCAAGAAGATAGAGGAAAACGTGAGCATGATAAAGCAAGACATGAAAAACCTAAATCAAATGTCTACAGATGAACAATACAGTGTTTGAGATTAAAAATATATATATACTAGATGGGTTTAGCAACAGCTTAGACATTTCAGAAGAAAAGATTAGTGAACTTGAAGACATAACAATAAAACTATCCAAAATGAAAGGCATAGAAAAAAGACTGGTCAGTACTGTGGGGCAACATCGAATAGACTAATGTATGCAATTAGAGGCCCAGAAAGAAAAGGAAGAAAGAGAAAATTGTATTTGAAGAAGTAATTACTGAAAATGTTCCAAATTTGATCAAAACTTTAAATTTAGATTTTTTAGAAGCTCAGTGAGCCCCAAATAAAAGAAACATGGAGAAAATTAAGTAAACACCTAGCATATAAATCCCTATTATTTAGATGTGAGTAAAGGAACAAACTAGTTCAAACATCCTTTGAATAAAGAGCAAAGGGAAGTAAATTGAAATTAACTACATAAGATAATTTTGACATTCATAATGGATGTAACCATGTTGCTTGAGAACCTGTCCTATGTATAAATATACATAAACGTACATTGCAACGTATGTGACAAATTGCCTTTTCCCTATGAACACACACAAAAAAATCTGTGGCATCACTATATTATCAAACAATAGACTTATTTTCTCTGGTAGTTCAGTAGAAAAGGGGCCTGAAATTTGGAGTCCAATAAATTAGAATTTAAATTCTTTCCCCCGTTATATGGCCTTAGACAAGCGATTTTGTCATTCTGACCTCCATTTTCCTATTTGTAAATTTAGAATAATACTGGCCAGGCTCATAGTCATTGACGGTTAAATGAACTAGTATATGAAAATGCTTAGTATGTGCTTGGTATATAATTGCTTCTTTGCGCATGCTGTTTTTATTTTCTCTTTCTAATCCTCCTTCTCAAGTAGTATTTTCTGGCCTCTCTTTCTGTTCCCCCTTAATCAATGATATTAGTACTGGAAGAGACCTTAGAGATCATCTAGTATCAGACCCTCTTTTCACAGATGAAGAAATTGAGCCCCAGCAAGGTCACATGGTTACTAAGGGGGAAAATGTTCTGTTACCAAACTCTATTGGGTCTTTTAAACAACGGCATTAAAAGCTAGTTCTCTTTGCCTTCTTAAAAGCAAAGTGGGAGTTAACATTTGCCGACAATTTTATTTTAGAACACAATAATGCAGATCTTAAAACTGAACATTTAAATAAATATGGTCATATTATAACTAAATTTCTAGGATGATGAAAGTGTTATTTCAAGTATTTTATGGCAGGATAAATGAGACAAAATAAAGGAAGGAGCTTAGCTTTCAAGATCCTGGATGAACTACAGTTACAAGCCAGATATTTGAATACTGTCTCAGTGAAGAAGGACATGTATCTTAAAATAGACATTCTGTAAATATATGTAGAAAAGCATATAAAGAAACATCACTTTAAACATGAAAAATAAATTGCATATAGCATAGTATGTGTAACATAATTATAATCTATCCTTGGTCTTTGCAAAAATTAATTTTAAACATGAATAGAGACCAGAATATAGACCATGAAGAGTGCCCACACCCAGAAAGCCACATAGAAGCCATGCTGTGGCATGTGGCTCCCTGGGCAGGGGCCTAGTACATCAGAAAAAGGCTTTCCATGTTTCCATTTTTAAAGTGCTTGCAATTGTTTGATTTAAAATATATATTAAGAAATTAGCTGCAGAGACTATTTATAGCTACAAGAACTTTTCAGAGAGAGTAACACAAAAGCACTACAGAGCTGCTGAAATTTTAAATAATTCTTTGTAAATGCCCTAGGTTAATTTAGATCCCTGAAAACACATTAGGAAATTAAGCTGTAATGTGAGCTAATTCAGATTTTAATTTGGCAAAAAGAATGATCCAACTACACAGTTAATGTAAATAGAAGCATAACACAGGGATATTAATGAGGTTTCCTTCCGATGAATCTTCAAGGAGGTAGATAATTAGCTTCTTTTGTTATTATTGTAGGAGAATGTGGCATTGTCTCTGAGGTGTAAAATAACTGTGGCTTACTAAGTGATAATGTGCTTCATTTGTCTTTTGTAAAAATAATTATTTACGTTAAACTCTTGTAGGATGAAGCAGCAGCACAGCCTCTGAATCTCTCATCCCGACCCAAGACAGCAGAGCCTGTAAAGTCCCCAACGTCTCCCACCCAGAACCTCTTCCCAGCCAGCAAAACCAGCCCTGTCAATCTGCCAAACAAAAGCAGCATCCCTAGCCCCATTGGAGGAAGCCTGGGAAGAGGATCCTCTTTAGGTAAATGGAAAAGTCAACACCAGGAAGAGACTTACGAATTAGGTAAAAGAAAGCAAACCTGTTTAGTTACGACTGATACTTGTTTCCAAAGTGCTCCTTAGTAAAAGATAATACTCTTATCTTTTCTACTGAAACATAACCCAATTTAGTATCTTCTTTTATTAGAACTTTTGGAAAAGGTCATAATATAAATCCTGCTGGGATGGATTCTTTAGATGATAATGAGTTCGATCCAGCAAATCATAGACTTAGGAACTTCTATATATGGTCAGTGCTTTGACACTGAGATAATTTTTCAGGGACATAGGACCTGGCTTCAAAGCAACCTTTCAAAAGACCAAAATTTATTTGAAATTTTTATCTTCTATCAAAGTGTATGTGAATTTTACATCTTATCCCATATGACTTTTGCATTAAAACAAATGTGAATGACACACTTCAAGAACATATATGAAATACTATTGATATGTAGGAAAAGATGTCATAATGTCTGGCTCCTTATACTCCCCCATATATGGCCAAGTATCTCTAGGAATATTCATAGCCCTATGTGAAAAGTATGGAGGAAAAAACATGGGTTTTGGAATGAGGCAGGCTTGGACAGAGAGCCTTCATTTTCTAGCTATGTGACCCCAAGAAAGTTATTTAATATTTTCAAGTTCAGTTTCCTAGTATTACTAGCTCATAGGTTATTATGAGGATTAAAACAGAAAAATGCATATTAAATGCCTAGTGCAGTTTAGAACCTAGAAGGCATTCAATTTAAAATGACTAGAATGAATGATTATCAATACATGTACATATATAAGTGGGATGAAACAATAAATGTGAAAGCAGTTGTCAGTAAGACAGTGCCGAATAAGCATTAACATTATTGTTACTATACTCTTTGTTTGGAAATTAAGTCTCTTAATTTGTTATACTCTTTGGAAATTAAGAGACTTAATTTCCAAACAGACACAGATTTAAAGATTAAAGGGACAAGACCTAGCATTTCTTCAGATTACCTTCCTTGTATTATTGAGTCCTGAAGTCTAAAATGCTTATTTCAATAGATAAAATAATGTATAAGAATAGCCATTAACAGCTTAAAAAACATTCTTGCCTACTTTATCTGATTTGATGTTTCACAATAATCTTATGAGTTAGATAGTATATTATTATGCTTATTGTACAAATACATACATTGTGGTTTTTACAGGTAGAATGAGTTGCCCACACTCCTGCAGCTGTTAATTAGCAGAAACAGGACTAGAATCTAGGTCCTCTCACATGTTACTCAAGTGTTCTTTTTGTAAACTCACAGTTAGAATATTTGCTAAATTGTGCTGAGTCTAAGTGAATCTTCTGATAGTGAGATGTTAATCTTCCTCAATGAATTTTGGAATATTGGATCTCTACAGGAGCATATTCTCATTTTGAGTAAGGATGTCTTTTTGGGACCTGAAAGTTTTCATGCCAAGTTAGTGATATCCATATAGAAGATAGAATTAAATCATTTCCAGCATGTGAATATGAATGCCCCTTGGCCGGATTTTTGGAAGTTGTGAGATGAGGGAAGAAAGCCAACAAGGAGATAAATTATAGAGTTGACCTTGAAATAGCCCTCCTAGAATTCACTCTGAAATTGTTTGGAAAGCATTTGTTTGCTGTCCTGAGTATCATGAGGGACAGAGATGACTGAGTCACAGGCCCTGCTTTTATGGAACTCTACTCAGCAGAGCATATTTCTTAGATCATGAGCTAGAAATGGGCTGAAGTAATAGCACCTGTGTTTGAACAGCACTCTCGTCCAGGTGATATTGGATAGAGATGTCCTTTTTACCAGAAAAGCTCCAAAATAAAAGCTGTGGGACCAAAAAGTGACTAACTTAAAAAAAAAATTCCATGTATAGCTTGGGAATTTTTTCCAAACTCAAATGCATATGCACATGCATTGTACACATCAGACATCCAGTATGAGCTTGATTCTACACTCATTTCTTCTGTCCTGCCTATGTGAGGTGTATACACACACATACACACACACACACACACACACACACACACACACGCTATGAAATGATTATACGAGCCCTCAAGCAAGTGGATCACACTAACATTTGTCACAGCAGATGAAACCTATCATCAAAAAATTGCCCTCTTTTTGTCTAAAATTGGAAAATCTTATTCAAAGTATTCATTTTACCCACAGTAAAATGCAAGATATCGTTGGAAATAAGTCAGTTTAATATTGAAGATTTTCCTTCTGTGTTGCTTGAAATACACTGGAAGTAAATATTTATTCTCACTTTTTTTTTGAAGCTTTGTAGTTATGCGAAAACCAGTCCCACACATATCGCCTCATTGTCATGAAGTGAGGGAGCTGATCACAGTGGGTGTTCGAGCTGGGGGTGGGGAATGGGTTGTCATTCTCTTGGTAAATAACTGAGGCAGCTTGATGAGAAGAATGCTTCATTAACCAGCCAGCAACTGGGGTACTGGAGAGTACGGTGAATTCCTTCCGCCCCCTCTTTCCTGCAGTGGACATATGAACACACAGATACAGATATCACTAAAGTACACATGTGGCCTCACAGATTTTTTTATTTTTTCTGCGGGCCAGAAATGACTGTGTTGTATTATCACAGCAACTATAATGGGTAGCCTGGACAAACATCTCTGCCTCCTGCCCACTCCTCAACCCCTTCCTCCCCATAATTTCCCCACAGAAGAGGCAACATTGTGCACCAGTTGTACATACAGGCAGAGCAAATACCTTCCCCCAATATGTATACAATTGGAGTCTAGGAACTGTAGTCTGTGAGGAGGTGAGTAGACAGAATCCAGGTAGGCTGGAGTGCTGGGGTTTTCTCCAAGGGCTAAAAGAACCCAGCACAGCTTGGTTGCCCTGGCTCTGTGTTCTATGTATATTAGCGTATAGTTTAAAAAATAGCAAATGTGCACCCCTTCCTTGTTCAGAGAATGCAGCTTTCTACAGGGGAGGGGATAGTAGTAGTACTTTTTAGGAGTCTGACCTCACAAGCATCTAATAATGCATCCTGTGTATGCAGATATCCTATCTAGTCTCAACTCCCCTGCCCTTTTTGGGGATCAGGATACAGTGATGAAAGCCATTCAGGAGGCGCGGAAGATGCGAGAGCAGATCCAGCGGGAGCAACAGCAGCAACAGCCACATGGTGTTGACGGGAAACTGTCCTCCATAAATAATATGGGGCTGAACAGCTGCAGGAATGAAAAGGTAAAACTGCTTCCTTGTGTCACTGGATCTGCTAGACTTATTGGCTCACTCTCATCTGGTTCTTTCCAGGCTCCCAGGTATCAACCTGCAGCCATAGATTTGGGCTTCCAGCTTGAGGGCTGTCTTGTACTTTACTGAAATCTGTCATGTAGCATCTGTAAGCATTATTGTTGATTAACAAATACGCCCTTTCCCACCCAGTGTAAGTTGCCTCCCAACCTACCTGCCTATTGGTGTTTTTCTGTCACATTCTGAAATAGATGTATCTTAAAATAAAGGAGATGTATGATGTTATTAGAATAAAAGTAGAGTACCAGAATATTAAAAAAGGAAGACACATATGTGTTTACAATGAAGACTAATATGTTACCATGACTCACCATTAAATGTAATACTAAACTTCCTGTCAACCAGGACAAAAAAATGAAGCAAAACAAAGCAATTTGCAAATTGCATTCATTTGGTTTTTGATCCAGCAAATTATTTATTGTTTATTCTATGATGGACTCTGTTCTAGGCGCTGGAGATACAGCAGTGAGCAAATCTGACAAAGACACCTGCTTTCCTAGAGCTTATATTCTAATAGGAGAACACAGACAATGAAGAAATAAACAATTAAATAGAAAATGTAATGGCAGGAAGTCAATAAATGCCGTGAGAAAAAATAGAAGCAAGTTAAAGGAATAGGGTGTTATAGGGCTGGCATGTTAGATGAAGTGGTAAGGACTCTCTGAGGAAGTGACATTGACATCTGAATGAAGCAACAGTCCAGGCCATATGAAAGGCAGGAGCAGGGGCATTCTAGGCACTAGGAATGATGAACATGCAGGCCCTTGGAGGATTAGACCAGCACCAAGGAGGCCAGTGTGGCAGGAATGGCACAAGAGACGACACAGCCGGGGATCATAAAGTAAAAGTGATAGGCTGGGCAGAGCTTATTATTACCTGGTACACCCTGGAAAGGCTTTTCATTTTATTCTGAGTGTGATGGGAATCCCTAGACTGATTTTGTCCAGGACATTGACATGATCTGATTTACATATAAAAGGATCATTCTGCCTACTGTGGAAGATTGGACTATATTGGAGGTTAAGAATGGAAACAGGGAGACTGGTTGAGAGGCTATTAGTAGACTGTGAAAAATTCTGATTATCTGATAGAAGGGTACTAATCTGATCATGGGGGCTCTACCCTCATAACCTCATCTAAACCTAATTACCTCCCAAAGACCCACCTCCAGTGACCATCACATTGCAGATTGGGGATTCAAGATAAGGGATTCTGAGGGGACACAAAAATTATCTCCATAGTACCCTATATTGTTGAATTTGTATTATCTGTTGAAGTTCAAACTTAGACACTATTAACTTCAAATTCTACAGATTAATTTTAAGTATTTCTCATTGACTTTTTAAATTCATTTGGGAGGGAAAAGTCTGAAGTTTAAAAGGATAAAACTTTATTTTGCTTTGGAACACACGGGAGAGGGATGAGAGATGAGGTTAAGATAGATACATAGATGATAGATAGATAGATAGATAGATAGACAGATAGACAGATAGATAGATAGATAAATTTGAACTTGACCTAAAACATATCACACTGAATATAACTGAGTCCCAGAAGGTAAGCTGCAAAATTGTTTCAATGGAACCAGAAAACCCTGGTTTCCAAGTTGAAGGGAGCTGTTTTCTCAGTAGACAACCTTACTGGGGTTGAATTTGGGGCATGGGAAAAGTTCATTACTAGGGATGTTGTGTTCATGAGCTCTCCTTAACATGGTCTCTCTCCTGCATAATGTTACTGTTTTGCACATATATTTTGTGATTCTTGTAGGCTTTGTTTAGTATCTAGAATCAGTATCTATGATTGCTTGCTAGATTAGTTCAAGTCAGAAGAATAAATGAAGGACAGCACTAATGGATTCCTGTGATGGTAGCTTTGGCTTTCTTATAATCAAAATATCAGTCTTAATTTTATGGGGTTCCATGGGGCACTACTTTTTCTTCTGAGCATCAGATTTTCTTCTGAGCCAAAGAGGGTAAATATTAATGTATAATGTGCAATTAAACTGGAAAATGAATTATGACAAATTCAGTTTAACTCTCTTCAAAGTTATTCACGTTGGAATAATCTGTTTCCTTAAATATAAGATCTATCCATTAGATTTATGAATTTGTTCTTTGTAGCTCATAATACAGTTGTAGGTAATTTTTTGTGGTGTTGCTGACATAAAACCTTATAATTTATTAAGCATACCTCTTCTCTCCCTCATTTGGACACTCTTTGCAGAGGAATGTGGCACAGATTTGGGTTTCCTGGGAAACAGGTCATGAGATGAAGATCAGCATGCAGGTTTATTAGGGAGTGCTTTTAGAATTGCTAAGGGAAGGGAGAAGACAAAAGCCTGTACAGCATAGTGAGACCCCATCTCTAAAAAATAAACAAGTTTTAATTTTTTAAAAAAACCCAGGACTGTGCAGAGGGAGAGGTTGTACTCTGGTGCAGTCTCAACTAGGGTCTCTAGCAACCTCATAGGAAGCTTCCAGGCTGCCATGGCCATTCAGAATTGTCCTAAGTTGGGGTGAGAGTGTGAGCTTTTGTACCCCTGCATCAACCAGTCATTGGATAAGTGACGCCATGGGAAGAGGACATGACCTTGAGTGAGGTGACTCTCTCCAGCTAAGGCAATGCTGAAGAGGGCCGACAGCCAAGGGCTAGCTACCAACAGCATTTCCAGCAGCTGAGGGAATAAATCTTCCAGTCCTGAAGCAGGGGGGGATCTGTGCTGCACATCAGTGTCCACTGTAGCTTGTTACATTTAGTAATATTAGATGTGTACAAGACAGTCTTTGTATATATCATAAATGTGGGCCAACACTTACTAACAGGCATAGGGATGCTTATGTCTTTACAGTACTTATAGAATCATATATGTGTCCATATGATTACACGTTTACTCATGATGGGTCTCACTGTATTGGGTAAATCCCTATTTTGGCACTTTAAAATGAAACATTATTGACTTGATTGGCCAGCACGGCACCAGTGGAGTCATTGTCGACTGTGTCGATGTGTCACGGGGTATTTAGGATCTGTTAAATATATACATTGTAGGGACAATAGACTGTAATGGCACCTTATGAGCTATTCTGCTCCATCGTTTCAACATAGCTTCTGTGCATGAATTGTCAGTGTCCTGCCAGCAGATGTCTAAGTTACCGCCCTGGGTTGTAGCTTTCCACACAAAGAACACCAGCCATCTTCACCCCAGTCTAAGTACCAGTGCAATTAGATCATACTATAGCCTAATTGCTTACCAAATTTTGTTGTTTTGACATCTCTAAGATAGAGAGTATTTTAGTCATGACAATACATAACAGAATTTTAATTAGGCTGCTTCTAAGTCTCCTCAGAGCTAAGCTAAGGGCATCTGGCAAGAAGACATGCAAGGCAGGGTGGGCCTTTTTAATGAAGGGGTAGATGTTAAAGTATGTTCTGTAACTCTCTGACCTTCTTGATGTTTGAATGCTGACTCAGTGAAAGCATTGGTTGGAATGCTTTCCTGCGTAGGTGTTATGTGAGCCAGTAGACTGATTACCTACTGATCACAACTGCACATGAAAAGTCAGATTGCACATCTGTACACATGTGTCCTGAGCTGCTATTCACTTCCTTATCTGGGAATCACTTGAGAAAAATACTTGACCTCATCAGGTGTCAAAGTGAGCTACAGTGGACACTATTATCACACTTTACTTGCCTCTGAAGTATATGGGTAGAATTAAAACTGTAGAGTAAAAGAATTGGAGGGAGCATTACATTTGATCAAGTTCAATCACTTCAATTTGCATATGGGAAAACTGAAACCTAGAGAGAGAAAAGGACTTACCCACAGTCATAGTGTATTTGTAGCAGGACAGAAATTAAATCTCAGCTTTCCTGATTCCTAGTTAATTGTATTTCCACTTATAGAACAATACCAGATTCATTTATTAATTTCCTATGATATCTTACATTTTACATTGGCAATCTCAAAGCTTTGATGAAATAAAGCAGGTAATAAATAAAAACAGCGAAGCAGAAAAGCATTTAGCTCCCTGCTTTCTCTATACTTGTCACCTTCTACCTGGGTAGGGTATTCTTTCCTGCCATGGTGTCCGTTGCTGCTGGCGCTGGAAAGCTACCAGTCAGGAAATAGAGGATTGAATGGTGCTGGTATAGACAAAGAAACAAAAGAGGTGGCTAGACCAACAGCAGTCATAGAAAGACAGACTACATGTAGATTACAAAGAACATGGATTTTAGAGTTGATTAATCCTGGGTCTCAGTTCTCCCTGTGCTATTTTCTAACTGTGTTACTTAAGTAAATTATTTAACCTCTCTGAGTCTCAATGATCATTTCTATAAAATGGAGATAATTACCATTTTCTTGAAGGGATGTTTTGAAGAAAAGCATATGTACAGCATATAGCTTGCTCAGAAGATGCTCAATTAATATCACATTCTTTCTCACTTTCAGATGGCAGGCAGCTTGTCAAATCTGTTGTTTAGTTTTTAAATTTTTCTTTCTTTGATACTCTCCACTAGTGAATGAGTCAACCTATTGGTCCTTGGATCCAAAATGTCTTAAAAGAGAAAAAAAGGCTAGTTAGATTCTAACAGGCAGCTTCTTACAAAGTCAGGATATGCATATTTCTTTTTCATTTTTGGAGTAACTTGTATAAACTAGCTACCTGCTAGGATCTGGCTAAAGCCAACTTGATAATAATACTCAAATTTGATTATGTTAGTGTGCTAGGGAGCTTTTGTTCCTACTTATTTAATATATTCTTTAATATGTTTCCACAAAAGCAGAATTTTAATCTATAATTTTTTTAGAAAAGCTTGACCTGATTCTTGATAGCTATTTACATTTCTTATACCCAAATGATATTTTTCAGTGAATTAAATAGGAAAACAATATCTAATCATTGGGGCACATTGTAAACTTGTTCCCATTTATTTAAGAAGCCATTGTTCATTTTTTGAAAGTGTAGATTCTTGCATTTCACCCATATGTTTCAAAAATATCAGAATAGTACATCAGTATTACACTGATGTAATACTGCCCCCTTTTATTGGAAAAGAAAAACATACTGGACATCTTCTGCTTCGCATTGTCAATTACCATAGCTCCTTGTTATTCATACAATTGATTCAGGTATTCATTATTGCATGACAGGATAAATTTAGACAGAGGATCAATATAGCTGTACAGCAGTAAGTGAAAGGGGCTTGTGAGAAAATTATTTAGCAAAGTGTGTTGGGAATGAATGAGCTCCTTCTATAGCTCACAGACTAGTGAGGTTTGGTTGTTTTCAAAGGCATATATAGTCCTAATTAATCAGGATTGTCATTTTTGTGAGCAGTTGACTAACATGTTTGTGTTGCTTTTCTATGTCAACCTATTCTCAAGACAACAACTTGTACTATGAAGAATGCAGGGCACATTAGAGATTTTTGCAGTAAGGGAAGAAATTCTAATTGTAATTCTCATTTGCAAAGCAGAGCAGTAGTCACTGTTTAAAAAACATTTGTGTACTACTCTTTCTTTATGTCACGACAATGAATATTTTTATACTGCTTTCTATGCTCCAAATATATTATTACATATATATTCGCTCTTAAACCTTTCCAAATTCAGGGATGTCGGTATTACTGTCCTTGTTTCACAGATGAAGAAACTAAGACCAGCTCGGGATCACTTTACTCCAGCATTTCCTTTCCATCATCTCATTTGTTCCCTACATCTCTGTGAGATTGATAGCGCAATTTTACTTAAAATCTAAAACAAGACACACATCTGAGTTTCAAACATCAATTTAATGAAGTGAATGCTAAAATTATGAGCTAAAGAAGTCTATCTAGATATATGTGCTTCATACATATTTCTTTGAAATGAATAGCTATATTTATACTTGCGATAGTGTTTTTTTAAAAGAACATACACAGATCAAAAGTGCTATAAAATTAGAGAAAAGCAAGGTAAGTTTTATTAATGTTGGATTTTACATTTGAACTAATAACATTGGGCAACTGTGAAGTTCTGTATGTAGGCTCCTGGCTGAATGTAATCATTAAGTTCTTTTTCTTTCTGTTGTCAGGACTACTTGATTGGTTGCCTAGCTACTAGCTTAAAAGGCCAAACTCATAAAAAACAACAACAAACTTGTTTGGCTCTTTTCTTCTCTGTACTTTAAACAGGAAAAAAATGGTGAGAATTTATATATAAGTGTACAAGTTCAAGATCCTTCCTAGGGATAGGTGTAGGTGTAGGAATAAATATAAAGCCTTGAGTTTTATTTATACATGTTTTAGTCAAAAGGCCACATCTAGTTAATGTATCTCTCAATGAAATGGCTAAAATTCGATATATTCAGTTAATAATGTTGCATACATTCTGTGAAAGAGTTGTTGGTTTTGTTATGTATGGAGCAAACTTACTAATTATGAGGATTTTATAGACCTAACCTCCCATTATGGCAGGTAGTTTCTAATCCTTAATCCTTCTAGATCTAATCTCTTCTAGATGTAATCTCTTAATCCTTCCAGACCAGCTGTTCTCAACTTTTTTGGTCTCAGGGGCCTTTTACACTCTTAAAAATTATCAAAGACCCTGAAGAGTTTTGATTTATGTGGGACTTATCAACCAATATTTGTCTTATTAAATATTAAAACTAAAACATCAAAAAATATTTAAGATAACAATAACAAATCAATTAGGTAGTAATATAAATACCATTTTTTAGTATTAACTATATTTTCAAAGTAAAAAAATAGAAGAATGTTTTTGCTTTACATTTTCATGAATCTCTTTAATGTCTGATTTATTAGAATACTGCTTGATTCTGGTATCTGCTTTTGCATCCAAATTGTATCATTGTCATGTAGTTTCTGGAAATCTCCATCGTACATTCAAGAGAGAATAAGAATGAATAAGTCAAACAATGTCTTAGAGTTATTATGGAAATAGTTTTGATCTAGTGGACCCTCTAAAAGGGTCTTTGAGATTACCAAGGTGATACTTTGAATATATGCTATTCTAGATCATGTAATACATACACCTGCATTATGTGTTTTAATTGTATTCACCTTAACCTTAATAACAGTTTTCACTGATCAAACACAGTAAAAGTTTAGAATTGACCAATGGCTTTGTTCTGTTTGAATTAAGGAGCAAAACAGTACAGTTGTACTATTTGTGTTTATACGTTGCCTTGATGTAAAAAGAATTTTGGGTGGTTTGCAGTGATACGTGCAGTAAAACAACATAAAAACTAAATAGAGAGGAGATTGTGGGAAATAAAAATTAAGGATAGGAAAATAAGGTAAGTAGGGTAAAGCTGAGATAAGTGAAGTGCACAAAAATTCTTGTCATACATATTTACCTAATTGCTAAAGGATGGCCACAGACTCGATTGTGAGCTTCCTGGTAACCAGGCAAAAAGGAAATGTGTTACAACAGCCACAGTATTTCTACAACATAAACAAAACAGCTTCTCAGAAGAGACATAGGTCTTCTCTGGGCACTCACAAAAGCTTCAGACATACCTAAGAATGTACCTATAACATTCCTATTCAGTTTGAGAACTCAGTAATTTTTCAGGGCTATTTCTTAACAGATCTTTCATTTATCTTTTAGATGCATTTTTACCTACAGTTATTTGCCTTAGTTTAGGTAATGTGACTGACATTGAATACTTGTTTGCAGCACTTTATTCCACAGACACACTTTTTTTCAATTTCATTCCATTTGTATTAAGTACTTACTATATACAAAGCATAGTATTAGACATGTGAAGTGGAAAGATAACCAGGGCTCAATACTGGCTTTATCACTGTTATGCTAATATCTCAGAGCTTAAGTTTCCCAATCTATAAAAATATCAGGATTTGAGAATTAAATGATTTAATATTCAACCTCCTAATAAAATATCTTCTGTACAAATTGGGCATTTAATAAATTCTTACTCCCTTCCTCCCTCTTTCCCAGTCTTCTTTTCCTCTCTCTCCCACCTTTCCACCTTCCCTTCTTTTTTTCTTTCCTTCCTACTTTTCCATCCATTTAATTAAGTTTGTTGATAAGAGCAAAGGCTTTGGAGTTAGATGGCCCTAACATCTCCATCTGAGAAATGCTATTAATTTGCATAGTTTCTATGCACAAGGGTTTGTTATGATGATTCAGTAAAGTACAATCATCCGTCAATACTCTTGGAGAATTGGTCCAGGACCCCACCTCCCTACCCTGCAGATCCCAAAATTCCTGGATGCTCAAGACTCTTATATAAAATGGCATAGTATTTGCATATAACCTAGGCACATCCTCCCATATTCCTTAAATCATCTCTAGATTACTTATAATACCTAACACAACATAAATGCTATGTCAATAGTTGTTGCATTCTTTTTATTTCTATTATTTGTATTGTTATTTTTAATTTAAAAAAAATTTTAATATTTTCCTTCCAAAATTGGTTGACCTCTCAGATATGGAACTCATGGATATGAAAGGCCTGCTATAATCAACATAAGTGGCCTCATTCAGAACCTGACACATAATTGGTAGAAGAGCAGGCTGAAAGAGATGGTTGTCATGGCTAGCTTAAGTTTTATCCTTGTAGATAATTGCCAGCCATTGTAGGTGTTTGTGGATGGGGCACATTTAATCTAAACTACATTTTAAGAAGAATATGATGGTGGCAGTTTAAATAAAGAATGGGCGAGACCTTTAGAGAGATGTGCAAGAGTGAAGAGAGCATGTGTTTTGGAGTCAGAGTGACCGGGGCTTCAGATTCTGCTTCCACAACTCACAGGTCTGTGACTTCCTTGAGCCTTGGTGTCCTTATCTGTGATTAATAACACTTAGTTCCCTGTGTTATTACAGGTTATATCAAAAAGCTATGAAACTATAAGCCAGGTACTCAGGATTATGCATTTAAAATCCATTTTCTTCTCTTGCAGCATTCCCAAGACCAGTTCTGTAGGTGGAACTCCATTTGAAATTTCTTTAAATTGGCCTTGGGCTCTTTTGCACTCCTGCCCTTCCTTAGCTTAGAAGCTGCCCTGTTGTTGTAGAAACAGGGCTTTTCCAGTGGAAAGACAAACAGTATGCAGAGGAAGGACATATCACAAGTTTAGTGTCAGGTGACTTAATGCTATGTCACCCCACATAAACAAATTAATTTCTGAAGAATTCCCAACCTCCAAATTAAATCAGACCCATCTAGGTGGCCTTTAGAATCCACTTGTTGTACTAAACATTTTTTAAATATCTGAGTTGCAGAAAGAAATCAAAGCACATGTTGTCAGGAATTTTTTAGTTATTTTTAAAAGAGCACATTAAAGAAAATATATATAGTTATGATTATCATCAAAACAAATATTAAGTTTGAAGTCATTTGATTGTAGGACAAATTTTAAATACAAAATTGAGACCATTTAAGTGACAAATTATATTTTTAAAAGTCTGCTAAAACTTGAACATTTAAAGTTGGGTTCAGTTTAAAATGCAACTTTAGAAAGGCTGAGTAGATTCTAAACTGTTTTCCTAAGTTTTCACAAAACTTCTCAAGACAATGCAAGCTGCCTCCTAAGTCTAACAAAGAATCTGTCTAAGTTCTTATTTTTAGATTCCTCAGAGAAGCATACGCGATCACTTGAAAACACACTGTGTTGTTTTACTGTGTGCCTGCCTTTAGGAAACTGGGTCCATCTGGATTTTTCTGAGCTAAGAGGAGGGTGCTCTGCTTAAAAGCTATCTGAACTTTCTGCAGACTTTGACATCCCATTTCATGGATGTTGGCTTTGGTATATCCTGAAGATTTTCCTCAGAGATCTTTGCCCTTGGGAATTCGGGATCTAATGTGTGCTCTGTCTAAAAATCTCTTAACCAATTTCTATTCTTACAGAATCATAACTCGTCCACATTATCTCTAGTCCAGTGATGATGATAGATCTTTTCCCTTTAGAGATATGAAATATGAACTTCTTTGTTTTTGTAGTAGTATAGTAAAAATTCATATATTCAACACTCTCTCAACAGAAAGACCATTAGTCAGCACTTCTTCATCACACTATAAGAAGAGTTGAATCAGGCCGGGTGCAGTGGCTCACACCTGTAATTCCAGCTCTTTTGGAGGCCAAGGCGGGTGGATCACCTGAGGTCGGGAGTTCGAGACCAGCCTGACTAACATGGAGAAACCCTGCCTCTACTAAAAATACAAAATGAGCTGGGCCTAGTGGCGCATGCCTGTAATCCCAGCTACTCGGGAGGCTGAGGCAGGAAAATTGCTTGAACCTAGGAGGCAGAGGTTGCGGTGAGCAGAGGTCATGCCATTGCACTCTAGCCTGGGCAACAAGAGCGAAACTCCATCTCAAAAAAAAAAAAAAAAAAGAGTTGAATCAGAGCTAAAAGAGCCCTTAGAGATCATTTAGTACAGCCGCTCATTTTATAGATGAAGAAACAGAAGTGAAGTGATTGCCCAAATCCAGCCACAGGGTGTTACTGAGACTGGGACCAGTCCTCTGTCTCTCTGGCACTCAGTCCTGTGTGCTTTCCAGATTCTGCTCTAATGTTCACGGTCCTAAGATGCTTATGGTGGTGACCCTAAGGCATCATATGGTCTCAAAGTGCTAAATTCAGTCTTAGTGCTGCTTATGTTGTTCTATACTATCATCCTTGCTAATAGAGATAAGTATGGAATATATTGTATCTGATAGCTTCACTAATCAGAGTGTAGGTTAAATAGAACATTACATTTCCTAGACATGCCTGGCACATAGTAGGCACTAAATATAATATTAATTGATTTAAGTTGATGCCAGTAACACAATTTTCTGTAACTACATTTTGTATAAATATTTAGTTCCCTAAAGATCAATTTTTAAAAATAGATTTCATTAAGTGTTCTTAGTAATAGGTGAGGTGGATAATACTTTAACTTTTTCTTTTCCTAAGAGGCTTTCTTTGCTCGTGGCAGTTTTAAGAACATAATAATAACAATCACTAAAATGTCAGTGTTTTAAATTGTTTGCAAAGCATTTCACACATTTATTAATTAAAGTTAATTCTAGCAAACATCCTAAGAAGTGGAATTTTTATTATTTCTCTTCTACAGATGAGTATGAGGTTCAAAGAGCTCAAATCATTTTCCTACATTCACACAGTTAATATTGAACTTGAGAGACTTCAAAGTTTTTTGTTTTGAATCCCATATTCTGTCTGCAATAACAGACGGACTTCACCTTCTTCCCCCAAACCTATCCCTGCCCATGTGTCCTGATGCGCCTTGAAAAGAAGGTCACACATTATATATGGCTGTACATGAGTTTGTGTGTGCATGTGACTGCACAATGCGTGTAACTCTGTGAGTGTTCATGTGAGCAAACTTTGTGAATGTTCATGTCTTTCTCATTGTGGGTATAAATCTATATGTGAGTCTGTCTCTGTGAGTCTGTTCCTTGTGTGTGTATGTGCATTTATTTTGCCTGTTTTTCCATAGGTCTGTTTGTATCTATAGAAGTGGGTACCTGCTCCTGCTGTGCGTCTGTCTATCCGACTATGCATCTGTAGTGTGTCTGTGTATTTGTCAGTATCTCTTTGTGTCTGTGTGTCTATCTCAGTGTGCACCTCTCTGCATTTGTATGTCTGTAGGTATGTCTGGGTCCATGTCTATGTCTGTCTCTGAATCTGTATGTCTGTCTGTGTCAGTTGACCTGGGTGTATATGTGAGACGGTCTGTATGACAGTGTATGTGTGTTGTCTGTATAAGTCTTCGTGTATGTGTTCTACTCCCTTCCCTTTGTGGTGTTGGGTATTACTATACTTGATTATTTTCATTTTCAGCTGGTTGGCCTAGGGCTGTGAATAGAGAGTATATGTGAAAACTTTGCACATGGATGTACTTTATATATTCTTTACATCACTGATTCCCTCTCAGCATTGTCTTAAATCTGGTTGTCAAAAATGTGCCATTGAGAGCAGTCTGGCAGAAGTTTACTTTTAGCTAAGATCCAGTTTGCAATCTTTGACATTTGCAACTAAGATTAGAATTTCCCAAAGTGCTGTCTTCCCACTATGGATGGAAATGCTTGATTTTATTTTTAGTGCAACCCTGATTTGCCCTTTATATCTTTTTATAAATAATGTCAACAGCATTGGTTCTGAAATAACACAAAGGGTGTCTTGTAAAATGCATTGCGCAATGGCCTTAGTTCTCATATCTTCTAGGTTGCAGTAGTCCCCTGTAGTTCTCAACAAAGGAGATCATTTGAATTGTTATCTTCCCATATTGAGAGTCAA
The DNA here is from genome assembly GCF_000001405.40 of Homo sapiens. Lineage (NCBI taxonomy): Eukaryota > Metazoa > Chordata > Mammalia > Primates > Hominidae > Homo > Homo sapiens. Next base: position 16,034,170 of record NC_000011.10, on the reverse strand, counting down.
CATAATTTTTTAAGAAAAGAAACCATATATTTGGGGTTCTCTTGCCTATGTTGAGATTAAAATATCAACAATTAAATTAGTATCCATTTTCTTATCTGTAAAATGGGGGCAAGAAGACAAACCTCATCTCTAGTTCAAAGAAACATTTTAGTGAGCTCTTACATTTACAAAATCACATTGGTTTCTCAAGTCCTTTCTGTTCTTCTAAGAACATGAGTTCTCTGCTTCTTTTTCTTTTCTTTTCCTTTCTTTTCTTTTTCTTTCTTTCTATTTATTTATTTTTTGTTTGTTTGTTTTGGAGACAGAGTTTCGTTCTTGTTGCCCAGGCTGGAGTGCAATGGCACGATCTCGGCTCACCACAACCTCCACCTCCTAGGTTCAAGCAATTCTCCTGTCTCAGCCGCCCCAGTAGCTGGAATTACAAGCACCTGCCACCATGCCCGGCTAATTTTTTGTATCTTTAGTAGAGATGGGGTTTCACCGTGTTGGCCAGGCTCATCTCGAACTCCTGACCTCAGGTGATGCACCTGCCTCAGCCTCCTAAATTGCTGGGATTACAGGTGTGAGCCACTGCGCCTGGCCGAGTTCTCTGATCTTAATAATACTCCTTCAAGGGAGGTTGGTAGCAAGTTTAGCCTTTCTTATTCCAGACCACCAATTTGATTGCCATGAAATGATTTCTCCAGGTCTAGGCAAACATCAGGAATGAAATAAAGAACAGGAGCCTTTGAAATCGGTCATGTCTAAATCCAAATCTCAGCTTCTCAGCCTAATTAATGATCAACAACATGTGTATTACTAGGTATGCCACCTGGGGCCTGTTACTTACTTTTCTGAGACTATGTTTACTCACTTGGGAGGTGGAAATGATGAACATACTGTATAAGGTTGTGGAAAATATTAAATAAGATAATATATGTGAAGTAAGGTAGATGCAAATAAATATTCTTCTGGTTCCCTTATTGTTGTTTGCAACCACATGACGTCACAGAGCGTTAGGTAGGAAGTGCTCACCATTTGATGTATGGGTTAGGTGTTAGGTGCTAGGGATTCAGGTAAATATTGACTGGTCTCTTTCTGACCTACAGGAGAGTGTAGTCTGGTAGTCTGATTTGGGAGGTAAGACAGATCCATGAAAAGGAACCAGACAATAGAGGGTCTGTGTGCCAAATGAGTGAATGAAAAGTGTCGTAAGGCTAATTAAGCTAATGAAGATAAAAGGAGGCCGTCCTGATCAATCCCTTGGTGGAAAAAAAGTTCTGTAGAAGAGGAGAGACTTGAAATGCCCTCAAAGGAAGGACAGGCAGGCTGGAGTAGGTAGGCAGGAGTGTCTAGGCAGGGTCCTGGCATGAGTATGGTTGGGGCATGTGTCTGCATATGGGGAATAATGGCTGGAGGACAGCTCAATCAAGAGAGAAGTGTACTCTGAGTTAGAGAGGGGCAGGATTCAGATGATGGAAGCCTTGAATGCCTGGCTAAGAAAGTTAACCCAGAGGCTGTATGTATGGTTGTATGTATGATTGTGTATGTGTGAGAAAGAGAGAGAGAGAGAATAAAGGATAATGATGGTAGTGGTGGCTGAGGTAAATGGAGTGTATTTCTCCACATAGATAAACTTGGAGACAGTCAATCTGTTACACAATTATAGAAGCAACTAATAAGTTGCTCCCACTCTTCTCTCTGGGAGAAACCTCAGGGTGATATAGGATTGTAAATCTACATGAAAATTTGAAATAATTAACATAATTTATAGGCATTTGTGACTGATGAATTTTTAATACAAAAATCACATTTGATGTTCACAGAAATCCTGTGAGGTAAAGATTATTGATATCTTTTATTAGCCCCCATTATAGACTAACAAATCGAACAAAACCCTGAAAATTCATGCAGGTAACTCTAGGTTCAAATACCAGCTCTGCTCTATATAAATTCTATACTTTTTACTGCACCACACTGTTACCATTATTGGTAACTTGAAGGAAGAGCCCATGTCTTACTCTTTGCTCTTCCCCTAACACTGAGCCTAAAATGCTCATTGATTGTGTGCTTGTGACTAGAGCCCAGACTTTGGAAGAAGTAGTTACTCTTACGGAGATGAAAATTTATTTTCATCTCTCTGCCCTTTTGAATGTGTCTGGCATTCCTCAGATAGAGTAAATTCATATTATAGGAGGGTTGCCTCTTACAAGGCCCTAGAATACTGAAGTCTGTTTCACTGTCTCAATTTGCTTGTCTCACTGCCACTTCCTCATCTGTCTTCTATTCTGGAGGTTGTGGATGCATCGCCCTCGGTCCACACTTCTTTGTCTCTGCCTCCTGGTATGTGTGAGAATAGATTTCTCTCCTTTCCTTTCTCCCTCCCTAACCTCCTTCCTACCCTCTCTTTCCATTTCTGCTCCCCCATTGCCCTTTCCTGTTCCCCTTGTTCCTCTTATTTTTCCACCCTCCCTCTCTCCTTCCTTCACTTCTCACTGCAATCTTACAGCCTACTGCAGTTAGGGTGCAGTCTCTGATCATTGATGATTTTTCTGCAAGTTCTTATAGTTACAGGAGGCAGCTGCTGCCTCTGCATTCTTCTATGGCAGGGCTCTAGTGTGTAATACCTGCATACCTACCTACCCTACTCCTGTGTCCTTGATAGCAGCACAGTTAACAGGAGCTCTTGGGTGTGCATCTCCAATGATAAGTCCTCTAAAGCCGCATAAGAATTAACCATATATGAAACAGTTGCACAGCCTAGGGGGGCTGAGAGACAACCAGTACACATTTATTCAGAATCAAATGCTGATGTCATTTATTTAAATGGCTGTGCAATGAAGTACTGGATTTGAATAGCTTCAGAAAGTTAAATTTATAAAATAAATACCAACTTGCAAAGCTTTGGAAGTGAACATGGATGCTGAGCTTCCTGATTTCATGTACCTAAAACTGAGTAAAGTTTGACAAATGAAGCTATGTGAATCGTAGAAGGAATTTAGTCTTGATGTTAAAGCTGGAGATCTGTCTTCTAGGCCTACATCTGAGTATCTGTGTCATCTTGGGGAAGTCTCTAAATCTTACTGAGTCTCAGTATGTTCTGTAAAATTAGGATGATTGTGCCTTACGAATTAGATAATATGTGGGAAAAGACTTTACAATTTATAAGATGCTAATGGCCACAAAGTCTGACCATTTACCATATTTATTGTGTGAGGAGGAAGGGAAATGAGTCTGATTTCTGCCCAGAAGGGAAGCTTTATGCTGTGTGCCTCCTGCCTCCTGTTTCATTGGAATGAGGTAGACTCAAAGCTGCCTTAGGCTGATAGCATAAATAAGTAGCATGTCATCACTTTTTTTTCCATAAATAAAACACTTTTTGTTTATCATCTTTGTGGGTGGTGGTGAGAAGGAGAGGGTGTAGAAAGGAAGTGAAGTCTATTTCAAGCAAATCAGGTCGGTTGTACCAAATATCTCTGGCTCAAAGAATTAGCTGAGGACTGAGGATTAGCTAAATGTAGATGGATTTACAGATCAGCATAATACAATGAGATCAAAACACTATGAGTTAGTGAATTTCATATGGTTTTGTACAAACTGGTTTTCCAGAATCATTTCCTCAAGTTTATATAATTTTAAAAGGTAATTTAATGAGCTAGAAATTTTCTATAGTTGATATTTGAGGCAGTATTAAATATTGCTTTACCTTCAAGTAGAAACCATACTAAAGAGAAGTAAAGTTTGCAGTCAAATCAGCTTACACAGAAGGCAAACTATGTAACTGTTTAGAACAATAGACAATGAATTTTTAGAATTTTGTATTATTTTTAGTTGAGAAACTATAATTGTCAATGAATTTTAAAATAATTGAAAGTACAAGTGTGAGTGCTTCAAACATATTAATCTTCAAGGGAAGACTAATATTTCAAACCTAAGCATTTCTAAATAGATCATATTTATTCAAACCTAAGAGTTTCTAAATAGATCATATTTACACTAAGACTTTATTTGGTTTAAGCAATCTAATAATCCACCCCTTCATGTCACATTGCCAATTAGAGAACACAATGTACAACCTGAAGCCTTATATAAGTGACATTTTAATATTCAGATCCCGAAGCAGTCGAGAAGTTTGGCTCTCTAGAAGCAATTTTTCTTCTACTCCTTTGGTCATCACCTCAGTTATGCAAAATTAAAATTTTGATCATAACGCAAATTCAAATATGAGTTTTATTTAATCAGGGTGAAAAGCAGATTTACTCCTTTCCTAGGTTATACACTTCTTTGTGTCAAATATATGCAGTAGAGTTAAATAAGAGGTATATTATAAAAACTTTTGTAGCTTGTATAATTATTATATTCATGATCTTCTCTTAAGTCATTAATTGGTCTGAAAATGCCATTAAAAATTTTACAGAGATTTAAAAACGGCTAATTATAACATTCACTTGGGAAGTTATTTGTTCTATGAACAACTGCCTTTTTCCCTGAGACTGTTCAAATCCATTTTAGTTAATTCTCGTTAGACAATCGGTTTTTTTTTTGTTTTTTTTTTTGAGACGGAGTCTTGCTCTGTAGCCCAGGCTAGAGTTCAGTGGTTCGATCTCTGCTCATTGCAACCTCCGCCTTCCAGGTTCAGGTGATTCTCCTGCCTCAGCCTCCCGAGTGCCTCGGATTACAGGAGCCCGCTACCACGCCCGGCTAATTTTTGTATTTGTAGTAGAGATGGGGTTTCACCATCTTGGCCAGGCTGGTCTTGAACTCCTGACCTTGTGATTCACCCGCCTCGGCCTCCCAAAGTGCTGGAATTACAGGCATGAGCCACCACGCCCGGCCCTCATTAGACAATCTTTAGGACTGAAGGAACTGTCTCTCGGTCTCACATCCTGCTTAGGCTAATTTTCCAAGTTTCTCCTTATCTGGGCAGAAGTGCTGTTATTCAAGCTGTAGGAATAAACATGTGCTTGTTTATTGAGCCCATGTCCTAGAGCCCTTGGAGATGTTTTTATTTCACTTAGAGATTTTAACCTGTGATCTAAGCATCATTTCTAATTCAGCGGGAAGGATTGTTTATGTTGAAGCACTTGCTTTTAGACCAGGAATTCAGAGTCCACATTTTAAAATATCTTACATTTTATTTTTTGAGAAATAAAGTTGGTGCAGTCGCTACCCTTGCTGGTATGACCTACAATGTGCTGCATTTCAGTTTCTAATTTCTGAATGTGAAGATGACGAGCCTTGTTTTTTCCTAATATAATGACAACAAACACAAAGCTCTACCCAAAATATACATTACATTGTAAATATTTCAAGTTTGTGCCAGTTAAGGACAGTTGTGAAGGACAGGTGATTTTTATTCTATTTACTTATTTATTTTCACCATTGTGGAAACAGTGGAAGGGAATAAAAGCACTCGCACCCATCCGCTCTGTTTGCTGGCTCTCTGATGACAAACGGCCGATATGTGGAGAGCACATACCTCATTTACATCAGATGCATAATGTACTCTATCTGGGATATTAGCTTCTCGGTCTTGCAGTGTTGCCTAACACACACAGTGATCAGCACATTTTTTGAGACTGCAATAATCAGAGGAATGTAACAGTGATGTGGGAACAAGAGGAAATAACATGGAATAATAATGTACCCATCATTGTTCTGTTGTCATCCCTCCTAGCCAGTTTGGTTTCCCTTAGAGCCTAACAAAAGCTTCACGAATTCAATGGAATAAAACATGGAACTGGGTGCAAAATTAATACATCTATTCCCAAGCTCCATATTCATAGAAAAAAGGAAAATATTGACTACATAGGGAACAGACTTTCCCTGAAAGCTTTGTGGATCTATGCATATGCTTATGTAATCTTCAAACAAGTTGTGCAGCCTTTTACAAATGTGTCTAGCCTCATTTAATCTCAAGTAAGCCTGTGGATACCACAAAGGAAAAAAAATGAAAAAAAGTCAGATGTAGGAAATAAACTAAATCTTCAAAAATATGCAAAATATAAGTTCCCAATAAAATATTATCTGCTACATTAATTAGCAGGCTGTGTACAAAATTTATTCTTAGCATGCTAACCTCTTCACGGTTTGCACACATTGACTCAAATAATGTCAGAGCAGTTTTCACTCATATTGTCCAAGATTTTATCAAGAGTTCAGTCCTGCAAGTATTTTACAAAGTAGTTGCATGTTCCTGTTCTATAACTGCTTGCAGTATTCCCAAATAAGTCTTACACATGAGTTCAATAAATAATTGGAAGCCCAGATGTTTGAAACGGATATAGCAGATACACTGTAGCTGTATTTAAAATACAGCTCCTTTCCCTTTGTCCTCCCATCAACTTCACAGCATTGCACTCTGCCATTTTCAGTTCTCTTCTAATTAAATCTAGATGCGCGGTGAGCATGTACGTGTTCCCACACGTGCCCCTCTCTCATATGCAGCACGTGGAGGCATCCTGTATTATTGTTGCTGACTTGAGACATTCCAGCAAGGAATTCTGCTTCTTCAAATTGAACTGTAGCATTCTTTGTCCCTTAAGCTCACCTCCTGATAAGGAAATTACTTATATTGAGACATGACTTACTGCTTCACATAGCAAAGAACTAAAAATTGGGTTTAAATTCCTGTCTTGAACTGAGCCTGACTCATTTCTGTGTCTCTCTATAGTACGACTAAAGCAGGCTCTTGTCCCGTGTTTGATAAATAAAGTAAAAAATATTAGGTATCAGTAAAAACTAAGAACATTCTTGAATTTGGTTTTAAAATATAGCTGCCTGATTTTCAGGACTTGAAAGAAATGTGTAGGAAATTTCATTTTATTTACTATACCTTTAGTTTATTAAATTTAACATTTTTGTTAATATATACTTCTCCATCCCTATGCAGTTTTTTACCTTATAACTAAAAATGATGATTTCTAACTTATATATCTTAGTTTTTCCCTCTTTGAATAATTATACTAATTCCTGCAAATGCTGTGACATTATCAGAGAAAAGTTGTTTTATTTTTATTGTATTTTTTAAGAGATAGAAGAGTATTATCGTTACATTTGGGAATTCTTAATTTGTATCTTATTTAGTCTGGTGTGCAATGTGACACCAGTTAATTCTATGTTATTTTATGGTAACTACATGTTAACTCTGTTGGAAGTAATGGTAATTATACTGTAATTGATATCAGTTCTCCCACATCTTTGGAAAACCATACAATTAACACATATCCCCACAGTTGGACACTATCTTTTGTCTTTTGTAATGGTGCCATATTGGAGTACTGTTTTGAAAAGCGTTTCTAAATATTTTCTTCTTCTTTTAAACTCATTTTAAAAATTTCAATTTCAGAATTTTTTTTTAGTTTGTATGAAATGAAAACAGTTTCTAAATTTTAATTTTACTTCATCTTAAGAAAAGCTTCTTCCACAATCAGACATAGTCCTGGGTTATTTTTGTTTTTTATTTGAATACTCATTTGTGACATCATTTGACCTTATTTAGTGCTTCTTTTTTCCTAGAAGGAGGATAACAGTAGAATATACAAAATCTTGACATTAAGGAGTTAATCAGCTTTTTTCTGAAGAAAGGCCCTCTTCTTAGCAGCAGTCTTTGCATTTATGTTACTTTACTTGCAGACAAAAAGAGATGTATTCTGGGCTAGTGCCACCATAATGAGTCTCAAACTAGGGACACAGAGGAATCTTTAAGCCACATTCAGATGAAAATGTGTTCCCTCTGATTTTCCCTGCATCCTTTCCCTGCCTTCCCTTGCCTTTGTGTCCCTTCCCTTCTATTGCTTTTGACTATGGTGGCCACGGAACTTCAGAAGTAGCCAACAGATGCTTTTTGGCTAAGGGTGACCATGCTTTGGTAGGCTTGTTTGAAAAAAATGCATTGTTTTTTAGTGCTTTTCTTGAGATGAATAATTCCTCAGAATTTTTTTAGGCGTGATTTTATCAATGTGTGCTGCAGTATAGATCTTAGAGAGAAAGAAAGTCAAATATCATAGAATCATAAGATTTCAGAGCTGGAAGAAACCATGGAGATAAGTTAACTTAACTCCCTCATTTTGCAGATGAATTATACAGGGACTAGCATAGTTGGTAGAGTAAGAGTAGCTCAGTGGAAGGAGCAGGAGACTGAGAGTCTGGAGCTGAGAGGCATGTTCTGGATCTGTCACCAGCCGGCTTCAGGACTGTGGTAAGTGTCCACACCTCCTTGGTCACATTGCTGTTTGAATGAAGAGGCCTTACATTTCCTTCTGGCACTAAAGCTTTCTCATGCTCCCTATTTTTCTTTTTAAGATATATGTTATTTGTGCAGCATACATATTTTTTTAAATTATAGGAAAAGCTCTTAGGAGATACAATATGCTTATATATATCATAAATTAAAACAAATACATGGTAGCAGTACCTTACATTTTCCCACTTTTTGTGTTTATGTTTCTGAGGGAAAAAAATCTTCAAATTTATCAGTTTTCCAGCTAAAACTGAAATGGAAGCTATATTTCTAAAGAAAATATTTATTCTTGGTTCGTATAGCTTTGATGTTTTCAACTTGAATAAACTGCACTTGTGTTTCCACAAATAATACTAAAAAGTACACATTATAAATTAAACAGGTACCTCAGATGAGGCACTTAGATTTTGAACTAATAGAATTCCCAAGATACCTTTTTGGACAAAGACATTTGCTTAGCTGGTCATTAATTTTATTGTGACACTCTTTGTTCATATGGTACATGTTAGAATAACAGTATCTTATTGGTGGTTTAGGTGGAGATAGAATTCTCCACTTTTTAAACCATGTGTTCAGTTTTAATAGGAGTTTGTGTAATTTTACAGTGGGACTTTTTGTGAACTTTTTACTGAAACAAATGGTTAATCAGAGAATATTCAGGAACAAATCTGCATCATGCCTCTGTACACGAATAAAAAGTTGAAACCACATATAAGTAGGAGTTAGGCTGCCACACAACTGGATTTGCTTAAATCTGAACACTTTATAACTCTACTTGGGAGTTGCAAACTTATAAATAACCTTGCAATTGGTTAAAACCATATTAAAACCATATGAATGAGACAGAAAGCATTTGGTTAAAGGGGTTCAGTAAGCACTATAATCCTGATGAAACTAATTTAATTCAGTGGCTTCCAAGCCTAAAAGGGTCTCATATCTTCAGAGTTAATGCTACTGTATCATTTATCATCTGATGGTCAGTGACAAGAGTCTAAATGTGTGTTACAGGAGATGTCTAGGATGCTGTCCTTGCCGGGGGTGTGGAGACAGAACTCGCTTATTTTGGAGTACTCTTCAAATCCTGAGGGAAACTTGTCATACATCATTGGAGAATGTTTTTGAAAGGTCCATAAAACATCTCCACAAGAAGCTCTGCAGACATTAGTTCATTTCAGCAGGCATGTGCTGCATGCTTCTCTGCTTGCAGCGCACAGTTCTCTCTGGGCATAGAGCAGGTCGTGAGATACTTTCCCTCCCTCGAAATGCTTATGGTCCAGTGGCATATATCAGCATTCCTAGAGTTTATCTCAACAGCTTATAGCATTGAGATTCTGTTTCTTGCCTCAAGTATAAATCTTCCTGTTTTTGAAAACCTTTGTTAAGTGCTTCCTTCCCTTTAAAGGACAACTTTTGAAGAATCATAGATAAATATATAGATGGATGGACAAGGCTGTCAACAGATAGAACTGCTACTAGATCCTAAAGAAAAAAGTTTCTAGATAATTGTTTGTGAGGCTAATAGGACCTTATCTCTAAAATATGCTGCTTTATTATTTGATAATTTTGGAAAGCAACTAGCACCTTTCATGGCATAAGAGGTAGAAGCTGCCATTGTATTAGTTGGCCAGGGTTGCCGTAATAAACTACCAGAGACAGCGGACTTAAACAACAGAAATTCATTTTCTCACAGTACTGCCTGGAAGTCCAAGATCAAGGTGTTAGCAGGTTCATTTCTTCTGAAGCCTCTCTCTTTGGCTTGTAGATAGAGGCTGTCTTGATGTGTCCTCACATGCTCTTTCCTCCATGTGCACACATCCCTGGTGTCCTTTTTTGTGTCCAGATGTACCCTTCGTATAAGTACACCAGTCAGATTGGATTAGGACCCACCCTAAGAGCCTCATTTTAACCTAACCACTGCTTTAAAGGCCCCGTCTCCAAATACAGTCACATTCTGAGGTACTAGGGGTACCTATGAATTATGGGGAAACACAATTCAGCCCATAACAACCATATTTACTCAGCTTGGATATTTCCAAATCTCGTGAAGTTATTTCACTGGGATTACAGTGCCTAAGGATCTCCCTTGACCAATGTCTTTGTTTGCATGGCTTTACCAGGATTATCTTCCCTAGGAATGTTCTTGTTTCTCAGGAGGAATTAAATTGAAATTAATATAATTCTGTTGTAACAGTTTATTCTATTACCCTTTCATAAGAGATTGGCCTTTTTAATTAATTCAAAGAATGAATTGCTAATGGTGAATTGCTAAGCAATGTAAGAGATGTGTAAGGATATTTTTTGTGGAGATGGTTCAGATTTTAGGGAAAATTCTTCTTGGAGAGCCCTTTCTAGTGATAATAATAAGGCAGATTTTCTGTATCACAGCTCTGGGCCAACCCTGACCAGGAGATCACTCTACTGTTTAATTGACTTACACACCTTCCTTTGTATTTATCTGTCTTTTAATTATTTATATTTCACTGCTTTAAATAGGATCTGAAAATAATTGCATTTTATTTAAAAGTAAAATTAAAATGGAAGAAGAAAGAGAAGCAATTTTACCAAGATTACCAAGATTAACAACCAGAGAGCCTAGTATGTGCAACATCATGAGAGGCACTTATGTTATAGAGATAATAAGACATGGATACTGTACCTTGAGGAGCAAGTTGAGGAGAACTGGAAACAGACATAGAAACCAATAATTGTAATATATATTTTTCTATAAATGTGGTGATGGAACACCACATTTGGTGTTAGAGGAAAGGGGTTAGGGGTGTTAGAGGAAAGGGGATGATAGATTCTTCCCAGGGCTGGTGGAAGGAAGTCAACAAAGGATTTTGTCCAGAGCAGATGTTTTAATTAGGCTTAGAAAGGACTAATTATGATGTCATCTGGAAGGGAAGACATCATAATTAGAAAGAAAAAGTGGCATTCGGAAATACATAGGATTTTGGAATATCATAGCTAGTTCAGGGAGCTACAAGAAATTCCATTTTATTGTAACAGGGAGTATAAACTAGAGTGAATAGGATATGAAGCTGATGAGGGAGCAGGAGCCAGATCATAAAAAGACATGCATAATTTACAGAGAAGTTTGGTTCTTATCATACAGGTGAAGGAAGACTTGAGTGCTTAAAAGTAGTGAATAATTATCCAGCTCCTACATGGTTACTAAGGTTGAGATTTAAAGTTACTTCTGAGTTACTTAGCAGCCAAGATAAAATGGAAAGCATTGATTGGGCGCAGTGGCTCATGCCTGTAATCCCAGCACTTTGGGAGGCTGAAGCAGGCAGATCACCTGAGGTCAGGAGTTCAAAACCAGCCTGGCCAACATGGTGAAACCCCGTCTCTGCTAAAAATACAAAAAAGTTAGCCGGGTGTAGTGGTGTGCACTGTAATCCCAGCTACTTGGGAGGCTGAGGTAGGAGAATTGCTTGAATCTGGGAGGCAGAGGTTGCAGTGAGCCGAGATCATGCCACTGCACTCCAGCCTGGGCAATAGAATGAGACTCTGTCAAAAGAAAGAGAGAAAGAGAAAGAGAGAGAGAGAGAGAGAGGAAGGGAGGGAGGGAGGAAGGAAGGAAGGAAGGAAGGAAGGAAGGAAGGAAGGAAGGAAAGAAGGAAGGAAGGAAGGAAGGAAAAACAAAGCATCTTTGGTTATGTATTGTTCTATTGTTGATACAGGAGAAAGGATATTGACCTTTGGATAAGGACACTGTCATCGTAGTTTAGCTTTGAGATACTTAGCAACATTAAGTAATATCTTTAACAGAAGTGGATATGTTATGAGTTGCTGTATTTTTTGCAAAGCACTCACATGTATAATCTCTCATTTAATCATTAAGCCCTTGTGGCATGAGCATTGTCTATTCCATTTTACAAAGGGGGGAACAGGCTCAGAGAGATCACATGGTAATCTAGAGTTATTATTCAAAATTCACCCCAGTACAAATACATATCTAAATTTTGATTAAATGACTTAACCCATATAAAAATTCTTTTTGAACCTCACCTTCTTCTGGTTGATAACAATAGTATTTTCTCTGTAGTATTGGTATGAGATTAAAGGAAGTACTCATTGGAAAGGGCTTTGCACATTGTGGATGATCAGTGGGTGGCATTCTTCCCTGCTTCTACACCAGTAGATATATTTATGCTGTGATGGCAAACACAGTTGGAAAACAGCAGTTAGTCCGTAACTAATTCTTAAGTGCTAGCACAATTTTGGTGTTAAAAATGTATGAGAAACTAGACAAATTAATAGCTTTAGCTGAAAAAATATTATTTAAAAATGAGGTTCAATAATGAACCTCATTTCCTCCAGCCAAAGTCTATATTATCATGATTACTTACTCTAGAAACATCACAATGTCACTAGGAAAGTAAGTCCTATACCTCTAAAATAATTCCCTCAAAATATAATCACCTTTAAAAGTACATGTGGTTGCTTTCCAGTGTAAAGCCTACATTTTTGATCATTCATTAAATTACTAAATGCATAATAAAGGATCTAAAATAAAGTATAACAAAGTGACAGTGTTTGTTAAGTCAATAAAAAGGAAACCACATGTCTGGTTAAGTGATGTTTCTGGAGAATCACAGCATGGCAAGATACGTCTAGAACAAGGAATTAAAGAAAGTCATTCAGAGTAAGAGACAGAATATCTCTTAGCATTGTACTTAGCATTGTCTTGCTTTCAAAACAAAACAAACCTTTTATTTTGAAATGTGTACTTCTTTTTAAGCCAAGCATCTATGATATGTAGTATCTTCTTTTGCCAGAGTTTTGCGAAGACTTCACAAAGATGGATTGTATTAATCTGCAGAAATTCCAAGTTAAACTCAAAATATCTTTTTCACATTAAATTATATAATCAAATTGCATTTTTCTATTGTGCTCTTCTAAAATTGCTTATTTACCTCTTTTATAAAATATTTAAGGTGTTTTTCTGAATTTCCTTGTTTTGATTATTATTGCCCTTTTAGATACTTGTGCAGCATGTTTTTGATTTATGTGGCTAGATTAGTTATGTGGCCTTATATAAACCTGCAAGTATTTATGAACACTAATACTAAGTGTTCTGTGAGATATATAGAAAAGGTCTAAGATACAATCTCTGGCTTGAAAAATCTTTTGATGTTGTCGAGGGAGACTTGGTGGTGCACATGAACCAAAAGTCCGATTCTTTAACATAGTATGTAACTAGGGGCTAATTACGTAGGCAAAACTAAGACTTTTTGTATAGCAGAGAGTAGGTAGATCAGAGAGTTTATAGAGTTCATGGAAAACTTGGGTTTTTCCATATGAATAGGATTTGGCGAAGGAGAAACGAGAAGGAAGGATGATCGTGGTATTATTATTGAAAGGCAAGTCACTGCCAACCTCAACCAGAGGATATGTGACAGGAGAACTGTAGAAAATTGAGTTTAAAAAGGTGTGTGGGGAGCAGTGTATGAAAGATCTTGAAAACCATGTAGAGGAGCTTGGAGGAAATGCAGTAGACATGGGAAGCCACGGAAGGTTTTGAATCAGAGACATGAAGTAGAACTCTGTGAAGAGTGTGAGTAGAAGGACTGGGGAGGACAGTGCCAAGGATCAGGCAGATCAGAAAGGAGGCTGCAGCAGTGAGATAGGTGTGTGGGCATGAAGACATGTGCTGGGGTAGTTAGTGATGGCAGGAGGGCATTGAGAGAGGGTTGAGGGCAAGAGGCTATGTGGAAGAAAAATCAGCAAGCCTGGATCATCGCCTGGACAGAGAAGGGCAAGAAAAGCAGTGAGACAAATCACACTGACCCCTCAGCACCAATGTGAACACAGGAAAGGAGGGGAAGCTGGGTAAAGAGAAAGCTGCTTTTGCAGGGGAGTCTTTACTTTCAGTTTAGGAAAGAGTTTTCCTGGGTTGGAAATACATCAAAATACACAAATGGAAATCAAACTTTCATAAAAATTGAAGCTAAGAGCTAGGATGAAAACGACAAGACTTATTTAGCTTCCACTCAATAACCTAGACATAGCTGAAACTCTGAGGATAAGATATCATCTCAGAATATTGTCATGGCCTTAGAGAACTTTTATTTATAATACATATATTTGTTATTTTTCTTAGAAAATTCTGCGTCAGGAATACACACAAAACACGATTAGTGGGGCTGTAGTATTAACCTTCCCTGCAAAATTCCTTATCATTCCACATTTGAAAGATTTTTAAGTCTTTAATATTTAAATATGTATTTTAGGATGCAACAACAAAATCCTTATTTACCTAAGAAAGAATCATACCAGAATCCCCATGTAGAAATTAGGTGTTTCTAAATCCATAATTATATGAGCATAGAAATTATTTACTGTCTTATATATACATAAATAGAGTATTTGGCAATTAGTTCATAACACAGATTTAGGTTTATTTAAGAGAGTCAATGTAGAGAGTATCATAATTATAATGCATTTTACACATAAAAATAACATGAGATAATCATTTTTTACCTGTATTAGCTATGCTATAGATAATGGCCCCTTAGTTGTATGTTCCATGGCTGCCGTGAATGATCCCCCATATTCAGACACTCCTTAGAAATGAGCTTTTGAATAAAGGTTAGTAAAGTACCTCTCATTCAGACCATTGGAATGAAATATACCACATCATTGACCAGACGTGTACTTAAATGAAATATATTTGTTTGTAAAGCAGCAAACAAAAAACCTCTCAGCGTGTGCCATTTTCCACTTCAGTTTGTGGCAAAGGGGACCATGTTGAAATAATTTGAGGCCTGGTACACACTGGTCAGTCTTGGTAATGCAGAAGGGAGGGACCCAGTGCATTATTACATTTCACGTGTTGTTTTTCAGGAGATGGCTGCAATCAGTCACTTCGCATATGGTTTGAAAAAGGCTTGTCTCTCTGGCAAGCAAACTGTTATTTAAGTACACAATCCACTCTACTACTGAAACAGTTTTGCCAAACTTATCCAAGTATTCTCACATGCTTAAAGATGGTATAAATATCATTTATTGCTAGCCGTTTTCTTCAGACTATATGGAATGTCTTCCTGCTGCCTGATCTAAGTGTCCCAGTTTACATTATGGTCTTTACTGCCTCTGTTTGATGGAGTGATCAGTAAAAATTTAATGACACTATAAAATAATAAAAATGTCATTAATTTACCACGGATCTTGGATGCAGTGGTTGTAAAGTTACATTAATAAACAGAATATTTTTTACAACAAAAAGCATTGTTACGTGGGAACGTATAAATAACACACATAAATTTAAGAGCAATTTTACTGTTAGCACACACATTATTATGGAATAGCCAATAAGTGTATAAAACATAGTATATAAAATTTTATTAAAATATACTGTGCACATCAAAAATTCAGCTTTTATCTAAGTGCAAAGAAAAGCCATTATTGTGTGCTTACTGTTTCATTGCTGTTCTTTCCCCAGATCACAATTTTACATTTGATGCCAGTAAGAGGAAGTTGATTTTTTTCCTAGATGAAAACAAACCTCTGTTCTTTTAGTTACCCCAAATTCATTCTCTCTCTCCACCCATGCAAAGACAAAATTGATCAATCTTGCCATGGTAGGGAGGGAAAAGTTGCTAATTTAATGCAAAGTTAAAAATAATGCCCGAAGAGTTGAATGGTTTGTTCAGTGACTCTGGAAATTAGGGATAATAATACAGCAGTCTATCTGTCATCAGTGAGGCTGCCCCGTCATTGACTCTGATAATACGTGAAGATGATGGATGCTACCGTCTTGTGGCTTGTAACATTTAACATTCATCAGCTCTCACTAAAGGGGGCTTTATCATTTAAATATCTTTATTTAATATGCAACATCTACCTCATACATCATAATTTCAAAGCACTTAGAGAGCCAACAGTCCTACAACACAGCAGAGCTGACTTTAATTTTTTTCAATAACTTTTATGTTGCCTGCATGTTTGTGACTGACAATGCATAAGTAAGTGTCTGATCACATTGCTGCATGTAAAATCCACTGTCAACATGAAGATGGGGCAGTTTTCCTGGAAGGGGTGGGATTAAATTAGCATTGAGGTATTTTGCTTATATCTCCAACATATCTTACTTGGGAGGTATGTATATGGTGAGAGCTAGTTCAAGTGTGTGGAAATTTGGACTTAAGAACTTGCCACCCACAGTCTATATTTGTTCCATATAGGGGCATGCTCATGGATGCTTAATGACAGAAGTTTAAGCTTGTTGGAACCAAAGTATCTTTATACTTCTCTCTGTGCCCATGTCCACATCCTGTATTTACTAGGCTCATGTTCAACCTCACTGGTAAAATCTTTGCTTAGCTCAGCTGCCCAGACGTAACTTGTAGACATCAGGCCCTCTTATCTTATGGTTATGTGGCTGGCAAATAAATATTCTGAGCTATTCTTTGAAGAAAAGAACGAAATCTTCTGGGAGACTAGGTGGAAATTTATATGAAATGGCATGGCTTTGCAGGGTCCTTCTTTAATCTCAAACACAAGTGCTTAATATTACCAAATCTAAAATGCAACCCACTGCCCAAAACAATTTCTATCATTGATTTATTTTCTTCCTATTTAACAAGTGTTTCATGGGATATTCTTCCTTGACTTCTACTCTGTCAAAATATTGATATTTTAAAGGGAAAGTATCTCTGCAGAAGATTTTTTTTTCAATGAAGTTAGAAAAATGTATGACTTCAAAGACACTGTGAATGTGTTGTTGAATGTTCTGAATGTTTTTTGTTATGATTAAAAACAAGCTGATACTACTGAATTGTGAGTGCACTTCATTTTTTATAAAAGAAAAGATATTATCATCATGTAAGCTTTGTTGTCTTAGGATTTTACAAACCATGGCATGTAATTTTCCCTCTTCTCCTTCCTTGTCAAAATATTGATATTCTTTCAGGAACTTTATTTTATTTTATTTTATTTTACTGAGAATATTTTCCAGTAAAATCAAAGAGAATGAGTGACTAGAAAGATACTTGAAATATGCATATTGATAGATAGCACGGTCTGTTGATTTTCAGAGAAAGTTGTTTTTCCTCCTATGAAAATACAGTTAAAGGTTGTTCTTCCAAGAAGATTGCAGGTGTCACATCAAAACTCCTTTTGCATTTAACATAGGGAAAGCATTCACATGCAAATATTTGAAATGCGAAACAATGTGATAAAACAAAGGTTGAATATTTTGCTTTCCCTGGTACTACTCATCTCCACTTTAATTCTTTTTCTTTACATCATGACAACCAAAGTGCTACTCAAAAATAGAAATTGGCTGATTAAAAGCAGCTGTCCTTTCCCTGACTGCGTCTGAAGCTCCCACAAGGCTTATAGTTGCTTTTTGTTGTGTCCTGCATCTGGGTTAATTTGTTCTTGTGCACCAGTATTTTCACATAGGAAGATATTAGGGAACCATACTTAACTTGGTTTTTATTTTCATTCTGTTTTTTATGAGAGTCATATTTCAGAGGTTTCCCTACATACTGCTATTTAAACTAGTGAGTATTACCCAGTTAGGGAAACTCGTGATTGTAATTTTTGTTGCAAATCTTTCATAGAAATGGTGTAGATTAAAGCAAGGTTTATGCTGTGTTTTCTTCCAACACAGATTTCAACATATTCCATGACGAAGGGGAACTGGAAGACTTCCTGCACAATTTGACTGATGGGAATTAATTATAGAAATATAATGATATTCAAAAATAATCATATTAGAAAGCACAAATGTAGTCAGGCTGTACAAATGAGGCAGAGACTCTATCAAGTAATTGTATGTTTGCTCTTTAAGAATATTTCCAAGTTTCTAAACATCTTACAGAAGAGAACACTCAGAGTGTTTCCATCTAATGCCGAACATGCTCAGTACAGAACTAGGTCATTGAACAATAGACTGAACAGCAATCAGCACTCTACTGCTGCATAATGCATTAAGTATAACATGCAGAAACCATTCCCGGAGCTGGAAGCTGCTATTTCATGTCTGTAAATTCAAGCTGACATGACATTTAATATTGTTTCATAGTAATGAACAACAAGGTTTCATTCATTCATAAGCACAACACAAAGCCAAGTTTGAGTCAGGAGAGTAGTGAGGAGACGAGAGGGGGACATGAGCTGTTTTTCTGCAGACAAGAACACCATATTAATGATGGTCAATGAGCCCCTCTGCTACTGATCCAGAGAGCTGCAGAGGGAGTGTTCACTGTGGTGCTTCAGACTCCTACTCCTAGAAGAACTGGTGAACAAGTAAAACATCTCTGGGTTTCCCTCCTAAAGCAGCAGGGGTATTTAACTTTCCTGGCTCCATGGCTGGCTAGGAGTGATGTCCTCCTTTTCAGTTCCCAGAAAATCACAGTTGAAATTCTGAGACAAAATAGTAGTATCAATCATCTTCTGGTTGGCCTGGTTTGAAATATTTGTTTTTGAAATCCTCGTGCATAAAATTCTGATTTGTATTTCCCCAGGAATACCAATGCAAACTATGATCTCTAAATGAGAAAATTCCTCTCCCATTAAATTGAGCCGTGTATTTTAATAAGAACTGCTCTTTCAGGTTTTTGCATTGTTGGCTCAACCCTCTCTATTGCGTTGTTTTTAGATTACTGGAGCAAATCCGACAGAGAGAAGATATGCATAGAAGCTCTGGCAGGTTCCCTGTCACAGCTTTCCTTTCCCTACAGGTACTATGGTCTAGATGCTGTCAGTGCTGTCCATGTCACAAACAGCTTTCAACGGAATCTTCCTGAAAGATTTTCAGAGTCCACATTGGTCAGAAATGATATTTTTGAATTCACCTTTTGGCCATTAAGCAAGATAGAAACTGGAAGGAAATGGTGGCTGTTTTGGAAACTAGAATAAGCCTCTGATTATTTGTTCCTCTAGGAAAGAACGCGCTTTGAGAATTTGGGGCCCCAGTTAACGGGAAAGTCAAATGAAGATGGAAAACTGGGCCCAGGTGTCATCGACCTTACTCGGCCAGAAGATGCAGAGGGTGAGTGGCTTTTCTCTAGTTCTTTTCTGCTGCTCCATGTGTTTCCAAATGTGTGTCTGAGCTAGATATAGGATCTTTATAGTTTTTCATAGGAGTCATCACTAGATTTCTTAG
The DNA here is from genome assembly GCF_000001405.40 of Homo sapiens. Lineage (NCBI taxonomy): Eukaryota > Metazoa > Chordata > Mammalia > Primates > Hominidae > Homo > Homo sapiens. Next base: position 16,014,827 of record NC_000011.10, on the reverse strand, counting down.
GCAAAGCAAAGGAAATGTCACTCTTCAACTACGTATGTATGTAAGTTATGTTGTGCATTATAGTAGAAGACTTTAAGAAGCAGTTAGATCTTACATTACCGAATACTTAGCAATCCAAGTACTTCAAGTTACCATCAAAGTTTTAAAATAAAAGGATCCTCTACATTTCAATGAACAGCAGAATTCTGTGTTTCATCCATCTCACTGCATTTGTATTTAAAAAGGGAAAACTTAGAAAGGAGGACTTTTAAATATTATTTTATCTTTCATTGACAAGTAATAATTGTATATATTTGTGGGGCATAAAGTGATTTTGATACATGTATACATTGTGGAATGATCAAATCAGAATATTTAGCATATCCAAATCAAGTGATTCCCAGGTACAATCAAACCATTTTGGGGATTAAATGATAGTTTGCAGCAGTTTTAGCATAAACTTAATAATTGTTTGGGGAAGGCCCAGCCTGTGCCTATGCACTAACCATCACTAACGTCTTTCAGAAGTCTGGGTGGAAAGACCAGCCTTCCTCTCAGAATGTTTACCCGCACCAATATCAATGCCTGTTCGCTTCTTTTCCCTTTTTGTTTGTTTGTTTTAAATGCACAAGCAGCACATCAGCAGAAATTGCTCCCCAGAGTCTGGGTACAATTTATGGGTTAGGTCAGCACTTCAGTAGTAATGTTGCCTGGTTATTTACTGTGTCATCACAGAGTAGAGACTGGTTTTCCCATTAGCTGTTCCTTTGGCAGAATCTGTCCCACCAGTCAGGGAAGATTAATTTGTTCTCTTCGGAGTAACATGATACTTCACCCATCTCAGGTCCCAGCTAAAGTCCTTCTTTAGCTTAAGGGGAAGAATCTCACTAGTATCCCTTTAACTGGCAGGGTTTCTTCCAGGACCCTAAAATCCCTCGAAAACACATGAAGACACTTCATAGCAGCATCTAAACTGGGCATGGCTTTTAGTGAGAGCCTGGGGCCATCCCAGGCAGCCCAGAAATCCCTGGAATGAGGACTCAGAGATGAATAGTATTAGACATTAGGAAGCCCTTCAGAAATTTTTCAGAATGCTAATTTTTCATACTAGTAGGAAAGACTAATGTTTGATGATAGTTTGGGAGACCAGGTGTTAAAATAAATTCTGATTAGGATGTATATGTGTCTATGGGAGTAAAGAGGGAGGGAGGGAGGGGAAGAGAAGAGAAAGGAAGGAAAGGAACGAAGAAGAGGGAGGATAGATAGGAAGGGAGGCATAAAGATTACTCAAAACCAGAAATATGCTTGCTGTCTTCCTTGAAGAATGTGTATCAACAGCCCATTATTTTCATAGGCACTTAAAAGTGCAGGTTTTCCACCGATAAGGGTTGAGGTTCCTCTGCCTAGGGAGCCAGGAAGTCCAAATGATGTTACTTGCACAGTTAACCATCCGAGTGCAACACAGAGATTGTGGCTGGCCTAAAAGCCTGTGTGGAAGTGTTTCAGGTCTGGCCCATCTCAATTTTATTGGGAGATTGTACTGCAGAGTACCTAAATTGTTGACCATATGTAATTAAATAAATATTTTTCATTACTTTGGAGTATTCAGTCTGTTTATTTGACAACAGACTGGTAGTTACAGAGCTCTGTCACCTTACCCGCGCTGTCAAAGACTTTTCTAATTTGTCATTCACACTTTTTCATTTGCTTCCTTAACTGCATATTTGGTGTAAATATAGTCAGTTATCTCTCAGTAATGTCATTACCTAGTTAGTGATATCATGTGCTTGGTAAGTTAAAAATCATGGTCAGAGTTATTAACTATATAAGAGGAAAAAGTTAAAAATTTAACTCTAGAGAAACATACTGCATATAAATATTTTTGGATATTCTATTCAATGCCTAGATTGTCTAGATTGAAACCAATTTCCCTGGCTGTTTTGTTTTTAGAAAACTTTTTTTATCAAGTGTTTATATACTAGAGGATGTCTTACGCCTTTTACCCACATTTTCTCATTTAATCCTTATACACATTGTGAAGAAGGTATTACTTTTTCCATTTTACAGGTGAGAAAACTGAGGCTGAGAATAATTAAATTACTCGCTATGAGCCACATATTAAGGGTAGAGCTGAGATTCTCCCCAGCAGCCTGCCATACTGCCCCCACTGTTTATGCAGAAACACGTGGTCCCTTCATTTTTCTGAACAAACTCCTTGTGACCTTCCTCAGTACAGCCCATTTCCTCTGCCCTAAATATAGCAAGTCATGCCATACACCAGCTCTCATGTTACTCTGTCACACATAGCAGCAGTGCCTGATGAGTATCATAGTAGAAGGGCTGTAGTGGCCCAGGAGCTTAAGGAGCATGTGAAAACCTCCCTTTAGAAGCTTGCCCAGAAGTTGCCATTGAGACCTCATGTGCTTTTGGGGGTTCACGAATGGAGTCAAGTTACCTGTTCTAATACCGACCGAAGTGCAGTGCTTCTGTGAGGACTGCTAGCATGGGTAGCAGCCTTCTGCTGACTTCAGGATATATCCTGGCATCTGTTCAAGGCTGAGCTGATTGCAAAGTCTGCTGGAGTTACACTTCATATTAAAGTCAGAGTAGATAACAGGTACATATGATACTTTCTCTACTTCGTTCCTTCATATTTCCCTTAACAGTAAGATTAAGAAGAAACTAAAGTATCAGAATAACTAAAAAAATTATTTGCTCCTTCACTTAGTCTTTGGTCTAAAAAAACAACCAGCCAACATTTCTTGAGTGCCTACCATGTGCCAGCCCCTAAACTAGACTTAAAACAAACGATGGGCAGCAAAGCAGAGATGTCCTTGACCTCTTTAAACATATGGTCTAGTGAGGAAAGACAGAAGATTAAAAGGGAAATATGTACATACATAATTATCATGGAGAAAAGTGCTAAGAAGATCAGGACTTCTTTGTGCTGTATAGAGGATTTGGAGTGAGAGCTCCTTAGCCGGGCTGAGTTGATAAGTAAGTTCTGTGCCTCTGGCCCAGGATGTCTTCTCCCTCAGTCCATACAGGTTTCCTCTGGCTTTGGAACAGCAATTTTAAGGGGCTATGCCCTCCCCCCATGTCTACCCATCCTCCTATGGGGCTTCTGAAGTGACTAAAGTAAGCCAGCCCAGAAAATGAGGCCCTGCTTCCACCAGGCTTCCCAGAAAAATGTCTGCCAGCCATGAAAATGACAATATCACTTAGTAAGCAACTTGTAGACATGCTTCATAGCCCTGAGCCTGGAGGCAGTGAGGAAAAGGTCACCAAAAGAGGCAGCTGTGGATGTGTATTAACCACTCATCAAAATCATATGACAAAACCATAGGCAAGGAAAACAGAAATTAAAAATATAAAAGGCAAATGCCTTCAAAATTTTATTTTTAAAGTCCAGCTGTTATTTGGCTTGAATGTGACAAGACAGCATTTCTTGTTCACCATGATATTTATAAAACTACAAATTCATTGGTGCCGGGGACTTAGGAAACATGTTTAAGGTTTTGTTATACTTTGAAGCAGTTGAAGTCTTAACATGTATTGAGTATACATAATTTGTTAGCTCCTATGTAGGACATGTAAGGAAGAGAGGGCTTGATTAGTTGAGTCTGTCACCATATAATTAAGAATAGTGAACAGCTGTTGAACTTTTTATGGACTTTTCGTATGGCATTTCCCCTTTTCTTATTCTGCTTAGGCAAGAGTGCAATTCTTATTCCAACTCTCCTAATTTCAAGGTTGCCTACAGACTAGACAGAGTTCTAGCCTGTTTAATGGGAGATTTGAGTTGAAGTTCCTTTGCTAAATGACTAAAAACAAGAACCTCTGGGCTTAAGTTTCTTTATCTTTTAAAAAAGGTATGTTGGATTTGACTTCATCTAAGGTCCTTTCCAAGTCTGCGATTATTATTAGAATCTTGATAAAACACTGAGTGAATTTCTTATCAGAAAGATGATCTATCTATCATAGGTTCCATTTAGGGTTTTTTTTTAGAGAAGTAAAAGAGGAGAGTAATGGCTTAGAGGTTGTATTTGTGCCACTTGCTGAATTGAGTTTTCATGTTCCTTGAGCTTTTGTTTTTATTAATGAGAAGATCTCTCCAGTAGTATTTCCCAATTACCTTTCACAGATGGGCTCCCTCCTCTTTCTCTCTGCTCTCCTTTCCCCCAGCAACAATAGTTGAGACTTGGCTTTTTAAATATATTCTTTCCATCCTGTTTCTTTTTTCTCTTATACCTGGGGTTTCTAAAGGGGTACTTTTCTTTTGTTTCTGTTTTGCTGCATGGTTTGAGTAAGAAAACATTCTTCTAACACCTTTAAAACAATTTTCACATCAATTACTCTGTCCCAGCCTTTTTGGGAGGTTGTACCTCATTTTGATTTGGGGCATAGTGAAAGATAAGCCTAGCATTTATGGATGAGCTCTGAAAGGGATTATATTTGGCCAGACTGTTGGACCCTGGATCAGAACTGGAATGATGTGCTGTCCTCCATGCATTAAAACTTTGCATTGATTCAAATGGAAATAGATATGTGTACCAAGAATACCCTCTTTTGGGACTATTGCTCTCACATTTCTTCAGAAGCATTTTATAGATTTATACTGAATTTGTGAACTGGAACACAGCCAAGATGACCTTACCCTTCTGAAGCTTTATTTGTGTGTGTGTGTGTGTGTGTGTGTGTGTGTGTGTGTGTGTGTGTGTGTAGCTCCAACTGCTTCTAAGTTTTATATCTCAGGATATTTTTTTTATTTTCGGCTTAAGCTCTTTGTTTAAGACAAATAGCAGAGATTGTAATAGTTCTTCTTTTCTTTAAAACACACCGCTTAATATGAATGCCCTCTCTTAAAAATCCTGCTCATTCTTTGATCCATATACTTGGAAATTGTTGAAGCTTTCCTCATTCCCCTACCCTCCCTAGATCCTTATTCCTGGTAGAAAAGATTGACTCTATGATACACGACTCATTCAAGGCAGCAGAGGCAAACTGTAGCCTAATCTGGGGTGGGATTTAAATGCTATAACTGCATATACTTTGGAATGTAAAGATCATTAGTTCAAGCCTACCAGAATATAGTGCTTCACATTGCAACTCTTGGATTCTCAGATTTGAAATAAAGGAGAGAGGTCATCAAATCTGTAATTCAGTCCAAGAAATCACTTCTCATATCCCTGACAAGTAGTCGTTTTACATCTGTTCAAATGCCTCTGAGAGTCTGAAGACAGAATACTGGCCACTTCTTGAGAGGCTCGTCCTAATTCAATTAGCTGTTTGTTAACAACTTATAACTAAAATTTGCCTCACTTTCTTGTAACTTCTACTCATTGGTTCTAGTCTGACTTCTAGACCCTACCAATAAAACTTATCATTTCTTGATTTGACACCCCTTCAGATATTTGCTTAAGGGCTAGAAGACTTAAATTCTGGTTGTTCCATCCTTGACAAGTCATTTTCTTCCCCTAAATTTTCTCATCTGTCAATGAGGAAGTTGGTCTAGATGGTTTCTAGTTGACAGTTTTTAAAACTTTATTATTTTACTGCTATATAATTGAAACCATTCACCTTCAAGGCAACTAGAGTATAATAAGTATCAATTAGGGATGATGCAATAATCAAAATAAATACAATTATTGTGTAATTATATCAGAGATGACATGCCTTTGCCCAAGAAGGTATCCAACTACTAGATACTAGGAATAAAAGATGAGAAATTATACACGTAAAAAGATAAGACTCAGGTAAATCAGAGGGAACATTAACTAGAGCTATGCTGTGGGCATATGGGTCTGGCTTTCCATAGCTACCCAAAATGGCGTCCAGGCATTTCAGAGAAATGAATAGGCAATAGCATCTCTGTGGAACCAGCAGACTGGTGACTGAGGCCAGGATGGGTAGTGAGGGAGGCCCAAGACCTGGTGAAAAGGAGTAACAGCCACACAGGCTGGGATATAAGCAGAGTCGACAAAGCCCTGGGCTCTGGACTAACTCTGTTGTATGAGTATCACAAAACTGTATTTTACTGTGGATATAAACAGTTTTAGAGGATCCTGTGCACCAGTTTATATCAGCACTATATATAAAGTGCAGCTCTCTTAAACAAGCAAATAAACTTCTCTTAAAGAAATATATTTGCTGTGTCTTAAAAGCTCCGAAATAACTTTTAATGTTGGTAGAAAACAATTTCCATTGAACCCTCCAAGTGATGTATAGTCCTGATGGGGCAAGATAGTGAAATGTCAAGATTCTTGTATAACTCCATCTCCTAATACTCCATAAAAGGAACTCAACCTGCTGCTTATTGTTGCTTAAGATAGAAAGCCCAATCAAAGACCCAGCCTCTCTTTAGTGAGGAATCTAGCCCTACTGGATAGCTGGTTTCTCATTGGGCTGCCTTTTCTAAAGAAGTGTCAATGGCAGTGTGAATAATTACCACAAAAAAAGATCTGCTTTTCTGACTGAATGTTCTTTACCCTGGGGAAGAAATAACTGTCTATGTCATTACTGAATCACATAGAAATATAGTCTGCCGTCTGTATCTGCAAGTTCTGCATCTGTAGATTCAATCAACTGTAGATAAAAAATATTCACACAAAAAATGGCTGGTTGTGTCTGTACTGAACATGTACAGACTTTTTCCATGTGATTATTTCCTAAACAATGCAATGTAACAATTATTTACATAGTATTTACATTGTATAAGGTAACATAAGTAATCTAGAGATTATTTCAGGTATGTGGGAGGATATGCATAGGTTATGTGCAAGGACTACACCATTTTATATAAGGGACTTGGGCATCTGAGGATTTTGGTATCTGTAGGGGGTCCTGGAACTAATCTCTTTCAGATACTGAGTAATGACTGTACTTCTCCAACTTGCTACAGCAACTGAGCAATGAAAGATTAATACTATCTACCATGAAAATTAAACCCAAGACAAGGATAGCTAGCATATGTTCCCGATGGGACTGCAAAATCAGCCCTTGCTTCCTCAGCAGTATGTATGTCTGCTTCACATAAACCAACACATTAGATTAAACCCTGACTGATAGAGTTCTGTCCGACATATTTGGACTGACTGTAGCTTTTGAGATTGTGGACCTTGCCCAGATTCTTCTCTCCTGGCAGTAAGAGCCACTTGACTTTCTACCTGCAAGCTGTGGAATTCAGCCTAACCTTAAGGTAATGGGATTTAATGAGCATCAAGCTAGTTATGAATGTGCTTTAAATTCTCTCTGTTTAAGGTCAGGATTGGAATTGAGACCAAACTTTGATCAATTGGCCGTTTCCTTTTCTTCATGTTCTGATAACTGTGTTTCTAACTTGTTCCAAAGAGTCAGTACCCACCCAGTCCTCCCCCAGTTTCTGTTACTGACTTCCTATCTTTTCTTAACCAAGGTGTTCTTATACAGTCATGCACCACTTAATGACATTTAAGTCAATGATGGCCCACATATATGATGGTGGTCCTATAAGAGTACAATACCATATTTTTTCTGTACCCTGTCTATGTTTAAACAAATTACACAAATACTTATCATTGTGTTGCCATTGCCTACAGTATTCAGTACAGTAACATGCTGTATGTGTTTGTAGTCTAGGAGCAATGGACTATACCATATAGCCTAGGTGTACAGTAGACTATACCATCTAGGTTTGGTAAGTACATTCTATGATGTTTGTACAATGACAAAATTGCCAAAGGATTCATTTCTCAGAAGGTATCCCCATCATTAAGCAATGCATGACTGTTTTTTAATATCTCCTTCTAGATTCCTCTTCTTGTTTGGTTCTGCTTGTCTATCACTGCCTGCACTCACTATCTGCTGTCTATTTTCAGCCTCTTTAGAGGTGGGTCTCTGTAGACTGAATCTCCGGTGCTAGGAACCAGGACTTTCTAACCAGGATCTGTCCCTACTCATGGCCTTCCAATCTTCAGTTTTACCCATATGTTCAACCAAGTTATAATTTACTGATTATCTCATAACACCATACTGTTATGGGCATGGAGGGAAAGGTTTTTTAAAAAATATAGACCACATTATATTCTTCAAGAGCTAGTAATGTAGTTGGGATTACAAGCTTAGTATACATAAAAACCAAAGCAGTTTAAGGCATTAAATGTTCAAGTACATCGTTAAAGAAACAGAAAAGAACTGCTATTTAGAGGAGGAAGCTTTGTGGACAGCAATGGTTCTGGAAAACCTGATAGAAGTGTGGCTGGAGATAAGCCTAGGTTTGGATAAGCAAAGAGAAGAGGAAAAGCTTTCATTTGAGGGAATAATCTAAGCAGACACAGACATTAAGCAGATAGACCTTCATAGGAAAGCTCCAGAAGGGAAGAATCGTCTTTTTCATCTTTGTCTTCTCCACTAAGCCCAACACAAAGCCTTGCACACACTTGCAATTAATAAATATTTGTTGAATTGAGTATGCTACAGAAATAGATGGGTGCCATATTAAGGAGTGCCTTGATTACCACGCTGAGGAATTTGGACTTTACCACCAAATAAATATGCATTAACCTTTAATCATTCAAGACTGATTTAGACTAGAGAGGTTAAGAATAATGGAAATGCAGTAGTTAGGTTGTTTTTGGAGATCTGTTAGTCACTTTATTCCTCTGCTCTCTTTAATATTATTTCAGAGAGGATGTTCAAGTGGATATCTTTCCATGTTATAACATGAGAAAGCTTAGCAGGTGTTAGGTGGGTTTTCATTCAAACGCATACTAGAAATAATTCCTTTCCTCCTCTCCTCCTGGATGCAAGTAAGTATGATTTTCACTGTCTACTGTGACTGATCGATGCCTTACAGATCAGTCTTGTACTTTTGCCTCTCACTTAGGAGTGCGGGTTTTTTTTTAATTGTTTTTGTTCAATGGATATTTACACCTGAGACATGATGATGCCAAAGTTAGGTCATAGTACCAGAGGGGAAAAGTTATGTAAGAATGCATCGTCATTTGCTGTATACTATAAACTGCTACATTTGGGAATAGGCTATGGCATGTAACTCTGAACAAAAATGTAATATCCCAAGTCTCAGACCTGGAAAAAAGCATTTCATAAGAAATATGTTCAATCATTTTAAATTTATATTAGAAATTCAAATTGAAGCTTACTGGTATCAATGTATTTTTTACTTTGGTGGTAGAGAAATTGCTCATGGTGCTTCAATATAAGCTGACTCTTCTGTGGGAAGGTTGATCCTACACAGGGACAAAATAAACAGGATAATAGCTGCTCCATGCTGGAGAGCTACAGACCTGTTAGTGGGGAAGAAGAAAAACAATTGTCAAATGTCCCTGAAACTTCATTGCCCTCCATTTATTATAATTTCATAGTCAATAATTCAAATCCTTCATAATTCCAATGAGTCTTTTATAAAAAAGCCTATCTGTAGGTTCACAAGATAATGGTCTCTTCTTTTCTTCTGGCTCTGTATGAGCAGTATGGTCTGATTTCTGTTCCCATATATGGGAACTGCGGAGATGTGAGATGGTCTTTCTCGGTTGAGCCTTATGCCTAGTCATTATATTTTCGTCTATATCGTAGAGAACCTTTTGAAATATATTTTTAGCATTTGGGAAGAAGAGAGGCTCCATTAAGGAGTAAATTGCATTCTTCAGTTAACTTATGGGTTTATTTAGTAACTACATGAAGAATAGAATGTAAAATATAGCAAACATCACCCAGGTATGAGGAAAGTCTATAAAGGGAACACATATGAGTTAAGCACCTCCTATGTTCTTGGTACTGGAATAAGCATTCTACTACTTCTGTTGCCATTATTACTGCTACCTATTTCTAAAATGAACTACTGCTTAGTGAGTAGGTATTGGGTTCCAGTCACTGTGCTAGGAAATTTACATGTATGCCCATTTATTTCTCACAAAGATGCTGCAAGGTAGAAATTATTGCTCTCTTTTATAGAAAAATGAAGCTACAGTTTAGAGAAAGAAAACAATTTATCCAAGGCTACTTAGCTAGGAAAGATCAGATCAACAATTCAAACCTAGATCTGTCTATATGGCATCTGAGCCATACTGCCTCCTGTTTTTCTCCAAGATGAGCTGACTAAATTGGTTGCCTTTGTTGGATTAGCTTTTTCCTATAGTTTTCATTAAAAAGCAGAAAATTTTAATTAGAAATGGAAACTGTGAAAGTGTTTTTAATCCTTTAAACCACAGAAATATTAGGCACTTTTCAAATACTTTCACCAGTTCTCGGGGTGAAGAAGTATTGGTGGGCCCATCAGATTGGATTGTCTCTAAAATCCTTGAGTGATCTCCTTTCAGTACTGTTCATTCCTCAACCCTAACCTTAAAAAAAAATTAGTTTCTGCTACTCCCATAATATGTATTTTCCATTCTAATGAAATACAGATTCCCCAGACAAATGAAATGAAGAGAGGCCAGTTAAATTAGTCATGTTAGGAGTTTTAAAAGCTAAGTTTGGATGCCATTGAAACAATTCAGCTGACCATTGAAGAAATTCATTCTGATGGAAAGTGTGAAATTTGGGGATAGTTACATTTGAGTGCCCATTGTGATTTTTGCCATTTATTAACCGTGAGACTTGGACAATTTAATCTCTCTAAACCTGAAAGTTTCCTCATTTGGAATGAGGAGTATGGATTAGGTAATCTTTAACATCCATCTCCTGTTAGAGTTCTCTAATTCAATGAGCGTGTTTTATCTATTTTATAATGAATCTGCTATTTAAGGAAAGTCCCATTGTATGCTTACTTGAATACAGTACATATATATGTATATATATACACACATATATATGTGTGTGTGTATATATATATGTATTATATATATATTTACACACACCCTACATCATTAGAATAGTTTTCAGATTTAATATTTCCAAAAATCTCAGACATGCCTTACCATCCTTCCAAGGTTTTTCTAGAAGTAGGGAGGCTGGCATCTCAGAACTGCACAGTATGGCTAGTCAATCAAAGAAGTAAGATTGGAACCAATAATCTCTGAGTCCCACACCGCAACTATGGGTACATTTTCCACATCAAAATTATTATTGTTTTATAGATGTTTCAAGAAATGACACTTAACAGAATATAAGAAATTAAATTTCTACAAGATCTGATTTCAGAAATTCCCAGGTTCTAATAGAACATGTGGGCATTAGAGACTCACTCTAAAATTCTCACTGTTGAAGATGTCCACTGTACTGTATTAGTAAGCATTTGAGTATTTACCTTATGCCATCCTGGCTACTAGACCCTGGGGATAAGGATAAGCAGCTAAGGATAAGACACAATGCAGTCACCACTGTTTTGGGGTACATAGTCTAGAAAAGAAAGTAAGTACATAAAACTGGTAATTTGGATAAAATATGGCAAATGTTAAGATGGAGGTACGCATAGGGTGCCACCTGTCAGAGCCTAAGCTACTTATTCTAACCTGGCAACCAGGTAAGACTTTCATGGGATAAATAATACCTGAGACGAGTCTTCAATAATGAGTGATTGCAAGATGGCCAGGTAATTTCAGGAAAGGAGAAAACTCAGATCCCTAGTATGTACACACACAACACAGTGTGTGGAGAACTGGAAATAGTTCAGTGTTATGACACAAAAAATGTTCCAAGCAGAGTAGCCAGAGCTGGTACTGGAGCCATAGTTGGAGGGCCAGGTCACGGAAAGCCATCTGTACTGTACTAAGGAGTGTGAACTTCATCTTGTGGGCATGAGGGAGCCATTGAAGTGTTTTAAATATAGCAGTGGCCTAGTCTGAATTGCATTTGTGACAGATCATTCTGGCTGAAATTAAGAGGAGGTATTTAAGTGGAGGTTAAAGGATTTAAAACTGGGTGTAAGAATATCAGCCAGAAGGCTAGTTTTTATAATAGTCCAGCAAAGATAGTGAAGGCTAAGGCAATCGATAAAGATTGAAATGAGAGGATGGATTCAGTAGTATCTGTGTTAACTAACTCCTGAGACTTGCTTCATCTTGCTTTGCACTTCTTAATTTCATGTAGAGTCTATGACAGGAGGTAGAGCTGGTTAAAGCCAAAAGCTGCTGAATAACACGAATTATTCAGTCTACCAGCTTTTTACCAGCCTCATTATTCTCCAAGGGCATCTTCTTGAACCTGAGCCCAGTTGTCCTGAAAACTTAGGAAGCCAGAACTTGTTATTGCCTTATTTCAACCTCAGTGGTCTCTGGTTCAAACTTAAATGATGCCTTTTTACCTGGGCTCAACAGCTTGTAGGCCCTCCTTCTATGTATAAATACAGCATATAGATAATAAGTGGGATGTTTGATGCTCTATGCTCCCTTCAGGTCATTAAAATAAAGAATATAAGTTATCCCAGCTGCCCTGGGATTCTGTAGTTGAAATAAGATAAAGGACTCTGTTTAGCTATCTGTGTAAAGTAAATATAACTTGAGAATTTTGAAAAAAGTAAACACAGGCATCAAAACTGAAAGCAAGAGACTCTTGAAAATACAGACTGGTATATCACTGGTTAGAATTTCCTTCATTTTGCAAAGCCACGAGCCACATGCATCAGCTCACCACAAAGTCATTAAGCCTTTTTAAGCTCAGATGAAAAACATTAACAAATACCACAAAAGGCTTTAGTATAGCCCCTTTGTTCATTCACATATGGCACTTTATAACTCCTGCGCCACTCCGGTCGTGTGTTTGTTTAAGCTGCCTCCATCAGGCTGGTCCTGAAAGAACAAAAGACATCTTGAGCAATCCTAAGCAGGAAATGGGCTAATCTAAACATAGTTTGTGACACTTTAAGTAGAATAGAAAGGGGAGGGATTGATTAGTCATTAATGTCCAATTGGCTCCATATGGATGTTGCAATAATAAAGCCCTTTTTCAGAGCAGTAGCAGAGTTATTGAATTAGAGGTTTATGTTTCCTCAGAGCTGACCTTAGGGAATTCCCTTTGGTTCCTCTTGTTGATCTTTTAAAGAGAATGGAGTTTCTAATAGAAAAAAAATAGAAGTCTTATCCACAATAACACTTGCTCATAATCCTGTAACCAAGGAATGCATTAATTTAGCATTGTTTTCATCCCAGCTATAATTTTAGTCCTTAGTGCTTTCTCGACATGCCCTTGCATCTTTGGTGGGGCAGTATTTCAGAGAACAATTAGACAGTGGCATGAACTTCATAACTGGTCATGGGCTCTTCTAATGTGCTTAGCTGGGCAGGGAAGTGGCATCCTTAAAGTGGGAAAATAATGTTCCAGCCAAGAAATGGTGGGCTTTGAAATTCAGAGTTATTTCAGATTGCCGAATAGTGATTGGGGTAGCTTTGGTGAAGGGGTGATGTACTAGGCTGAAAGTCAGAAGATCTACGTTCTAGAACTGGCTCTGCTTCATATTACCAGCAACTGGTTAATCAGAGGAAGGTGCTATCATGTCTCTGAGTCTTGCTTTCCTCATCCATAAAGTGGGTGAAAAGATATCTGCCTTCCTACACATTTTAAAAGATTGTAATGAGGATGAAGATAATGTAATCAGTGAAAGCACTTTGTAAATATTATTTTATGCAAAGTTACTTAGCACAGCTGGTGTTCCTATCCTAGAAACTGACCTCTGGCCTAGTCTATCAAAAAGGTAAATTGCTCTTTAAAGAAATACTTTGGTACTCTGATTAATGAAATGTTTGTTTCCAGCCGAGAGCAGTGGCTCACGTCTGTAATCCCAGCATTTTGGGAGGCCAAGGCAGGCAGATCATTTGAGGCCAGGAGTTCAAGACCAGCCTAGCCAACATGGTGAAACCCTGTCTCTACTAAAAATAAAAATAAAAAAAAATTAGCTGGGTACAGTGGCTCACATCTGTAATTCCAGTTACTCGGGAGGCTGAGGCAGGAGAATCGCTTGAATCCAGGAGGCAGAGGTTGCAGTAAGCCAGGATCACCCCACTGCACTCCAGCCTGGGTGACAGAGTGAGACTCTGTCTCAAAAATAAATAAATAAAATAAAATAAATAAAAATAAAAAGTTTGTTTCCAAAGTGCCCAATGGAATTTTTTATGTGTACATTATATATAACTAGGCCTTTCTATTCATGTCTCTGTCTCTCACACACACACACGCGCACGCGCGCACACACACACACACTGTCATCCTCTCTCTCTCCCTAGTTTATTTAGTGAATTTCTTGATGTAGATAGCTTCAACAGTTGAAGTAAATAGGGATTTGTTTTTAGTAGGGCTAAGGAACCTTAAGATGAAAACAAAGATATTAAACTTTACTTATGGTTTTCCTCAACATTCAGCAAATGAAGAATTAACACTTTAATTAAAGTACCACAGGTAATTCACCTTTTGTTCCTGTACCATCGGCTCTTATATATTCAACAATCACTATCTCAGAAGAATTGTGTATCCATATTTTGCATTTGCCTACCTTAAGTCATTTCACCTGTCACTAGATCACTCTTTGCTAATACATCTAGGTAATTTTTATAAAAGATACAGAGAACAAAGCATACTCTACATCTCTGGCATTTCTTCTTCTCAGAAGATGAACACATCACTTCCTCACTTCCTTAATGATTAAGGCTCTTGCTCCGCCATGGAATGTATTTTGCCTGCCAAACAAACCACTAGGATAGCCAAATCCTTTTTCTTTTTTTTTGCAAGAAGAAATCAAATTTGAAATCCAAGCAGCCTTCCTGTAATGAAAGTAAGTTCACATTCTGGCAGAACAGGAATGAGAAGTTAGCAGTAGGTTTCCATAATCATAGACAGACATCTATCAGCCATTACTTCAACACAATGAATTGGACCTCTGTTGTATTAAGATAAATTTGGTAGGATAAATATGGTGAAAAATCAAATCTGTGTAGTATTAGTACTCTCTTTTCTAATTTCAATCCCCTTTTAAAATTTCACCTTCTACATTTTTGTTTCTAATGCATTCGGTATCATTTTTCTCTAATAACCCAAGTAAGGGACTATCAAATGTATTGTGTGACTCTTCAGAATCTCACAGGAGAAAATCAACTATTCTATTAATAAAATGAAGTAGTCTGAAATACTGTGATTGTCAACAGTTCCATCAAGCAACCCAATAGTGATACTTATGTCTCTTTCTCTTCATAAGCAATCAATTATAGTTTTTTGCTCTTCTTAATAATTCATTTTAGTAAATGAGATTATCTTTGAGTTCACAATGGCCTGAATATGTCACCTACTTTTCAGGTCCACAGAAAAAAGAACCTTTCAAAAAAAAGAGCATTTTATTTGTTGGATGGTTGGTTTTCTGCTTTATTTTGTGGGGTTTTTGTTTTTGGTGTCATTTTTGCCTTTTTTAAACTAAGAGTTACAATAGTTTTATTTTGAGTAGTATCCCATTGTATGGATATATCACAATTTGTTCATTCTCCAGTTATTTTCCTTTTTTCTATTATTGATAAAACTGCTATCATATTCTTATATAAGTCTGTTTTTGACAGAAGCTTTAATTTGTTTGCTGGGTCATAAGTAAATATGCATTTTAATTAGAAGAAATTGCCAGAAAATGGTTATGCTGTTTTATACTTTCACTACCAGTATATTAGAGTTACAGTATATTAGAGTTGCTCCTTATCCTTGCCAACATTTAGCACTTAAGCCATTCCAGTGAAATGCATCTCATTGTGGTTTCAATTTGCATTTTCCTGATGATTAATAATAGGGAATACCTTTTCATCTGCTTATTGGCCATAACTATATCCTTTTTTGTAAAATGTTCATTTAAGTCTATTGTCCATTTTAAAATTAGATTTTTTTGGTCATTCTTTATATATCCTAGATGCAAGTTCTTATCAGATATGTGTGTTCCAAATATTTTTTCCAGTATGTGCTTTGACATTTTATTTTCTTAACAATGACTTTTGATAAGCAGAGTTTTAATTTTTATAAAGTTCAGTTTAACATTTTTCTTGTATATTTAGTAATTTATATGTTGTATCTAAGAGTCATTTTACTTTAAAGTCACTAAAATATTGTCTTATGTATATTTAGAGGAGTGTTATAGTTTTTTCTTTCTTGATTTAAGTCATGATTCATCTCTAATTGTTGTATATAATGTGTGATACAAGATGCAGGATTTTTTTCCAATGTGTCTATCAACTTGTTCTGGCGGTATTTGTTGAAAAAACTATCGTTTTCCACTTTAACAGCCTTAGTTTTCATTAAGGTAGTTTGAATCCTCTAATTTTCTTCAAGTTTGTTTTAGTTTGTCCTACTGCTTTATTTTTCATATAAATTTTAAAGTCAGTTTGTCACCTTATATGAAAAAACTTTGAGGAATTTTTATTGGAATTTGGTTGAATCTGTAGGTAAATTTGGGAACAATCACATTGTAACAATATTGAGTCTTCTGATTCAGGAACATGGTATATTCCTCCATTTATTTAGGTCTTTAAGTTACAAATGTTGTTTTGTTTTTAGTGTAGATGTGTTGAATACTTTTTTCAGTTAAATTTATTCCCAAGTATTTTATTATCTGATGCTATTATAAATATATATTTGAATATTATTTTTTAATTGTTTGTTGCTAGTATAAAGAAATATGATTGATTTTGGTATTTTTTATTGTTCATTGCAATACTGTTAATTCACTTATTAGTTCTAGTATTTTGTAAATCCCTTAGGATTTTTTATGTAAACAATTATATATGAACAGATGACATTATTTATTCCTTTATAATTTGTATGCTTTTTATTTTTTATTTTATTTTATTTTATTTATTTTATTTTATTTTTTTGAGATGGAGTCTTGCTCTATTGCCCAGGCTGGAGTGCAGTGGCATGATCTCAGCTCACTGCAGCCTCTGCCTCCCGGGTTCAAGACATTCTCCTGCCTCAGCCTCCTGAGTAGCTGGGATTACAGGCACACGCCACCATGCCTGGCTAATTTTTGTATTTTTAGTAGAGCAGGGTTTCACCATATTGGTCAGGCTGGTCTTGAACTCCTGACCTCGTGATCCGCCCACCTCAGCCTCCCGAAATATAAAGTGTGAGCTTTTTAGTTTTTTAATTGTTGATTAACAATGGTGAGAGTGGACATCTTCGCCTTGTTCTTCATTTTTAGAGAAAGCATTCGGTAGTTCACTATTAAGTATGATGTTACCTGTAGGTTTTTCTTAAATGCCCTTTATCAGACTGGGAAAGTTTCCTTTTAATACTAATTTCCTGAGCATTTCTAACATGATTGAGTATTGAATGTTGTTAAAACCATTTTCTGAATCTATTGTGATTATCATGTGTTTTCATTCCCTTTGTTCTGTTAATGTAATGAGCTACATTGTCTGATTTTCAAATGTTAAACCAATTTTACATTCCTGAGATAAGTTCTACTTGGTCATGATGTATTATCTATTTTTTACATTTGGCTGGATTCAATTTGTTAACATTTTATTTTAAAATTTTGCACTTACACTCAAACCTCTGTCAAGGTATGCTGCCTCATAAACTTAATTAAGAAGTGTTCCTTCTTCCTCTACTTTCATACCTTTACGCAATATTATTCTTATTTTCCTTAAATGTTTGAAAGAATTTACCAGTGAAACCATTCGGGGCTTCAATTTTCTTTGTGGATAAGTTCTTCGTTATAAATTCAATTGATTTATTAGCTATCAGTGTATTCAGATTTTTTATTTATTCTTGAGTGAATTTTGGTAGTTTGTGTCTTTCAACAAATATGTTCATTTTATCTAAGTTGTCAAATTTATTGAAATTAAGTTATTTATAATATTCCCTTTTTATCTTTGTAATATGGGTAGTATCTACAGTGAAATCTCCTCTTTCAGTCCAAATACTGGCATTTTTGTCTTCTCTCTTTGTCTGTTGACCCATCTTACTTAGGATTTATTAATTTTATTGTACTTTTCAAATTTCTAACCTTGGCTTTGTAAGTTGTCTTTATTATATCTGTTTTCTGTTTCATTGATTCTTACTCTTCATCCATTCAGAGAAATCACTAACTTTTAATTAGATAATTTGATTTATTTCTGTTTAATATAATTATTAAATCTGTTGGGCTTAGGTCTTACACTTCAGTATTTTTTTCACTACTTGTATTTGTTCCCTCAGTTTTTTGTCTTCTATTTCTCCTCTCTGCTTTCCTTTGTGTTAATTGAATCCCTTTTTAAGTCTTTTGTTTGAAGTACTCTGGTAGATTTTTAGCTATACTTCTTTGTATTTTTTACTTTTGTTTGTTTGTTTTTTGTTTTGAGTCAAGGTCTTGTTCCATCACCCAGGCTGGAGTGCAGTGGCCCATCCTCAACCTCCTGGGCTCAAGCAATCCTCCCACCTCAGCCTCCTGAGTAGCTGGAACTACAGGTGCATGCCGCCACACCTAGCTAATTTTTTAACCTTTTGTAGAGACAGAGTCTCAGTATGTTGCCCAGGCTGGTCTTGAACTCCTGACCTCAAGAGATCCTCCCACCTCTGCCTCCCAAAGTGCTGAAATTGCAGGCATAAGCTACCTTGCCTGGCCTCTTTGTATTTTTTTAAATTGGTTTTTCTAAGGATTCACTATGAAACCTTAATTGAGTATCCTTACAGTTAAAATTTTACCACTTCACGTAAAATATTACGACCTTTAACAATCTAATTCTATTTATACCCTCATCTTTTGTGGTAATATGCTATTGTTGTTCCATATTTCACCTTTTTATATGTTATAAGTCCCACAATACGATGTTATATTTTGTATTAAATAGTTCCTTGTCTTTTAAAAACATTAGACAATTAGCTGTTTATTAGTGAAATCCAGAGAAGAAAAAATGGTCACAAATCATTTTTGATATTCTTCCTTTCTTTCTGTATATCTGGTTTTTATTGAGTGTTATTTCTTTTCCTCTTGAATAATTTCCTTGAATATCTCTTTTGGTGTTTGTCTGCTGGTAACTCATGCTTTTAGCTTTTAATCATTTGAGAGTATATTTCATATTCATTTTTGAAGCATATGTTCACTGGATAAAACTCTGAATTTATTTCCTTTTATAGCATTATAAAGATGTTGCATAGTCTACTAGTCTTCATTGTTTCTAGTGAATAATCAGCCCTTATTTGTAATTTTGTTTCCCCGTAAGTAATATGTCCCTTTTCTCTGGAATTTTCTCTTTGTCTTTGGTTTTCAGAAGTTTAACTAGTTTCTAGGTGTGGTTTTGTTGTATTTATTTGGCCTGCATTTCCCTGAATGTCTCAAACCTCTTAGTTGATGTTTCTCACCAAATTCAGGTAATTTTCAGCCAGTGTTTTTCTTCCTTTATTTTTATTTTTTGATCTCTGAGTCACATTTTCCTGGTTGTTTGTACAACTCATACTTTTTAATTATATATTGTATGTTGTGGATTATCCATTGTAGATACTCTGTATTCTATTATCTTCCTCTGAAAATTTTTAACTTTGGGGGCAGGAAGCAGTTAAATTACCTGCTGCACACGTTGAACTTGTGGAAACTTAGTTTTTGCACTGTTAGGGAGAGTCTTTTTTAATTTTGTTTTTAGTCTTAGGGCAAATCCTTAGTCCTGGCATATTGAATTTATTCCTAAGGAGTTGCTCCTCTGGAGTTTCAGTGGAAAGCCCAAGGTGTTTATGAATTCTTTCTAACTTGATAGGATTCCAATTCAAATTCTGTTTCTCTTGCAAAGGGCATCAGCTGAAATCTCTTTTCAGATTTTCCAGATACACAGCTCTGTTTTTCATGGGTTCATTTGAGTCTTCCAAATACATGGCAAGTTCAGGGGTCAGCAGCCACCTGTAAGTTCAAACTCTGTCTTCTGACACATTAAGCCAATTAAACTGACTTTCTATTTGCATTCTAGCCACTCCATGCTATGAAGACCAGAAAGCGTCTTCATGGGAAAAACTATGAAAACAGAATTTCATTTAGTAAAATGCCTTTCATTCTAGGATGGAATCCACTCCAGTTTCTGTTTAATTTTGGTAGCTCTCAGGAATCTTCAACATCTATGGGTTTTTTTCATATTTTGTTCAGAGTTTATATTTATTATCTATTGGAGGACAGGGCTGATATGAGCTATTCTGCCATTACCAGAATTTGATTTTATAATAGAACCTTTTGCGCCAATATTTTGCATGTATCACATTAATTCTATCTGACAAAATGTAAGTTTTAATGGGCCCTTGAAGAGGTAGTCACTTTATTTTTCCTCTATTCTATTCTTTATTATCAATTCACTGGTAATCATTGAGACTATTCAGTGGTAATTTCTCATTTAGTTTTCCATTTTGATCTCTTCTAGAACATATTTTTTCATGTTACTCTTCTGGTTAAAAACCTCAAAAGACTTCTTAGCTTGGCATTCAAGGTGCTTAGCAAATTTGGTCCCTATTTACTTTTCTAATTTCATCTCTTATACTCCCCTTTTTTTTTTTTTTTACATAAACCCAAGCCATCGCCAGCTTCTTTTTATTCCCTAAAATGTCCTTTGCTTTTTTTTTTTATAACCCTGTGCCTTTCCTCACACTGATTTCCAAGCCCAAAATAGTTTCACATTCATACCTGCTGGTAAATTATTACTTCTCCTTTAAGATGCTGCTCAAGCACCGCTTCAACTCTGAAGCCTCCCTAATATTCATCTCTGTCCACTCCAATTGTGTTAGTAGCTTATTTTCCCTGCTCTAATAGTATTTTTAAATTACCGCTGTTAGCATCGTTTGTAATTTTTAATTTATGTGTCTTCTCCCATTGGACCAAATTCCTTAAAAACAAAGTGCACATGTTATTTATCTTTGTATACCCCATCACAATGCTGGGTACATATGAAATGTGTCAGAAGTGTTTATTGAATTAATACATAAATAAATTATTACTAGGCACATTATAGAATTAACTAGAATTCCCCTGAGGAATAACTTTATATGTGCACCAGGCACTCACTCATTCACTCTGATATCCCTTGGAATTTAACCACGAAGGGGCCTCTCCAGGATTAGTTCAGGACCATTGCCAGAGGCTATGATGGTGAAACTGGCCTTCTTTCCAACCCACCTGGAAAAACTCAATTTCGTCTTCTCTTTAAATCATTCAAATCACAGATTTCTAAGGAGATATTTGCCTTGGCAATTTCTATTTTCTCTCTGCAGATTAACTATCTTTAATCTAACCGAAAGTTTGCCTTTACACAAACTGAGATGAAGGATGAATTAACCAATTTGAGCCTTCTAGGGGAAGTTGTACAGAGCAGCCTCTCCTGGCATACGGGACCTTGCTTTCCCTTGAAGCCTACTGTGGTGCTGTTGATCTCTTGGCCTTTCAGCAACTGTCATTTGGGACTGCTGTTGCTGGTAATTAAAGACTCTTAGGTCAGCTGGAAAGCCGTCTCCAGGTACATAACTGTGGGTCTAGGCTTCTAACTGCTTTCCATGAAAAATCATACGCTGAACTCACAAATGACCCCTCTGCTGTTAAAAGGAGAAGAAGCTGCCTCATAGAATTATGAGCCATTCCAAGTTCTGGATTCTGATGCAGACTACTGGCTATTTAAGAATGAAATACTTGGTTTTTTGCACTTAATGATGAATGGAGCAGAATGAAATCATACAATATGCTGATTTTTAAAATTAATTATAACAAAGTGAATTTTAGACTTCAGATACACAGATTAATAGTATACCTTTTGAAAACAATTTATAGTATGCTGTAAAATTTTTCTTATCTATTTATAAGGGTTTTCCAGATATATAATTTCCATTTTTAAATTTCTGAATTTATACACACACACATAATCATATGTATTTCTACTGCGGCAACAATTCTTTAACCATTTTGTTTCAGAAGCAAAGTTTAGGGACACTTTCTAAATGTTCTTTTGACTTTGTGGCCTCTAATACTTTCTTAAAATTCTGAATCTAAGTTTAATTCAAACTTAGATTGTAAATTCAGGTAATAGATAAGTTGTCAGCTTTAAATGAAAAAAAAAGTAATATTGGGAGATGTTTTCTATCAGAATATTGAAGAAATATTTGTTGAAAACATCTATCTTTCTGCATAGTACTCATATGGATGCTTCAGTGAGTTCCATATAAGCCTTATATGGCATAGTCACTTCGAAAAGACAGAAAAGCAGAAACCTTCAATATGTATTTGTGGGGCATTTGTGGTTTATATTACTGTATTTTCTGTACATTACCCAGGTGTTAATTCAGATATTATAAATCTAGGGAAGGATAGACTCCCTTTCTAGGATGTTAGTGGTGGTGGTGAAAGCAAAGGTGAGACCATTTTTATATGCAAATTTGGTTTGTTGTTGTTGTTTTCATTGACTTTCTAATTAAGGAGAGTGACCTCCTGGGCATAATTTGCATAGTCATAAGATAGTGTTAGAGTACTACATATTTGGGAGATAGGACAGGAAGGGGGCAAAAATAGGAAGAGTGGTAGAAGGAAAAACAGGAAAACATTTTCCAAGTTTTGATTTTGCAAAGGGATCTGGGCATTGCAATCTGTGTGGTGTTAAACGTCGCTGTTGTAGTTGATCAGGTATCAGATTCAATTTAAAAGTAGTTTCAAATGTTGGCCTCCCTGGGTAAATCTCTTCTTCCCAAATCTTGGTTCATCTGATACAACATTTCTAGTTTAGCTTAGGATGTCCCCATTCATTTCTAGTTCACTCCTTCTGGAAGACAGAAGAGGTGACCAGAAAAAAGCAATGTGCACATGATCTAAAGCATTTTCTATTCTTCTCCTTCTTAATTCATGTTTTTGTTCTGTGCACTGTGCTCGAATTTTGCAACTTCTGGAAGCATTACATGTGAGTCCCAGAGAATTGCTGTGAAATCAATTCCTTGTCCTTCAGCTCCTGAAGATAATATGTGATGTAGGAGGAAAGGAAAAGGTCAGTGCAGGGTAGAGGTCAGACTTGAGCTCTGTTCCTCAGAAAAAGGTAGAAACTGGTAAAGTAGAAGAGAGTAGGAAGGATATGTGAAGACTGTGGTACAGCATGTGTGGGAGAGAGATTGGGCATATGTATGGCATATCTGGGAGACTCTATTGGTATGGAGTAGAGAATCTAGAATGTTTATACCAAAGCCAGCATCTAAAAATCCACTATGATCTCTGTCAGTCTTTGAGACAGTAAAACTTCCCATTTACGATGAAATACATATTTTAAATGAAGAAATAAATGGAAGCTGACTATTTGGTTTTGCTAGAGGTGGAGAGAAAGCTACAACAGTAAAAGCAGGCTCAAATGTTAATCACCTGTGGCATAGCAGTTAACTTAGAATAATATTGAAATGTTTTTGCATCTGACATTCTCCACAAACCTGTCTCCTTTTATGTGAATGCATGTCAGTATATAAATTGCTGAATCCATGTCAGTTGTAAAGTAATGGCACTGAGGGCATCATAAATTACCATGGTGATCCTCAGGAGAAGACACTGTCGTATCTGAATGAGTGTTTCACTTCCAGAGTAATGTATGCCTTCATCTGGCCCAGCAGTCAGCATATTGCCCTGTGTTGATGGATATTGTCAGCTGGAAGCTACACTACATTTCACTGCGCAATAAACATGGCTGTCAAACCCATATAAAGTGAAATCAATTTATCCTGTATGGTCAGTGCATTTTAAATGAAATTAATGTACTGTGGGTATCGTGGCAAAAAGGTATCATATTAGTTATGCATCTTGGGATCTAAGACTTTTCATGTAAAGGATCATTCTGTCTAGTAGGCCTAAAAGAAGGGCTGTTTATAAAATATGTTATTTTTGTATAATCTTCAGAAAGTAGCCTTTCTGCCCTCCTTCCTGTTTAGAAAAAAATTCATGTTAGCCAATCCCACCCTTTTATACTGTCTTTTGTTTGCAGTAAATGATAACCATATTTGCTAAATAATAGTGCACTATAATGTTGTAATTTATTACTGGCTTTGACACAAACAAATGTCTACTTAACCAAGGTATCTAAAAATAGAGAGGAAGGGCCAGAGATTGATTGAATCATGTTGGTCCTGTATAATAACTTCACTGAGCAGAAAGGATTTACTTTTTCCAGAAAATAGAAATGTTGGTTTTAATGTATATTTTGCTTCTAAACTTCTGGGCGTAGACTTTCCTGTTATGCGGTAGAAGCCTTGTCTGAGGCTATCAGTCTGACCACTTTACCTTTAATTATAGAAGTTCTCAGTCTGTAGGAGATATTCAGGAGTTGCCACATCACAAAGTATACATCAGTATATCGCCCTGGTATAGGGTGCATGAAAACAAGTAAGAACTATGTTCATTCATTCATTTATTTATTCATTCATGCATTAATATAACATATTTTACTAATTGAAATCCTATGTGCCAAGTACTTTATTGAATCCTAGGAATACAGCAGTGAATAAGACCCATCCCTTGCCCTATCTTCAGGGAGCTTTCAATCTAGTATGTTACTAGAGTCAGCTCTTTGGAAATTATATAGCATCAGGAATTTAGGCATAGTTTCATAGATGTTAAAGAACTACCCTTAAACAACAGAAAAATAGAACAGGACGCTTGAAATAAATGCCTCTTAGTCTATGACTTTTGCATATGAGTTGAAAACCAAATAATCTTTGCTTAATGAATATTTTATTATCTATTATGTGAAAAATCCTGAGGATACAAGAATAAGTACAGCATAATCATTAACTTTAGGTATCTCGTATTCCTGAGAGGAGTGGAAAGGAGGGAGATAGTCACATAAACAATAATTACTATGGGGCATGTCTCCTGAAAGCAAGAGGACTGAGTGCAGCCTGGGGAGCATCACTGCAAGTGCTGTTCCTTTACCCTGAATTACCCTTCCCATCAGACTTTACTCCCTCTCCCACTCACTTGTTGATTCCTATTCATCCTTGAAGACTCGGTTTAGACATCACATCTCCTAGGAAGCACTAGCTGACCATTCTATCTGGTGCTTTTTTGGTGCCCTGTTAATGTCAGTATTGTAGCACCTCTCACCCACTTTGTTATAATTGTCTGTCCTTACTCTGAACTGTGAGCTCCTTAAAAGCAGGAGCTGTTTTATTTACCATGGTCTCCTTAGCACCTGGCATAAAACCTAGGTTATAGTAATTGCTCAATAAATATTTTTCATTGAATTAATTCATTCAATCATGAAACATGATTGAAGGTTGAATGGGATTTAGCATGAAAGAGTAGGAGAAGTGTCTTCTAGGCAGTGAGAAGAGCACAGGTCAAGACAATATTGTGAAAAACAATTCTATTTTTGGGAAACATATAGAGTGGTTGTGATCTGGGGCAAATGAGTCTAAAATGACCAGTAAGAGCATGTTTTTGAAGAAAGGAATTACAGCAGGAAAGTTTACCATAAGGTAATGTCATTCATTGCTCTGTGATCACCTACCATTTATTGTAGTAAATGTGGTAGGGTGTATAAAACACACACAAAATTAATTCTTAGTGTGTCTTTGAGGGCTACATCAGAAGAGCCTGTAGAACTGTCATTTGAACCTGCCTTCTACTTCCAAGAAGTCACTTAGAAAAGAAGAGGAGGACCTGGGGAAAACAGCTGACCCAGGCGGCAAGCTGTGTGACATTATCCACAAAATAACGCTTTCCACTCATCTTGTTCTTCCTGCCCTGACATTACAGGAAGTAAAGCAATGAATGGCTCTGCAGCTAAACTACAGCAGTATTATTGTTGGCCAACAGGAGGTGCCACTGTGGCTGAAGCACGAGTCTACAGGGACGCCCGCGGCCGTGCCAGCAGCGAGCCACACATTAAGCGACCAATGAATGCATTCATGGTTTGGGCAAAGGATGAGAGGAGAAAAATCCTTCAGGCCTTCCCCGACATGCATAACTCCAACATTAGCAAAATCTTAGGTGAGTGCAGCAGTGCAGCTAAAGCTGATCTTCTCCCCTGCAAATCCCATGAGTGCCACCAGGGTGGGAAGCAAGGGGATAACTAGGATCCTAAGGGAGATTGTGGCGGGCGCAAGTTAGACGAAGGTCAGCCAGCTGCCGCAGGAGCCTTCGTCATCACGTCTGCCTCCCCCACCCCATAATGTGGCATGTAGGTTTGGGAGTTATTATATCCACCAGGTGCCAGGGCAGGACTGTCTGAACACTTATTTCAGAGACAAAACTATTTATAGTATGTGTTAATACTGTGAATTTAGCAACTCTTGAGAGGTCACTGCTAAACAAGAATCGTGGAGACAAGCTTTATCTCCTTTTACTGTGCAGTTCTCTTAAATTCATATGTTGCTATGAAGTACTCATAGACCCTACAGTTTTCTGCTTTAGTGTTCTTGGGTTTATATGTCCCACTGAAAGAATTCATCAAGGACTAGAAACCCAAAATGGTATGAAATTCATGGAGTGCAAAACAGTGCCTCTGATGATCACTTTAAAACTTGTAAAATAAATCTACAATTATTTTAATAAGATATGACTAGTTCAAATTTCATAGCAGTGAGCTGAACACACGAGCTGCAGGGGAGAGGCCCAGTTTGTGGTAAATTGCCAGAGTGATTCTCTATTTCTCAGGATTAAACTCAAGCCTTGTTCTATTAGTGTAGAGCTTGCCTAGTGTGGATTGTACAGCTTGGAATTATTGTGCTCAACATGTTAAACATATTTTATTCAACATGCAGCATTACAGTCAACATGTTTCCTCTTTAAAAAGGAAAAACACAGAAGGCACTGCTCTACTTAAAGCTGTCACGATGTGACAAAATCTCAAAGGAAGCCATTTAAGAAGCTGAAAAACATTAGAGACTTAAACTGTGGTTTTAATTTTTTAAATGTTTTGTTCAAAAGTAATAAATATTTAACCTGAGTAAATATCAGTGATCTGGACATGCACAGATACACATGTTTTGTCACTGTATAAATAATTTAACTTGATTCTGAGGCATTTTGAGGCAGTGACCTCTAAGAAAAATTTAAAACATACATAAGATCAAATAGTGGTGAAATGTTAAATATGTTTTTCTTTTTTTTTTGATTTTCTAATTTCAAAATGGATACTAAATGTCATTACAATTAAGTGTGGTTTTTATTTTTAGAGCTTCAGAGTTATGCATAGGGATGTTATTTTGAATTTAAATATCTTTCAAACCAAAATGTTCCTAGTGGACATACATTTTTTTTTTTCTAGTTAAATGACATTCTAAAAAAAAAAAAAATCAGTGCTTCTCTGGCCTTACAGTTTTATATCTAACTTGAAGATTTTCATATTTTTCTGCCCTTTTAGTAGCAATATGAGTAAGCCTTCAGATGGGCACAGAGCCTCTCTGTTTCCATTTTGGCAGCTGTGGGGAATCTATATTATTTGTGTGCATTCTGTGAAAAAATTATTAGGAATATAGTAAGTATATTCATTAAAATGTAAAGTTTTAAGTGCAAGCGTTTCAAGAGCACCAAGAATTCTTCGTTAATTGGGGCTTTAAGCTGCTGGAAACCAGCAGAACACAGAGAAGCCTATCTGCTTAGGCCTTCTACACAACTTTTGAACAACAATCAGGAAAGAGCAGGGATGCATGTGCTATTAAAGCAGACTAGGATATTGCTGGCTGCAGAGAATATTTGTACAACTTTTCCATTTGTTTATGTATGAAAAATCTCCACTGAAGAATCGCTAACATCCAGTCTGCACAGCTGTTACCGCTTTATTCACCAGCGAGACACAAAAATGCAATTTGATACATGTAAAAAAACACATCCCCTCTTCATCAAGTGTTTAGATAATTCTTTATAAACAATATTAGAGAAGTGAATACTTATCCTTCTTCCTGTATAAACCGTATTAAAATTTTTGTACTTTTATTGGTACAGCTTTGAATGAGCGTTTATAGTACTTGAAAATGGTATATATAATTCCAATGGTATCTTCCGGTTCTAAAGCTATAACTTCTTAGGTAGAGCTTAGGTTTTTTAATTACCTAGGCCATGGCAGACTTGTGCACAGTAGTTTTTTATATATGGAATGATTTCAACATCTGCTGACATCTTGTCAAAGGATAGTTTCACTAAAGATACTTGGAGTTTGGGAGATGTTTGAATTTCTAGGACAAACAAAGCTTTTCCTGAGAATCCTGTCATGCTCAAAAGTATGCTTAGGAGGTTTAGCCTTTTATCCCTGTTGAGAGGGTAGGCAGGTGGATGGGGAAAGACCTTGGTGTAGGCAATGATCTTTAAGCAGCAAAGATATATTTTAAAATACTATAGTAGCATCAGTCTTAAACTATTGAGATAAATAACACAAGAAAGTATCATACGCAAAATTGTTCTTTGTGTTATAGACTAAAAGTATAGTTGGGACAGCCAGTGGTATGTGGGAATTGGAGCCACCCA
Source organism: Homo sapiens (assembly GCF_000001405.40). NCBI lineage: Eukaryota > Metazoa > Chordata > Mammalia > Primates > Hominidae > Homo > Homo sapiens. Next base: position 15,986,521 of record NC_000011.10, on the reverse strand, counting down.
GCGCACAGATGAGTGAAGTGATGGGAAGGTATATCTAGTTGTGTTTGCCTAGAATATGTTGCCTTGACCACTTGGGTACTTAAGGCTATTTTTATTTCTAGGATCTCGCTGGAAATCAATGTCCAACCAGGAGAAGCAACCTTATTATGAAGAGCAGGCCCGGCTAAGCAAGATCCACTTAGAGAAGTACCCAAACTATAAATACAAACCCCGACCGAAACGCACCTGCATTGTTGATGGCAAAAAGCTTCGGATTGGGGAGTATAAGCAACTGATGAGGTCTCGGAGACAGGAGATGAGGCAGTTCTTTACTGTGGGGTAAGTATTCCTGAATTTAGCCACCTGGGCTTTACTTTTGCGGTAAGTAACTATAGGATGGCTACTGGCAGTATGTTTGGGAAGGAGATTAGGGAAAGAGGAGGTTGTGGCATACTGAAGGGGCTTGGCCATGAGAATCTTTGCTGTGTCATAGGGGCACTGCCTTGCACCATGGCTTTTGCTCAAATCAAGCCAAACCTGGAACAGTTCACTCCCAGCTGATCACCCCTGTCATTGTCTCCCAAGCCAATTTAAGATGCTCAGTGGCCACACACAGAGTTTCTGGTAGTTTATTTAAGCAGATACACAGGGAGGAAAAATAAAAACTAACCTTAAGAAATCCCCATAAGCTTTCCAGCTTCTCTGGGTGGTGCTTCTGACTCTAATCACAATAGTCTGCTTTTGTTGTGGGATCTACCACAAGATAATTGGCCTCGACATTGGTTAGAGGACCTCATTTTTGGCATAAGATCCAGAACTCCTGTTGCAGTAAATTATTCTGTGGTGGGAGCAGTAACAATGTGTATTTTCTTGCTTAAATCAGAAACTAGACATGCTTTTGATATCTTCAAGTCTGATTTCATGTCATTTTGTTTAAAAATTAGGTAATAGATTTCTGGTATAAATTTCAACTTGGCTGACTGGCTGTCTGCATTCAAAAGAGGCCCCTCATAACCACAGTAGTCAGGATAAGTGGGGATGCAGATGACTGTAGATTCCAGCATACCCAGACCTAGAAGCACAGCAGGGTGGCAAATCCAGAGGGCCATTTGAGGCACAGACCTGAAGCAGCTGGACTCAGAGTAGGGAAACACTTGGGAAAGAGCTTGAGAGAGAGAAGCAGAGTAAGCAAGAGGGAAGTTGCATTTGCTGTGAAGTTGGAGGAGAATTGAGGAGCTGTGCTGTGCCAGGAAACTAAGAGAGCTTCACTTGAAGGTAGAAAAAGAGGTACCTTAAAGGAGAAGCCAAGAGCTATTCACTTTTAAGGGCACTCAAGAGGTAACCCTGTGGAACAAAAAGTTGTTTTCAGAGCATGTGTTTAAAAGGAATAGTAAATAGAGTAAGAAAACAAAGCCAATGAACGTAGTCTGGGTCATGAATCTGTGCAATACACTGCAGTGTTTTCGGGAGGAGCGTGGGCTTTGGAGTTTGACTTCTGGGGTTCACATACTGACTGTGCCACCTACCTGGGCAAGTTATTAAACTTCTCTAACTTTTGTTTTCTCATGTGTAAAATGAAATGAATAGTGGAAACTATCTTGTATGATTGTTGAGAAGATCCAATGAGGCAACGCTTTTAAAAGTACTTTATATAGTGCTTAATACGATATCAATAAAGGTGAACTCTAGCATTATCATTACTATTTAATATGTATTTCCTATCACAGAAAACCATATTTTATATCACACCAGATGATCAGTGAATTTCTTTATACCATGGCAGAACCTTTTAGAGGTAGAGAGAAGCTTAAGCCACTTTATTATAAAAGATCCCAGTATGTTAATAAATGAAGACATGACAAAATAGGATTATCAAATTCCTCTGTATTATAAATGTTTGCATTTTTAAAGGTAATGCGTTTAACGCTAAAAAGGGCAATGTGGTATAATTGGGCTATTCAGCTGATAATTAGAGGATTTATGAAAAATACTAATTCATAGTCCACTTTAAGATTATGTGATAAACATTCTCTTTTAATCCCGTTAGTACACCTCTAAGATTGTGTATAATCTCTTTTGAACAATCCAAAGTTTAAGTTTGGGACCTCTTGTGATTCCTGCCCTCCCTCAGTCATGTTCCCTGTGTATGTAGTGATACATAGTGGGGCTGTTCCGCCAGTCTGGAAGGCTACTAAAGGTGCTGTTTTAATACCTTGGTGTAATACTTATTTGAAAATATGAGTTGCAGTAATACTATTGAATTTAGTTCCCTTTACTAAAGGGTACATTAAAACAGCTCTAGATCAAAATACCACAACATGTACCAATGCATGTAAAAATAAAAAACTAAAACAATTTAATAACATCTATTATTTATTGACTATCTAGTGTATACTAGGATTTTAGATATATAAGTCACATAATTCTCTAAATAAGATAAAGAAGTTGAGTTTTAGAGAGTTTCTATGGCTACAGAAAGGTGATAAAGAGCAAAGGTTCAAATTCAGGTATTGGCCCCCATCATGCCAAATGACTGAGGAACTGTCTTTACTACTTTGTCTCAAAATATGCCTCATAGCCCTATGCTGGCAGTCATGAGTGTGGCTATGCCATCTGAGCAAGAGCTCTTAGCACTTGGAGAAAATGAAGTCTCTGCTTGTGGTATATGGTACATAAAAAGAACTTTGAAATTTAGAGACTAAGTATCCTGTTCTCAATAGTGTAGAACAGTCCTTTATGGAAGGATCATTTTAGACTGCAGAATAGGGCTACTGAAGTGCAGGCAATGATCAGAATGTCTTATTCTTTCATCTCAATGCTGAGCATTTTCCTCTGCCCAGCTTTGATAATACTTGCTATGTAGAGCCAGGTGTTATTTCTGCTTAAGGATTTGTATTCTCTTTTAAGTAGTTGTAGTTGATAGATTATTAATTTCCTGAAGTTTTTCTTTGGAAATTGATCTTTATTACATATGAGGTTATTACAAGAGTTGAGCAAAAAACAAACAAAAATTCAAATATTTCTATTGACGTTTTGATGGAATGGGTTCAGATCAATTTTTATAGCTGATTTTGAAAAGACATGCATAACTTTCAAGCCAATAAAAGTGCATATACTGCTCAACATTTTCATGCATTTTACTGACTACACAACTGTGGCTGATGAGTTAGTTTTTTTTATTACTTAGCTATTATGAAATGAATTTATCAATAATATGGAAGGGAGCAATGTTAGCCCTTGCCTTGGTTTTAACCTCTTCAGTTCGCAGAGTAAGTATCAGAATGTTGTAATAATCTGGATAAGATTATTATCTGGATTATTCAAGATAATAAATGTGTGTGTGTATGTGTGGGTATAACACACTATTATATGCTAATCTATTCATGTATGTATCTGGCTTTGTATATTTGTTTGTATGTATCTGGCTTCTCCAACTACAGAATTCTCTGAAACTCATGTGTACAGAAATAATGCCTCATTTACTATACTAATTTAATAAAGTGTTGGACACATAGCTGGTTTCAAATAGGCCCTTACCAATTCTGAGTGTGGTGTCCAGAATATTCCCTCTACTATTAATGTAGAGGGAATATTCATTAGGGTACATGTAGCTACAATGACGTCTTCCCAAAGAACTGTGACCGAATATACTTCCATTTATTTGAAACTTATTTGGTAATTTACCTATGAACTCATAGAGAATTATGCAGGTACATTCAGCCCTCTGTATCTGTGTGGATTCAACCAATTGTGGATCAAAAATATTTTTTAAAAAAATTCGAGAAAATGTTACATTATTGCTAAAGTACACTATGTAGTTAGGTCTACAGTGGTTGCATCTGTATGGAACATCTACAGACTTTTTTTTTCTTGCGTTTATTTCCTAAACAATTCAGCATAACAAGTGTTTACATAACATTTATATTGTATTAGCTATTATAAATAATGAGATTGTTTAAAGTATATAGGGGATGTGTGTAGGTTATATGCAAATACTATACCACTTTATAAAAGGGACTTGAGCATCCTCAGATTTTGTTATCTGTGGGGGTCCTGGAACCAATCCCCCATGATACAGATGTAAAACTACTATAAAATATTAAATTTGGGGCTACTTTTTTAGCAATGATAAAGATAGATTATTGAATACTTACTGTGTGCTGTGTACTCTGCTGAGTGGATTATACAGATTATTGCAAATACAACAAATTTACAAGATAGGGAATATCATTCTCACTATTAAATTGAAAAATGCAATATTCAGAGATGTTAAATAATTTGTGTAGGGCCACACAGCTAGTAAATGGCCGAGCTGAGATGTAAACCAGGCTTATGTGAATGTGAAACATATGTCCCTTTTACCAAAGGACATTGGTAAGGACACGACATTACACACACAGAGGCGGTATAGCATTGTGGTTAAGAGCATCAATTCTGGAGTCAGACTAGTCTGGCTCAAATACTAGATCTGCACCTTCTTGGCTGTAGGAACTAATACATGGCAATCTTTATTCCTCTGAACTCTCCCCTTGCCCTTGGGAAACATTTAATCTCTCTCTAACCAGTTTCTTCATATGTAGAATGAGAATGACAATACCAATGACATATGCAGGACTCTTCTTGAAGCCTGAGTAACTTACTGTTTGTAAAGTGCTTAGAACATTGCCTGGCATATGAAAAGCTTTAAATTCAAGTAAATATTATTATTCTAGAAAAATAATACTGTGTGCCAAGTATATATTCTATGTTATATTACAATAATTATTTTAGTGCCTTGTACTATAAGTGATTTGAACATTTGCATTTTAATCTTAATTTTAAAGAGGTCGAATCAATCCTATTTAAGACACCTATAAAATACAATTACATTAGCATAGATTAGCCATGCTTTTTTAAGTATTGTCCTCCTGTAAAGACCCTGGATTAGAACATTCAATAGGTAAAGTGAACAGATTATTATTATTTCTGTTCCTTCCTGCAGTATCAGCTACAGAGATATGTGACGTATAGGCTTATCTCCTAATGAAACAAACTTCCTTGTCTTTATTTATACACTTTGAAGGGTCTGAAGGGTCAGCAAACAATGGGGCTTTGCCAGCATAAATATGTAGTTACTTTGTAATTGGCAAAGCTAGATTACACTCCAGAAATATTCCTGTAATTTGGAAGTCATGTAGCAATGGTGGGCTCTATCAGGGCCAGCTTTTACTCTTTACTTAGACTGGGAGGAAGGGTTCTTAAATATCTCTGTTCATATCAACTCATGTATATACTTTTACAAACATCCACAAATGTTGTTTTGATGTGCACATTCATTATTTGTAAAGCCCAATACCTGCCAGCTATTCCTGTTTGTGAAATCTGCAGTGTTTGAATTTTGACTTTGAAATTGATCTATAAAGGAAGGAAAAAATGCTTTTTAGGAAAGCAATTTCTGATAGACAAAGCTTGAACCTGCTGGCTGGATTTCTTATTTTGTTCATTGATTTGTTAGTTAATTGGTAAGGGCCTATTTGAAACCAGCTATGTGTCCAACACTTTACTAAATTAATATGGTACATGAGGCATTATTTCTGTACACATGAGTTTCAGAGAATTCTATAGTTGGAGAAGCCAGATACATACATGAATAGATTAGCATATAATAGTGTCTTATACACACACATACACACACAAGACATGGCACAGCACTGCATATAACATTTAATGAACTACTAATCTTCATTTTGTAGACAAGAGCAAATAAAGCTCAGAGGAAGAGAGATTATTATGCATTATGGCCAAGCATGGGACATTCTTGAGGAAGGGACTTGAAGTTTGGGTAGGTCAGACTTATGGGAAGTAGATTCCTGCTTTAGCATAGAGGAGAGCATGAACACCTGGGGGAAAATGTGGATATATTCAATAGTAAAAAAAAGAAGCAGCCTAAGGCTTTTTCCTGGCAGTAAAGAAAACATAAGATGGGTAGGGTGGAGGAAGATTTTGGAAGCCATTGAAAGCCAGGTTTCTTCAACTGTAATTAGCTATGCACAGTTAGTGTGGTTTTTTTAGTCTCTTTTTATGCTGATAATGATAAAAGAGAGCAAGATCAGCGTGATGGTTAGCTTCTGATTTTGCATCCACAGAATTAGTTGCAACATAGAAGGGGCCTCAGATGTTATATACTTCAAGCCATTGGAGGAGTCTTCCCTAAGTTCTTGAACTCTTCCAAGGGTAGAGAGCTCACTGCTTCCCAAGGGAGCTAGTTCCTTTGTGGAACATTTCCTAATACTAGAAAGTTTTCTTTTCTGTTAACTAAGCCATAATCTTCCTTCCTCCTACTTTGCAGATTGGTTCTAATCTTCTTCTTTCGTGTCTCCTAGAACAAATCTCCCCTTTATTTATGAGAATAACCATTCAAGCGTCTAAAGATGGTTATTTTCATACAGCTAGTCTCATTACATCTTTTCTTCCCTGAAATAGATTACTTAGAATTTTCATTTGTTTTTTCTCATTCATTCATTCATCCTATGTATTTAACAGATATTTACTGAGTGCCTCCTATGTTACAAGCAGTCTGAGTTCTGGAACTATGTCAGTGAAAATTTTTGTCTCATGAAGCTTATATTCTAGTGATAGAATTCAAACAAATAACAAACAAACAAATAAATAATAGTGAGAGGTGCCTTAGAACAAAGTAAAGTAGGGAAAGGGATAGGAAGTTTCAGCTTATAGGGTGCAATTTTAAATAGGGCAGTCATGGAAAACCTCACTGAGAAAGCAACATTTGAGCAAAGGCCTCAGTAGGGAAGGGAGCAAGCTGTGCAGATATCTGGGAAATGTGGGCAGAGAGAACAGCAACTGTAAAGGTTTTGAGGCGAGATTGTGCCTAGCTTGTTCCAAGAAGAAATAAATAGGCCAGAATGACAGGAGCAAAGTGAGTAGGTAGGAAGAATAGTAGAAAAGACTTTTAAGCCATAGTCTTCATAATAAGGAACCAAGTTATGAAAAGACTTGTAAGACATTGTGAAGACTTTGTATTTGACCCTGAGTGAGATGGAAAGGCATTGATGAGTTTTAAGCAGAGGAATGCTTTCATATGACTTAGGTTTTGAAAGGATCACTCTATATGCTATGTTGAGAATTTTCTGAAGGGAGAATGGCCTGTAGCAAGGAAGCTAGCCTCTTACAATAAACCAGATTGGAGTTGATGGTGGTTTGTTCCAGGTTTGTAGGGGTGGAGGTGGTAAGAAGTAGATGGGTTCTAGATGTATTCCTGAAGAAGAACCAATAGGATTTGCTGATCAATTGGATACAGAGTTTGAAAGAAATACAGTTACCATAGATTGGCCTATTCAACTGGAAGGATGAAGTAATCATTAACCAAGAACAGGATGGCCATGAGAGGGGCAGGTATGTGGGAGAATGATCAGGACTTTAAGTTCTGCACCTATGAGGTTGAGACAGCATTTAGAAATCCAAATCAAATAAGCAGTTTTATATATATATATATATATATATGTAAAATATATATAAAATAAGCAGTTATATATATAAAATAAGCATGTATATATGCTTATATATATGCTCATATATATAAAATAAGCATTATATATGCTTATTTTATATATAATATATAATATATAATGCTTATATATATTATATATAATATATATTATATATAATGCTTATATGTTATATATAATATATATTATATATAATGCTGATATGTTATATATAATATCTATATTATATATAGATATATATTTATATCTCCAGTGAGCCCTTTGCTCCTAAATTCTAGACTCATATATATATATAATAAGCATTATAATGAGTCTAGAATTTAGGAGCGAAGGGCTTACTGGAGATATAAATTGGGACGTTGTCAGCATATAGATAATATTTAAAGCCATGGAATTAGATGAAATCACCAAGGGAATCAATTTAGATAGAGAAGAGAAGAAGCAAGGACTCAATCCATGGGGACTTCGGTGCTTAGATGGCAGGGAGATGGGAAGGAAGCAGCATGGGAACTTAGAAGGAGCAGCCAATTAGGAAGAAGACCAGGAGGGTGTGGCATCTGAGAAAACAAGTGAATAAAATGTTTCAGCAAGGAGAAAATGATCAGCTATATCAAATGCTGCCCGTGTTATAGATCTGGGTAACATGAGGACCAAGAACTGACTTTTGGATTTAACAATATGAAGATTATTGATGGTGTGACCTTCATAAGCTCTGTTTCAGTGGTGTATTGGGAGTGATTGAAGTGGGTTTAAGAAAGAATTGAGTAGAAGAAATGAAGAAAGACAACTTTTTAAAGAGTTTTGCTTTAAAGGATATCAAAGAAATGAAGCAAGAGCTGGAGGGGGAGATGTGCCGAGAGAGGTTTTTGGTTGTTTTTTATGGTATGAGTGATTATAGCATGTTTGGTGGGAATTCTATAAAAAATTAATGATTCAGATAGGAGAGACAATTGCTGGAGAGATATCTTTAGTAAACAAAAACAGATAGTTTCAGTGCACAAGCAGAGGGGTTAGCCTTATATTGGATTATGAACTGATTCAAAATATGGAAAGGCAGGCAGAGAATGGGGCACAGATACAGGGAGGCCAGTCAACGTGACAGTGGGAGTTTGTGAAAAGTTTCTTCTGATTGCTTCTAATTTCTCCATGAAATAGAAAGCCAGGCCATTAGCTTGGAGTGAGAAAGGGGGAGAAGTTGGATATTTGAGGAAAGTTAAGAAGGTAGGAAGTAATTGTCTAGGAGGCTAAGAGAAGGAGTAGGCTAGAACAATGTGCAATATGATGGCTGAACAGCACCAGAGGCCTATTTGAAGTACAGCATTGTAAATTTAGAGACTAGTAAGTATGGCAGTGTATTTTCTCCAGCCAAGTTCAGCTGTGTGGCTAAACAGAGTAGGCAGAGAGTTAAATTGAACTAAAGTTGAAGTTTTGCTATGTAAGAGAATGGAGAGTGTCTGCAAGGGAGTGAGTAACCATGGAATTGGAACTGGGTAAAGAGGTAAGTGGGGGCACAAGCAGGGAGAGGCTCAAGTAACTGAGGGCAGTGAAGGTGGGTTGAAGGATCAGGAAACCGTAGCTCCTCAGATGGGGTGGGGAGTGAAATCATAAACTGGGTACTAAAGGGAGAAAACTAGAACAATAAGATGTGGTGGTTAGAGAGTGGGATATTTAAAACTGAGATTAGGGAGGAGTGACAGATGAAAATGACAAGGTCCACTGTATGACAAGAGAGCGAGCAACTAAGATAGGGAGGGGCCCAGATTATCACAGTGGCGGGGAGGTCACACTGAGATAGTCGGGTGTTGGAATGAACATCTACAGAGATAGCAAAGACATCAAGGATCATGGCAGAGGTTATGTTGAAGAAACAGCAACAGTGAGCCAGGAGCTAACATCTTTAAGGAATGAGGGGGATTGATCAGGCAGGGGGTAGATAAAGGTATGAGTGGGTGACATAGTCTGGTGACATGAGATTCAAAGATGAGATTTTTAGGATGGAGGGATTAAAAAGTAGGTTGGACGAGGCAATGAGGAGCTAAGAAGGGAACTACCCCACCTCCAGGCCCATTCATGTGAGGGGGATGGAAAGCAAATAACCAACTCTTCCGAGGGCCTTAGGGAGACTCGTGGCCTAGAGAGAGAGCCAAGTTTCAGTTAGAGTAAGAAGGTGAGTCAGTAAGGACTGACAGTTGAGTTCCAGAGGGTATAATGGAAATATTTCAGGAATTAGAGAAAGGAGGGAGTTAGGGTTAGAAAAAGGGTTATACAGAACCAAATGTTATTCTTTGGGGACTTTTTTCTTTTTAAACATTTCTTAGAAGATGTCAACATTTTCCCTTCTCAGATGCCCTTCTCTACAGTTCTGCGGTAAAGAGGAAGTCCTCTCCTGGCCAGGCTTGTGAACCAGAGTATTGTTTTACAATTAACCGCCAATTCCAAATGGCTTCTGTGGGCTGGCACTCACGGAGAGTCCAAAGCATTACCTTGTCATTTCCTTGGTGCTCCCCCAGACTTAGAACATGCTTGCTCTCTGTGAGGTTTACACCAGCTTCCCAAAGGAGGAAAGGAAAGGGAATTAACATTTTCGTCTACTCTATAATGTAATGCTTTGCATATATGTTCTTACTTAATCTTCACAGTCCTGTCAAATGTGAATGTTCTAATTTATAGACGAGGAGAGGCAATGTCAGTGATAATAATTAGCCTGCCCAGGATCACACAGCCAGTAACTGGTGCAGCTGGGATTTAAACCCAAGCCATTCTGACTCCAAAACCTGAGCTCACCATACCACATAACCTTCTTCCCAGAAGGCTTGGAGAGGCAAAAATCATCTCTCACAGGGATAAGTTCTCACTCTAGCATTTATGTACAACCTCGAACAGTTGTATGTGAATGTGAGAACCTTACCAGAGCTGGACTCCCTTCATTTCCTCAAGGTGGGGAGTAACCCCTGGGTTTTTACCCTCACTGGCTTTTAGCACTGTCTGGGGGCTTAAAACAGCCATATATATCTCTCCACTCCCAGGACTAGGCTTTTGAATATCATGCATCTCACTCTCACTCTAGAAAGTAAATTGTACAGATGTTTTATTTGCTTGTTTATTTATTTTTAGCATTCCATTACCAGCTTAAAGTCCAAATACTCTGAACTATGTGGAGCCCAGTGTAGAAGATTTTGATTCCGATTTAAATTGCTAAGTTTTTTCTGATAGTGTGAGCTTGCCTTTCTCACCCTGATCTTGATATGTGCTAGGGAATTTGTGACACGGGGAAGGTTCAACTCCTGATTATGGTACTTGCGTGGCCTTGAACAAACAGCTTGAATTTTCTGAAACTTAATTGGTCACTTCATGTGTAAAAGAGGGAAAATGATACCTACCTCTCAGGCTTATTATGAGGATTCAAGAAGATAATGTAAAAACACCTAAATATAGTTCCCAGCACATAATACGAGCTCAATTTAAATTTATTCAGTAGACCTATTGATATAGATATTCTGGTAAAAATACTGCAAAAAGTGACCATCTATTCTTTGTGAAAAGGAAACGTATCATTTGATAGTGTGTTTTTATGCAGAGTTTGTATTACAGATCAGCTTGCCAAATTGGGAAATCTGTAAAATGGGTTAACATTGCAGTAAAAGCTTTCCCTCTACACTCATAATGTGATTAAGGCAAAAACATTTTATTGCAGTTATCCAAATTCAGTAAAAAAACCAATGAGGCATTATAAGGTTAGCATAAAATTTAATTTGTGTTAATTTGCCCAAAACTTAGGAAGCCAGAAGTATACTGTTTTAAAATTTGATTCAATAAGAGGGAACTAATATTTTATATGATGTTTCTATACATAGATTTAGATTCCTCTATTATCTGCTTCCTTCAGGCAACCAAAAAACTCACCATGAGAATCATAAAAACTGGGTCAATGTCAAGTGCTTAGTGTCAACTAGGTGCTGACAGGTTCTATAGAAGTCAGGCATTTTTATGATATACAGTGAGCTTAGTGTATCTGTAGATTGAATATCTATAAAGGAAAGAGTGATGGGATTCAAGTCAGCCAATGGCTTAGATTCACATTCTGGCTCTGCTGGTTATTGAATGCAGGGCTTGAAGCAAGGTCTGATTTTCTTCATCTGGAAATGGAAAAAATAATAACTTATGGGGCCATGATGTTAATTGGGTGAGTTGGTATACCTGAAAATATTTTATATGTTATGTTAGGGATATGATGTGCCTTGTGGTGATTAAAAGAGATTGCTAAATTCAGCGTGAACCAATATCTCACAGAGTGTTTCTAAACCATCTGCATCCCTTCTCCCTCTGCCAGGCTGGAGGGCATGGAGGTCTTTGTGAGAAAATTATGTTCCTCTGGACATGTCAAAGAATAAACCAAACACCGCATATTCTCACTCATAGGTGGGAATTGAACAATGAGATCACATGGACACAGGAAGGGGAATATCACACTCTGGGGACTGTGGTCGGGTCGGGGGAGGGGGGAGGGATAGCATTGGGAGATATACCTAATGCTAGATGACACATTAGTGGGTGCAGCGCACCAGCATGGCACATGTATACATATGTAACTAACCTGCACAATGTGCACATGTACCCTAAAACTTAGAGTATAATAAAAAAAAAAAAAAAAAAAAAAAAGAGAGAGCTAACAGAAAAAAACAAAAAAAAGAATGGCAGGTAGCTAAGCTACTTCTTCATAGATTCAGAGTATTTTCCTGTTTGAGTGAGATGGATAGAAAGTTTCAGTGATAATGTGTAGGGTGAGTAAGAATTGTCCAAGTGATAATTGACCTGAAGTCATGAGTACAAAAAGTGGAAGGACCTTCCAGAACTTCCCTGACCCCGGCTTGTATAAATATGTAGAAACAAAGGCTCCAAAAGGATAGTTACAATGACAACTTGAAACAAATTCAACTATAATTTACTATCCATTAAAGATTGAGAAACTCTTGGTGAATATTGCATATATGAAAATAATATTTTCGCCATAGTCTCTGAGTTAGGTAGATGTTTCATTCCTGTGTACCAGTTATAATGCCTTAAGTGAAGTTAAGAGACAGTAATCATGTCTCCCTGCAGAGGAAGAGATTGACCTCCACAAAGGATCTGTTAAGTTTGTTTAAACTAGGGTAACATTATGGAGGAATGAACTGGTGTCCAGGCCTTGCCACCCTCTGGGATCTAGGGTGAGGCAGCGTATCTGGTGTCTACTCTGCAACTCTACTCTGTTGAGTTGCAGAGGTCTCACTGCTCTTTACTCCCAACTCTCTTAATCCCAACCCCAGTTCCAGCCCAGGGTCTCAGCAGTAATGACATCCAAGATGATCCTTCCACAGGGATTATTCCTAACAAGTTCAGCCATGGAAATATGTAGACATTTACATGAATAACAAATAAATGCTTTGCTGAATCTCACTCTTTGGGACATGCTAGGTCCCTTCTCATCTTGATTTATACATTTCTCAAACCAAGGTGAAGACACAAACCTGCTTAATAGTGTCATTATAATATGTTTCATGCCACTAGTCTAATTTTCAAAATGTGCTGGGAGATCTTCAAAAATTATTTCACATGTAACATTGTGGAATTCACTACATCATTTGTTCCTAATGCCAGGTGTTATCCAAACTTTGCCATATTTACCAAGTTAAAAGAACCCTGCCTTTATGTTGCAAAGTCATCAGTAAATTGCTCCATCATATTGTTTAACCCCTAACATAGCATCAAGGAGATTTGCAGTACTCCTCCAGGGAACACCTTTGTCACATTTTATTTGCTTAGAATGTTATTTAACATTTATTTAGGGCTCCCTTTTGAAAGTGTAGGGTGTGAATTCCAATGCTGTACATAGCACATATATAGATATTTCTCCCTTGTCTGATTTTGTTTCTTGAATCTATATAGGCAACAGCCTCAGATTCCAATCACCACAGGAACAGGTGTTGTGTATCCTGGTGCTATCACTATGGCAACTACCACACCATCGCCTCAGATGACATCTGACTGCTCTAGCACCTCGGCCAGCCCGGAGCCCAGCCTCCCGGTCATCCAGAGCACTTATGGTATGAAGACAGATGGCGGAAGCCTAGCTGGAAATGAAATGATCAATGGAGAGGATGAAATGGAAATGTATGATGACTATGAAGATGACCCCAAATCAGACTATAGCAGTGAAAATGAAGCCCCGGAGGCTGTCAGTGCCAACTGAGGAGTTTTTGTTTGCTGAATTAAAGTACTCTGACATTTCACCCCCCTCCCCAACAAAGAGTTATTAAAGAGCCCGCATGCATTTGTGGCTCCACAATTACATCAGCAGAATGGTCTTAATTGTTTCGTAAAGTGTGAGACAGATTAAGTTTTCCCTGATTTTTCATGAACTTGAGTTTTTTGTTGTTATTGTTATTGTTGTTGTTGTTGTTTTTTTAATTTAGGTGAAGACATATTAAATATGAGACACCAGGACTTGAAACTTATCTCAACCCGTAGATGTCTTACAAGTCTTATATTTTTGTCTTACTTTTTTTTTCTTTTGGATGTTGATAAAGGTTTAAGTTACTGTTTTAGATGGGGTTAAACATTCTCACTCAGGTATGCTGTGCCGGCCTACAGGTTGTGAATGTGTTTTTATTCTGAATTATTTTAGAAAACAACTGAGGATTTCATATTGTGAAACAGAACAAGTCCACGGCGTGTGCAGCTGCATGTAGAGCATATTCAAAAGGCCTCGGAATTCCAATTTTCCATTTGTAGAGTTAAACTTTGAATGTGCCAAACTTTTTCGTAACTTTTGAATCTTAATATTTTGAAAGTCTTAAAGGAGACACTGCAAAGTCTTAGACAATCTTTGGCATCTTAAAATAAAATAGCAAACCAACATTTTTTTTTCCAGAAAATGGTAAGGTACTCAGGAATCTGGAGACAAGATATTGTAAGGAATGAACAAGGTTGCCACAGTGCATGGACCCAATTGTGTTTGCCTGTTGACGTGCCATCAGTGCGTGATGTGGTATGACATACACACACCAGAGCAACCGCCACACCAGATATCGACAGAGTGGTCTTCTCTGCCTGAGACCACCTCTCACTACATCCATTATCCCTTTGCCTTTAACCCTGACATTCAGTCTTAACACATTTTATCTTAAATAATTTATTCATTCCAGAATGTCAAGGGTCCACTTGCTATTTATTTTTTTTCAATTGTTGGTGGCATTAATTTAATAATTCTTGTTTTTCACCTTCCTTCCCCGAAGAACTTTTCCGTCCTTTTCACCTCCTTCTCCTGTGTACATAGTGATTTTATGTCCCCAGAACGCCTGGAAGCATTTCTGAAACCAAGATATTATTAAAAACCTATTATTGTTTTTAATCATGAGTATGTATCTGGCTGCAGGGCTGTGTATTGGGATATAGGTATATAGTCTTACACTTAAACAGGTATGCCCCTGAGGTTCACTGTGACCTCAAGTCTTTTGCCAGAATTTTCCCCTAATTCAGTTCACAAGTGGTAGGGTCTGCATCAGTGGCATTTCCCCCTGAATTCCATTCAGCAGCAAGGTTCAACAGTGGTGACTGCCAGGCAGGAGAGTCCTGCGGCCAAACCTGAAGCCCAAGGCTCGTGGGCCATGCAGGAATCTCAGTGAAGCTGTCATGGGCTGGCACCTTTACACTGAGTTGCCTTGTCCCAGCTGGCACATCTAGGGAGTTCATTGCAAAATCCCCAGGATGCAAAAAGCCACATGACAGCCTCAGAGCAAAGATGGTGGCAAATAGTCATGATACATCTAGAGAATGAAAGAAAACTGTAAGGGAGGAGAAGGAGGGGAATACATTCCCTATATGGGATGTTCCTACTGTTAACTCTGGGGAACAGATAGCTCCGGGGGCAGCAGATGAGTTCCTCTGGCTGACTCTATCTGTAGCCACATGGGGACCTGCCTACGTGTGAACAAAATGAACTGCACTTATCACACAAGGATTTCTTTGAAGACATGCTACTGGGGTGGGAAGCAGTGAGGTTTTATTCCCCATCTCCTAACTACAGGGAGCTCTGCCATGTCATTTTGGCCTTCCTGAAACTAGGACAGGTTGTCTATCGGGGGGCTTCCCCCAGAGAGGTTTAGTGGGAGAATGTCAGTGAATGGGATAGTTCACCTCATGGGACAACCCAGAATCTGATCACCAGGACATAGGAATGGCCCCATCAGATTTCTTGAGCCATTTTGTCACTTGGAAGAAAATAGTGTACCTTTGTATTTATTTAAGAGTGCTCAAGGCCTAATAGCAATAAACAGGTCTAGCCAAGAAATTACAAGCTATTCTGTTAGCTGGGAGTGCTCTCTATAAGCTGATTAAGGTACTGATAGGAACTCTTTGTTATTCATGTTGGTTGGGGATTAGAAATTTGTTTTTGTACATTTATTTCAAATGAGGAGGAGGTCATTTTTTCTCTCAAAAAATGAGTATTTATTATTGTCTTACTGATTTCTTTGATTATATACCTCTCCTCCTCAGTTCACTCTTGTTTTTTTTCTTTCTCTTTGGCTTTTGCTTTTGCTCTCTCTCACTTCTTTCTTATTTTGTTGCATTGGTAGAGTGTTGTATGGCTAGCATTGTATTGTATGTAATTAATTTTGCACAAAAGCAAACATTTAGCATAGTAGGTTAATTTTGTTTGTTTTTATGACCATGCCAAAATAATATTCTGGGCTGGTGGAGAACAAAGGACTGTTCTTTAGGACTGAAACTTGATTTTGCTCATAGTAAGTAAAAAAAAACAAAAAACACACACACTCACAGATGTTGTTTCGTAAGTGTTATAAGCACTGGATATAAATGGTATTTTTTATCACTTCTGACTAATGTGAAACTGTTGTACGAAAACTACATGAACAAAAGTCATCTGTTTCGACTCGTGTGGGCTTGCCTCACAGTTGCCGGATTTGAGTCATTTTTATGTCTTGTTATTTCATTTATTTATGCAAAATACATGTGTGTATGAACACTTTGTTTTAGCTCCAGCTCTGCCTCAGTACTGGGGTTCATTTACTTTTAGCCATGTTCTTAAAAATGAAAGGCTATTCAGGAATGATCTGATTGTAAACGTCTTTTTCATTGGATCAAACAGTAATGCTGTATTTGAATCTAAATTTTGTGTATAAGCAGTTTATTTATTAGCCAAGTTTGGCTCTAAATATCCATGGAAATTAAGAATGACAATCATAGGGATCAATTCATTTTATTTTCAGTGGGGCTTAAACAAAGTTTATATGACTTTACCATCTCATTTTAGATTTTTCTAATTGTGTAAATATAACATAGAAATAGAATTTATTTTTGGTTCATGAATACTTAGTGAGATATAAGTTATGTATTTCCTTTTTGTTCTCTATCCATAGATGTTGGTCCAAACTGAAAGTTGATGAGTCACTGTGCCTCTCGGGGTAGTGAGTTATCAGCTACAGTGAGAGAGCAGTGTTTGGCCTGCAGCTGGGACAGCAAAACGTTTCACCAGGGTTCTCATGCAGTTCAGAACCCACTGTCCACAGATCCAGACATTTCCCTTTTTTCTTACAGAAAGTTGATGATTGGACATACTAAATTTCCACTACAGTTAGGAGACAGTCAGTTTGCTTTGGGAGTCTACATAAATCTTCTAAGATAGTTCTGTGACCATTTAATAGCAAGAAGCATGAATGCCACTACAAAGGCAAAAATCCACCTCTGAGATCGGCCGTTAATAAACGTCCCGTCATGTCAGTTTAGATTCAAGAATGTTAAGCAACTTTGTTTTTGCGGTGCTCCCTATTTCATAGTATCTTCAAATCAAAAATAAAAATTATCTCCATTTTGTTAAAGAACTTACAGGGTCAGGGTTCTCCTTGTCACTTAGAATTGGGACACTGCCAGGCAATCCTCTCCCAAAAAAAAAAAAAAAAAAAAATAGCCATATGGAATGGAAGGAAAAGGAGAAAAGAAGGAAGAAAGGAAAAAAGTAGGAAGGGAGAGAGAAAAAAAAGGTCGCTTTGCGGATACGAGCCGCTAGGCTGACAACTTTTCTATTTCATTGGCAGATATGAAGCAGTGTCTTTTCCAGTAAGGTACGGAAGCTTTGTTGTTTTCATGTGTACCCAGCTCAGCCTTTTAGAAGCACCTCGGTTTGCTTCATTAGGTATTTGATACTCTCCAGCCTTGTCCTCAGGCCTGATTTGATTTGCCAGGGTCCTGACACCAAAGCCCAGGCCAAGTTCTAAATTCAGGTGTGGGCTCACAGTGCTATTGAGCTTGTCGAATTCTGGCCTCCCCTGAACATTAGCCCCACGGGAGCCTGAGGGTGTTTGAAAAGGGCGTGATCACTCTAGGGCTGAAATTAAAGGCTGCTTTCTTTTCCTTCTGAAGCCAGGCTGCTTCTTCGGAGTACACCCTCCTGAGCCAGGAGCACAAGCACTAGCAGAAAGCAGGGATTGTTTCAGGAAAGCCCATTTACCCTCAGTAGGAAGGCAGCCTGGTCACTTGAACAGCACAGCTGAGGCTGCTTCTCTCAATTTACTCATTTTGCAAAGAATTGACCTCTACCAACTCATTAGGGAGAGGAAAAAGAATCACTTAGTAATTTTAAATCATATGAGAAGTCCTGTACCAAGTGCCAACAACTGCAAAGAAATGCAGCTAGAGGAATGTATTGAAATTACTACTGGGTCTTCCTTTTTAATGAGAAAATGACAAAAATGGTTGCTGTAGCCCTGCCTGATTTTGTACACGTTTGTCTAAGAATTGAGTTGGCACTTAAGCTCACTTCTCAAAGTATAATAATATTGTATGACCTCATTTGTCCTTTCACAAAAGCACTTGCATCATTTCCTTAAGTCATCTGCTCCCTGACATGTTTTCTTCCCTAATAAACAACTTCTGTCTGTTATTCCTGCCAATGATGTTCTGTTTCTGATGCCATATCCTATTGAGCGTGCCCCTGTACTAATATCATTGAAAATATTGATATGCAAACACATTTCCTTTTCATCCCCATTCTATCTTTCCCTTTGGGGACAGATTGCTTTCCAAAAGCTCATGAACAAATATTTGGAATGCTGGTACCTTTGGGGCAGAGGTAAGGGTGGGCGGGGTGGGG
The DNA here is from genome assembly GCF_000001405.40 of Homo sapiens. Taxonomy (NCBI): domain Eukaryota; kingdom Metazoa; phylum Chordata; class Mammalia; order Primates; family Hominidae; genus Homo; species Homo sapiens. The sequence goes on along the minus strand of NC_000011.10, from coordinate 15,967,888 downwards.
GCAGAAAGGTAATGCTTAATGCAGATAACTCTTCTAATCAGTGTCCATGGCAATATGAACGCTTGAAGAAAACTCAGTGACATATCTTGCTCAGTAGTTTCTTATTCCTGAAGAACCACAAGCATAAAGTGAGGCCTCAGTGCTGGTGCTCTTGGAGTATGGGGAATGTGCAAATATTTAACTGTTTTGTATGCTGCACATTGCAGGTCTGCTCATGTGCATTCTCCCTTTGTCTTCCTTTGTCATATGTGTTTTTGCTTTTTTGAAAGTGCAGTCTTTATTGTACCCTCCTCCAGCTTGTAGCAAATTAGAATGCTTAGCATTTATGTTCATTCATTATTGTATTTGCCATGTAAAATTTTTATTACCTTAGACAAGCTTATAAGCTGTTACTACATAACTTATCTTACTGTAACTCTTTTATTTCCCCCGACGTTGTAATTTGTTTGTGATGTATATTGTGAAATTGTATTCTATGTTAATTTAATCAGCACAATTCACTGACATGCTGGACTGACATGCTGGCTGCTGTTTCAAAGTGTAAAGTTTGTGTAGGGCTGTTGGGACAACTGCAACTCTGTTGTCAAGGTACTGTGCTTTGGTTCCTATAGCAACACTGGGTGTGGCCCTTGAATTGCTAAGGGCATTTAATACATCCTGGAGCAAATTTTAACTGCAGATTTTCTTTGTAGAAATTCTATGTATAATGCAGGTACCTACTTGGCCCATGGCTGGTAACTATTTGGGCAATTAGAAAAAAAGAAAAAAACATAAAAACTAGTGTCTATTGCTGCTTTGAATATGTTTGAAAGTCTGAAAATGTAAATAGTTTATCAAAAAAAAATCTTGTACAGTCCAGTGTAAAGTTTTTAAATGACCTTAAGGGTTGCCATCACATCTTTCTCACACTCTCCTCTTGATAATAATAATAATAAAAAGTTTGCTAAGGATTAAAGAAATGGGAAAAATAAAAAAAATCTCTTCAAATTTACAGGAATGAATCATTGTTCTTAGCTTTGTTGCATACACAAACTTCTTGGATTTTGTTGTGCAGTATTGACGTGAGATAAAGCTCAACATTGAATAATCTTTCAGTGGTACTTTTCAAAGTCTTCCCCTCCTCTGCCTCATAATTAAGGGAAAAGACAAAATTGAAAGACACACTGTCTTTATCTATCCTGGTGTATGTTGGCACCTTAGCTACTTTTTTTTTTTCCTTTTTGCACAAGGTGCTTTCCTGATATGTTCAACATGCCATCTTTGGGTGATAATGTATATGCCGTGATGGGGCTCAGGCCCCTTAGGGGAGTGTCTATAAGAACTGCCTATTTATGCTCATTTACCTCAAGACTGTCCTCTCTACCCTAATCTAGTTGTCATCACTCCATCTTTTGTACTGCTGTTGACACTTACAAATTAAAGATAAATTTTGTTTTATGACCTCTGTGTATGGCCTTGTCTGTGCCCTGCAAACTGTCCCCACCATGGGGCCCCAGCCAGCCCTGAATGTGCCACCCTCTTGCTGCTGGAGCCTGCAGAGCTCTCCTGCCCTCTGCCATTGCTTCTGCCTGGCCCAAGGGTAGGTCTCTGAAAGACATGGAACCCCTTAGCCTGGAAAGACTTGCCTGCTCTTTTCGTTGTGGAGCACACCTGGCTGCAGCAGGAAATACTTGTGGATTTAGAAGGGAGGAACGGGATACAAGGTGGATTTTTGTCAAGAGAAGATAAGAGAGCATGGCATTGCCTCTTTACCTGACTTCTTCGTGTCAGTGAAACAGCTTAGAGCCTTTTGGAGTATGAACAACTCTCAAGGGCCAGCCTCTCATCTGACGCCACCTTCTACGAGCCTAGCAGCCAAGAGTGGAAAATGCTGCACTTATGGAACCTTTCCCTCCACTGTGGTTGGCAGTAGTTGGCTGATTACTCAGTACCTTCTGCCTCAGAGAAGAAAGAGCCCATCTTTTTGTCCAGCAATGAGTTGCATCCAGAGTGAAACTCGGTTCCCAGTGATATCAGCTTCTAAAATGTTGCCAAAGCTATTTCATTGTGCTGAGTCTGAGTGGGGACGGAAGGTGGGTAGTGGGGTGAAGTGAGCAGGGCCCTTAAGGGAGACTTGCCACACCAGCCAAGCCAGTCCTGTGAGTCTAGAGATGAGTAACCAACACCTAGAGAGTGAAACAAAAGTGTTCAAGAGAGAGGAGAGGCCCAGCCACTCCTTTTGATATTTCCTATTAAAAAATGCCTCAGGAAAAATAAATCCAAGAATATGTGGGACTGACTTTATTCCAGTCACATTGCAAGTTAGACGCAGGCTCCTGTAAGTTCTGAAAATCTAGCATTCCGGGACCTCCCTCTTGCCCCATGGCTTTTTAAAAGCCCAGGTAAGTACAGGACATTGGAAAGAACAGGGACTTTGGAGTCACACCAGCCTGGCTCTGCCACCTGCCAGCTGCGTGACCTTCCCTGAATAACACCTCTGAGCCACAATCCTCTCTATAAAATGGGGTAACAATTCTTACCTGTCAGGGTGCTGGGAGAATGAAAAGAAACAGCAGGGGTAAGACATCCAGGAGTGGATGGCACACAGAGGGCATGAATGCCCACTGCCTCCTCTGACCAGAAAATGCCTAAGCTAGGGAGGTTGGCTGGTGTTACCACTGAGTAAAGTGAAGGAGGTGCCTGAGGCCTTCTCTCAGAGCCTGGTCGCATACATACCTCAGGGCCCTCCCTCTAAGCTAGTCTCCAAGCCACAGGTTTTCTCACTCCCAGCTCATCCTTGCCATTGCTGCAGGTCTTCTTTCTAAGCCTGTCCCCTCTCATCCTTCTCTAAAACCTTCTGGCTTTCTGCTGCTGACTAGATAAAGTCCCAACTTCCTGCCCTGTCAGCCAAGCCTCCACAGACCTGCCAGCCCCATGTTCCACCGTGACCCCACACACCTTCCATGCTCTCTGCTGCTCTCACACCCCCAGCCTGTCCACCACTCTGGGGCTTTTACTTCTCCTTTAGCCTGGAAGGAATCTGTCCCCTTCTCTGTTTGGGAAATTCGCAGTTATCTTTCAGAAGCCACCCAATATCACCACTTCCTGAGACCTTCTTGGCCCCCTGGTTTCAAGCTCTCCCTACGGAGAAAGCAAAGAGCTCTTTGAAAGAATCTCACGATGAGCACATTGTAATGATTTGTCTCTGTGTCTGTCTTCCCTGCTAGACGACAAACTGCTGAAACCAAAAACTGTACCTTGGCCTGCCCTGCCCCCAACACAGTGCTTGGCACATAGTAAGTGCTCTACACTTGTTTGTGGAAGGAATGTATGAGGGATTGCAACTTGGTCTCCCTGTGTGTTTTAGATGCCTGTGAATATCGGGGTCTCAGGTGGTGAGGCTGAGGGATCTTGTAGGTGTACCTTGGTATTACTTACTTCATTTGGAGAACGTTATTAGTTAAAAACATCTCTATTCATATTGGGAGAGCCATTTTTCAAGTTGGCATGACAAGCACAAGGCACTGAGAGTCTCTATGCTTTTAGGATGACTCACTGCAGAATGCCTGAGCCTCTGAACCCAGAGCCACGGCTCTATTCTTCCTCCTAGGCATCCTGGCTGAAGTATGAAAAGGACAGACTAGGAAGGGGAAGTGTTTATCAGTTTTCCTTACCTTTTACCTTGACATCCCAGATACGCAAGATTACCCTACAGTCTGCTCAGAGACAAGGGGTTCTTGGAGGCTTGACCTCTGGGCCTCCATCATGGAAAGGGAAGGAGACCAGCTGCCTCTGCCTGCTGTGGAGAGCCAGGGCAGTGATCCCACGAGGCTGCAATGTGGACAGCTGTTCACTTAGTGTCCGTTCCTTCCTCTTTGGTCCAGGTAATGACTCCTTCTCTCAGTAGTGCTCTAGAGCCTTGCTGGCTCAAAGTATGGCTCACAGATCAGCAGTTACAGCATCACCTAAGGCATATTAAAGTATGGGCTAATGTGGCATGGGCTATACTGAGTAGAAAGCTCCTAGCAGTTGAGACTCCATGAACTGTCATCTACGTCCTCTAAGTCAATGACACATCATATGTGAGATAGGATTTTCCTCATTTGAATTGTGAAGGCCCAGAGATAGGACATGACCCACCCAAAGTCACACACAGATTAAATGTCAGTGTGGTAACATGCACTTGTGTTTTCTAATTCTAAACACAGGTGAACGTGTTGCATATGACCTCACAATAGTCTGTGGAAATTGCTCATCACTGGAACAGCCCTGGATCTAGAGCTCAGTTATCACCAGGTGTCCTGGACTGTGTCACACTATGGGAGCACCAAGGCATCTAGGGGCAGTGGCCTCTGGCATCTCTGACTGTCATCCTCTACCCTGGCTGTGCCCAGTGCCTGGCCCACAAGAGACCCTGGATCAATAGGGTGGCTCTCTGGAGAGCTTGTTCAGAGCCCCCGCTGTTAGCTAGCCACCCAGTAATTTTTCCATTTTGACACCAGGATGAGTGGCCATGGAGTAGATCAATGAGAATATGTGTAGGTTCTGGGGGCCCCATTCCTGAGTCTGGGAGGAGGACACCCAGTGAAGAGAGTGATCAGGGAAGGTGTCTGAGCTAGTGTCACCCAGGGCTTCTAGGAACACGTGTGGATTGGTTATCCACTGGCTTCCTAAACTCACCCCGGGCAGGCACACTGACTCCCCAGCCTGTCTCCCCCACCACTGTCTCCCCTCAGCCACTAAAGACTGAGCACTGTCCCTGCCACCTGTTCGGATTGGTTTATCCACTACTACCAGCTGCCATTCCCACTTCCAGCTCTATCCTTTCCTCTCTGCTCCCAGAAGGATCTTCCTCTCATAGATGCAGGCAGGGCATGAAAGACACAAGATCAAGTCTACGCTGTTTGCATTCAGGCAACGGCCTTCCTGAAGCCCCCAGGTCCTGATCAGCCTTTCCAGTCCCATCTCCAGCAGGCTCCCCACACAGACACAGCACATTGCTTGCTGAGATCTGCACAGGCCACACACTGAAATATTTCCTGTGCCTGGAAGTCCCTCTCTCACTTCCACCAACCATCACAGCCCCATGCATTAAAGCCCAGCCCAAACGTCACCTTCCATGGGAAGCCTTCTCTCCACATTCCTCTTCTACCCTGAGAATGTGAATTGCACTGAAATTGTCTGATTGTATTTCATTATGGGTCACAATGAATCTGATTGTCACACTTTTTTATCCAACAGTCCTGGCACATAGTAGGTGCTTAATCAATGTGCATATTCTTTTTAAATTTTTTAAATGAACACTCCTGCTGTTCTACGTGTATGTTATTTTTTTAAAAAATGAAATAAATGAAGGAATGAATTCTTTCTACTTGAACTCAAAGTACTGCACACTCTGCCAATGGCTAGTTTTTCAGCCTGATCTTCTAACCCCACGGCTTCTAGCTCTCTAAACAGATCAGACTATTAATTTGAAACATGTTCTCCAACCTCTTTGGGCTTCAAGGGTCCCCTGTCTCAACTGCCTTTCCCCCATATCTGTCAATCATCATCTTCCCTTTCAGGTCCACCTGCTTCAACACCATACAAAATACTAAGAGTCTATCATGCAGCAAAAAATTTTATAAGCATTTCATTTGACCCCTAATAATGGCTCTGAACATTAAACATTGTTATTCCTGTTTTACAAAAGATTAAACTGAAACTCAGAGAAGTCAAGCCACTTGTTCAGGATCTCCCAGTGAGTCAGAATGTCTCCTTCTGCATGGACAAGCTGCTCTCAGGCCTCTCCAGCTCAGAATGAATCTCTTCTTCCTTCTAGTTTGGAGTTCCTCGGCCATTTTTTTTTTATTATCGCCACCTAAGGAAGCTTTTAAGACACTTTTTTCCTCCCAGTACTCCCAGTAGCCCTCCTCCCCCCATTAAATTGTAATATAATAGATTTACTATCTGCTTAAGTACTCTATGTATATCTGTGCTTTATTTTTTCAAAGTAAGATTTTTTTTAATCTCCTAAGAACAAATTTTTCTCCCTTATGGAAGGTGGCATTATCCTGTTGAAAATTCCTGTTCTATGGCTGGGCGCAGTGGCTCATGCCTGTGATCCCAGCACTTTGGGAGGCCGAGGCGGGCTGAGGTCAGGAGTTCAAGACCAGCCTGATCAACATGGAGAAACCTCATCTCTACTAAAAATGCAAAATTAGTCAGGCATAGTGGCACATGCCTGTAATTCCAGCTACTCGGGTGGCTGAGGCAGGAGGTTGAACCTGGAAGGCGGAGGTTGCAGGGAGCCTAGATTGCGCCATTGCACTCCAGCCTGGGCAACAAGAGCGAAACTCCATCTCAAATTAAAAAAAAACAAAAACAGAAAATGCATGCTCTATATCACCTTCTCTTTGAAGTGTGGCCCTTACCCTAGAGTTTGTAACTTGTTCCCCCCTCCACTGTGAGTTCTGTGTTCCAGGTACTGTGGCTTAGTAACAATTTCCCCAAAACTTAGTGACATAAAACCATTACTTACTCTATTCACAAATTCCGTGGGTTCACAAATTTCAGACAGGGTAAAGTGGGAGGCTTTTTCTCTTCTGCTTTGCAATGTCTGGGATCTCAGCTAGGACACTCCAAGACTGGGGCTGGAGCACACTGAACGCTCATTTCCTCTCGTGTTTGGCAGTCGATGCCAGCTGTTGGCTGGCACCCTAGCTGAGGCTGTTGGTTAGAACACCTACATGTGGCCTCTTAATGTGGCCTGGGCTGCCTCACAACATGGTGGCTGAGCATCAGGGGTGAGCAGCTGAGAGAAAAAGAGAGAGGGCCAAGTGGTGTCCTCTTTTACGGCCTGACCTTAAAGTCATGGAGCATCACTTCCACTATATTCTGTGTATCGACGCAGTTACAAATTCATGCCTAGTTCAAGGGAAGAGGAAGCCAACTCCACCTCTTGATTGGGGAATGATAAAGTTTTAAATATATATGGGACTGGATATGTTGCTGTGGTCATTTTGGGGAAGTACCGTCTGCTGTACTCTAATATCTGCTGATCTGCAACCCTTGTGCCCCACTCCCAACAACCACCCCATCTTCACATGGCCTTGCACACGGGGTAATGCTGATATACATGTCTGAAATTTATTTGGATGCTCTAAGTTGAGAGGATGAAGCCCCAGGCCTTGGTCCATTCCTGCCAATATCAATATGTGGTTAATATGGTCCAGAGATCCCTGGAGAGGCCAGATGTGGGCAAGAAGCTCACTGAGGCAGAAGGGTGCCCTAGAACAAATGGGAAGTGAGAACAAGCATTACAAGAAAGGTCCTGGTGTAAAGTGTTTGGATCTTTCTTTTTCCCCTCTCAAAAGCAGTTCAGTTATTTCTGGAAATGTTCAAACTAGTCATTTCCCATATATATATATATAGATAGACAGAGTGAGACACCCAGAGGAGTTGCAATAGAATTTGACTTATATTCTTTTTTTTTTTTTTTTTTTTTTTTTGTAGAGACGGAGTCTCGCTCTGTCGCTCAGCCTGGAGTGCAGTGGCGTGATCTCGGTTTGCTGCAATCTCTGCCTCCTAGGTTCAAGTGATTCTCCTGCCTCAGCCTCCCAAGTAGCTGGGACTACAGGCGCATGCTGCCATGCCCGGCTAATTTCTTTTGTATTTTAGTAGAGACAGGGTTTCCCGTGTTTCCCAAATGAGACTATCAATGAAACTAATGTTGTCACTAATCAGCAAAATACCAGTCAACTCCCATTTGGCAATATGCTACCTGTATTGATATTTCTGTCAACACCACTGCCATCCATACAGCACAGCATGTTTTAAAATGGCAATAATCTGTACAAGGAGCCATAATCTATACACAAAAATAATTTCACATTTTTCAAGCTCAGGAAATATTAGCTTAATGTTCTAAGAGTCCCTAATATGATCTATGTCATCAATTAAACTCAAAAAGTTTTACTGGGAAAAACAGAAACAACCTATTCAGTTTCTGACTTTGGGTTAACATTAATCAGCTAATGCATATTATCATAGGTACCCAAACTAGATCTGTAGAAGCAAGGACAATTATGAGTGCCTTTTTTATTTGAATCATTTATTATTTTATTTTAAATTACTATTACATATTAATTTCATAAAAACTCATTATTACCATTATAAGTGTTATTAGAGTGAAAAGGATAAATGAACTGTGATCCTTATTATGAAATGCCAAGTATAGAATTTAGATGTATTTTTGGAAATAAAAGAAGCACTGATGTTATTAATGAATAACACAGACAGGTAGGAAAGTTAGGCCGAGAAAAAAACAAAACAAAATAAAACAGCAAAGAAGAACAATCAAGATACTGATCCATCGATGAGCCCATTGTTCTCCTGTGCTGTAGCATTACACGGACCTGATTGACACTTGAGTTAGAATATATTTAATTGCGAAAAGTACTCTTATGTTCTATATTTGGATAAAAGTCCATATGAAATCACTTAAGTGCATTTATTGTACATGTTAAATAAATTAATTCACTTAGAAAAGGTACTTGTTTATAAATATTGTAAATAACAATACTTGCTAAATATATAGGTTTGAGCCACTGGAGAAATGAGAACTAAATTCCCAAGCATCCATCTCTCCTTAGGTCTGGGGCTGGGGCACTTCTGCTTCTCCACCTGCAGAGGTAACTGGGACCCTCCACAGATGCCAGGAAGGCAGGTAGTGGACATGCTGCTGTATTGTTGGACAAGCACACTAGCCCTGGACAGAGCTGTGGAAAACACAAGTGGTTCTGGACCTTAAACTGGGTGAGATAAGACATACCAAGGGATAATGGCTATAAACACGGCCCAAGAAACTGGATCATTTTTCAGGCTGTTGAATTTCAAATGCCTGCCAAACAAAGTGTAATATCTGGGACTCTCTTTTTGCAATTCTACTGCAAGAGGTGGCATAAGTCCAATTAATTTAAACAAGAAAATCAGAACAATGAGGACCAGAAGAGTTAAAATGTCCAATCAAAACTTGGAATTAAAGTTAATTTCACAAATTTTAATGATAGTAGGAGGAAATTAAATTTAACCCTATATTTCAGTCAATGCCACAATAATGATAGACTAAAGACGATTGGATGTTGATTAATTTCTCTACTGCAGTCCTAGGATTTAGAATACTCAGGTGAATTACATTCATTTTTCTGATTGGCTGTCTGGGGATGGGTAATTCAGAGTTGAAGACACCTGGGAAGCCTCTCTTCCAAATAAAACAAAATAAAACCACACAAAGCATTGGTGAAGTCAATTGCTGCATTATTTACTTTATTGGTTATAAATGACTGAAACCCAATTTAAATGGCTTATGCAGCTAAGAGGGACTTAGTGGCTTACATAACTGAAAAAGTGCAAGGATAGCATGGCTTCAGGCCTGGCTGAGTGCAGGTGTTCAAGGCTGAGTTTCTGTCTCTTCTCTGCCCTGGTTGGCTTTGCTCCTAGGTTGTCTCTATCCATGAGACATCCCTCTGCAGATCCAGACTGCAGCTTTCAATTCAACAGAAAGAACTTCTCTTACAAGTTTCCTACAAACATATCTGAATTGAGTCTTCTTATCCTGGCTTGGATCACATGATCATTGCTGAACAAATCACTGTAGCCCAGGAAATGCAATAAGATCAATGCCCTTACCAACCACCATCAAATGACATAGGCTGAGTAGATAAAGGTTAATTGCCCTAAAGGAAAATCAGTCCTCCAGAAGGAGGAGAAATGGGTGCTGGGCAGCACGTTTCTGAAGTCCTGCATGGAATAGGCTTTATGTAAAATCAGTTGGAAAGCCAGGCAGAAGAGATGCTGATCACAGCCCAAGTGACCCTGTGGCCATGTGGAGACTCCTGCATCATTGCTAGCCTGGTTCTAGCTCTGTTTAATCTTTAGATCTTTAGTGGACTAGAACTAACCTTCAACTGCTGGTTCATGGCAATTTTCACATGGCATTGTCATTCTTCAACGTGTCTACTTTCCCACTAGAGAGTGGACAAATCCTGAGGTCAAAGTCTTGTCTTTCCCACTTTGGCACCAGCAGATGGCTGGTACAAACCAGATGCTCACTGAATCTGTGTTTAATAGACGGATGATTCTAGGGCCTTTGCTGCTATGACTGAGACTAAAATTCTCAGATTAGACCTTGACTTTTCTTGCATGAAAAGAATACCCTTCTAGAGCTTCAGCAGCATCGTGACCTTAGGCTTTCTCTTCCTCCTCTTCCTCTTCCTCCCTTTTCATTTTTCTTGTTTACTATTACATAGCTGTGAATCCTAGGGAGGGCCCATCCCCTCTGTCTCACCTATCAGTCACTCAGAGAACATGAGTTCCCCATGAGGGACGCCAAAAAAGCCACAACATCTTAAAGCAGGGGACAGCAAACTACGGTCCAAGAATCCACTCCACCCCAGCACCCACTTTTTAAATAAAGTTTTATTGGAACACAGCTACAAATGCATTGTCTACTACTGCTTTTGCACCACAATGGCAGAGTGGAGTGGCTGTGACAGGAGCTGTATAACACACTGATATGGTTTGTCTCTTTGTCCCCTCTCAGATCTCATGTTGAATTATAATCCCCAATGTTGGAGGAGGGACCTGGTGGGAGGTGATTTGATCATGGGGGTGGATTTCCCCTTTGCTGTTCTCATGATAGTGAGTTCGTTCTCATGAGATCTGGCTGTTTGAAAGTGTGTAGCACTTCTCCCTTCATGCTCTGTCTCTCCCCTGCCACCATGTGAAGACATGCTTGCTTCCCCTTCACCCTTCCACCATGATTGTAAGTTTACTGAGGCCTCCCCAGCCATGCCCCCTGTACAGCCTGTGGAACTATAAGTCAATTAAACCTCTTTTCTTTATAAATTACCCAGTCTCAGGTAGTTCTTTATAGCAGTGTGAGAATGGACTAATACACCCACAAAGCCTAAGATAATTACTAGCAGGCCCTTTATTTAAAAAGTTCAGAAACTTTTTAAATAAAGTTTATTTAAAAACTTTATTAAAGTTGTGCCCTCGAGGGCTGGGCACAACACATCTCTTGTATGTGTGTCATGGGCCACCACAGGTTTCAGGTGTGTCCCTGGTTGGGGAGAGGGTGGTGGGGGTGGGCTGAATTGCTCCTGATCTTTGAGCAGTTGCTAGTGCTCATGAAAACTGAGATTATTGAGTGAACAAGGAGATTCTGGGACAGGCCAGGTATGGAAACAAGCTGCCCAAACTCCATAATACATGGGATGAGGAAGAGCAAATCCTGAGGTACCTTAGAAAGTCTCACAGCCCACTTTAATTCTGGGTCCGCCTATTGAGAAGCCTTGGATTAAAGCAGAAGTTCTCAAGCGTGACTGCATTTTGAAATCACCTGGGATGCTTTAAATTCTTTAAATCCTGTGGAGCTTTAAATACTTGAAATCTCTAAAAAGTATGATTTAATTGGTCTGGGATCTGACACAGGCTTTGGGATTTTAAAAAGAACCCTACTCTCCAGGTGATTCAAGTGGCAGTTAAAATTGAGAACCATAGGGCCAGTGGCTAGCGGATCTGGGAGATAAGAAGGTGGTGCCAATCTGGAGGAAGCAGGCAAGAATGAAAACGATGCCGGTTTCAGACTTTGGCAAACTGGGAATTCTGACTCCACACCTAAGCTGCTGTGTGTTGGTCAGCTCATCATGTAACCACTCTGAGCCTCATCTTCAGTATCTGTAAAATAGAAATAAGAATACTTCCCTCACAGTGTTGTTATGAGGATTATGTGAAATTAGCTATTTATTTGTTTATTCTAGAAAACTAACTGAGATGCCTACTATATGTCTGACATTGTTCAAAGCCCTGGATAATACATCTGTGAAGAAAACAGACCAAGGTGCTTGCTGTCCTGGAGCTGACACCATGGTGGGAAAGCCAGACACTAAATAAAGGGATAACATAATTTCAGAGAATAAGGAATGTCATGAAAAAAGGCAATGCAGAATGGTGGCATGAGAGGGACTGGGATGGGGCTATCTTGAAAGGATGACCATGGAATTTTCTCCGAGGAAGTGACATTTGGGCAACAGTCTGAATGATGAGAAAGATCCAGTCATGCAAAAAGAATTCCGGGCTGAAGCAGCAGCACATTTAACAAACTTCATGATGGGAGAGGAGGGTAGAGATTCCTATTCCAGGAACAGAAGAAGTACCAGTGTCCTTGGAGCACAGGGCATTGGGAGAGCCAGATTTAGTAGAACACTTGTAGGCCTTGCTAAAAAGTCTCACTCTTCTTCCCCCAACTGCAGTGGTAACCAATAAGATGATTTTAAGCAGGAGAGTGATATGGTCTGTTACAGGGATTTTTGAAAGACTCTGTGGTTGCTGGGAAGCAATAGATTCTAATGTACACATAACGAGTATAGTGAGTATTTTTTATTGTTTATTCAGAACATATTTACTAAGCATCAAAAATAGGCTAGGTAGTAGACAAAAGAAAACAGCTAATGCTATACAGAGTCTTGTGGAGTATTTTTATCATTTGTTTTTTACTTTTATCAAAACTACTCATGAACATGATTTTAAAAGTCAAATAGTTATACAGCACTTTTTGCAAAAAAAAGAGCAATCCCTCTATTTCTCCACTTACTATCTCCACTTCTTCATAAAAACACTTTCATGTCTTTTAGCTGGTTTCTAAGATATTTCCTGCCAACTGTCCCTCCCTATCTCCCGTACAATATCTTTAAATAAATGTCTTTTAAAGTTGCTTCCTAACTTTTGAGTTTTAAGAAATAATGACAGATTTCCTGCTATATACCCTCACTTTGCATACCTACTTTGTAATCATAGTTCACAGGTGAGGCATTATATTAGTCTGTTCTCATGCTGCTAATAAAGACATACCCAAGACTGGGTAATTTATAAAGGAAAGAGATTTAATTGACTCACAGTTCCACATTGCTGGGAGGTCTCACAGTCATGGCAGAAGGCAAAGGAGGAGCAAAGTCACATCTTGCATGGTGGCAGGCAAGAGAGAGCTTGTGCAGGGGAACTCCCATTTATAAAATCATCAGATCTTGTGAGATTTATTCTTTACCATGAGAACAGTATGGGGGAAACTGCCTCCATGATTCAGTTATCTCCACCTGGCCCTGCACTTTGCACATGGGGATTATTACAATTCAAGGTGAGATTTGGGTGGGGACACAGCCAAACCATATCAGGCATGTGGACTATTATAATTGTTTTCTCTTTTGTGCACAGGTTATTTTTCTTATAGTTCAAAATTTTATCTAGTTTCTTTATGAAGTTGTCCATGCATTAATCACAAATGTGACTCTTCCATTTGTGTAAATATGTTCTCAATACATTCAAACGCATTAGTCATTGATCAATTTTATCTTCCTGAAAAATTATTTTCTGCTCCAAAATAGACTTGTTGCCCGATAGGCCTAGTGCAAAACTTTGGTCTTGGGATTTTCCTTCTTTATGGCACTTCAGATTTCTCTTGTGTTAGGTACCTTGTTTCCTAGATCCTGTGTCTTCTTTCACTATCTACTCTCTTGTTTTGCCGGAGCAGTTCCAGATGCTTATTGAGAAAGGGTGCATGAAAGGTACGTTTTTTGAGACTTAATCTGTCTAAAATGTCTTATTCTAATCTCACACTTTGTTAATATTTTGGCTCAGAGAATTCTAGGTTAGAAATTATATTTCATTGATAGAGTTTGGATATTTGTCCCTGCCCAAATCTCATGTTGAAATGTAATCCCCAGTGTTGGAGGTGGGGCCTGGGAGGAGGTGTTTGGATCATGGTGATGGATCCCTCATGAGTGGCTTGGACCGTTCCCTTGGTGATAAGTGAGCTCTCACTCTGAGTTCACACAAGATTTGGTTGTTTAAAGGTGTGTGGCACTTCTTCCCCTGATGTCTCTCACTTGCTCCTGCTTTTGCCATGTGTGGTGTCTGCTCCCACTTCACCTTCTGCAGTGAGTAAAACCTCCCTGAGGCTTCCCTAGAAGCCACGCAGATGCTGGTGCCATACTTCCTATACAGCCTGCAGAACCATGAGCCAATTAAACCTCTTTTCTTTGCAAATTACCCAGTATCACGTATGTCTTTACAGCAATGCAAGAGTGACCTAGCACATACACTAAAATTTTGAGAGTGTTGCTTTATTGTTTTCTAGCTTACAGTGTAGCTAATGAAATGTATGATGCCATTCTGATTCTTGTTCCTTGGTTTGCAATATTTCTCTCTCTGTCTCTGTCTCTCTCTCTCTCTCTCTCTTTCTCTCTCATAACTCGTAGAGTCTTGTTGCCTCCAGTGTATTAAAATTTCATAATGATGTGTCTTGGTGTGTATATGTTTACACATTGTGCTGTGCTAGGTATCTCTATATTGTTCTCAGAAACATATAATATTCAGATGTTAAACTTGCTGGATCTAGTCCTTTTAATTTAATTTTCCATTCTTTTTATTTAAAAGTTTCTGCTCTGTGTTTTGGAAAAATATTCTCAACTTTACCTTCCAAATGCCAATTGGGTTTTTCATTTCTGTGTCATATTTTTAATTTATAAGTGTTCTTCTTTATTCTCTGAGAATTTCCTCTCTTATAGTGTACTGAAAATATTAATGTCAGTCCATTTTTTTTCTTTTCCTTACGTGATCCCCATTTCCTCCTACTTGCTTCATTCATTCATTCAACTAATATTTTTTGAATGCTTATCATATTCCAGGCATCTAGAAACTTGGGATAACTCAGGAAACAAAACAAAGATCCCCAATCTTGTACAGATTACATTTTGGTGATTATTTTCCCATCTCTTTTTATATCAGAAACTTCCCTAATGGGTCTTGTGAAGCTTGGCTCATTCATTCATTCATTTGCTTCATTCATTCATTCAACTAATATTTTTTGAATGCTTATCATATTCCAGGCAACTAGAAACTTGGGCTAACTCAGGAAACAAAACGAAGATCTCCAACCTTGTACAGATTACATTTTGGTTGATTATTTTCCCATCTCTTTTTATATCAGAAACTTCCCTAATGGGTCTTGTGAACCTTGGCTCCCTGCTCATATTTAAGAGAATTGTACACAAAAAATCAAATGAGAAGTTTTATGTGTGAGGGAGGTATTTGTTATTTTAAAATATGTATTGTGAGTGACAAGGCTGGGGTGTTTCCTTGGAGAACTTCTGATATCAGCTTCTTTGGGTCTTCTATAAGATTTATCTGGAAAAGACCTTCCAGTCTCTGCCTGGTAGGTCTAAGCCTGACTGCCACTTTTCTGGGGGTTGAGTAGGAAAACATTCCCTATATTAATTTCCATTTAATCCCCCCATTTTCAGTGGCTAGTGTCTAGAGATTCTGTTTTACCCTTGGAGACACTATGTCTCCAATATTCTGCTTGGCAGTCACAGCCTCGGTGCTGAGTTGGGGAAAGAATCCATCACCTTCTTAAACAAACGTTCAATCAATTCTTTTGTTTTAACCTCACCGTTACTTTCCTTCCAGGGGCATGAGTGGCAGTTCCTGAGCCTTTAGACTCGAAGGCTTAGAGATCTGCAGTGTAAGTCATTTTGCTCTGCGCCTCCCTGGTGCTGGCTTTGGCTTCGGCTTTCTTGGGCTGCTAAATCAGTTACATTTCACAGTCTGCTTTCCACCACCTGAAATTCTAGTGCTGAGGTCCCTTCTACTGTTCTCTCTGTCATCTGGGTTTATGCCTTTGAAATGTCCCTTTACTAATATTTTACTAATGTTTCAGGAGGAAGCAGAGCTGAAATGTATATATTCCATCTGATATTTTTAGCTGTCCTCTGATTCCTTAGAGGATTTTTTTAGAGGGTGAAGAACTTAAAATTCCTTTGTACTTACTGTGGGCTAGAAACAGAGCTAAGCATTTTTTATCTACACTATTGAACTTAATCCCCACAATAATGAACTTCCGGAAATAGAAAAAATGAAGGCTTAGAGATATTAATTTTATGATGATCAACTTAATTCAATTTAGAAATAATTGATTAAACAACTGTTCTGTGCCTCAAACTGTGCAAGATGCAGAGGATGAACATATTAATATAAACATTCAGTCATCTGAACCTGAACCTTGGCCATCCTAGACTCTTCCACCATCCTCATCATATTCTACTGCTTTTCTCTCCTCAGTATTTCTCGGCTGTGCCCTCCTCTGTTTCCTGGAGAGACCTGCCTTGGTTAAGGGCTTTAATCTTTTTCCAGAACTTGAAGTAATACACTACCTGGACTTCATACCTCCAAGTCCACTACCCCATCTGCAACCAAGATGGTCTTTCTAAACTGTCAGTCTGATCACACCACTCTTTTGTTTAAAACGTAAGTGCGGTGGACATTACTACTGCACACCAGCATCTGGCTGAGCAGCCCAGCAGTAATCTGCACACAGGGAAGTACCTAATTTTTCTTCAAGTCTTTGGCACTTAGCTCAGGGCCTACCATCCTAGTGAGCATCCACAAATGTTTATGGAACTGAACTAAATATAATCATCTAAGCCATCCCAAGTTTACATTCTACCACTTAGGTGGAATTGAAATCCACCATAATTCCAACCCCACTGTGAATGATCCCATGCTTCCAGATGGCTTCCCTCTTGAGTCCAATGGCAGCATCCATTGCTTTGCAGCCTCCCCTCTCCTCACTGTTTGGGTTCCTCCTTGAGGGAGGTTCTTCCCTCTTCCCTCCTGGTCTCCCTCTGCTCACATCCTTGGTCTTCTCCTTCTCCATTGCTAGAGAAGAGGCAAAGCACCTGGCCTGGCATTTTTTTCAAATACCAGAAGGGTGGGAAGGGAAGGAGCAACAGCCCCTTCCGCTTAGCAAAAGCAGGACATCTTGGGGTGGCCTTGGAGGCCCAGCTCAGTCTTACATTCTGAATCTTCCAGAGTTGTTCAGTGCATTAACTTCCACCAGGGAAACAGTTGATTAGACTGTTGGGAGAGGGAGAAGGGGAATGGTAGAAAAAAATTTATTTGGTTTTTGCATTACTCTTATAGTATTAGGTGGGAATTTCCAAGAAATTATGTGGCAGTGACGTTATAACTTTCACACGATGGCTGGAAGCAACATTATAAAAATATTGCCTAACACAACTCCATATGGACATATGAAATTTCATTCCATTTTATACATGTAATTAAGTGGCCCACATAATGAAGTACTGTGAGTGCAAAAAGGGAGATGCCTTATGTAGGTGAAAGATAGCTGGGCAGGAACAAGACTGGTTTAAAAGTAGAATAATCATAAAGGGTGGATGAAAATTATTGCACATTATTCTCTGATGGATTTTTTCCCTTAAAGCTAGTTTTCATGTTGTAAGCAAGACAAATACATTTAATATCCTCCTGCTAAAATACTCTCCCACTGTGTTTACTCGAGGTAGTGAGCAGAAGTGCTGAGCTTGGAATCAGATACAGCCAGGTTCAAATACCAGATTACCACTTACTAGCAGAGTGACCGAAGGTAGGTGGCTAAACCAGTAGTAATCCCCAAACCAGCAGCAGCATTTGGGAGCTTGTTAGAATTCAGATTCAAGGGTTCCAACTCAGACCCACTGAATCTGAGGAAGGGGCCTGGGAATCTGTGTTTTTACAAGCCCTCCTGGTGATTCTGGTGTTCACAAAATAATGAAAACCACTCACTCAAATTATCAGAGCCTTAATTTCCTTCCCTGTAAATGACTCCTTTGTGGCAGAAAACTCAACCTCAAGTAACTTCAAAGAACAGGAACTAACTTAATGGTACACATATCCAAAACCCGGAAGTAGAACTACCTTCCAGTGGGGATTGATCCAGCATCTCACACAATGTCACCCAGGATTCCCTTGTTTTGAGTTCCCACCATCCTGGCATAATGAGAGCTGAAAGGAGAAATTCAACTGAATTTAAAGCTATAATTCTTGTGTACACGAGCTTTAGAACTAATATTCATGTATTTACATATTTATTGAGCAGCTAATCTATACCAAACATTGTATGGGTGTTGAGATATGATGTTAGGCTAATATGGACTCCACAAATAACCACTTGCTTGTGATTCCCCTACCCACTGTGCTATGTCTTGCCTCTTGACTTTGCAATGCGCTGTTCATTTTTTTCTGAATTGCCCTTCTTTGCCAGGACCATCAAGTAACTCCTATATATCATTCAGAAACTACTTGGACATGGGCTATTTTCTGAAGCTTTCTCCAGCTCCCCTGACATTGAAAATCTCAGTGCATTTGTGCTCCCAAGGCCTCAGTCATGTACTCTTGCCTCTGCCTGGGGTCTGTCAGGTCATTATATGTTTATATAATCTGTGTTCCACCCTAGACAGTGAGTTCCTCAAAGGAACATCATCACTTAAAAACCTCTAGCACCTGTGAAAAGGCATGACACAATGCGGATGGTCGACAAATCATACTGAACTAAACTGACCCTTCTCAGAATATGGGCATATGTGAAAGGCCAATCCCAAGTTTCATGCCATGCAAGACACAGTGGAGGACATGACTATTTTCCCCTCGCTGGCCTACAGCTTCCATGGAGCTCACAAAAGTTCTGTATCTGCTTGAAGAGTCTCAATGATTGCCTAGACTAGGGCAATGCTGCCCAGTAGAACTTTCTACATTGATGAAAATACCTGTGTTGATAGCCTCTAGCCACATGTGGCTATTGAGCACTTGAAATGTGACCTATAAGATTGAGAAACTGAATTTTTTATTTTACTTAATTTCACTTTATTTAAATAGCCACATGAGGCTAGTGGCTACCACATTGGACATTGCAGAACTCAAGGATGACTAATAACCTGGAGAAAAGAAGAGTGGAGAATTTACTCAGGAAGAAGTAACATAGATGAATGCATGTTTCAGAAAGGTCAAACAACCCTTGCTACAACCTCCAGAGCACGCTCAATGCTACCTGCCCCCTAATTCTATCCTTGTATCCCTGTGATGGCCCAATTTTCAATATCAAGGCAGATGGAGCAGGTGCCAACAGCTCTTTGAAAGCTGGTTTCTACTCATTAATCCCAAAGACATGCTATGGGGCTGGATTGGAATACGATGAATTAAACAAGGAGATGTTCATATTTCTAACCTTTCCTTTAAGAATCTGTTCCCCCATTCTATGAAAATTCAGTGGGGCCCATGAATTACAAAGGCTCCAAAATATTTTTCTTGGATGGTATTCCTCTTGTACAGGCTCTGTCGGAACACGGGAGTCCACAGGAGCAGGTATATCAGGAGCTCAGTGAGATATGAAGGGAACACCAGGCTTCTGGGGGGATGAGTGCATAAGAAACTGCCCAGCCTGAATCTCTTGCTGGAACTTTCTAAAACAGGTGAATAGAGAAAGCAAAAAGAAACCTTTGGGAAGAACTTTTCCCACCAAGGCCTCCCTGCCATATGTATAGGCAGTGGCCAGTGTCTGAGTGCCCCCATCGTCCATGGGGAGAGCCTGATCTGTCTGGACTGGGTTCCCAGATGCGGCTCACCTAAAGGCCAAGAGGTTGGGCAAAGTGGGAAGGTGGACAGGTAAGCTGGGGGTTGAGCAGCCAGTAAAGGCTGATGAATCAGAAAGTAAACTGACGGAGGCCTAGGTGGGGGAGGGTGGGACTGAAGGTCAGTAGAGCCTGGAGTCAGGGATCTGGGAAGCAAGCATGAGTGAGCCAAGGCAAGCAATAGGCATGCGTGTGGGGTGAGCTGGTGATGGCAGGAGTCCTGAGTAAACAAGGTGGATGAATATCGACTCCAATAGGCCATTGATTGTAATAGCGGCTTTTGCGGAAGGAGAGTAAAAATAAAAATAAAATAACAATGAATGTACACATTAACTATGAGAAGCATACAGTATTTGAAATACGAAAATGTGTAGTGATTCTCTACTAATAGATCAAAGTTCTACTGGTTTTGTGCCATATGAATACTCCAGTCATTGGTAGCCCAGTGTAGACTGCTATTGAAAAGGCTTATATCTGGGTTCAGAAGGGAAGGATGCTTGATTGGTTAGAACTGTCTGCCAATGGTGTGGGAGGGAGTAGCTGCAATGTGACTGTTGTATATTTGCCATCTGTGACTAGGGAAAATGTTTTCAGTAAACTTTTATGACTTGGCATGGGAAATGTAGCAGGACAGGTTGACTTGATTTTAAAACTGGCACTAGGGAAACTAACAACGGATAGACACTTTGTTACTGTAAAGGTGGGGTAAAATTACTTTATACAAACATAGTTGCCATGCTTGGAGGGTAGAGCTAAGCGATTGAAAAGCTCTTTTAACCCAAAGTAAGTAGAACGGAGGAAATAATAAAAAGTGGAAATCAATGAAATAGAAAATGGACAAGCAATAGAGAAAAATCCATGAAACCAAAAACTGGCTCTTTGAAAAGATCAATAAAATTAAGAAACCTATAACAAGATTGAACAAAAAAAGGAGAAGATAATGCAAAAGTTGCAAATATCAAGAGTGAAGGAAGGGAAAGAGAATAAATAAATACTATAAGTCTCTTTGACTTTTGATCAATAAATTTGAAAACTTAGATGAAGAGGACAAAGTTTTAATTAAAAAAATTACCAAACTGACTCAATAAGGATAGAAAATATAAATAGTTTTATATATTTTTAATAAGTTGATTTTGTAATTAAAAGCATTCCTACAAAGAAAATTCTAGATCCAGAGATGTTATTGGTAAATCCCCCAAAATATTTTTTAAAAATCACCCTGATGCTAAAATCAGACAAAACAAAGAAAAACATCACAAAGAAATAAAAATTACAGACCAACATTCTCCATGAATATAAATACAAAGTGATTAACATAATAATAGCAAATCAAATTCAACAATATATAAAAAGAAAAATACATCATAACCTAGAAAGGTTTCTTCTAGGAATGCAAGGTTGGCTTAATATTTTAAAAGCAATCAATATAATTCACCATATTGACACAACAAATGAGAAAAATCACAGGACTATCTCAATTGATGCTGAAAAAACATTTGAAAAAATTTGATTCTATTCATGTTAAAAACTCTTAGCAAACTAGGAATAGGAGGGAACTTCCTTAACCTGATAAAGGTAATCTATGCAAAACCTATAGCTAATGGTAACTTATGGAGCTAAGATGGCAAGGGAAGAACATGCTGAGAAAGTGGTAGTTGAGCTAATACCTGATTGACAAGACAGAGCCATCCAGGGACAAAGCTGAGGGAAAATGTCCATACTACAATGTAGTGGACTACATGTTTGCACAAACCTTTTCCTGGTTGCAGGTGGTGAATGATTGAAAGAGGGAAGACTACTTAAGATGCACAACATTAGCCTGGTTGGAAAGGAGAAAGTGGCTGAGCTCCAAGGAGGGAGCTCAAGAGTTCAGAATTCCTGTGATAGAATAACAAAACCTCACAGTTGATAAACCTTACAGATTATTAATAATATCACTTCCATGATTCACATGACAGAACAGATTATGAGACCTATTACACAGCTGAGAAAAAGAGGTGACATGACTTGACTTGTTCAAGGTCACTAGCTCATAAGTAGATTTAAACCCAGGCTTGTCTAACTCTGAAGGTCATGCTGCCTCTTGGTGATTAGAAAATGATTAGTTCCTGTCATTAAAAAAATGCAATGTGTTGATCAATCAGTCACTTTAATTTGGAAAGGCAGAAAGACGGAGAATGTGCTTCTTGTTGCTATCAACAGCAACAGGCAGACAGACATGGAACATCCTCTGGTCTCCCTGGAGACTGGAGCTTTCTGTCTTACTGATATTTATAAGCTGCATGACCAGCAGCTCTCAGAGCCTCAGTATGCTTATACCTAAAAATGGGATTAATAGCTCCATTTCTGCCCACTTGATATAGTGCTCGGATGAGACATATATTTTTTAATGAAAAACTGTATGAAAACATGTGGTGTTTCCTATGAGATCTGAGCTGCAAGATCCTGCTGCCTGAGCCAGACCACCCTGTTGGAGGGGAGGTGCTCCACTGGCCAGGGCACTCCTGAAGGCCAAGGCCTGCTGGGTCCTTAGTGCCAGAACATTGCTGCCTGGCACACAGTGGGTGCTCTCTCTGTGTGTGATGCTTGAAGGGAAGAATGGGTTCCTGGTGCTCAGAGAGGTAGAGCTGGGGCCTTATCTGCTGGACCCCTGAGACTGCAAAGGACACAGTTTCTCTTAAGGTAATCTATGCTGCTAAGGGACTAGCATCTTAATATTTACCTAGGCTTGCTTCTCTGACAATAGGATTAACTTCTTCTCTTTATGGGTTTTTTAAAACCAAAACAAACAAAACAACAACAACCCAATTGTAACCACATGTGGTCAACCCAAGAGAGTTATGGATTGTTATCTGAAAGAACATCTATTATGGCAGGAACAGTCTAACCACCAGGGGCAAATGAGGTCTCAGCTCCAGGCTTTCTGGGCTCCCAGAGTCTCCCCAAAATACCCCATGTGCCCTTCAGCATCAGGCTGCTGGATGCCACCCAGAGTGAGAAACCAGGTGCCATCCCTCCATGGGTGGAGGGACATGATGTCCTCACTGGATCTTCTCTAATCAATAAACTGATCATAACAACACTCAAAGCTCCCTCTCAGATTTCAAACCCTTCCAATAGTTTCCCATTTATCTTCAGGTAAAAGCTCACACCCTGAAGATCCCTGTTGACTGCTCGAAGCTCATTTTTTCCTATATCCCTCCTTACCCTCTACACTCAGAAACACGAATCTTCTCAGTATCTCCATGTCTATGCATGTGCTGTTCCTTCTCAGTGGAGCCCTCTTCCCCAAATCTACATCTGGTTCGTTCTTAACTGATCTTCATAGACCTGATCATTACTTTCTCGGGGAAGCCTTCCCTGCCCTGCTCAACACTTGTTATACACTCTGCTGGCACCATGAATCTCTCCTCCATAACACTCAGCAATGTTGTAATTTTACATTTGTTTTTGCAATTATTTCATTAATGTCTGACTCCTTTATTCAGCATGAACTCTCTGAGATTAGAGATCTTGTCTTTCCTTCCTCGTTTTTGTCTACTACAGTCTTCCTAGCACTTTGCTCAGGAAAGCACAAATGAATGAATTCATAGTCCCCAGTGTTGGCAACTTTAGCTGGATTGAGTCAAATGCATCTTTCTGCAGAACTGAATGGGTCTCACCACTCACACATTGGTCAGTCCAAGCATGCAATAGCAGCAAGGGAGAAGGGCTGCAGCTAGCCATGGGCTGGACTTCAGCAGAAGAGAAGACTGGGATTGGCTGCCCTTTGGCAAGCTTGGCTGCCATTCAGCTAACCTGGAAGGAAGTAAGAAGTTAATTACTTTAGAAGCCCACAGAGCAGAATATTTTAGGGCAGTGGTTAAGCCAGCTCTAGCATCCCCAGGAATCACCTGGGAAGCATTTAAAATGCATATTCCCAGGCTACTGTCTGAGTGAGTTTAATCAAGAAATCATATTTAAAAACTCTCTCAGGTTATTCCAATGTATCATACTTGGAGAGACTCTGGTCTAAGTAAATAAAACACCCTTTACTTTGTGTGTGTGTGTTTTGAGATTCCATCCCAATATCTCTGACTGAGAACCCTTTCCTGATTACAAAGGTTCTTTACTAGGAAGAAAGGGAGATGCCTCAGAAAGGCAAATGTGGGCCTGCATGTGTGCGTGTGTGTGCATGTGTGTGCGTGTGTGTGTGTGTGTGTTTGCGTGTGTGCAGGTGTGTGAGCATGTTTGTGCTTGTGCATGAGTGTACTGGGTGTTTCAAATAGGGGCTATTTTTGATTTTTCAAAATACTACATTAAAACATCATCTTGATTACTGAGATTTTGGCACTCCCTTCAATTTTGCAGCCAAAGTAAGTGCTGCACCTGCCTCACCCTAGGCAGGGCCCTTAGGGAATGTACACATAAAGTATGTGTAAAGTACCCAGCACAGTAGGAGACTCAGGGCAGACCTCAGAAAAATCCTGCTCCCAAGGTCACTGCTGTAATCTCAGTAGGGGTAGGGAGCAGTGTAGTAGAAGCCCCCAGACAGGAGTCCCACCTCTGCCTAGGGGATCAGGAGATGATATTGGAGCTGGGTTTGGAAAAGAGTAGGAGTTTGTTAGTCAGAGAAGGCGGAAGGGTCTTCTAGAAAAACAGCAAGATGTTCTGCACGGCTGGAGCCAGGCTGCACGGAGGGGCCTGTGAGGAGCACAGTGGTAAAGTCTGATCCAGGTGGGTCTGGAAAACACACCATGAGCCTGCAGCTTTGTCCAGCAGGTGGGGGCTGGGCCAGAGGCATCTGCACAAATATTCACCATCCTCTGCAGAGCACAGGGCCTTCGCCAAGGTTTCCTACAGCAAACGATGGAAATCAGAACCTCCTGAGGGAGGGTTAAGTGAGATAGGGACAGTGAAATTTCGAATGTGTCAGGGCCATGCCTGTGTGTCATTGTACTATAAGATCTCCTCACAATCTGTGATTATTCGCTCCTCCTGCCTGATGTTGAGGTGGCCTCTCCACGCAAGTTCATATCAGATGGGGGAGCCATTGTAATGTCCCTGATAAAGAAACTTCACCCAGCTGAGAGTGGGAGAAGACACTCACGGAGGCTGGCCCAGGACTGACGAGCGAGTTGTCCCCTCTTTCCTCTCTGTCACCAAGCAACCTCCCCAGCCCTCTCCCAGCGTTGTGACTGTCCTCAGCCTCTGCTCCCCTGCACCCCACACCACCAGGAGCTCCCTTACCATGAACCTGTTCTTGGTGCCCAGGCTTGCAGAAACAGCCAGACAAGGTAGCGTGAGAAAGGGGGAGGGAGGGACAGGGACACATTTCTTCAAGAGGGAGACATAACACGATGTATCAGCTGGAGTTGAAGCAGATCGTCACTGGTGTGGTGAGCAATTAGAGCAACCATGATGACCTCACTCAGGCATTCCTCCCATCCACCGGGTCCTTCACACTTCCACGTGTCACACTATCAGGCTTTTTGGGCCACTGGTTCATGTGGGCACCTGCAGAACTGAGTGGCTCTCACCGGGTGAACATGCCACACTTACTCAATGCCACCTACCCTTTTGTCGCCCACATTCAGGGGTGGCTAAATTCCATGACCGAGAAGATGGAAGCACAAGGGTGAGAGGAGGCAGGTAGCTAAGGAGGGGTCTTCATTTTCTCAGGGATTCCTTTTCCTTTCTCAGGGAAGTTCTGTCAACTTTTTTTGGTTAGAGCCACCATCTTGTTTTTCCTTCTTCCTTTTGCTTCTTCCTCTTTAGTCATGGAATTGCTTTCTAGGGATACTTCATTCTTCTGAGGGTTCTTCAGCCCCTTCAGTTTCTTGCCCTGATTCCTCCACATCCCAGCCAGTACCATAGTCAGTGCTGGAACTAAGTGACATGCATCGCTCGAGAGCCTCCAAACCTCATTTGATTCTCACAGAGGGAGGGTCTGTTAGGAGTCCCTCACCAGGGGTGAGGAAACTGAGTGTGGAATAGGTGAACCGCCCTTACAAGCTCATACAGTAGAGATAACAGTTTTGATTTTGACTGCCTGGCACCCCAGTCCCCCTCTCCGTGCGGCCCTCCACCTTCCTTGGGGACTTGCTCTGTCACTGTCTAGCCCCTGGTCTCAGCGTTCTCCTCTGTGAAATGGGGAGTGATGACAATTGCATCCAGGGCCAGACAGGGGCCAGACCTGGTAAAATGCATTATTCCGTGTTTCAAAGATGTGTGCCTTAAGTATTTGTTTGGTGTTCATTTGGGGGAGGGTAGGCTAAGAGAAAGGCTAAGGTTTCCACTAGGCCAGGAGACTAGGGGCCTTGGCTGCTGCTCCAAGGGAGTATAGCGTCCAGGCCCCTCCCGTACGAGTCAAGGAGGTTTGGGAGGTTGGGGGAGGCCTCTTACTTCTGCTTCAGGGCTTTGGGTAGCAGGGTAATCTGTTTATACTTCTCCCTTTCTTTGGGGACCTGGATTGTATTTCTGATTTATTCTGATGATATTTTAGTGCCCTTTAAAGACAGGCGCCCTGGGCTGTGGCCTGGCTCACTCCCCCTGAGACTTGCTGGTTGTAAGGATAAGATAAGAAAATGCATGGAAAATGTAGGGCAATGCTGGCACATAGTAGGTGCTTCATAAAAAGTGGTAATGGAGACTGAGTTTCATTCCCTAGCCCAGGGCAGATGAGTTCAGCCCTTGCCCAGGCTCCCTGTGCTGAGGCCCCACACAGCCAGGCTGGCCTGCCCCCCACCGCGAGGAGACTTCGGATTTTCCAAACGGGAGACAAGGAGCCCCCGGGCCTACAGCGATCCTGCTTCCCGCCCAAAGGTGGATGGTTTGGCTGCTGAGTTCCCCGAAAATTGATTCCGCATGTTGCCGACATCAGCCCGAACGTTTGCTCAGCCGTGAGGGCCCTCCGGGGAGGCTGAAACCCACACCGCCCCACCGTCCGCCCCCGGCCGCAGGCTGCCAAGCCGCTGCCCGCAGCCAACTCCCGGGCCAAGTGGTGAGCGAGGCTGGGACTGCGACGGGCAGGGGCCTCGGCCTGCCCGGCCCCCCAGGCGGCGGCCTTGACGCCACCTGGCGGCTGCGCAGGGAACTGCACTAGCATGGCAGCCCTTGGCCTGGGACCCGGGAGCGACTTGCTGGAGAGCTAACTCCGTGGAAGATGGTCCTTCTCCCATTCCAGCAACTCCCAGGGCAGGGAAATGCGGTTCCCAAGCCTGGGTTATTTTTAAACGACAGCATCCGCCATGTAGATGCTCTGTTTATGGCTAATGTTCCCAGCCAGTGAGAAGAGCTGTGCATTTAACCAAAGGCAGATGCCAAGATGGGAGCAATTAGGGTGGGCTGGGCCCGCCTATTCCCAGGCCCAGGCTGCTGGGCAGGCAGAGGGCCGGTGGGCCACCCTGAGGCTGAGGTTTCCACTAGGCGAGGAGACTGTGGGCCTTGGCTGGGCTCTGAGAGGCTGTGGCCCCCAGGCTCCTCTGGTATGGCTCAGGGAGGCCAAAGGAGGAAAGAGGAGGCCCTTCAGCATCCCATCTTCAATATCATAACTATTGACAACCTTTGCCTAGCAACAGTGCCTTATAGTTTACAAGGGGTAGGCATTGTTTTTCTCAGTTTGCTAACGAGGAAGCAGAAACTCACAGTTTTCAGAGGCTCCTTCAAGGTCATCTACATAGTGAGAGCTTCAGAGTTTTTGAGATTTTTTTCAACAGAGAACTCTGACCAAATTTCTCACCTTCCATGGCTTGTGGTCACTTTCAGACAAAAGCTCTTCACAGTCTGTTCAATGTATCCGACCAAAGCACGTGCCTACCTCTACAGCCTGCTCTTCTTCTCTGTTCCTCCTCTGCCCCCTGGCTCTTGAGAGTCCTGCCAGCCCCATGCCACCTCCTCTGGGAACTTTTCCATGGGTTCCTTCTCTGAGTTCTCTTCATGTCACTATCTCAGTGGGCCCTGATCTCAAAAATCCTAGAATCTGATTCCAGATCTGATGACCCCTTGACTAAGCATCCTTGTCCCCATTATCTCTGCCACTTAGCCTATGGCCTGACTCAGAAAAATCTTTGCTGTTGTTGAATGGGTATGTGAGCCCCTCCCAGCTGCTTAGCCCTGTGCTAAGTGGAATGGATTCCAGAGAAGGAGAAGGATCTGTGAAAATTCTTGAGAGCTCTAAGGTCTCCTCTGAGTAAAAATTGTCTAAACTAAGGCAAAGCCATATGAGTGACCGGCCAACTAGGCCTGTGAGATCAGGAGAGGCTTGGGGTGGGGCTTCCTGAAGGAAAAGGAGCGGAAACCTGGTGATGAGAGAGAATAGACTTAGTCTTGAGAAATGAGTACCATTTTTCAGGGCATGAGGGGTGGGAGAAACACTGCAGCTGGGCAGGGATGCAGCAGGAATCCCCATCATGAAGGGCCACCAGACCGATACTTGCGTTCCTGTGGTCAGTCTTGGTAAAAGCAAGCTGCACACCAGAGGTTTCAGTTCCCAGCCCCATTGTGGAAGGAAGCATTAAGTTGGGAAGCAAGTGAGGCCTGGATGAGGACTCATGGAAGCTTTCCTATGCCCCTCTCTGTCTTGACAACTGATATCTGCCGTGGTTTCCCTGATTAGCCCTTTGGTTCTCTCTTGGCCTGAATTCCCAGAATCCCAAGATTGATCCAAGCTCTGGTTAGCCCCCTGATGTATCTCTAATTGTGTCTGAGCCCGGCCTTGAATGCCCAACATGTTGCCCATTACCCTAATGCCAAGGGCTCCCAGTGCCTATGCCCTCAACCAAGCTGGGCCATGGCTCAGGACTACATCAGCCTTCCCTTCCTGGTCCTACCTGGACCCAGCCTCTTCCCTCCTCCCTAGTCCTCTGGGTCCAGTGCCCCAGCATGCTTTGCACCTGACAGTGGGAGTCAGACTTAGAGAGGCCCTGAATACCAAGCCAAACAGAGTGGATATTGTGTAGTGGCCTGTTAGGCAGTCTTTCTGGGCTCTGATGGGTGCATGGTGGGTGTGCAGCAACCTCGGGGTGGATGAGGAGGAGGCACAGGAGGCCTGAGCAGAAGGATGGGCTTGTTCTGAAGGGCAGAGCCCACCGTGGTTAACTGTAAGCAATGAGGGACCTAAGGAAACATCAGACCCATGGCCTTTGGTGCCCAGATGACAAAATTCTAGACCAGAGAGGAGGGGACAATTGCCTGGTGTTACATAGCACATGCATGGTGCCATCCCCAAAGGTCAGCAGGAGGCAGCATGGTTTGGAAGTAAAAACATGACCTTTGGATTGAGACAGTTCTGGGTCTCTGTGCCAACATGCCCATTCACTAGCTGTGTCACCCTGGGCAGGTCACTTACCTTCTCTGAGTTCAAGTGATTTTGCCTTTCAGATGGAGGCAATGTTACCTTCCCATAAGGCTGTTATCAGAATTTGATGAGGTAATAGCCATTAAAGTGCCTGGCACCTCACGTGACACCTAGCAGGGCCTCCCAAATACCTCTGAAAAATGTTTAGCTTTTGGAGGATCTAGGGATCACCAGAAAGTAGCAATAGCTAGTTGGATGGACCAGAGGGGAAAGGGCCCAGAGAGGGGGCACGAGGCAGCCAGATTGTCCAACCAGCCTTGGAGTCACTTTTTTAGTCTATTGGCTGGAAGAACCCATGGCAGTGGACCAGGCCGCAGCACCAAGAAGTTACTCTCCACCATCTCCTTTGGCCTCCAGAACCCCCGACCGCCAGCTCTTCTGGGAAAAGCTAGGCGGACTGTGAATGGCGCAGGCTCTGGGCTCCTTGACTGGCTAGGATTGGAGAAGCAAATATTTGGGCAGCCAGCTGCCGTTTGGGGCTTTCTGTCCTCCCTGCTGGATCAGCATGTGCCAGGGGTGCCCAGCTGGGAGGCAAGCGCCCCAACCATGCGTAGGCGGTGGGCAGACACGGAGTCTGCAGATCGCAGGCGCCTCTAGCGGAAGCCCCTGGCCGAGGTTGGAAAATGCCACTCGGGGCCCGCACAATCCATCCTGTTGTAATCCCCGGAGCTGGCGTCACCAGCGCCGGTCCGAAAAATGTGTCGTGCAGGGTCTGAACTCATACTTATGTGTCTGCCGCAGGAGCGGGGGGAGCCGCGGGGGCTGTAGAGGCCCATAAAAACAACCAAAAACGTTTCATTTGCTTTTTTACTTTTTTGTTACAGACCACTTGGCTGTGCGTGCCAGCTGGGAGCTGGGGCCCAGCAAGAGCGCAGAGTTATGGGGCAGCACTAAGTGCTCTGTTTGTATGAAACTGCCAAAATGTTAGTACAAAGTGGTAGGTGTTTGTGCTGCAGATAATAACTGATGGGCTCCCGGGCCGGGAGGCGGACGCCTTGTGATTATGGCCGCGGCTCTTCTGAAAAACGCTGCAGCCGCCTCAAGAGCAGCAGCAATATTTTTCTGAGCACACAGGGCCGGCCTGGCAGTTAATGGGCACGCCTGGGCCTCATGAATCAGCCCCAAGAGGGGTGGAGGCTAGGCTGCTGGTGTTTGTCTGATTCTTGGCGTTTGCCCTCATCAACCAAAAAAGCCCATTCCTTAGAACGTTCCAGAACCCACTGTGTTATGGAAGGAGTAGGGGCCTGTTTGGAATGCCAAGTGCCTGGGTGTCCTGCTTTGGGAAACCAGGGGAAGGTGCCACCTAGAGGGACTTAGAGGCCTGGGAGCTGGAGGGGAGGGTGGGGCCTGGGAAGGCTGGCTCAGACTCTCTGGGAGAGACTGGAAGGGAATGAGAAGATGGACCTGACTTGGAGTGTCAGAGGGACCAGGAAACTGCTTTCACTTGAGCTGTGTCCCTCTGACTGTATCACTTCTCCGTTTCCCAGGGAGGGGTAAAGCCAATTCATAATTGCCGGAAGGTTCTAAGGCACTGAGCAGTCTCAGTGCTCCAGCCCCTCCTTTGTGTGTGTTTGCAAGCTCATGAGCTCATGAAACTTTCATCAGCTTATTTCTGAAGGTGGGGGAAAGCTAAAATGAATTTGTACCATCTACTAGACATTGATCAATTGATTCATCATTCATTAAATCTACTGGTTGCCCCACTTGTAAAGTCTGCTGGATTTTCATTGCTAGATACATCCATTCATTACATTTTACTGAGTCCCCACTCCTTATTATGTTGTTATCTGGACACTGAGGATACAGTCAGAACCAAAAGATCCCTGAACCCGTTGAACCTACATTCTAGTGCTCAGAGACAGGCAAAATATAAACAAATGCATGGGTAAATCATACATCAGATGATGAAGAGAACTAAGAGAAAAAATAAAGCAGGGTAAAGAGACAGAGTGCATGGAGAATGGGAAGCTAGGAAGATGCTGGAGTCAGAGCAGTGAATAAAACATCCAAGGTCCCTGCAATGTGTGGAGTTCACGGTAGAGATGGGAAAGAAGTAAAGGAAGGCGGCATTTGTCCAGTGCAAGTCGTCCGTTGAGTGCTCTGAGCACTTTACGTTTTACATCAGTATCACAGCATGCAGCCAAGCGGGTGGTCGTTATTAGGCCCTGGGGAAAGAGGAGAGAATCAGGGCATGGAGGCTGTGAGAAGCCACTGGTGAGAGTGGTGGGCTGGGATTTGCACCTAAGCCCACCTGACTCAGAACTCATGCTGTCCCACCCCTCCATATTTGCATCCATTGTGGTGGTGGTTAAACTCGCTAGCTAGCTTTGGAATCAGACAGACCTGGCTTTGAACCCTGCCACCCACCTCTTACTGGCTGTGTAATTTTCATCAAGTTATTTCACTGCTTTTAGCTTTAGTTTCTCCATTCCCAATAGGGTTTTTGTGAACAATAAGTAAGAGATTTCTTTGTATAAAATATACATAAAGCTCTTAATGTGATTCTTGGCACAAAAGACCCCAATAAATGGCTAAACTAACATTGGCATTCTGATTTTCTTTATACGAGGACCCTGGTAGACTAGGTGTGATCACTCAGCTCCTCTGGTGCCAGAGGTGGCATTTGGCTTTTGTCACTGAGCAGTCAGTCTTCAACAGGATTCTGCAGTTTTCCAGGAATGACCCCTGAGCTCCTGGCTACGTCCACCCAGACACACACCTTGCCATTCCTCAGAGCTGTGAATTTGCCAATGACTATGATGGCACAGCCTCTCACTGAGGGTGAGGCACTCCTTAAGCCCCAGCTCTGGGCTTTGTGCCCTGCCCCCACTCATTGCCTTTTTTATAGACAGGGAGACAAATGGTGGACTAGTGGACCTGGACTTTCCAGGTGTTCATTTCTGCCCCAAGGAGGGAAAGAGCAGAGGACTCAGGGCAGAACCTTCCCAGTGCTGGGGGAGTTCTGCTTGGTGGCCATGCCGCTAGCTATTGGGAAGCCCCCTTCATGGATGGTCCAGGCTGGTCTCTGCCCTGTAGCAGCTGGTGCAAGTTTCTCCCTAGAGAGCAGGGTGGAGGGTGTTCCCGATTTTACTCCTGAGGCGACCAGTGTGGGGCTGGTGCTTATTTGCTGAATTTTCTGACTTAATGACTCCACAACTGAAACTCCAATAAGTCATTCAAAATGCATGCCAAAATAGAACACTATTAGAAAGTCCGTTTTCAGTCCAAGAAGTTCCTCATTCTTCTTAAATGTGGAAGGGGGGGATGGTGTGGAAAAGACTGAAAAAGTCCCCCAATGTCTGTGCACCCCACTTTCTATGTTAGCAAAGATTTTAATGGGATATATGGCTGTGTAGCTAATAACTATACATCCCAGCCTCCACTGTAACTAGGTGTGACCACACCTAGTTACATATGACTACCTTCTGCCCAGTGGGACTGAGGGAAAGGCGTGTGAACAATTTCTGGATTATGTTGTGAAGGGACAGAGCGAGCCCTTGTTTCTGCAGCCTGCTTCCTGGAACACGGAGGTGGTGGCAGCCGTTTGGACCATACGGTGAGGGTAACACCCAAGCGATGGCAGAGCAACAGATGAAAGAGTCCTGGGCCACCGACCACATAGAGCCGTGACATCAGGCCTGGGTTGCTTGTTACATAAGAGAGAAATGCATTTCCACTTTATTTAAGCTACTTATTAAGCTATTTATTTGGAGGTTTTGTAACAGGAGTTGAATCTCTATTCCACTTAACGCAGATCGGAGCTGTGGGTTGCTTGACCATCTCCAATGCTCAAGGGAGGCTGCTGAGTCAGAGAACAGAAAAAGTCCTGGAATGGAGGATAACGATGCTGCCAGTAAGCATCTTCTTACCTTTCGCCAGAACATCCCCCCACATCTAGCTGCTCACAGAAGCCTCACAGTGTGCGTTACAGATGAAGCTCTGAAAGTGACAGAGCCCAGACCAGAACTCGGGTGTGTGATTCCTAATCCAACCCTCTTCCCCCCATGGCAGGGCTTCCTGTCCATCTATTAATATGTGAAGTGTGTGTGTGTGTGTGTGTGTGTGTGTGTGTGTGGTGTAGAGAGGGGAGGAGAGCTGTAATTCTGCTGCAGTCTTCAAATGAGGACTTTACAGTAGCTGGCTGGGGCCCTTTCAGGAACAGTGGGAGGATCACACTTGCTGAAGCCAGCCAACTGCCTGTGACCCTCTGTCCTGAAGGCTCTGCCCTCTGAGATTTCTCAAAACCAAAGCTGACCCTGGGCCCCAGAGACACCTTCAGGAAGATGAAGTTTTCCAAAAGGGAATGTGTGGTACGATTCTGCAGGGAACACGTCTAGGGACCTAGCAGTGGCTGGGATTTCCAGGAAAGAGTAGATGGACACAGTCATCCAAGAGGCCAATTCTTCCTTCATTTGCAAAATGGCGATACCACCACCTACTTCACTGGGTTCCTGTGGAAATTAAAGGAGTAATGCATGTCGGGGTGCTCTGTAAAGTAAGTGCTCTCCAAATGCTCGTGAAGTTAATGAATAAGAATAGAAAATAAAGGGCTTGCCTCAATGAAATTAATTGTTGTGTAACTACAAAGGGTGTGGTCCCCTTCAAGCATCCTGGCTGCTTTACGTGTCTGGACAGCATCCAAGGAGTGTGGGGTGGAAGGTGGGCACTTGGGGCCTTCAGCTTGCTGTGTGCCCTCAAATGAATCATTGAGCTCCTCTTGGTTTTTTCTCATCTGCAAGAATCAACTGAGATACTGGATCCACTCTGAGGTGATCATTAAAACAAATCTGCTAGAATACTTAATTCTGTTTATATGTTGTCTAAATTGTCAGGTTTTTTCCTCTTCCTATTTAGAATTTTTATATCTCTTTTCATGAGTGAAATTGGCCAGCAATTTTCTTTTCCTGCTGTTCTGTCGTTTTGGTAACAGTATTACACTTCATACAGTGAGTTAGGGAATGTGGCAAACTGCCGAGTGATCATCCCGCTCTACTCTCTATGGTTTCCTGGACACAACTGCATAGCCAGAGACTGCATTTTTCAGCCTGCATTGAGCTGAATGTGACCCATCTATATGATTATCACCAGTGAAATGTGAGTTTAAATAAAATTGCGGAACTTGGACTCTTTCTCCTGCAACCTGGCAGACAAATGTGTCCATGACCAAAGTTCAACCATGCAGATGAGGACAATATCCTAAGGAATGATCAAGCAATGAAATGGAAGAGAGGGAATTTGCTGAATAACTTTGTGGAATAGATCGGCCTATCCAGCCTCTGGTGGTGGTGGTGGGGTGGTGGTTGTGGTCATAGTGGCGGTGTTTTTGTTTATCTGTTTGTCAACTGACATATGCTTGCTTTGCCCAGTAGTCAGGAACATGGTTGAAACTGGTTGTGAACTATTTTATGGCCTAATACCCGTACTATTTTTGCAAATGTTCTATGTGTACTTGAAAAGATGTGCATCAACCAGTTACTGGATAGAAAGTATTAACTACACCCATTGATTGGATTGTTCAAATTTCCATATTCTTTGTAAATTTTTATCTGCTTGATATATCAATACTTAAATATGTTGAACTCTTCCACAATGAATTTTACATTTTCTCTGTTTACAATAAGTTTAAAGCTATTGTATTAATTCAATGTAAGTTAGTAGCCTTTATAATTTCCTAGAAATTGAACCTATTATTTTAATGTAATGGGGGCTCCAGTGTTTTTTTTTAAAGTATATGTTTTATATTAATATAGCTACCCCAGGTTTATTTAGTTAACCTTGATCAATAACCTTGGTCAATTTTTCCCTTCTTTTACTTTCAATCTTTTTGTGTTCTTATGTTTTAGATATATCTCTTTTAAACAGCATATAGCTATATTTTTAATCCAATCTGGTACTCTGTAGTTTAATGGGTGACATTAGGTTTTTTATATTTGTTATGATTTTTTATTTTATTTTATTTTTTTGGTTTCTTACAAGAGCTTACTCTGAACTTTCTCTTTGCCTTGTATTCTGTACTACCTCCTTCTCTTGCTTTTTAAATAATTGTTTTTTAAATAGTCATTGTTGGTTTAACTTGTCATTTCTACATTTTTTAAGTTATACATTTAGTTTCTATTTTAGTTATTGCATTTGCTTTTTACCTTGTATGCTTAACATCATTACATGATATATTAAATCGTATATTAAATATTTCCCCTCAATAGTAAAAGAAGCAACACAAGAATGTTGAAATGTTTTAATTGCAGTCACGTTTTTCCTGACTTACATGGTATTGTCATTGAGTATTGTAGGTCTATCCTTTTTAACCTCATAAACAGTCATGTGTTACTTAACGATGGGAATATATTCTGAAAAATGTGTCCTTAGGTGATTTTGTAGCTGTGGGAATATCATAGAATGTACTTACAACAACCTAGATTATATAGCCTACGACACACCTAGGCTATCTGGCATAGCCTATTGCTCCTAGGCTATAAACCTGTACAGAATGTTACTGTACTGAATACTGTAGGCAACTATGGCACAATGATAGCTATTTGTGTATATAAATGTAGAAAAGGTACAATAAAAATACAGCATTATAATCTTATGGAACCACCGTCCTATATGCAGTTCATTGTTGACCAAATTGTTGCTCTGCAGCACATGACTATATTATACATTCTCATATTGCTATTGTTGTTGCTACTATTATATTTTCTATTGAGACAATGTCTGGTTTACATTTACCCACGTTTACCAATTTCTTTATTTTTTATTGCACTTCTTATGAGATCATCATCTCTCTTTCTTAAGTTCATTTTTAGAAATTCTTTTAGTGAAGGTCAGCTTATTGTAAACTCACTTTTTGTTTATCTGAAATGTCTATTTTGTCCTCATCCTTGAAAGATAGTTCCTTTAGCTAGTTATTATTTTTTGCAGAATATAATATTCTAATATTCTATATTAGAATTCTATATTAGAATATTATATTCTACTATATATAATATTCTACTATGTTCTGGCTTCCATTACTATTGAGAACTTTGCTTTCAATATAATTGTATTCCTTTGGGGCTGATTGCCTTTTCTCTCTGGCTGCTTTTAAGATATTCTCTTTGCTGTTGGTTTTTCTGCATGCTTACTACAATATTATAGGTACAGCTTTATCTGTTTAGTTTTGCCTTGTATATTTATGGCTCTGTGTCTATAGATTTACACCTTTTCATCTGGAAAAATTCTGGAAATCTTATTCATTACTCCTTTGAATATTGACTCTCTGATTTCTTACTGTGCCTTCTCATTTTATTCTTCACATCACTTACCCTCCGTATTTTCCATTTCCCTGTATGAGCTACATTCTCATAAATTTCTTCAGCTGTATCTTCCAGATCACTAACTCTCTATTCAATTGTCTCTAATCTACTGTTTTATTTACTACATTTTCAACAATGTTGTTTTCATTTCTAAAATTTTTAAGTTACTCATTTTTGTATGTTTGTCTATTTCTGACTGTTTCTCATTCCTTGTACATTTTTAGCTCCATATTTTCATTATCTCTTTAAAATAGGACTATTTTAATATTAATAGCGTGTTTATTATAAATCCAGTATTCCAAGCTTTTGAAGGTACAAATCTGTTTGTCATTCTGTTGGCTCTTGCCTATTCCATATGTGTTTGGTAATTTCTATTGTGAGCTCATTTTGAACTGATTTTATTTAAGAATCTTGTCAGAGGTTTTTTTTTTTCATAAACGATTGATATATGTCTGCTGTCAGCCATGGAGGTCTAGAAATCTGGATTCATTTTAGTTCCCTTCAAAGTCCCCCTGGTTAAAGTTGAAGTCTTGGACTCAGGTCTCTGACCTTGCCTTCCACACAGGGATTAATCTCTTTATCACAGCATTGACATTTTCCCTCAAGAAAACTCTGCCTTTTACATGTGAATTTCAGTTTGCTGAACTTTTTTTTTTTTTTGGCCACATTTGGCCATGGAAATTTCTCTTACTTTCTAGGGAGCCCAGGAATGCATTAAGAATTCTGTTTGTTGTAATTAGTGCAGGATCCAGTGGGAGGGCTTTTCAGAGTTTATCGGCGCCTTACTGCCAGGCACAGAAATAGTACACAAAAATCTATACTTTAACTGAGCCCCTTTAATAGGAACAGGTCAGGACAGATCTGCCAGGGCATTTGGACCGTGAGGGCTGGGGACAAGGCAGGATCCTGGATGCTGAGGTGATTCAGATGTGGGTCTTCCTGAAGGGAGAGAGGCACTTCCTGGATGAGGTCAACATTGAGGGAAGGGTCAGATTGCAGGCTTGGATCAGATGGTCCTGAAGACGAAGGAGCAGAAGGTAGGACATGCCATGAGGGGTTTGCATCCCTGGAACTGGGCCAAGACAGTGGGGCTTCACGGCAATGGAGCTATTCTTCTTGGGGATCAGCTTTCTGCACAGTCCTGGGTGGAATACTTGGTTTACTGAGGCAGAGACCACCCAAATGAATGTGCTTCCATGGATACGGAAGAGACCAACTCAGTGTCTTTCTACTGGGCATTGCAGTAACCTGTGGGCATTCCAAGTCAGTGCATCAAGATTGCAGAAGAGAATGAGGTCAGCAGGGGCTGGAAGTCACACTAGACTTAATTCCTACACACCTTCGCACAAGCTGCTCCCTCTTCCTGGGATGACCTTTCCTCTATTTTTACTCTGATGGACTCCTAGGTCTCCTTCAAGGTCCAGCTCAGTGGTAACTCTTCAGTGGAGACTTCTCTAATGATCCCAGGGATTTGGTGGTTCTCTCTTCGGTGACCCACAGCACTTACTACATCCCTCTCTTATGGGACTTTTCACAATGACTACAATGTATCTTCTGCCCCTCCAACTTCATCCCTGGGCTCCTGGGCAGAACCACTCTTGCCTTCCCTCTTCTCTCCACAGGACTACTCATTTCTGCTTTTCATATTTGAGATTTGTGCATGGCTATGTTGTGAACTCCAGCACCAAGGATGCTAGAGAGCCTTGCAGCCTGACCTGCAGCCAATGGATTCAGTGTCCTCAATCCAAATTCTCAAGGAAAACTTAGGTTCTAGCCAGCTTGCCCCAAGAGCTGTCGTTTCTGGACCAGACACCAGAGAAAAGAGGGTGTTGTTAATCTGGCACTTAAATGGCAGTGCAGGACAGTATTGGGGGTGGCCTCAGAGCAGGGTGTAGTCAGGGAGGCCACAGCGGACATTCCTAGTTGACAGAGGCACCACATGAGAGCCAGGGCCCCACCCTAGAAGAGGACTGTGGAGCACAAAGCAACATTTCAGCTCTCTCCTTGGGCTTCCCGGGGCAGCCTACAGGACCCAGGAGCTGAGCAGCTGGCCTGAGTGGACCCGGGTCAGGGAGGAAAGCCTGCAGGTTCTGTGTTCAGCAGGGCTCCACCTTGGCCTCTCTGCAGCCCACCTGTACCCACCTTCTAGAGGCTAAGTTCTAGTTCTCTCAGAGAGCAGCTGTGCAGGCAGCACCATGACTTGTCACAGAAGCATGCCCCTGACACTGGCCATAGCCCAGGGCTGTCCTAATCCAGATGTGTCACCAATGTCCTGCTGAGCTACTGGCCTCAGAACAGCTGAAGATGCTAATACAGCCAGCTCTGACTCTGGGCCCTCATCCTGGAGCACTTGAGTCTCTTTAGATCCAACTCCTGCTTATTGGGAGCTGCCTGGGGCAGGCCATGCACTGCCTGATGTTTAGACACTCACCTGTGGTGTTTATGAGGGTGGTGGTCATTTCCATCATTCAGATGGGCAGACCGAAACCCAGGTGGGGAAGGGGTTGTCTGAGACCACAGAGCTCATAAGTGACAGCACTGTGATTTGGAGAGTCTCAGGCCCACAGGTTCTGCATTCGAGTCCCACACTGCCTCTGAAAGGTGAGAACCCGAGGCCTTCAACCCTTGGCAATTACCCTTTTCAGCTCTTTTCTGTTCATTCATTAAAAAGAACATGTTTACTGAGCAAGGACTACATGCTAGACATAGGAATTGTGCAAGACACAAAGGTAAATCAAATGTGAATCTTGCTTTTAC
This sequence comes from Homo sapiens, assembly GCF_000001405.40. Taxonomy (NCBI): domain Eukaryota; kingdom Metazoa; phylum Chordata; class Mammalia; order Primates; family Hominidae; genus Homo; species Homo sapiens. The sequence continues at coordinate 15,929,015 of NC_000011.10, read as the reverse complement.
ATTGCTCACAATCTATTATTTGCCAAGGTTACAAAGGAAATGCTGAAAATCCTTAAGACCCTTTGAGTAGACCCAAGCACTCATTCATATAGGACAAACCTGTTGTTTCTGCAGTGGCTCTGTAACAGCTCCGTGTTACCCATGGGCTCAAGTCCAGACTCCTTCCCGAGGCTCTCAGGCCCCCACCTCCCTGTCAAGCCTCTTCTTTGGTCACTCTCTCCCTTGTTTCAGCCATGCCACATGACTGTTTGTTCCCTGAAGGTGACTGCTCCTTCTCTGCTCTCTGCCTTAACACCTGCTATTTCCTGGAATGCCTTTCCTTCCTGATAACCCCCTCTGTCCTTGTGAAGAGCTCAGACATGCTCTCCTCTGTAAGGACACCACTGCTGTCACCTTCTAAAGACAGAAATCCACTCTCCCCTCTGATGCATCGCCACACCCTGCAAAGCAACTGCTGTGGGTGAAATGGTGGATTCCCAAAAGACACACCCACTCAGAACCTGTCAATGCAACCTTATTGTGAAAAGGGGTCTTGGTAGATAATATTAAGTTAAGGATCTTGAGTTTCAATCATCTTGGATTAGGGTAGGCCCAAGATCCAATGAGAAAAGGCAGAAGGAGATTTAACAGACACGGAGGGGAAGGCCAGGTGAAGACGGAGACAGAAGTCAGAGATGGAGATAGAGAGATCGCAGCCACCCGTCTACAAATCAGGGAACGCCAAGGATTGCTGATGGAAACCAGAAGCTAGGAGAGAGGCATGGAACTGATTGTTCCTCAGAGTTTCCAGAAGGAACCAGCCCTGCCAATGCCTTGATTTCAGACTTCTGGCCTCCAGAAGTGTGAGTGAATAAATTTCTTTTGTGTGAAACCACCAAGTTTGTGGCAATTTCTTATGGCTGCCTTAGAAAATGAATAGAACATTGTCTGAACAGCACTGCACTCATTCATTCACAGACCTGTTCCATCTGCTGGGTTGTGAGCACATCTTTGTACCCAGCCCAGCAGTCCATGACACATACTTGGTGCTTAATAAAAGTTCATTGCACTGAATTGCCAAAGGAAATTTTTCTGTAAGAAGTAATTGAAAAGGGATCTGCTTCATGAGGTCAAACTTTGCCAAGTAATAAATGAAATGGCCTGTTAGCACTGGCCTATGGGGACGAACTAGATTTGGTGGGTCAATTAATAAATCATCAAATGCCTCTGGCCCTGAGTCCACATCCAGATAGATGAGTGATGCTTGCTTGCTCCTCATTAAAGGATTTTAAGAACAAAGTCCATTTGGGAAAAGGAGGAGGTGTGTCCTACAGAAGCCACTTTTCCATGGGCCACGTGCGTGTCAGCCATGGGATGGGTTTAAGTATTTACACAGAGAAGTGGTTCCTCAGGAGGCTGAGTCCTAGGGCAGTGGAAGTTTGTTACAGGCCTTGGGAGCTTGGGGGATGCCTGTAGTTCTGTCCCCAGAATCTTGTACATTTCTTCTGTTAAATGATCCTTGGAATTTTCTTTGGGAAATCATTTCTCCTCGGATTTCAGCTCTGTTGTTTGGATGGGGATAAAACTGACCCCAGCCTAAACTACTCAACACAATGCATTCCTGAGGCCATGGTGATTGGTTTAGGGGTGGGCACATGACTCACACAGGGCCAATGAGATGAAAGACACTTTTGATGAGAATTCTGGGACAAAGGTCTGCGCTTTTTCTCTTTGGCTACAAAGCTGGATGCTTCCAGGTCAGAGCTATTGCTCAGGTTGTCAACTGAGATGTCTGAAAAAAAGGGCTGAAAGACAGAAAAATGAGTTCTGATGAAATGGTTTGAGCTCCAGTCAAGCTGAAGCTAAAACTATCCCCCACCCCCTGCCCCCAGACTTTTAGCTTTGTGAGCCAGTTAATTCTCTTTTCTTATTGTAGCTTGGGTTGGGGTTTCTTACATGTGTAACCAACAGTTAGAGTTCTGACTCTCATAAGGGTGATATGGTGAGTCCAATTCTTAAAATATCTAGGCAAGTAAAATAGCTTCGTATGGCGACATGGTATGGGCTTTCTAGTTGGGGAGTCTTGAATTCAAATTCCAACTCTATCCAGCTGTGTGACCTTGAGGAAAATATTTAATTTTTCTGAGCCTTATAATTTCTTATCTATGAAACAGAGACAGTACCTGTCTTTGGGGTTTATGTATACTAGAGATAGCACATGCAAGTCACTTGGCATGGTAACTGGCCAAATTCACCTTCTGTACATGGTTCCTTAAGAGGGGCATCACTCCTTTCTTTGCCCACTCTGACAATACCAATTATCCTCTGGACTTTTGGGTTGTCTTCTGTATTAGTCAGGGTTCTCCAGAGAGACAGAAGTAATATAATAGATGTACATATGAAAAGGAGTTTGTTACAGAGAATTGGCTCACATGATCACAATTCCCATGATAGGCCGTCTGCAAGCTGAGGAGGTAGCAAGTGAGTTGTGGCTCAGTCCGAGTCCAAAAACCTCAAAAGTAAGGAAGCTAACAGTGTAGCCTTTAGTCTGTGGCCAAAGGCCTGAGAGCCCCCAGCAAACTACTAGTATAAGTCCAAGAGTCCAAAGGCTGAAGAGCCTGGAGTCTAATGTCCAAGGGCAGGAAGTATCCAGTATAGGAGAAAGATGAAAGCCAGAAGACTCAGCAAGCCAGCTTATCCCACCTTCTTCTGTCTGCTTTGTTCTAGCTGCACTGGCAGCCGATTGGATGGTGCCCACGTGCATTGAGGGAGAGTGGGTCATCCTCTCCCAATCCACTGACTCATATGTCCATCTCCTCTGGCAACACCCTCACAGACACACCCAGAAACAATAATTTACCAGTTATCTAGGCATCCTTCAATCCAATCAAGTAGACATCTAATATTAACCATCACATCCTCAGAGGCATTTCTACATTTTTTGATTTGAGACATAACAGATCTTTTTATTAGGTTGTTTACTTTTAATTATAAAGGCAATAAATGCTCATTGAAGAAAATAAGAAAATTTAGAAATGGGAAGAAATAAAAATCATCCTATGACTAACAGTTAATCACATTTGCTATATTTAATACTTAGGTTGTTTATAACACAAGTTTTTGGTTTGACAGAGGTTATACTTCCCACTTCCCTTGGTATGAAGTATTCAAAGGTTACTGAGGTGGTCATGAAGAAATCAGCATAAGAATTATGGAGCTTACTGAGAGAGGAAGAAAGGATGGAGAAGCTGACCATATTCCATTTTGAAAGCTTCTGGAGATGATACCAACTGAGATTATGGGGAGGAAGGGACACTGTATTAGATTCTGCTGCTAATTTCAGAGATCCAAATAAGCGATAGCTTAAAATAATAAAAAAGGAGGAGGAGGAAGAGAAAGTGTTATTTTGCTCTCAGGCAGCTTCACATGGCCTCACACAGATGTGCACTGCCCCTGTCCATGGCTGTGACAGCATCTTAGATGGATGGTTCTAGGGAGAGGAAAGGATGAAACAGTGGGCCTCTCAAGTGTGATTGGCACCAACTTGGGCCTGGTAAGCTATGCATGGCTGGTAAGGCATTTCTGCTCCTCTTAAGCAACTCCTAGCTCATGCCTCTCCATCTCTAGAATATGGTCCTCATTCTCATGATTCAAATGGCAACTAAAGCTTTACACAGCATATCTGCATTCCAGAAAACAAGATGGAGGAAGGGATAAATAAATAGGGCAAAGGGTATATCCCAGCTTCCTTTTAAGAAAGGTTTAAGGAAGCTGTAACCATTTTGCTTGCATCCCATTGGCCAGAACTTATCCTGCCTGCCCGCAGGGGAGTATGCGCGATGTAGTCTTTCTTCAGGATACTAAAATACAGAAGTTACATTACCATGGAGGAAAGGGGAACCCCACCAGGGCAAGGGGTGACTGATCTGTTGGCCATCGCTCCTCATTACAGCTGATACTGCCCTGGGGAAAGGTCGTGGGGCACAGTGTGAGGCTGGCTCAGGAGCCTCTCTTGACCACCCAGCCCAGCCCTAAGAATTTTCTTTGGGATTAATCTCTCTGCTAGTGACAGTAAAGAGCTCAGGCCCAAGTTGGTGGCAATCATGATTGAGAGGCCCACTCTTTCATCCTTTCCTTTCCCTAGAACCATCTATCTAAGATGCTATCACAGCCATGGACAGGGGCAGTGTAGGTCTGCGTGAGGCCATGTGAAACTGCCTGTTTCTAATAACAACTCTGTGAGGCTGCAAACTGCCCTTGTTCTCTACTTCTTTCTCCTTGGATGGCCCTGGGGACAATGTTGGGGCAGGAAGTGATGGTTAGCAGAGTGATCTGGCCAAGGCTTCCCCTGAATGGGCTGCAAGTGAGTCTCTGGCTACTGAAAACACTGATACACTAGCTCAAGATGACACACGGTGAGAAGGATGACAGGACTGAATTATATGTGTGAACATCCCTGGGAGTGCAATTCTTCCTGACCCCGGATAGGAAGTGAAGGACAATCTCACAGTGGCAAGATGGGAGTGTGGGTTATGTTAATGGGGTTATTAGGAGAAATGTAACGGTGTGAAGAACATACTGTGTATATATAAAAAAAACCATTTTCCAGCATAGTTCATGTATTGTTCTTTTACAATTTAATATATCCAAATGTTTTCTCTTACAATCTGAAAATAGTGAGTTTCCTTTAGGGGTCCATATCTTGTTTATCTTTCTTTATATATATATATTTTTAAATTATACTTTAAGTTCTAGGGTACATGTGCACAACGTGCAGGTTTGTTACATATGTATACATATAAGACAGATGCCTATTTCAGTGCCTGGCATATGGGAACTAATGAACATGTATTTATTGAACTGACCTGACATTGTCATCTAATCATCGCCTATATATCTCACAGAATTTTTGTGCTATAATTTATTTAATCATTTCCCCTTTTTTAAGATGTTAGATTATGTATTATTTGTACAACATTTTGCTAATATAGAAAACACTATGAAGGACATTTTTGTACAAAAGCTTTCGATCTTTAAGATGATTTTATTTGTGTAGATTAACAAGAGGAGGATTCCCAGGCCAACGCATAGATGAAACAAACTTTCTCAGAGCTACCTGGATCTTAGGAGGAAAGACCAATGGGAGGAAGGAAGGGGAGGAAGAATTTTCCTAATGGAACTTAATTTTTACCATGAAGAGAGAGAGAGAAAGAGATTCAGAGTAACCTAATGACAGTCTCATACTCTGCATCACCTAAAAATATTATCCTCTTAATTTTATGAGAAATAAGATTACATCAAACATATACTTAGAGCATTGGCAGGGTTTGTTTTTTTGCCACACCTATAACCTTGTTCTTGGTGCACTAGCGTGGTGTGGAGAAGAGACTGAGCTGAGCGCTAGCTCTCAAGTGTGATTCTCTCCCTGTTTGGCAAAGGGCAGGGTGTGCACATGCAAATAGAATCAAATTAGTGTCTAATGACTCCTACAAGACAAACTCTCTGAGGAAACTCTTAAGCTGGGCATGGGGTTGCTTTGTCATTCACTGGTTTTGGCCTTGTACTCTGGTTCAGCTTGATGGATGGAAGATCCCAGAATGTCTGCCTTTGAGTGATCTGTAGTTGGCTGAATACCCAGAGGATGGAGCTCTCACCGTGTTGCTTAGTAATCTCTCTTCCTAGCTCTGTGATGTACTTCAGTCATCAGGTCTCATCTGATTAATTTCCGAGTCACAATTCATTGTCCCTTCTGCCTGGAGACAAGTAAAAAGTAAAAGCAGTGTGGGTTCCACATGAAACCATGAAACCATGAAGGCTTTTTTTTTTTTTAAATAAGGCAGGGCCTCACTCTGTCACCCAAGCTAGAGTGGAATGGCACATTCTCGGCTCACTGCAACCTCCACCTCCTGGGTTCAAGGGATTCTCCCACCTCAGCCTCCTGAGTAGCTGGGACTACAGACGTGTGTCACCACACCCAGCTAATTTTTGTACTTTTAATAGAGATGGGGTTTCACCATGTTGGCCAGGTTAGTCTCGAACTCCTGACCTCAAGTGACCCACCCGCCTCGGCCTCCCAAAGTTTGGAATTATAGGCGTGAGCCACCGTGCCCAGCCTCAACCACAAAGCTCTTCTGAAGCAACATTGAATCTACTGCATTCAGTGGGTCAGAGGAGGCTTTTGAAATGTCTCACTGCCAGGGACTCAGGGCTCATGCTTACTCTGCAAAAACTTGAACCTATCTTGAACAATGGGCTTTTCCCCAGTCCCTACCCACCCACATTCACTTATTAATCAATGATTTAATACAATGTCCCGGGCAGTGTGCTAGGCTGGACAGAAGGGTTTTGAGAATCAGTGATTAATCCAACATCATTAAGTACCTACTCCCAGCTGGGTGCTGGAGGAATAAAGAGGAAGAAGACCGATAATTTGCCTTCAAGCTCTGACAACCTGGCAGAGGAGCAAACATGAGAATATAAAAGAACAGTTGGGTATTCTCAGACCTCTGATGATGGAATGGACCCAGGATAACCCACAGGAGGGGTAGCTGTTTAAGTCTTGGGATGGTGGAGGAGAGGGGTTAAGAGGGCTCCATCAAGAAAAGGATACTCAAGTTGGGTCTTTTTTTTTTTTTTGAGACGGAGTCTTGCTCTGTCGCCTAGGCTGGAGTGCATTGGCACGATCTCGGCTCACTGCAAGCTCTGCCTCCCGGGTTCACACCATTCTCCTGCCTCAGCCTCCGGAGTAGCTGGGACTACAGGCGCCCGCCACCACGCCCGGCTAATTTTTCCTATTTTCTCGTAGAGACGGGGTTTCACCATGTTAGCCAGGATGGTCTCAACCTCCTGACCTCGTGATCTGCCCACCTCGACCTCCCAAAGTGCTGGGATTACAAGCGTGAGCCACTGCACCCGGCTGTCAAGTTGGGTCTTGAAGGAGGAGCTGGTGTTTATTGCATGGATGGGTAGGAGGAAGAGGAGGGAATTGAATGGCAGAGTGAGCAGCCTAGGTGAGTTTTGCAGCATTTGTGGGGTGTGGGAGTGATGCAGATAGGGTATGAGGAAAGAAAAGAAAGGAGGGGGGGATGCTGGGAAGACTGAAGAGGGTCTTCTGGGCCAGACTAGGAATTGGGAGAGGCAGGAGCAGTAGGAATGAGACTTGGCCACCCTCACCTATGTTCTGAGTCATTGGAAGCTTTGTAGCACCTTGTTAAGCTCTCACAAAGAAGAGGAGTTGTGATATGAAGGGGTCCCCTAGAGCCACTGATGCCAGCTCAGGGAAACCAGGAGGCTGGGTTCCTGGCTTTGGACATGACGGCTGCAAAAGGACGTTGGGGCTGTGAGGTCAGCTGGTAGGGTAGCGGGAAGGGGCAGTTCTTGTGGTCTGAGGGACTAATGGTGTGTCCAGGGAGCTGTAGGTAAGTCCAGGAATGGAGGTCTGTGGGGTCTTCTGCTTTGCAGAAGCCAAGACAAGCCCACAAAAGGAATAATCCCATCCCCATCAGCCTCACCCCACCTGGCCAGCCTTTTGGATTTAAAGGGCCCCTGCCAGTGCCTGACTGAGCTCCTTCACTCTAGCAGGTACTATTAAATGCGGACTTTGGACCTGGGTTTGAATTCTAGTACTATGGCCTCAGTCTTCTCATCTATAAAATGGGAATAGCATTAATATCAGTTTCAAAGTGCTGTGATAATTAAGTGGTTAAATGGTAGGTGCCTGGAAGACTCTGAGGGTCCTGGTCTCAGAGGGGTGGGCAGAAGGCTGGAAGCAAAGATGACTGCCTAGGAGTCAGCAACAGCCACATCCCTTTGCCTGCCCCATCCGCCCTCGAGGGCCAGCCTGTGAGGAGCTGGCAGTGCCAGGGCCCTGAGTGCTGCGGGCTGTGCTGATTGAACGGCCTCCTTCACTAATCAGGCTATTGCTGTGGAGTGCAGTAGCGGGGCCTGGAATGCACTCTGCTAATCAGTGTGCATTCTTAACTGTTGCAGTTGAATATTTTAACTAGAGCTCTCCTCCCCTGGGCTGATTGAGGCACAATCCCTGTCTGCCTGGGATAGGGGTTGCCAGGGCAGAGGGCCAGGAAGCAGAAGAGACAGGCTTGTGTTTGAGGATTCTAGGCAGGAAAGTGAGTTCCAGATGAGTAATGCATTCACCTATTTCCTTTTAACTCAGACATCCAAGTGGCCAGTCACTCTGCGTGGGTCTATTACCTGTGGGTAGGTAGCTAGTTATCTATCCATCCAACTACCCACCCATCCATCCACCCACCCATCCATCCACCCACCCTCCCATCCAGCTATCTATCCACCCACCCATCCATCCATCCATTTATTTTCCTCCCTCCCTCCATTCCTTCCTTTCTTCCATTCTCCAGGTTCTTGTGGCCCCTCTTTCCTTTACCATTCAAATATGATGCCAGAGCCTTCACCATGCCTGACCAGAGGGCATCTCAGCCCCACCTGAATTTTCTGAAGCTTTCTGGGGAGTGTTGACCTGCAGCCATTGCTGCTCGACACCTCTGTCTGTGAGCTATAGGCCTGGGCTTCTTCTGCATGCTCTATCGCTGTCCCTGCTTCTGTGGACCCTTCCCTTTTCTCCCCGTGTTTGCCCCAAGTATGGACACAGGAGCTTCCTTTACTCTCCACGTCTCCAGTGACACAAAGTTGTCATGAGTCATGGACTGTATTGAGGATATTCTAAGAGAATGGCAACACAGAGAAGGAAAACTTAAAATTACACCTTTTATGACAAAGTTCCCAAGGCCTACTATTTATGGCCCATCACAAGGAGCCCTTTCACCTCCTTCTCCAGGTCCTAGTGGCCTCCATCTCCAGGCAGGGGCCAAGGAGGGGCACTGCTGCTTCCACTCAACTCAGGGTCTTCTCTCATCTGGGCCCAAAGCCATGGAACTTCTACCTTCCTACTCATCAGGAAGAAGAAAACAGAACAAAAATGAAAAACTGCCACTCTTTTAATATTTTAAAAAAAAATTAATGGCAGGGCGCAGTGGCTCATGCCTGTAATCCCAGCACTTTGGGAGTCTGAGGTGGGCAAATCACTTAAGGTCAGGAGTTCAAGACCAGTCTGGCCAACATGGTGAAACCCCGTCTCTACTAAAAGTACAAAAATTAGCTGGGTATGGTGGTGGGCACCTGTAATCCCAGCTACTCAGGAGGCTGAGGCAGGAAAATGGCTTGAACCCAGCAGGTGGAGGTTGCAGTGAGCCAAGATCATGCCACTGCACTCCAGCCTGGGTTACATGAGGGAGACGCTGTCTCAAAATAAATACATACATACATACATACATACATACATACATACATACATACATACAATTAAGGTACAAATACATACACGCCCTTATTCATAGGGCAGACTCTTAAGTTTGGCCCTGAATTTCCTTAACATGCACTTTTAGAGTAAGCCTGCAGCCTTGCCTTTATAAAACTGAGAGGCCTGTTATAGTTTTCTTTCTCCCAAGAGAAGAGCAGTCTTTCCCCAAGAAGAATTTCCCAAGTCTCTCTAGTTTACAAAACTGACTGGATCTTCTTGGTTTTATCCTGGTATATACTCATGCTTTTATGTGTACTCCAATGTAGTCATCTTTTATTTTTTAATTTAGACAAACAGTTGTTTATTGTGTACCTTTTAAGGCCCAGGCTCTGAGCTGGACACTGACGATACAGCTGTAAATAAAACAGATGCCTGTGTCTTTCTGGTGCTAACAGTAGAGTGGAAGAGAAGATAAAAAATGAATGTATAATACACAATCAACAGAAATAAGTGCTAGAAGGGGAAAAGACATCTGAGCAGGCTTCTATATACCTATTTATTTATTCATTTGTCTATTTTTGCTCATTCATTCCTCCCTCCAGTCATCAGCAAATACTGACTGAACACTTGCAATCTGTCTGACACTATGCCAGGCGCTGGAGACCAAAATATAAAAATCGCCTTGACCATTTATTCAAGGTACATACAGCTTGGTAGGTGGAAGGAAACAGATACATAGTTAACAATAGTGCAGGGAAGCTGAAACTAGAACAGAAAGATGGTTGTCAATCAGTGGAAACTACAGGACAAAATAGTCACTGTGTTTGGAAATCTAGAGAAAGGCTTCCTGGAGGAGGGGTCATTTGATCAGGACCTGAAGGATGGATAGGAGTTTGCCAGGTGAAGAGGAAGGTACTGGCATTGCAGAATGACAGAAGAGCAAGCAGTGAGATCTGGGGGCTAAATAGAACGGGGTGGAGTTGCTAGTGGCCAGAGAGTGTGTGCAGGGAAGAGGGGAAGTGGCAGATGAGGCTGGCAGTTTTCCAGGCTCTTAGAAAACTCCCCTGGAGAAGAGCTTGACAGCTACACCTGCAAAAGAGGTATCAGAAAGGGGCCAGAGCTGTAGAAGACATCAGGCAGGAGAGGAAAAGGCTGGCTTTATGGGGAGGAAGAATGGAACAATTTTGGCAGCATTTGGAGGCCCCCAACCTCTGTACTTGATACCTGCTGGGGTGTGTTTGGCTTCTATATGAGAAGCCTGTTGCTGCAGAGTAAATTCTCCCTGGTTGCCTGCACTTACCTCCCAGTGTGTTAATGAGTGCAGAGCTTCAGGAGATGCCAGAGCCTGTTATTTAGTATTTGTCGAGTGGAGCTGCAAGGCCAGGTGGAGGCACTGTCAGTTAAGAGACAAGGATGCTCCCGCCAGGCCTGGCACCTGGCTCTGCTAGACCAGCCATAAGCCTGGGGAAGAGAGAACTCAGTGAAGAGAGGAGGCAAGGAGCTCTGTTTAAGAGGAAAGTGAACATGTGGACTGAAGACCAGGGAAGGAAGTGTTCTGAATATGGCAAGTTGGTTCCCAGGATTCTTGGGAACACCCAGGGGAGTAGCTTCTGCGGCAAGATGGTAGTGTGAAGTATTAACCTTTGCATTTTGACCCTAGGACCTTCCCTCTTCTGGGTGGCTAGACATGAAAGAATGCTTCCTAGGCATTTTTTTTTTCCACCTGAAAAGAGATTAAAGCAAAGCAAAACAAAAATTTTCCTTGCGCTGGAAAAGAAACAGCTGGAGCACATACTAGAGTAGCATCTAGGCTGCTGAAACAAAGAGGGTTAAAAATAAAGTGTCATTAAAAAGATGGAGGTTATCTTATTCTAACTTAACAATCATCAAGTGAGCATCACCATCCAGGTCAGCAGGTGGTTCTACTCCACAAGAACTCTCAAGGACCTAGGTTCCCTCCATCCTGATGCCCCACCATCCCTTAGAATGATAACCCATAGGGCCAAAAGTGGATTACAAACACATCCATGTTCTAGCTAAAGGGAAGAGGAAGAGTGCATTGGTAGATTATATATTATTTAACAAATTTTAACTTCCTTTTGGTTCAGCTTAACAGGTTGGGTAAACTTCCCTGCTCTAGCTCTACATCTAGGCCCGAAGAGGTATCATGAGTTTCTGTTTGATCCTTTGGAAGCTTCTGACCTCAGATATGAGCAAAACCTGCCCAAGGTAGCTGCTATTTCTGGAGCTGTGGTGCTAGAATGAAACATGTGGAACTGACCTGAACTCAACCCCTAACCAGGAACATAGCAGCTACTCAAAAGCCTGCAGACCTGTGAATAAGAAATAGATACTTTTGTTTATTTGCTTCTGAGTTTTGAGTGATTTTATGCAGTATTATTACAGCAAAAGCTGATTGATACAAAGTACAAATTGAGGGCAAGCAATTTTCATTTAAGCAAGCATGAGTGAAAAAATAATTTTCTTTCATATTTTACTAATCATATGACCACAAATAGCTGCAAGGGAGGTTGAAAAATAGAGTCTGTAGTTCAACAATCATATGCCCAGTTTAAGAGAAGATAATATAGATGGATGGCAAATACACATATGAATTAAACCTGCAATGAGATGTTACTACTCTACCACTAGGATGGCTAAAATTAAAAAGGCTGTTCGCTCCATGTGTTGGTGAGAATATAAAGCAACTAGAATTCTCATACACCACTTGTGGGAATGTAAAATGTATAGCCATTTAAAACAGTATCTTGGCAGTTTCTTTCAAGGATAAACATACAGCTACTGCATGATCCAGACAATCTAATTCTACATATTTACCCAAGAGAAGGAAGCATATGTCTACTTGTATATACATATAGCAACTTTATTTGTAATAGCCCTGCCTTAGTCCATTTGGACTGCTACAGCAAAATATACTAAACTGAGTGGCTTACAAATGACAGAAATTTATTTCTCACAGCTCTGGAGGCTGGGAAGTCCAAGATCAAGGCACCAGCAGATTCAGTGTCTGGTGTGGGCTCTCTGCTTCACAGACCACACTTCTTGTTCCATCCTCACATGGTGGAAGGGGGTGAACGCTGTGTATCCTTATATAAGGGTACTAATCCCATTCATGATGGTGGAGCTTTCATAACCTAATCCCTTGCTAAAGGTCCCATCTCTTAAAACTATTGCATTGGGGATTAAGTTTCAACATTTGAATTTGAACATTCAAACCATAGCAAGCTCCAAACTGGAAATAATTCAAGTTTTCCTTCAACAAGTGAATGAATAAAGCAAATTGTGGTATATTCACATAATGGAATACTACTCCATGATAAAGAAGAATGAACTCTTGGTATACGCAACAAGAGGGACGAACTTCAAAATAATTATGGTGAGTGTACCAAAAAGAGTACATATTGCATTATTCCAATTATATAAGATGTTAGAAAATTCAATCCAATGTCTAGTAACAAAAAAGCGTATTAGTGACTTCCTGGGCATGAGGGAGGCTGAGGAGAAGGGAAGAACTACAAAAGGGCAGAAAGAAACTTCTGGAGTGATGGCTATGATCACTGTTTTGATTGTGGTAGTAGTTTCATGGGTGTGTCCATGCATCCAACTCATCAAATTGTGTACTTTATTGTATATGTGCAGATTGTTGTATGTAATTAATACTTCAATAAAGTTGTAAAACAAAACAAACAAAAAGCTCTTTCTATGAAAGGAGAGGAGAGTGGATTTTGGCAGACAATGGACATTCTACCAAACAGGGGAGAGGAGGTATTTGGATGCTGGTGAAGGGGATTTCTGAAAATAATCTGGGGTCCTCCATGGGGCCAATTCTTCCCCTTTCAGACAGGGTTAGATGTCAGAGAGTAGGAGAGAGCTATGCCCCATCCTGCATAGATCCCTTGGAGGCAGAAGCTGTATTCCACTTATTCCAGAGAAGCAAGAGCAAAGATGACATACCCCACTAGGAAAGAGGACAGTGATCGCAGCCACCAAGAGCTTGAGACAGCCTCTCTGTCTTCTCCTGCCCCACTATGACTAGAAAACAAGCAGGTCTGTAACAGCTCCAAAAGGGTATCTTAATTGAGGTCCTCCAAGAAGTAGATGCCAAAATAGAGGCAGTAGTGAACTGTACCCTGAACCCTCATTTCCCTGGAGCCTAAGCTCACAGCATTCAGCTTTAGAGTTTGGGGGCGGGTGCTCAGATGGATGGAGCAAGAAGAGGAGGCTCACCTGTGTTGTGCACTAGTGTCAAGACTCTCAACACTTAATTAGGGTCCCTCTTATGCTGAGGCAGACAGAAAGGCTTGCCAGACCTGTTTCTTTACTCCTATTGTGGGCAAGGTGCTCCGCCATACCCCTTGATTCTAGATCACTTGCTTTGGCCAATGGTATGGGAACAAATGTGATGCCTGCAGAAGCTTCACAAGCTCTGTGCACTAGGGCTTGCTCTCTTGCCACCTTGATCCTTGCTCTTTTATAGTCTCATGAGAACATGCCCAGATTAACTTGCTAGAGGGACATGAGAGACCGGAAGAGTAGACCACAGTCATTCCAGCTGAGGGGTAGACCAGTCAGGTCCCTGCAAATCACTAACTCACTGCAGATGCATAAGTGAAGTCAGCCCAAATCATCCCAGTCTGACCCAGATCTTCAAAAATGTCTAGCCAACCCACAGTTTGATAAGAAATAATAGATGGGTGTTGTTTTAGGTCACTACATTTTGGGGTGGTTTGTTACAAACCATAGCTAACTGTCAGGGTGTCCAAACTTCTGGGCCACACCCCTGTCTTGATTCATCCACTCAACTGTCAATACAGTCGTCCTCCTTTATCCTCGGGTGTTGCGTTCCAAGACCACAGTGGATGCTTGAAACCAAAGACAGTTCCAAACCCTGTATGTATATAGAGATTGTCCCTAACTTACGATTGTTCAACTTAGGATTTTTTAACTTGACCATAGTGTGAAAGTGATATACAGTCAGTAGAAACTGTAACCCCATCTTAAGTAGAGGAGCATCTGTTTTATTTTTTTCCCACACATACATACATATCTATGATGAAGTTTAATTTCTAAATTAGGACCAGTTAGAAATGAACAATAACTAGTAATACAATGGAAAAATTATATTGTGATAAAATTATGTGAATATGCTGTCTCTCTTAAAATTCTTATTGTATTGTACTCACCTATTTTCAGACCATGGTTGACCATGAATAACTGAAACCTTGGATAGCAAAACTGGAGATAAGACAAGACTACTGTACTTATTCTAAACAATGCTGTCCCTTGTCTTGGCCTGGTCCTGAACTTCTGAACAGCAGGGACCAGAAAAGACCTGGCCCCACTTGCACCCCTCTTCCTCCTCTCGGTTAAGGTGGGGGCCAGCTGGCTCAATGTGCCCCACTCCAAAGGAAGCCAGCATCATGAAGAAGCAGGGAAGTGGCAGGGACGCGATTCCACTCAGGGAAACGAGAAGCTTGATTACTACTCAACATTTGCAGTACCCAGATACTCTAATTAAGAGAAAAGGTCAATAGGTTAAATAAGCAACTTAATCAGAAAATTATGCAAAGTGCCACAAATCAAACATATTACACAGCCCTTGAGATCGATACAGTATGCAAATCGATCACCCAAGATCAGGACAATTCAGAAACTGGAAGGTACAACTCAATCAAGGGGGTTCAGGAAACCCAGACTGAGCTGGAGAATGCTGGGGGCCTGGCACTAGAAGTAGGCGGCAGACACCAACACCCCTGGGGAGCACGAGCAGCAAGGGAGGTGCAGTCTCTTCTCAGGCTCCAGAAGGGTCCAAGGGCCATGAGTTTCTCATCTGTAGAAGGGGGGCTGCAATATAGTGCACAGTATGGGTCAGGGCCTATGGGCCTAGCTTGAGTCCCACCTCTGCCTCTGCCTAACTGTGTGGTTTGGGGCAAGCCACTTAACCTTCTTCTGGTCTTCATTCATACAACAGAGACACACATTCCAGCCTTTCAAGTTATTGTGTATGTGTGTGTGTGTGTGTGTGTGTGTGAGAGAGAGAGAGAGAAGGAGTGAGAGAGACAGGGAGAGAGCTAGGAGTGTGTGGGTTTGCGGCCATGGGTCCAGTGAGGATCCCTTCCTCTCTGCCACTTGCCTTTCTTCTCACAAAGCCCTGCAGCTAGAACACTTGATCAGTGCCCTTTAAATTTAGGACAGTGGCTTTCCACTGAGGGTGGTATTTGGCATATCTGGAGATATTTTGGGTGTTATAATCAGTGGGGTGGGGGTGTGCTACTGACATCTAGTGGGTAGAGGCCAGGGATGCTCCTCTACAATCTGTAATGTACAGGGCAGCTCCCACAACAAATAATTGGCCAGCCCAAAATGTCAGAGGTGCTGAGGTTGAGAAATTCTGAGTTAGGAGGATTGGATAGCTTGTGAGCGAAAGAGAAGGGTGGCTGAGGCAGCCAGAGCATAAAAGGTGGTAGGAGCCCTCTGCAGTGATCACAGAAGCTACAGACACTGCCTGTCAGGGCTTCAGGAACCCCTGAGGGACCCCTAACTTGTGCTGACCTTCAGTGGAACTTCCCGGGAGACCCAGTGAGAGGAAAAAGCACACTCAAAGAAGAGAGAGTTTGCTCACCGCAGTCCTGCCTGCTGGGGCGCAAGACGGCGTTTCCCGGCCTAGAGACTCAGGCCTGGCCTGGCCCCAGTAAGGGCGAGGCCACAGCAGGGAGACTGCCCTGGTCTGGCATTCCCTTGAAGCCTGAAGGAATGTTGGTATAAATGGACCCTTATTTGGGCTTGTTTTCATCCCCCAGGAGTGGTGCAGCTGCCTGTCTTTTCCCAGGCTTTCCTGCTGCTCAAGGGAGGGCAGTGGAACCTTGGGGACCATCCTAGGCCTGGTGTGGAGGGAAGAGCACCTGCTCTTCACCTGGGCTACAGAGGGGAAGGTCTTGGGGCCCTGTCACTCTGCAGGGGCCTGTGCTGGTGCTAGGGGTCTGTGGAAAGGAAGAGGTGGGTGTTTGCCTCTGAAACTTTCTCTGGGCACTCAGGTCCCCTGAGGAGGTTTTCCACCTGGGGGTGGAGGGTTGAGCTAGGAGTCCCTGTGGGACCTTGAGAGGACAGAAAGCTGGAGAAGACCAATTAAGGTTTCTTTGGGGCAGAAGGCAGGGTACATGCTGGGCACAGAGTCTGTGGGGCGGGGAGGGCAGTTCTCTTCCTCCCAAGGAAGCTGCCAGTGTCTTGAGTTTCATCCTGTCAGGTCTTGAGACCCAGGGCCTCTGAGGTCAGAGGATGTCACTGAAGACTGAGGCCATGCCTCATGCCATGCGGTTCAGGGCTAGGGAAAAGAGCAAAAGGGATGGTCAGGGCCCATCAGGCATCTGTCCCTTTGTCTCCTTTCTCAGGACTGTCAGCAGTCATCTCAGGCATGGAAACTTCCCTTTCCTAGTTCTCCAGTCACATACAATTGGAGCCATCATGAAGTCCTCCCTAGTTGAGCATTGGGAGAAACTAAGGCCCATAAATGTTTAAGGTCTTGACCAAGGCCATACAGTGAATTAATGGCAGAGCCAAAAATGGACCCTGGGTCTCCTGACATGAGTTTAACACCAGAGTGTGGCAATTTCATGGCTGTCCCTGCTCATGAAAAACACCCTTCCAGAAAGGCCTGTATTCATTATCTACTGCAGTGTGACAAATTACCCCAAGCATGTATTATCATCACACAGTTTCTGTGGGTCAGGAAGCCAGGCACAGCTTAGCTGTGTCCTCCCAAGGTTTCGAGTTCTCTCACAAGGATGCTGTCAAGGTATCAGCCAGGGCTGCAGTCATCGTCAACCTGACTCTGGGGAATCTGCTTCAGAGCTCACTCACATGGCTGTTGACAGATCTTAGGTCCTCGCTGGCTGCTGGCCAGAGACATCAGTTCCTTGCCAAGAGGCCCTCTCCAGAGGAAATCTTGCAACATGGCATCTGGCTTCCCTCAGAGAGAGAGGTGGAGAGAGTGAGATCAAGTAAGACAGGGTGAGCAAGATAGAAGTAGAATCTTTGGGTAACCTAATCTTGGAGTGACAGTCCGTCATTTTTGCCATGTTCTATCTGTTAGAAGTGAGTCTCTAGGTCCAGCCCACACTCGAGGGGAGGGGATTACTAGGGCACAGATTCCAGGAGGCAGTGATCACTAGGGGCCTTTATAGAGCCTGCCTGCCACAGACATCAACCCAGCAGTGGAAAAGGAGGCCCATGGCCTGGGGTGTGCCTTTGGCTTCTCCCCTTCTTGAAATAGTTCATTCACTTCCAGACTCTTAGGGGAAATCCCAATAAAGAAGACGATTTAAAGGGAGCTGGAGTGGGAGAGGATTCCCTTCTTCCCTCCATGGCTCCAACTTCACGTCCAAAATCTCAGCCTAGATGAAGTCCAAGTTTCTTTCTAGTTGTACCACTTTGATTTAAACTCATCAAACACAGGCAAAAGCATTTGGTTGTGGGTCAGAAATGTCAGGTTCTAGTCCTAGTTTTAGGAATTCTAGGAGTCACTTTGTTCACAGATTTTTTCCTCTATACAAGCAGGAGCCCAAGCTAGGGGATTTCTGACTGCAGGTTCTCCTGTGCTGAAACTTTCTCCTACTCAAGGGACAGAAAACTCCCACATGCCTGCCTTCCCTCTGCCCTTCATGGAATTTCACACCTGGAAGAAGCCTGTGTGCAGGGGAGGGGTTGTTGAATTCCTTAAGGTGTCTGGAAAAAGAGAGAGAGAGAGCCAAAGAGGAAGAGGGGAGGGAGCATTAGCAGCCCCGGCGCTTCACCAACATGGCGTCCGGCAACTGCCGGAACTAGTCACAGCGCCTAGGCCCCCAGAAAGTCAGGGAGGGACCATGGCAGGAGTGAGGCAGCCTGGACAGCTATAAGTGGATGGCCCATTTGGGAGCCTGGGCCTCTGTCCCTGATGGGGGCCTTACAGAAGGCAGAGGGCTGTCCAAAATGACCACCTCCCGGGATCTGGTTCTTTGAGCCGCTCTTCCGACCTCTGCCTCTGCCCAGTGTGAGCCTTTCCTGCTCTAATTCCTCGCCCACACTTTGCCCTGCACTCACCCTTGGCCTCGGGGCTCCACACCAGCCCCATGGGCGGGTTCAGTGTGTCCACAGACTTTGGGGGACGGTGTCACCCAGTGCTGGGAGAGTGTGGGTCCCAGCTCCGCAGGCTGCTGGCCAGGAGCAGGGAGGAGGCAGTGAAAGCCGCTCATATGTCTCAAATTCATTTCTAATTCACTTTCCTTCTGAAGTGGTTTTGAGGAAGTGCGATATCTGAAAAGGCAGCTAATGTAGGTCCTGTAAATAGTACATCCACGGCCGTAATGGAGGGAGAGAGAGAGAGAGAGCGAAAGATGGATTAAGTGCCCACCGTGGGCCTGGAAAAAAAAATCCTTTTGATCTCTCCCCACAGCACAATGCCCTATTACCTTGTTGGCTTGCATCAGCCAGAGAGAGCATGTTTCTTATTGTGATTGCTGCAAATTGGTACCTGTTTCCCGGAGAGTAGCTTTCCCCTAAATTAAGTAGAGCACCCGGCTCCATCCTGGGTGATAAGGACCTCCTATTAGTGGGTAATGTCACTGAGCCGCCTCCTGTCTGCCTTGCCTGCCTTGGGGACCCTGAAGCTGGCCATACTCTCTCTGAGCGCAGCCCCACAAGCACAGGTGCAGCCAAAGAGCTCCTCCATGGTGGCATCATCTTTCCTTACCCTACTGATGGCTGTGTTGGGCCACAGAGCTGCTTAGGAGAGGTAGTGCTGAGCTTTGAACTCACTGCTTTTGCCCAACCTTGGGCTTTCTAGATTCTTTCTTTTATTTAATCAATTCATTAGATAGATATTTATTGAGCACCTGCTATGTTCCAGCATTTGGATGAGTGCTGGGGACACAATAGCGAATGACACAAAGTTCCTGCCCTCACTGGGCCGGCATAGTCAAGTACCACCATCATGCACTTCTCTATCCCCAAACCTGGGGACACCCAGGACTTCCTCTCCCTCAACATCTGCATCCAATTGGTCCCCAAGTCTCCCCCAGCCCATGAGTCTCTCTCTCTTTGTCATTGTAAGTATAAATATTTATTTCTTCTACTTCTTTCTCACCTTCCTGGTCCAAGCCCCAGCACCTCTCACTCAGTCTCCTGCATTAGCCTCCTGAATTAGTCTTCTATTTGCTGCTGTTACAAATTACCCAAAACTTGGAGGCTTAAAACAACACAAATTTTTATCTTATAATTCAATAGCTCAGAAGTCTCAAAGGGGTCTCACTGGGATAAAATCAAGCTGTCAGCAGGGCTACATTCCTTTCTGGAGGATCCAGAGAGGATTCGATTTCCTTACCTTTTCCAATTTCTAGAGGCTTCCTGCATTTCTCAGCTCCTGGTCTCCTTCATTCCTCTTCAAAGCCAGCAATGCTCATCCAGTCCTTCTCATCTGGCATCACTCTGACCTCCTTTTCTGCTTCTCACTTCCACTCTCTGGGTTTCTTGTGATTACACTAGGCCTGTCTGGGTAATCCAGGACAATGTCTCTATCTTAAAGTCAGCTGACTAGTAATCTCAATTCCATCTGCATCCCCCTTTTTCCAACTTACATGTCCTTTGCCACATAACCCAACACATTCACAGGTCTGGGGATTAGAATGTGGACATCTCTGGAGAGGTGTTGCTTTGCCAATCCTATCTCTAAGTGGTCTGCCTGCCTCCATACTTGTTCCCTTGTAATCCCTTCTCTAAGCAGCAGACAGCAGTCTCTTTTTAAAACACAAGTCAAATAATATAATTCTCCTGCCTAAAACTCTCTCACTGTTCTTAGAACAAGATGCAAGTTCATTACCTTGGTCGACAGACCTTTCCCATCTCCCAGCCTCATCACCTGCCTCTCTTGTCCTAGATCACCAAGCCCCTATGGCACTGGGATCCCTACAGGTCTGAGCCTGCTGAGCTCCTCCCCGTTCCCTGCTCTGTGCAGGGCCTTGGTGCAGGCTGTCCCCCCTATCTCACAGGCTTTTCTTCTGGCTCTTATATTTTCAGTCTCAGCTTAAATGTCTCCTTTGAGAGAGGACTCCCCTCACCCCGTCTCAAATCAGTGCACCCATTACTGTCTCACACCGCACCATCACAGCCCTAATCACAATTTGTAATTATTCAATGACTTCCTTCCCATTGCCGGTCTCCCCTACCCGGGTCTGTGAAAACTGTGATGGCAGGAACCTGACTTCCCTGTCTGCGCAGTGGGATCCGAACAAATATTTATTGAATGGTTGAATAATGATGCTCACCATATATTATTGAGTGAAAAACAGCAAGATACAGAGTATGTATAACTCTTAAGTAAGAAAAACACCCTCTACATGTGCATAGCCACATACCTTTGTGCAAATAGAAGGTTCAGAAAGGACCAAATTCATGGCAGTGTTGACCTCTGGGCAGAGTAGATTGGGGAGGACAGGAAGGTGACTTTCTCTTTTTTACTTCATATACTTTTGCTTGTTTAAAAAATTGTTTTTGTTATAAGCACGAATAACACTTTTTAAAGGGGAAAAATCAAACCAAAGATTTTTCTTCCACTTGAATATGATCAAATGCCGTATAAACCAGACAACAATATACTTTAAAAAGTTATGCCTCTTGAATGCCTCCCAGACCTGTCTTTTGTATCTGGGCTGGTCTCAGCAGTGCTCACGTGGCTCCGCATGACTTCCAGAATGGGCTCCACAGGGGTTATTGAGGGAGGGATGGGTCTCCAGTCAGATCTGAGCTTTCTACTTCCCATCATGGATCCCCACCATGGCTTCTCCTCACCCAGAGAACAAGGGCTAAGCCCCTAGGGCTGGCTGGTGTGTGTGTGTGTGTGTGTGTAGGGGGCCTAGTGTGTGTGGGGTGTGTGTGTGTAGGGCCAAATGTGATGTGTGTGTTTGTATGAGTGTGTGTGGTGGGCCAGGTGTGTGGTGTGTGTGTGTGTAAGGCTGAGTGTGATGTGTGATGTGTGTGTGTGTGTGTAGGGCCAGTGTGTGGTGTGTTTGTGTGTGTAGGGCCAAGTGTGATGGGTGTTGTGTATATATGTCTGTGTGTGTGTGATGTGTGTGTGTGTGTGGAAGGCCAAGTGTGTATGTGGTGTGGTGTGTGTGTGGTGTGTGTGTGTGCATGTGTATATAGGGCCGTGTGTGTGTGTGTGTGTGTGTGTGTGTAGGGCCGACTGATGTATCTGTATAAGTGTGATGTGTGTGTGTGTGGAGGGCCAGGTGTGGGGTGTGTGTGGGGTGTGTATGTGTGTGTGTGTAGGGCCAAGTGTGGTGTGTGTGTGTGTGGAGGGCCAGGTGTGTAGTATGTGTGTGTGTGTAGGGCCAAGTGTGACGTGTATGTGAGTGGTGTGTGTGTAGGGCCAGGTGTGGTGTGTGTCTGTATGGCGTGTGTGTGTGTGCATGCTTGTGTATAGGGCCAAGTATAGTGTGTGTATGTGTGTGCGTGGTGTGTGTGGGGAAGGCCTGGTGTCGTGTGTGTGTGGAGGGCCAGATGTGTGGGGTGTGTGTATGTGTGGAGGGCTAGGTGTGGGGCGCGCATGTGTGTGTGTGTGTGTGGAGGGCCAGGTGTGGGATGTGTGTGTGTCTGGTAGGCTAGGTGTGTAGGGCAGTGTGTGAGGTGTGTGTGTCTGTGTGTGTGTAGGGCCTGGTGTGTGGGTGTGTGTGTGGTGTGTGTGTGTGCATACACGTGTGTGTAGGGCCGAGTGTGATGTGTGTATGTGTGTGAGTGTGATATGTGTGTGTAGAGGGCCAGGTGTGTGTGAAATGTGTGTGTGTGGGGGCAGGTGTGTGTGGGTGTGTGTGTGTACACGCTTGTGTGTAGGGCCGGTGTGACGTGTGTATGTGTGTGAGTGTGGTTTTGTGTGTGGTGTGTGTGTGTCTGTTTGTGTGAGTGGAGGGGCTGTGGGTCGGCGGTGCTGCCAGAGTCCGGCCTGCCTCTCCAGCCTTGTCCCCCATTTCCTTCTCCTCTTGCCCCAGAGCCGCAGAGGGCTGCCGTTTCTCCTTCCTCTTGGCCTCTACGGTCTCCGCTTCCCCTCGGAGTGCTCTTCCCTGCCTGTTTGCCTGGATGCTGTCCTTTCCTCCTTTAATTACTGCTTTCACTGTTAACGTTTGCATTCTGCTTATTCTGCTTTTCCTCACGCTTCTCTCTCCCCAAGCAAAGCTGGTGGCTCCCTCTCTGCTCCCCTCCAGGGGAGTGTTGTGAAAAGACAGCAGGACAGCCCCTGGCTCTTTACTGCCCAGTTCTAAATTCCAGCTGCAGACCCCACTAGCTGTGACTTTGGGTAAAAGACTTAAATTCTTTGAGCCTCAGTGTCCCCATCCGTGACATGAGTGACTCCGCCCACCTCCTAAGGTGATGGTGCTCTAACCCAGGGGGCCTATTTCAAGCTCCCGTTCAGAGCTCAGTGCCTGGTAGGGGCCCAGAGAAGGGTAGTCCTAGGGACCACGTGGCACCATTAACGTGTCAGCAAGGTGTCTTGGAGGGGCCAAGGAAGTTTTAGGAGGAAGCAATGGCTGGCTGAGTTTGAAGGACAACGAGATGGCTCTAGCTGGTGGGTGGTACCTCTGAGCATCAAGCACACACAATGGGAGTCCAGAAAATAGGTCGGCTGTGTGGAGTCACAGAGGAGAGAATGCCCGGTGGCCCAGAGGACCGAAGCACCAGATGCCGGGCGTCAGGCCAGTCCTCTGCTGGAGGGATGCAGGGCCTCTCAGCCTTCGTGCTACTTCAGTCCAAGCCGTTTGGGTTTGGCGCGGACACACAATAGTGCCTGAAGAGGTGGCTGCGATTTTCCCCTTGAGCTCTCAGATGTCTTAAAATTGGTCCGAATAATTTTTTCCCCTCAAATTGTTCAAAACATTCTGTTTCTGGCCTGAGTGCTTGGGTTTCATGTTACCTCATGGAAGGGGTCCTGGAGCAAACTTGGAGGTCTTGGGGAGCTTAGTGAGTCAGGGCACCCCCATCCACTCACCCTGCTCCACTGCCAAGCCAGCTCCTGGGGCCAGAGGAGGGAGGTGGCTGGTGGGTGCTAACAGGCTGAGCTCTGAGCCCCGCTGCCCAGGCGGTGGCCAGCGCCTGTGGGCAGGTTGGGCTGCAGGCCCGGTGCGGGCCAGCAGGCGCTGCCGGGAGTCCAGCCAGCTGAAGCTTGATACCTGGCTCCTGGTTCCAGGGGTGGCTGCCCAAGAGGGTGGGACGGAGGTGTGGGCCTTCTGGGCGGCCAGCCTGGGGGCAGCTCTGTGGCTCTGTTTGTGTTGGCTCCCACAGAGCAAGTGGGAGGAGCTGCTGATCACATCTCAGGGCCCGGCCAACCTCCAGAGAGATAGGGCTTGTGCTCCCCAGCATGGGTGGGTTCACACACACAATTCAGCCTCCCTTAGCCCCTCCAACACTTGCCTCGAAATAGGCTCTCAGGCAGACATTGCAATGATGGAGGAAGCTTTCAGGGAAGGGTATGTGTGGAGAGTGGATGCTTCAGGCCAAGGGAGGCAGAGAGGCTCTGGGGTTGTGACATCTGAGACAGGACCCAGAGATGTGGATGCTGAAAGGCCAAAGGCTATGGGAGTGCAGGAACCTTCTAATTACAGCAAAGTCCTTTCATACTTACTCCTAGCTAGTATGTGCTTTGCAGAGGTCTATGGGTCTTAACTCAGAACTCATTTCTCTACTGCCTCTGACAGCCAGGGGCCACCATCTTGTGCAACTCCAGAGCACTATTCCATACTGAGTTCAATGGAACCACAGCGTCGGGAAGTAAGGAGCGATTCTCATAGAATACACTAGGAATGCGCACCCTGGGGTTGTGCGGCAAGGCAGCATTGATGCGAGCAGCTCAGACCCAGGACAAGATGCCATGGGGAACTTAGCTTACCCTGGGCCTGCACAACCTGGGGTTCTGTGCCATCCACTGATGCAACTCAGGAATGAGTTTTATTGTTTCTTGAACAGAGGAAGGAGTGGAGTTGGAAGAGGGATCTTCTCTATTGATGCTGATAACCCACTGACAGTTCTTAGTTCTTCAGGGGGCAGTGGGTCCATGCGCAGCTTGGAGCCATTAGTGTCTGTTCTTGAGACCCTCCTGTCTTCCTTACCTTCCTCTGACCAAGCAGGCCTCCAATTCAGGCCTGGCTTCTGCCTTTGAAACAATGAAAACCAAGATGGCTAATTTAGGTGAACTAAAGATTTATTAAAAGGATTTTGAGAAACTTGCAGAATCTCTAGAGGGCCAGAGGACTGGCCTGGAGGCCCACAGTGAAGAACAACATCCAAAATCACTTTGCAGAACTGACCAGTCCAGGGAGAGCACCTAAACCTTCACTGCAGGCTCTGACACTGCAGTCAGTGACAACCTAAGTGCTCTCCCTGCTCCAGATCCCAGCTGGCCCCAGAAGATTAGCCCTGGCTCTTGTGGAACTTGAGTGTGGTGGCTACTGCTGCCCTCACTGGAATGGGTTCCAGGTGGCGTCTGCTTGGCTGCATCCTTTGCTTTCGATTCTGTTTGATGTGGATGATCCTGATGATCAAAGCATGGTCAGGGGCTTGAGTTTTGACTGCAAGAAGGCTGGGAAAGTAGAGGTCTGGCTGCATAGAAAGAGGTGGTCTCTGCCTCCGACTAGGACTCTGAGTGGGGAATTCCATAAACACAGGGGGGAATGTTCAAAGGTGACAAATGACCACTGCAGAGGTGTGCAGAGCCTTCTCAAAAGAGCAGCATATACATATGCTCCCAAAGGCAGGACTAGATAAGCCCAGCATACCGCGATGCCCCCTTTCCCCTCCTGCCTCGGCGTCCTCTCGTTTCCCCACCTCTTTCTCTGTTGAGACCTGCAGTCAGATGTTCTTACCTCCTTGACCCTGGAAATCATTCTCTTTCCCACCCTTAAGTTTGATCTCCAGCCTCCCCACTATGGTCCTACATTATTATTTTTTTTTAATTTGGGAATTTGAGCACCTTTAAACTTTGAGCAGATTCAAGGAAAGCTCTCCTCTGCTTGATCCCACAGTTCAGGGTGGCCACAAAGCCTGTTCTGTGAGCAGAGGCAGAGGGGTTGCCCCTCAGGGTCTGCTGAGCTGCCTGCAGCTGGCTCCTCCCTAGTTTGGAGTGACAGCAACACATCTGGCCCAGGTGAACGTTCATCTTTCCCAAAGATAACACAGACTGGTGTCACATGCAGAATGTCCAGAAGCCCTTTAGCTTGACTTTGAACCTGCCCCCTGGGCAGTGCCCTGTAGGCAGGATGGAGCCTTCCATCAACCTGACCTAGGTTAGGAGAGTTGGTGCTCTGGCTGGGAATGAGTCACCTCTCTTCTGGGAAGCATGGCCTTGGGGCATGTCAGGCACGTTCTGTCCCACACCCACCCATCTCCCACTTCTATTAAACAGTGTCTTTTTCCTCAGGTTATCCCACTACTCCACTGCACCCAGCACCTTCTTTTAAACAACATATTATTTTTAATTTTGGAATATAAATGTCCTTTTTTATTATAAAAGTAATGGATAATCTATAAAATTCAAGCAATGTATAAAACTGTAAATTAGAAAGTGTAGAGTCCTCTGACATGGAACTTTACTTCTTAGATAATCATTGTTAAATTTTTTTCACTCTCCGTATATATAAATGTACACACACACACACACACACACACAAACACACACAAACACACACACACACATGAAACACATCCATAGAGGGAAAGATGTACACAATACGGTGTTGGTTTTTAAAAGCCAGTTTACATGACAGTCTGCGTCTGCATTATTTTATATCTGATTTTGGTTAAAACGAAATGGACTATCTAATAGAACGTCCAACCTTTGGATGGGCTGCCGCCCAGGAGGAAGTGAGCTCCCTGTCGCAGGAGGAATGTTAGCCAAGACTGAGCAGTCAGGTACAGAACTGGAAGGTGGACCTGAGCCGCAGCTCTTGTCTGTTTAGCACAATTGTTCTCGGGGTCCAGCAGCTAACAGGATCAAGCATTTTAAGCTGTGGTCGGCCTTATGGAAGGAGGTGAAGGAGAGGCACACTGGCTCAGCTCTGAGGGGCCTGGCCCTGGGTCCCTCCATGGTGTGGTTTGACTGTTTCCCCACCCAAATCTCACCTTGAATTGTAATAATCCCCACATGTCAAGGGCGGAGCCAGGCGGAGATAATTGAATCATGGGGTCAATTTCCTCCATACCGTTCTCGTGGTAGTGAATAAGTCTCACAAGATCTGATGGCTTCATAAATAGGAGTTCCCCTGCCCAAGCTGTCTTGCCTACCACCATGTAAGACATCCCTTTGTTCTTCCTTTGCCAGCTGCCATGATTGTGAGGCCTCCCTAATCATGTGGAACTGTGAGTCCATTAAATCTCTTTTTCTTTATAAATCACCCAGTCTCGGCTATATCTTTAGTAGCAGCATGAGAAAAGACTAATATACTCTATCACCCCTTCTCTCTCTACCCTACTGACCTGGCACAGGGTAAGAGTGGGGCTTTCTTCCTGGGGGAGCCCCAAGAAGTGGCCAGGCCTGTTGGCCTCCCAGAGCATATGGTCCCCATGGCATTGACAGTTCCAGAGGCCAAGCTGGGGGGTTTCACAGGCCCTGGATCAAGCTGGGAGGTAGGGGATCAGCAACTGCTTATCAGTTAGTGCCTCACTGGTTTCTTCCCCATGAGACACTGAATAAATATTTGCTGAATAAATGGCCCACTGGCGCATGTCACCTTGTCCTTAAACTCTGGCTCTAGCAGGATTTCTGAGTCTCAGGGAGTGTCCCGCTCAACACACTTCAGGAAGTAGATCTGTTTGCAGGAAATGGCAGTGTTCTAACCTCAAGAAACTCAGGCTTTCTGAGGAGGGAGGCCCCACTGAGGTGACCTGTCCTGTCCTGTCTGATGCAGGCCTCTGTCGTGAAAAGGTGGGAGCAACTTATGCTTTCAGCTCTGTGAGGGACATTTTCAGACTCACGGCTTCCTGCAAGGGACAGAACAAGACGCCCTGAGAGTGAGCTTGCTGTCCACAGAGGTGTGCGAACAGGCCAGCAACCTTCAACCGTGAGGTTGGGCTCCTCCTCCTTCACAGGGCGGAGTGGAGTGAGTCGTGAGGAAGAGAGCTCTTGCAGTCTTGGGGTCTGGGGACCATCTCCAAGGTTTCCCTTTCATTATGTGGAAGGTCTGCCCATCCCCTGTCCTCATCCTCTTCTCCCTTCCCTGGCCCTGCTCGAGGGGACTTGTTTCCTCCCTCCCCACTCCTATTTTTCTTCTTCTCCCCACAGTTCCCAGAAGTGGGACCCAGGCCTCCAGCTGCAGCCTGTCCAGGTTCCCTATCGGATTATAAAGCTTAACATTTTTGTGAAGGAAGAAGAAAGCCTTCCCTCTGGAGAGCGATAAGAACATTCCATCCTCCTCTGGCTCCAGGGAGCCTGGGAAACAATCACCAAAGGGAGAGAGACTCCCCAGGGACAGGCTCCCGAGGGCACGGGCAGGGCTGCCCTCTGCTGGCCCTCCCACCCGCTCCTGCCCTTCACTCCACAGAGGCCTGGTCTGGTCTGTGGTCAGCCAGTGAGATCCTGGGGCAGGGGCCTGGGGAAGGGGGCAGGCCTCAGGCTGCACAGACTAAGGTTCCTTGGGGTGGAGGGCTTCTCCGTAGCCTGGCTCCATAGCTGGGGGGCACAAGGAACCTTGGGCACCAGCTCTCTTGAATGTGAATTGTGCAATCTTGGCAGTAAGAGCTTCCTCCAAGGAGATCACTCAGAAGACAGGCCATATGGGAGTTAATTTGCAGTGGGGTTGTGCATAGTTAAGGGAAACCACCAAGGGGTATGAAGCATCCCCCGACTAGCAATGTGGGCGAGAGTAGTTACCAGAATGCTGTTGGAAGGAGCAGGGCCATGGCCAAGTTGAGGCCCCTCAAGGCTGGAGTCTCTCTCTGCTCTCAGCCTCTGGTCTCCTGCAGCCGAAAGGCAAGGATGCCTGAATACCACAGTCCATGAAAGTCAGCCTCCTGCACAGAGTGAGGAGAGCCGGGATCCAGAGGAGCACACGGAGAAGATCCACATACAATAATATCTGTTGAATGAACGAATAAATGCCCTTAAGAAACCCACATATTGTTGAAGACACATTCATTCCTTCACTACTTCATTCATTTGTGTACAGTCATGCATCACTTAATGACAGGGATAAGTTCTGAGAAACGCGTCGTTAGGTGATGTTGTTGTCATGTGAACATCACAGAGGGAACTTAACAAACCTAGATGGTATAGCCTACTACACACCTAGGCTGTCCTGGTATAGCCAAATGCTTCTAGGCTAAAAACCTGTACCGCATGTTACTGTACTGAATACTGTAGGCAGTTGTGACAAAATGGCATTTGCGCATTTAAACATATCCAGACACAGAAAAGGTACGGTAAAAATACAGTATTATAATCTAATGGGACCCCATTGTATATGCGGTCAATTGTTGACTAGAACATCACTGCGGGGCCCATGAACGTATTTATTCATTCGTTTGTTTAGAGCACAACTATTGAGCATGGAGTGGGTGTTAAGATGCATCAGTGACTAAGCGGAGGCAGTCTCAGCCCTCCCTAGACCCCATACCCAGGACAGGCTTGCTGGGAAGATGGACCTGGAACTGCTGGTACTGCCTGACACACCTGGCCCATCTGCTTGCAGCTTGCTCTGGGAGTAGCTGTAGAGCACACCTGCGTGCTGGTGCATCGGGCCTAGTGCAGGCTGAGGCATGTGAGAAATCCATGGGTTCCTTGGGGGACCTGTTAAGTCAGCCCAGACTGGATGGGGACACATCATTTGTCACTTGTTTTTCTAAACTCTGGGGATTTGAAGTTTGATGATGACAAGGAGGTCACAGAGACCCGTGGCACACAGCCTGCAGGCTCTATAATTCTGTAATCACTAACACCGCAAGCACGCATGTGTGTCAGGGCTTTAGCACTTGAACTCATTTGATCTGCATGACAGCACTGTGAAATCCATCTTCTAGGCCCATTTGATTGTTGAGGGACCTGAAACACAGAAAGGTTAAGAGACTTGCTCAAGGCCACACAGCTATTAAGTGGTAGAGCCGGCATTTGTACCCTGGCAATTGTCTCCAGAGCATGTGCTACTATCCTTTATGTAAAGGCTTTTGATGGAAGGTCTGTGATGGAGGAGGGAACAGTCCTGTCAGGAAGATCCAGGGTGAAATCTAGGGCAGGGACCCTCCTCCAGCTCTCCTCTTCATCCCCTCTACTGCCACTTGTCCCTGTCACACCGGTAATCCTACAATGGCTTCCACCCTGGCCACTTGCCCTCATCTCACCCTTGCCCCACTCATATTCCAAGAGGTCTGTTTTCAGAACTCAAACCCATTGCTCATGAACCTTTAGCAACTCCTGTTAGCCCTAGAATAAAAAGCCCAAACTCCTCTCCATGTTCTGGATGACACCGTAGGATCACCCTGTCCACCTCACTGCCCTTATTTCTGACCATTTCCCCCTTGTTTTCTCCACTGCAGCCCACTAGCCCTCTTGTTGGTTCTAGTAGCTATGCCGTTTTTGCTTTGGGACCATTCCACTTGCTGTATCCCCTGCAGGGAATACTGTTCTCCCAGAACTTTAAGTGCTTTGTGCCCTCTCACATTTGAAGTCTCAGTTCAAATGTCACCCCTTTTGGAGTTTCCTAAATTATCCTTCTTTTTATATTTGGAACAGATAATTCCTCCACTAAAATATAAGCTTCATGAGGGAGGAACTTTGCTGTTCTGATTAATGTTGTATCCTCAGTATCTGGAACAGGGTCTGGCACATAGTATATGCTAAGTCAATAATTCTTGAATAAATGCTTGCTCTGCTATTCATTATCCCTGGGCCTTCTACCATCTTCTTCACTCAGCTAACTCCTTTAACTCTTGAGTTGGGAGCTCAAAGTCCACTTCTTCAGGGAGGCCCCTGCTCATGCCAGCATACATTCTCTACCTCCCCACCTTCCATCCCACATTCTACCCTCCCAGAGCCTCTGGGCTTCTGTTGTTGCATCTCACTCTCGCCCTTACTGATTTGATGTCTGTCTATTAGAGAATCAGCTCTATGCGGAATGCTCAGGAACTGTGCTGTTTTGTTTACTGCTGTCTCTCCCATGCTTAGCACAGTGCCTGGCACATAGTAGATGCTCCAAGATTATGTGTTGAATCATTGGAGGGACAACTGAGGGCTTCAGGTGACCATCAGAGTGAGGACGCAGGTCTCTCCAGCTGCTTCTACTCCAAAAGGTCTGGAAAGCTCTGCCAGGCATTTTCACATACATGATCTCAATCTGTTCAACACACCCATGAAGCAGGTATGGTGATCCCCCTTTATAGGAGGAGGCAGAGCCTTGGAAAGATTGGGGAACTTTCCCAAAGTCACACATTAGAGAGCAGCAGAGCCGGGTCTCAAAGCCAGGCCCATTTGAGTTGAATGCTTTTCTTTCTGGGGGTCCCCTATGGCTCTGGTGTGACTGATGGAGAAAGCAAACTATAGGGTAGATGATTTCAGACAAGGCAGGAGGCAGCCTCTCCTTTCCCTCCCCAAGATTCTTCTGTTCCCTTAGAACCTGCATTAGTTATTTATTGCTGTGAAACAGATTACCCCAAAACTTAGTGGTTTGAAACAATACATGTATGATTTCACAGTTTCTATAGGTCAGGGATCCAGGTGCAATTTACCTGGGTTCTGAGCTTCAGGGTCCCTCACAGGCTGCAAAGTATTGGCTGGGGCTGTGGTCATCTCAAGGCTCAACTGAGGAAGGAACACTCCACGCTCACTGCCATGGCTGCTGGTGGGATTCAGTTCCTTGCTGGCTGTGGGCCAGAGGCTGCCCTCAGTTCTTTACCAGCTTGCTTCATCAAAGCCAGCAAGCCGAGAAGGAAGAGGGTCAGAGGCAGAGAAGTCACAGTTTTTATAACTTAATCATGGAAGTGACATTCCATCACTTTTACTGCATTCCATTCATCAGGATCATGTTCCTAGGTCCAGCCCACACACAAGACGAGAGGATTACACAAGGGAGTGTATCCCAGGAGGTGGGACCACTGGGAGCCACCACATAGCCCTGAACTGTTTTGGCAGTTATTAGATCGTGACTTCCTGCAGGGCAGCTAACCTTGTCCTGTTTGCCAAACATGCATGGGAATTAGCATGCATTTATTCATTTATTGACTTGTTTATTTATTTGACAGGCATTTACTGTGCAACTACTGTGTGCTAGATCTTGACTGCTGGAGTTGCAAAACAGGGAAAAGAGGGCACATTTCCTGCCTCAGAGGAGACAGATCTGTAAACACAGAAGTGAAATTTAGCACCTGCTCATGGGGAAGTAAGCGGGCTAATGCTCATTGGGAAATAACTGGACTAATGCCCCTTTAGCACTTACTATGTTCTAGGTATCAGCCTAAAGTGCTTTACATACACTATCTCATTTGTATAACCTATAAGGTAGCTACAGTCATCCCTCAGTATCCGGGGGGATTGGTCCCAGGACCTCCCTCAGATACAAAAATCCATGGATGATCAAGTCCCTGATACAAAATGGCATAGTGTTTGCATATAACCTGTGCACAGCCTCCCATATACCTTAAGTCATCTCTGGATTACTTATAAGATCTAATACAATGTAAATGCTATGGAAAAAGTTGTTATGCTGTATTGTTTAGGGAATAATGACAAAGAAAAAACAGTCTACATATTTAGTACCGATGCAATGTTTTTTTCTGAATATTTTAGATTCATGGTGGGTTGAATCCACAGATGTGGAACCCATGGATACAGAGGACTGACTGTACTATTATCCTCACTCCATTTTAAAGAAGAAGAAACTGAGGCACAAAAGGGTCAACTATTTGCTCAAAGTTACATGCTAGTGAGGCAGGGCTAGCATTGGAGCCTAGGCAGTCTGGCTCCTGAGGCCATGGGCTCAGTGCCTAGGCTATCCTGTCTCTTGGAAGGCAGGCTCCTTGAGGGTGGCTTTCAGCAGAATGACAGGTGCCGGGCTGTTCCTGGAAGCAGTTGTCACCGGGGTTTTAGTAGAATATGTAGACAGATACTTTTTCAGGAGCTCTGGAGAAGCTGGGTTATTTGGGTTGGGAAGAGTGGCTGGGAAGCCCACTCGCAAGCAAGGGGAAGAGAGTTGTTTTGGTTTAAAAGATTGACATTTTAATAAACTGCTCTTAATTAACAGCACTTTGAAATTCTGAGTGGCGTGCTCTCCATCTCAAAACACGTGGGCGGGTGGCTTCTCAGAGAGCACGATGCTTGTGGGTGATCTCCCTTTTTGAAACAAACCCAGACCCTCCAGTCACAATTTATTTTTCATTCCAAAAATGATCTTTACTGCAAATGTTGCTTTGGTTCGAGCGAATTAGAAATCCTTATTACACAGGAAGGCACTTCAAACAGTGCCCAGCTCGCCGCGCCGGCTGCGGCATCAAAGGCTCCGCTGGAATCTCTGATTACCACCCAGGCTGTTGCCCACTCGGGAACAGGCGGCATCTGAGGCTCAGGCCCTGGCTGTGGGACTGAGCAGGCTCAGGGGGTGCAGAAGCCAGCAGCCTCCGTGCCGGCCTTGGTGCTTCCCCAGTATGGGGGTTTTGGAGGGAGTGCTGTGGACAGAAGGGAAACAGAATGGCACATATGAACTTGGGTGGGCACCTAGTATGTACTCACTTTTCTGAGGCAGAAAGAGCCCAGTCCTTATGGGCCTGTGACCCCATCTATAAGTAAGGAAACCTCCCCACTCCTCACTCCCTCCCTGAACACAGGTGTTATTTTCTTTATTTTATAGGTAAGGAAGAGACGCTGAGTTCCTCGGCTGCCCAAGTAGCAGGAGGTGAAGCTGAGATTCGCACAGCTCTGTCTGACACTATCTTCCCCTCTAGATTGAGATCTTCAAGTTCAGGGCTGTGTCTCATGCCGGTGTCCTCAGCAGCTGACACAGGGTCTAGCTCAGGACAGGCAGTAGGCAATGTCCTTGAATTGAACCAAGCAGATTCATGATTTCATTCAACAATGTTTATTGAGTCTCCGCTGTATGTTAGGAGCTGTTCTTATTGTTTGCCTGAGTCAGTCTGGGCTGCTATAACAAAGTATTATAGACTGGGTGGCTTATAAACAACAGATATTTATTTATGTCAGTTCTGGAGGCTGGGAAGTCAAGGTGCTGACAGATTCAGTGTCTTGTGCGGACCCACTTTCCAGTTCTCACGGCACCTTCCTTCTGTGTCCTCATGTGGTGGAAGGGACAGATGAGCTCCTGAGGTCATTGAATAAGGGCTCTAATAAGAATAAGAACACTGAGCGCATTCACAGGGGCAGAGCTCATGATCTAGTCACCTCCCAAAAGGCCCTATCTCCTAATACCATCTGCTGGGGGTTAGGTTTTTAGTATATATGTTTTTGGGGTCACAAACATTAGGACCATGGTAGTGTTGATGGCATTTTGTTGGTGTAGTGAATGGTACCCCTCATCCAACAAAAAAGATGTCCACATCTTAATCCCTGGAACCTGTGAATGAGACCTTATTTCAAAAAAAGGTCTTTGCAGATGTCATTAAGTTAAGGATCTTGACATGAGATCATTCTGGTTTATGTGGGTGGACCCAAATGCGATAACTGTCTCTGTGAGACTGAAGAGGAGAAAGGCCATGGGAAGACAGAGGCGGAGCTTACAGTGATGCAGCCACAAGCCAAGGAACGCCCAAATCCACCAGAAGCTGGAAAGAACAAGGAAGAATTTTCCCTTAGAGCCTTTGGAGGGAGCATGGCCCTGCTGACACCTTGATTTTGGACTTCTGGCCTCCAGAACTATAAGAGAATAAATTTCTCTTGTCTTAAGCTCCAAGTTGGTGGCACTCAGTTATGGCATCCCTAGGAAATGACTAGAGCTGGCACTGGAGGATGGGAAGAGGGCTTTGGCCCCATCTTATTCACTCTGGACTTGCATGGGGGACATGATAGTGAAGGGGCAGGGGAGGTGGCTGGAGGCACTGGTCATCTCATCGGGACCTGGGTCTGAGCCTCTTTCCTCTGGAGGTGTTTCACTGCCCCATCTAAAGTGTGCAGGCAGAAATCTGCTCAGCAAGCCCCCTCGGCAACTTGGACATCAATAAATATAGCATGCTAATGGCTGAGCAAAAATAAGTGAAAATGAGTAGCCACATACATACAAGGACCCCTCACATCATACCAGGCCACACAGATAGAGGGGCCAGGGTGTCTGGTTAAAGGCTGGTGGATTTCCCTACAACTATGGCTGTTGAGATCTCTTGGTGTCCAGAGGGAGCTATGGACAAGGAATGGCTGACTCTATTGGGAAGGACTTTAGGAGTCTCCAGCTCTGCTCGTCCACCTTCTCCTCAGGGAGATATTCAACTGCTGTTCCAATGCTCAGAGAGTCAGCCCAGCTTTGGGAAGCCCTTCCTGGGATCCTCTGCTGAAAGTTCTTCCCTACACAGAACCCACATATGCCTCTCCATGATGTCTATTTTACTCTCATTTCACGGATGTGGAAACTGAGTCTCGGCTACAGTCTAGGGTCACATATAGAGTAAGTGCTCGGATGAGCATTCTGAGACACTACAGAACCTAAACTATCTGCCACAGCAGTGAACAGATGAAACACAACACACGAGTGAGGGTTTGCAGCTGCTACCACTACGCTATGAAGCATTATTGTTGATTGTTATAGCAAGCGCTGTCATAACTGACCCAAGTGCTTAGCTGTGGTCCCTGGAACATCAGGTAAGCTGCCTAAACTGGTGGCTTTCTCTCTACACCTCTGTGGGATATGTGTGTTTTGGTTGGGGTTTTTTTTTTTTTTCTTAATATTTCTCACTGTTTGGTCTCTCGGGTCCGGCTGCAAGCCTGGATTCTGCCTGATGTGGATAATTCATCTGAGACCTGTTGGTTCTTTTATGGTAACCTTTGCCACACTATATATCGTACCTTTTAAAATACAAATGCAATCATTTAGGGACATTGGAGAGATAGGATTGTATTGGAGCCTGAATTCTGCCTGGCCAATCACCTCTCCTTCTAAGTATGCTGTTAGGGGTGGGCACACACAAGGAATAATAGCAAACACCATTTTATTATGAGCTGGGACAGGCTGGGTGTCTCCAGTGCAGAGGCCTGGCAAGGCAGGGCTGGAACACAGGACTCTTTCTCCCCATCTAAGCAGAAATCCAAACCTTACCACCAGCCAATCACTATATCTGAAGTGAGGGCTGTCCTAGAGCACAGTGCTACACAACACAGGCCTTCCACACATTGCTACTCGTCTGCAATGAGATAAGCATCACATGGAGAA
Organism: Homo sapiens; assembly: GCF_000001405.40. NCBI lineage: Eukaryota > Metazoa > Chordata > Mammalia > Primates > Hominidae > Homo > Homo sapiens. The sequence continues at coordinate 15,893,378 of NC_000011.10, read as the reverse complement.
TGTAAATCAACACTCCACTTCCTTCATCAAGAAAGTCCTGCTATGAAAAATATGTCAGCTGAACCAAACAATGTGCTTAGTGACACAGTTGATTTACATTCTGGCACAAACTCCTTATCTCATTGCAGCCCAGTAAAAACCAGCTCACAGACTGACAGTGGTTCATAAACCACATTTTTAGTAGCACTGCTGTAGCTCATGTAAGAAATGCCAAGTGAGAAAGTCAGCAGGCGCCGCCCTAAAGAGAGGGAACCATTGGTCCTTTACCAACTGCACTGAGAAGCCACAGGAAGCAGAAGAGGAGGGCTTTGTAGGTATCAGGACTGCGGGTAGTGATCCTGCTGGCTAGTAACGTGGCCTCATCCAGCAGATCAAGAGTCCTGCTCTTGGCGACAGGGAGTGAAAAAAGGCTGGTCAGAAGAGAGGGATGGAAGGTTTCTTTTTCCCCTACAGAAATTTCTTCGAATTGTGCTGTAAAGCCTTAGCAACAACAACGAAATAAATTCCTGGCCATTGTCCTGTAATGTTTACATGTTCTTAATTTTACAGTTTTTGATAAATGTAACAGCAGAAGGCCCACAGGCATCTTCACGGCCTTCCTGGAAAATGTGAGGTTTGGTTTCCAGGGTGCTGGCCTGCAGGTTTTTGGATTGACAGAATCCTGAGAAAGGCTGGGTTAACACAGCTAAACCAGTTCTTCAGCTGGTCAGACCGGGGGTCAGAGATCCCAAAAGGCAGGAGAGAGGTCAGCTACCCTTGATGCGTGCCCCCAGCACTCTGCGTTTGAGGGTTGGGATGCTTGGGCTCGCAGCCTGAAAACTCCCCAGGAACAGGCTGGGGGTGGCAGGAGGGTCTATGACAGGGCAGTCATCTGTGGGGAGGTAAAGAAGGAGAAGATGGAGGTGTCCTGGGGTTTCCTTGAGCTGTCACTTGCGTGTACCTGAGCTGGTCTTGAAAGGGTGCTGGAGAGGACCCAGGTTGCCAACCTGCTACGGAGGACTAAAAGCACCTTCTCAGGGAGGCCTCAGAGCTGGCTGGAAGCTGGGCTCTGCCTGGGTGGTGCTTGGCTGCCCTTGGAGCTCAATTAAACTGATTCCAAAGGAACACTTTCTTCCCAGGTTCCTCTCCTGTGGCGGGCTCTGCGGGGGACCCAGAACTAGGTCCAGCACACCCTGCCTAAAATATGGTTAATGAGAGCTAATAGGAAGTGTTTGCCACGTGTCAAGTTGGGGCTGAGAGTTTGACATGTGTTATCCAAGCTAAGCCTTCCAGCACTCCTCAGAGATAGGTGCTGTGTTATCCCCTATGCCAGTTTCAAAAATGGAGAGTTGGGGACTCTGCCTGCCTGAGGTCACTCAGCGAATGATGGTGGAGCCAGGACTTGAACTCCACATCCAGGCTCTTCGACAAGCGGTTTGACTCTGGCTGCACATAGACATCATCTACAGAGCTTTTAAAAAATACCCGTGCTGAGATATCACTCTACATCAATTAAATAAGAATCTCTGGGGCATGAGACTGGGCATCAATATTTGAAAATTATACCAAAAGACTGAGCCATGTGTGTGTTCAGCCAGAATTGACAGCCTTGTCTCTGGAGCCTGTGGGTTTAACTGCTGCACTGCATGGACTCAGCCTTGCTCATTTTCCCCAAAGTCTCCAGGTCGTGGGTGGCCTCAACCTTTGCTTTTCCCTACCAGGCCAGCTTGGGGCTCCTACAGAGGTCTCTGACACGGGGACGACCAGGGCAGTGTCATAAGAGAGGAACTAGGATGAGATCATGGAGGAGGGAGGGAGCCCTCCAATCAGGGAAGAATCAAGATAGCTTCCCGGAGAAGGCAGGAGAGTTTGGGGAAGGGTCAGAGCTTGGAAAGGCTGCTGGAACTTAGCATGCTCTCCTAGTCTTTGTTCATTCATATGAACTCAATTCCCTAGGTACTAGGGAGCCATAGAGGGTATATAAGCATGATAGTGATTCCCTCAGAAAACCATCACCTTGCTGAAGCCAACAAAATTTCTTTTATACGTTCTTACCTGAGGGGGCAACGCTGGGATTCTGGAAAATGGAGTTTGCTGATAAATCCATAGAAGAAAATCAAGGTGTAAACACTACACCAGAAAAAAATCCTCTTCTTTCTCCCCACCCCCATCCATACTAGCAGTGACAAGTTCTCCCAATACCCATGCACTGTGCAGCTTCACACCTCTTTGCTTTTGTTCTCAGTTTCTTCTGGCTGGAGCCCTTCCCTCTTTATCAGCCACGTGAACACATTTATATTTATACTTCATTAAACCTACTCCAAAAGTTGTTACAGACCCTCCCAGGAGAGATTTAATCCCTTCCTCCTCAACCCTCCTGGATCATGTACATAATTTTAGAGCTGCACAGATCACCCTGTCATGGTAACTGTCCATGCACTTGATTCGCTGCTAGATGGTGAGACACTTAGGCAGAGTGCTTAGCACATAGTGAGTGCTTAAAAAAAATAAATCATTGTCAGGCTGAGGTTCTCTCCAACATCAAGAGTCTTGGAATAATGGAGTTGTAGGAAGTGCCCCTAACCTCCTATTGTAACCCTTTCTCTCTCTTTGCCTGCCACAAGCAGCATCATTCTCCATTATCTTCACTGCCTAGGAACAAATGATTGTCAGAGAACGTGCCTTTGAAAGCCAAAAGGATTACCTGAGATTTTAGTATCAATAACTTCCTGGCAGCCATTTGCAACCGAGTCCAGCACAGCTTGTCACGTTAGTTATGCAGGGTTCTGGAAAACACAGACATAGGTCGGGTAGGTCTGGATGAGGCTGAGAGAAGGGAGGAGAGAGGACTGGGCCAGAGGGTGCAGTGTTCTGTGAGGGGTGGAATGGGTATGACCTCATTACTGCTGCCAGAGTTAGCATAGAGAGTGGGCTTTGGGGGCTGCCAGGTGGCCTGAGGAAGGCCATTGGCTGAGTGTGCACAGAGGAGGGAGAAGGGCTTTGGAGCGGAAGGGGAGGGGAGCATTAAAGACACATTCACAGTGAGGGTGGCTGGCACCTTTTGGATGGTTCAGGATGGGCTGGGGTTTGGATCCTGGAATGTGTGTGTGGGTGCACACGTGTGCAAGTGTGAGCTACCAATTCCCTCTGACGACTGTGGGCAGACCCAGGCTGCCAGGGCCGGCCAAAGAGAGGATTACTTTCTGGTTTAGTAGATTAAATGCGGAGGTTTCTGTGAATTAAACCCCAAAGCAGCTTTGGAATGTTTTCACTATCTCCACTGAGAAAATGAGATCTTTTTCATCTGGTAACACAGGGATAATAATACCCCGCTCCCTGGGCTGCAGTGAGGATTAAATGAGATCCTGTATGTCAAAGTCCCAGCCTGTGCCTGGGACACAGTAAGGCCCATGTAAATGGTGGCTCTAAAGTAAACCAAGGCTCAGGGTATCTGGTTAGGAGCAAGCCTGAAATAAGAGAGCTTTGTGCCTTAAAGACAGCAACCAGGGCCCTTTTACATGGTGTCTTTGGGTCTTTGAGCTTTCAGCCCTAGGGCAGCTCAGGCTTTGGTCAAATGTGGGTTCACTCTCAGCCTGTCCACATACCAGCAGGAGACTTAGATCAAGTTCTTTAATCTCTCTGAGCCTCCATTGCCTTATAATCATAGGACCTATCTTATAGGGGTGCTGCAGGATTTGCTGAGCTCATTTGCTCCTTACTGAACTCCCAGCTTCTGCTTGACCCTGCCAATCTGTTCCCCAAAGAGCAGCCACACAAGGACTTTAAACTGAAGTCTGAACTTGTTATCTCTCTGTACACAACTTGGGATGCTTAGAATAAAAGCTGAAGCCGTTGCCATGGGCTGCCACACCCTAAGTGATCTGCCCTGGCTGCATCTTCCCTCTCATCTCCAGTTAGATTTCCTGCATGTGTTTTGCTGGCAGCCAGCTTCTTTGCCATTCCTAAAGAAGCTCCTGTCTCAGGGCCTTTGCACCTGCTGATTCCTCACCTGGAATGCTTTTTCCCCGAGATAACTACATAGATTCCCTCAGCACTTAATGAATCTTGGCTCAAATGCCACCTCCTCCTAGAGGCCACCTCAATTTCCCTCTTTAAACAGCATTCTCAGCCCCTCTCTATTCCCTTGCTCTGATGCATTTTTCTTCATACCACTAAGCAGTGGCTGACATTGTCTTGTGTATTTATCTTCTGTTGGTTTTCTGGCTAGAACATGAGCTTCAGGAGACTGGGAACTTTGTTTGGGTTTTGTTTGGCTCATTAGGTCCAGAAATCAAATAACTATTTGGCAAAGGAATACATGAATGAGTTAGTGCCTGTAAAGCATCATTCTTGCCACACATGCGTGCTCACACTTATTAGTGATGGAATGAAATGTCCTAGAACCTGTAGCCCTAGGATCCAGTTACTGCCCTGCTGTCAACTTACTGTGCATCTTAAACAATTCCCTTAACCTCTCTGGACCTCTGGGAGAGCACTGAGCAAAAGGAGATATCAGTTCCTGCCTTTGCTGGGAGAGATCAGGGTCAGGGAAGGGTCAAATTGATAAGTAGACAGTTTGCCAAGCAAAAGAAGCCCCAGGAATATAAAGTAGAGGCCTGTTTTCTCTGAAGAAAGCTAGTGTCTCTAATTTCTCAATATGCACCAGCTGGGCTGTGTCAGGTGGTCGTATGTAAGAAAAAAAAATCCCTTTGACTGAAATGGTGAATTTTACTGAGGCCACTTGGTTTTGCTTTCAAATAATTTCTTCAGGGCTCCCAAGTGCCTCCTCTTTCTTACTCATTAGCAGTCTACAGAACTTAAAGGAGAGACTCTAATTAGGAAGAACTTTCGTATCATTTACCAGGGAAAGAATGAGGAGGGGCTGCCTTATGGGCTGCAGAGAACCTTCTGAATCTACATGAAGGCCCTTTGGCTCCAGGCCTCTGAATTGAGCTCAGGAGCAAAATCTAAAGCCACAGGTTAGGAGAATGAATCTGCTATTTGGAGTAGGCAATCATTATTTTTTTTTTAATATAAATTCCAGAAAAGTACACAGGACTAGGGTATCTAGGGTGCCTGGGGATGGGTCTGACTCCTGCTTGCTGAAGAAGTGCAATTATTGACTCTGCTGTTAATGAGGGATGTGGAGTTTACAGGCTCAGGGCAAAGGAAGAGCAGCAGGGACAGGATGAACTGGCAGAGAACATTCCAGAGACTGCTCTGCTGTACCCTGATTCTGAGACCCCATTGAGAAGGCGGCAACCCACTCACAACCCCTCTGGAAACCTGTGAAGGAGAAAAGAACGTTTAGACTCTTATACTGGTATTAACTCAGTGTGTATCAGTAGGGAAGGGAGATTGCATGGAGTGCTGATGTCTTGGGTCATATTAATAATAGATAGAGCATGCTGAATGAGGAAGGTGATAGTCCTGCCAACGTCCCTATTGGTCAGTTCCAATGAAATCAGGAGCTGATTCCTTGTGGGATGGGTCTCCACAGTTGAGGAGCACTATAGACAAAGTGGTTGCTCTGGGGAGGAGGTAGGAGGGAAGTAAGATTATGTTTTAAACAACTAATTAATTAACAGTTAAAGAGCAGAACTAAGAAAAGGGAAAAAAATCTTTCTGATGACAGCCATTAGCCAAGTGGCTATGAACACGACCCTGGAGTTAGGGGAATCTGAGCAGGAATTCTGACTCCATACTGCTAGCTATTTGGTCTGGAGCAAATACTTTCCTCCTTCCCTTTGAGTCTCAGCTTCCTCATCTGCAAAAGGAGAAAATAATGTTTTCTATTTCATATGGTTTTGCGAGGGTTAATTGGGTAATCTATTACATAAAATACTTAGCACATAGTATGTGCTTAACAAATAGCAGCGATTCTAAATATGATTGTGCTTACTTTGAGAGAGAAGCATCCTGCGAAGTGTTTAAGGAGTGAGATTCCAGAAGGGATTCCTGCTTGGGAAGGCAGTAGGCTGGCTGGCCATGGATCTCTAATCTGCTGGGTTTCTAAATGTCTCTTTAACGCCTTCCAGCACCAGGTCCCAGTGCTGTCTCATCATGCCTAATGAAAAATTGTCTCATAACCTTAGCCCTAAAGAACGATGAGGAACTTCATACTCTTAGAACACGCGCATTTTGAGAGATGAAGGCAGGAGTGATGGAGTTTCAGGCAATGTTGCAAGGTAATGGCAGGGAGGCTGGACCCCAGGGCGTGTTGGCAACAGCTTTCTCGAGCTGTGCTGTTTCCTCTGTTTGTCCTTCTGACTCTGGCCAGAGGGACGCTTGCATGTGATGTCTATGTGTAATGTTTGGCCTGTGGGTGGAAAGGTATGGGCTGTTCTTAGATGTGGTCCCTGACAGCTTTCCCAGGATCTTTTCACTGTGTTGAGCCAGGATGCCAGAAGTGGTGGCTCAGAGGGTGTTTGGGGGTGATGTGGATGGTTTTCAATCCAGAAGATCACCGGGGGGTTACCAGCTCCAGCCCCAGAATTACAGGGCTCTGGGGCTCAGCCTCCCCTGTGTCTCCTTTGCTTTCCTCTGGACCACCAGCCTGATGCAGGTGGCTCTGCCAGTGCCGTAGGGACTCCACCGGAGCTGTGCTCCTGGGCTTTACCTGCACCCTTTAACATGTGTGTGAGCCCAGAAGGGTGACTGGGCTGTGGTTTCATCCAATGGAGTGACAGGAATGTGATGGGGGTGGGGATGAGTGTAAAGAGAAGACTATCACTCCTGGCCTAGAGGCTCCTAAGACCTGACTCTATGCACTGCGTCTCAGGCCTGGTAGTCAGTGGTGGGAACTGGTCAGGGAAGAAAACAATGCATTAGGCGTTAGATGCATGTTATCTCATCAAGTTATGAAATAGATCATCTCATCTCCACTTTACTGATGAAGAAAATGCAGCTCAGAGAGGTTAAGCAACCTGCCCACGATCACACAGGTAGGGTAATGAAACTGATTTTTGCACCCTGTTCTTTCTGACTTCAAAGTCTCCACCAGGACTTGTTTTGCTCCTGAAGCAGCTTCCTAGTGGGGAAAGGGAAAGTGGTCGAGCATCCAGGAACTGAGCTCTGCCACAACATCTTGGTTGGAGAAACAGGACAGAAAAAGCCCCTTGAGAACGGGAATTGAGGTTAGTGAGTGAGGTGGCAAAAACTATTGCTGTCCTACCCCTCTCTAAATAAAGGTTGGTGTGGAAGTCAAGGCTGGCTTCCTTTTGAAGGAGGCTCTATAGAGGAGTCAGCTGTGGGAAGATCTTTGGGGAGTAAGACAGTGGCTGCCACCTATCGTCAGACGGGTTCTGTGATGATGAGGAAAGTCACAGCCCCAACTTGGCTGTGGCAGCACAGATGGCACAGATTGGGAGTCAGACGGGAGACACTGACACTGGCTCTCCATGGACTCTCCCTGTGGCCTTGGGCACGCCACTCAGACCACCTCCAGGGGCACGTCTAGCCTTATGTTCTACATCAGGGCCTCCCAAACTTGTGAGTGCATGGGAATCATCTGGGGGGCTTGTTAAAAAGTAGATTCTGTTTCAGGAAGGTTGGATCGAGGCCCAGGAATTTGCATTTCTAACAAGCTCCCAGACGAGGCTGATGCTGCCATTCAGGGACTACACTTTGAGTGACACCGTTCTCATCTTGTAGACTCCGAGCCACACTTTGTAGACAGTACCAGGGCCTGGCATTACCAGGAGGGGAGGGAATCAAGCATTTTTCTTCTCCTGTGAGGGGCCCAAGTGTTAACAGACCGGGCCTTGTGTCTCAGGAGGCGTTAGCCTGGCTGCTCAGCAGTTCACAGGCTCATTCCCAATTTGCAGGAATAATAGAAGAACAGCCCTGGTGGAACCTCAGTTCCTACTTTTCTTATAAGACTCAGCTCACAGGTTACCTTCTTCAGGAAGTCTTTTCTAACTTGCTTCCTACCCTCAAATTTTTAGATGCAACCCGGTTAAGAACATGGACCCAGGAGCAAGATGTTCTGGGTTCAGATTCTGACTCTGCCTGTGTGGCCTTGGGCAAGTTACTTAACCTCTCTGTGCTGTGGTTTCATCATCTCTAAGATGAGGATGAGGATAATGCCTATCTCACTGGGTTAATGATTTAAGGAGTTATTATTTGTAAAGCTCCTAGGGTGAGCATTGTATAAATGTTAGTTATCATTACTTTTGTCATCATCACCATCTCTTTTTCTGATTCTCAGCCTCCCTTCAGGCCAGGCTTGTTTCTCTCTGATCCCAGTACCCAGCACAGAGGCGCTGCTCAGAAGTCAAGTGGGGAGCCTCCGCCTGACGACACAGAGCAGGGGCTGCTTCTTACAGGAAGCAGATTTATAGCCTAGAGGCCAACATTAGGGCCGACTGAGGGATTCTGCTGGGATTACTGGCTCCTCCCAGCAGCCACGACCTTTTCTCATCTTATCTGGAAACTGACAGAAAACAGAGGGTGTCCTAGTTCCAGCTCCACCCTGCTCTGGGGGCCATGGCCAAAGGCTTTGGGCTCATGAGCTTTGTCATCTCTGGGGTTTTACTCTGAGGGCAGCCCTCTCCCATAAACCAAGACTCCTGGTGGTTGAGGGGTGGAAAGGGTATGCTTCAAAGCTCCCAAGACAGGCACCCTGACTGGTCTGTTTCATCTTGGACTTCTCTGACTACTTGTTGAATGCTTGGGATGGGCATCCCCTGCAGGGGTTCAAGAAGAGTGCCACACTTTGACAGAACGCAGTCCTCTCTGCAGATCCCTGGCTAAAAAGAAAAACACACGCACACAAAACAAAAGGCCTGCTGCCTAATGTAAAATATCGCTTCCTAATCCCAAGCATGGCCAAGTGTGCTGTTAAGATATTTAGAAGGCCCTTAAATTATTTCCACTTTAAAAATGTTTTTATGTCTCCCATTTTGTTCACTTGGTTGGTTAAGGTGTAATTGCTCTCCTTGGCCCAGACGTCGCTTCCTCACCAATAGAGACCCCGGTTTCTCGTCTTGATATTAAGAACAGATTCTGAGAGCTGAATGGGGCATTGTTTCCTGGCCAGATCGGTAGCCGCTGCCTGCTTTTAGTGAGCGAGCAGTCCAAGATTGGCAGCCCGACGCAGGCCGCGCTGTGGCTTGCTTTGATTACTTGATTCCATCCAGCTCCAATCAGGAACTGATCACACACGTTCAGATTTTCATTTGCTTTCCCCCCGACTCATTCTCCATAGTTGCAGGTTAAAGGGGTGGGTTTTGGGGGATGGCAGCCTGCCATGATTTTTAAAGACACTGTATTCAGAAGTCTGGACGAGAGGGTTGGGGGTGCTGGCCTGTGATCCCCCTGGTCAGACCTTCACCGCAAAGCAGAGGCCTGGAATCTAAGTGTCTTCTGCTGATATGTTCTTTTGCTTGTAACCAGTAAAGGTTCTAGAAACTTCCCTCAAATTGTGAACAATGAGAAACTCCCATTCTTTTCCCAGAACATGAAAATCCCCTGAGATTTTGCTCCTCTCACATTTTTACCAGATAAGTCTAAATATAGAGCCACCCCATCTCCTTTTAAAAGGAACATTTAGGAAAACGTTCTACTGGTGACTCAGAAACTCTGACTCCAAGTCTTTATTATCTTCTCTCACTCCCTCCACCATCGTTCCCCCTCTGCTCATTACGATGTTTGGTTGTAAGTGCCAAAAACCCAAATAGAACACTTTGAGCAGTGGGACCCAATGAAGAACAATGACAGGAGGTTGGCTTTCAATGTGTCAGTGGTTGCCAAAGAAGTTTATCCTTTATTTATTATTTTCATTGTGGCTTAGAACATGCAGCCCTCAAAGCCAAGTCTCTAAACCAAAACGTATGGTAGGCCTGCCTCTGCGCAGAGCCCGCAGTGAACTCTGAGATTTTCCCCTTCACTCTTCACCAGTGATTGGGACTGAAGACAGTGTGTTTTGAATTTACGGAGAGATCTACTGCTTTGGGCCCAGTTTTAGTACTTTTAAAAAGCAATCAATAATGGCTAGTTTGTAATAAGAAAAATTTATGAACTGACAGGCAAAATGTAATTACAGAGGGGATTCCTTGCAAGAAAAAAGAGGTGATGTGAACAGACATCTCGACAATCTGTTTGCACTCATTTTCATTCATATAAATGATGAAGTGCTTCTGGGTTGAAGCAGCATTCTCCAAAGGCTTCCCGGGAGCCTGGAAGGTCACTGCCAAAGTTTTTACTAACGAAGGGCAATGAGTCTTTGTATTAACTTCTCATTGTTACCCACAAAATGGATTTTTCACAGTGTTACTTTTATGACTAAGGCTGTTACCCAGCAGCAGCTTCCGCACCTCGTCTTCTTGGTCCCTGAGGAGACCCAGCATGCTCGAGAGCTTTCTGGAAGCCAGGGCAGTGCTGCAGCCACCTCAGGAGTCTTCAGTTCCTTCCTCCCGCCTCTCTCTCTCTTGCCGTTTTCTCCTTTCAGTTGCGGCTGCTGAGGAGAGAAAGAGCACTTCCTGATTGTAGAAGTCACTTTCAAAGGAAAAGAGCAGAGGTTCCAGGGAAAACAGCACAAGGTGTCCCCATACTGCCTGATCCGGGTCATACAGAGCATCAAACATAGCCCCTTTATATGTATTAGGTCTCAACCATTGCTTGAAAAATTATAATGATGAGATCCAACCCCTGTACATCACGTTTTCATTCATAAGGTGCTGTGACACCAACGTCTGTTTTGACCTTCACAGCAATCTGAAGAGATGTTTATTACTATACCCATTTTACAGACAAGGAAATTCAGGCTCAATGAGATTACCTGACTTGCCCATGGTTGCGCAGCTATAAATACTTGAATTAGGATTTGAACTCACATCTTTCTAACTTCAAAGCCTGTGTTCTTTTGAACATACCAAGAATAGAAAGACCAGTTCTTTTAAGAAGAATGAAGACTGGGACAGACATTCTTGTTAAAGAAGTATGATCCAATGAAGTTACGTTTAAATTTGTTGACTGTCTTAAAGTGAGAACAAGGTTGCCAGAGTGAGAATTGTTGTACTGTTTTGCATGTGCCAGGTGTTAGGATTTTTCAGGTGCTTTCACAATCTGACTTTATGTCATTTGCAGCTCAGCACAGCTCTGTGAGGGAGGCGGGGGGATTGTCATTATCTCCATATTTGGGAAGAGGAGAGTAAGAAAAAAGCTGAGAGAGGTGAATGACCTGCCCAGGTTCAGAGAGGGCACCCCCAGGAAACCACAGGGTCATCATGGCTTACTGACTTACAAGGAGATCTTTTCCATTACTTTTGCAGAAAAACCTCCATGTGCTAGAAACAAAATAGTGGATTCCTTAGTGATTTGCTTTTCCCCCCTCCATGTTACCTCTCAGTTGAAAGCCAAATGATCACAAATCAAATTGAGATCCGGGAGTCCATTGAAGCAAACAGCAATAACTAGAAAAAGTCATTCAGGAGAGGTCCAGGGTCAGCACAGCCCCATCTGCAACACCTATCCCTACACCAACATTCAGTCTTGGCCTTGACGCTGTGGCCTTGGCAATGCTAAATCAAGGAAGTGGATGGTCCTATTTCACAGAGGTTTTTAGCAACAAAGGTGGAAATGTAAAGGGTGTAAGCCCCCGATTATCTAAGGATCCAATGCACAGCATCTTGCACTTCTCTGGGCATGACTGCTGGTTGGATGGAGCTTTGGGTGTGTTTGGCTGTATGCCACCATTCAGGGCACAGTCATGAGTGATGAGTGTGACAGAGAGACAGGTGTAGCTGTGGGGGAGGATGTCAGGATTGCCCAGACAGCCTTATCAGTCATGAATCTAGTTTTTGGACCACCATCCATATCTCTTACTTGTTGCTATAATAGTTCTATACACCCTGTAACTTAGTGGTTTAAAACAACAATCATTTCCTCTTGTTCATGTGTCTATGGGTTATGTGGCCTTTGGCTGATTTAGGCTGGGCTCAGCTGGGACCAGCTCAAAGCTTGTGAACTGAGTTTCACGTCTGCCTCATTTATCTTTTCTTCCTCCAGGACCAGTGGGCCACCTAGAACAAACGCCAAGCTAAACTGCTCGAGCACAGTGATGGCCTCTTCTTGTGTCACATTTGCAGACATTCCACTGGCCAAAGAAAGTCATGGGGCCAAGCACAGCCTCAGTGGCCCAGGGAAATCTGCTCTGTCCAGTCCAATAGACAGAGAGGGGAATGAATAGCTGCTGAATTATCCAAATTCACACTATTTGCCTGACTCCAGTATCCTATTTCTTAATTGACTCTAACTCAGATGGAGAAAAGAGATATGACTAGTTATTATAGAAATCCATCTGAACCCCTTGCACAGAAGAGTGAGGCATGGGAGCTGAAGGCTGACTTAGATAAAAGGGACTGGGCAGGTGCAATTGCTTCCCACTGAGAGGCCAAGGAGTTGGAGTTGGGGACCAAGACATCAGTTTGCAAAGCAAGACTCTGAGACTCTTAGAGGAACTTAAAAGACTGGAAGAGAGGAGATGGCAACAGGACATTAAGGTAATTTCTAAAGACTAGAAATAGAGGGGGGTGGTGCTGATGTGAACAGAGGCACCCAGTGGGGGTTCCAAGGCTGGCGCTGGAGCATCAATGACAGTCCCATCTGCAGGAGAAGTCCCTCTCCTGGCCTGTCAAGTGAGGCAGAGGGGCCTGGTAGCCCTTTCTTAAGAGTGAGGGAGCTGGGATGGGTCCAGGGGGATCCCTGTGAGGAGCTTCACCATTAAGCCCTACCAGCTCCCATCGCTAGTGTCAAATGCTCAAGGATAATGGGATCAAGGCCGGCCTGAAGTCAAAAAGAAATCTGGAACAGATGTTAGAAATTTTTTTTTTTTTTTGAAAGTGAGGATAAGCCTAGCAATTATTGGCAGAACTCTGGCCCATATCAGAAATGATTAGTTGCCTGGCCTGAGATTGAATGGAGAGCCTCCAGCTTCCTTTTACTTCCTTTCCAGCTCACACTAGACAACGTGCCTCAAGAGCCTGGACATGTCCTCCCAATGGGTGGGTGGTCCCCATGCCTTGGATCCAGTCTGGTCTTCTAGGCTACCTCAACTGCCCCTCTTTATTTACTGTCTTTCTCTTTTCTAATCCCCCCTCCTACTAATCATGTAAGCCTGGCACATACGCATTCACAGGCACACACACCAGACACACATCTGCCAATCTTGGGGGTCATTCTCAACCATTGAGGGAAGACTATAATCCCCAAGATTTGTAATCCTCCTCCTCCTCACCAAGGACCCTCAAAGAATCTTTCTGTGGAATTTACTCACAGTCACTCCAACTGAATGGACTTTTGTCTGGGCCCTGCTTTGCAAGTTCAATAAGTACTGGGTTCAAAGAGACAATTAGTTTGAGCATCTACTCTGTGTCAGGCACTTTGCAGGTATATTTCAATTTTGTCTAGGGTCTCTCCAGCCTATGGGCCTAGATGGGGGTCCTGTGATGATCATAGCTCATGTTTCATCCTGCAGAGCTCCCTGGTCCTGTTTGGAGGTCCTCAGGATGCTTATCCAGCAGGTCCCAAGCCAGCTGATTGACTTGTTACCATGCATCCTGTGTTAGGGTCTTCTCATCCTGCTCTTCTGACCATGTCAGTCATTAGAGCTCTGGCATCAGTGACTAGGGCTAGATCCCCAAATGGCTGTCAATCTGCCACCCTTCATGTTCATGTTCATTGGAACATGACTGTGCTCCAGGTAGAAAGATGTCTTTTCTTCCTTCTTCCACCCACCTCTGTATTGCCTGAGTCACAGACTGTGCTGGTTACAGACCATGTTCTATCAAATTCCTCTGAACATTCCCCTGTCTTCTGCCTGCAGGTCCTCTCTCCATGCAGCTTAGACCAAAGTTCCATTAGCTAGACTGGGTGCCCAAGATCCCCAACAAGTGTCATGCTGTCATCCTCTTCCATTTGTTTTCCTCCCTCCCTCCTCCTTACATTCCCCTTCTCTCCATGCATGTGTTCCCTGCCCCAGGCCAGTGGGCATCCAAGATGTGTCTGACTCTGTCTCAGTGGTACTCACTGATGTAATTCATCTCAGGGTAGATTAGAGTTACTTCTCAAAACAATCCTGTGAAGAGATTGACCATGTAATATTATGGTTCAAATTATGGAGTGGAGAGAGACTGAGGAAAGATCACTGAACTGTGCCCCAAGAATCCTCGATTCTAGACCTGTTTTTCTCACTAATCCCAATGTGATCTTGAGCAACTAGGTTCTTCTCTGGTTTTCTGAGTTCCAATCTATGACTTTCCAACTTCCCTTCCATCTCTAACCAGCAGTGATGCCCAGTTCAAGAAAGGGCTTGGAGGATCTTCTTTATGGTTTCCATATGCACTCTGTACGTGATCATGCACTCCCTGAAGAGCCTCAACATGTGCATTCAGTACTGAATAGACTGAGTCAACTCAGTACCTTTCTCTGCCCCAATGGCCAGTTTCAGAGCCTTGTTGCTTCTGCATGTCTTCACAATGGCCTTACTGTATGACTAGGCCAGTACTTGCCTGACCTCTTCTCCTACTACTTTCCCCACTTCAACCACAATGGCCTTTTTGTTATTCCTTGAATACACTAGCCAAGCTACAGACTCAGGGCTATTCCCTCTACCTGAGACAATCTTATACCAGACACCTGCATGGCCTGATCCCTCATCCTTTAGGACTTTGCCCAAATGTGGCCTTCTCAGTGAGGCCTTCTCTGATCATCCCTATAAAAGTACCCGACATCACCACCCCCATCCTCTTCCCAGCTTAATTTTTTTCCCATAGCATTTATCATCGTCTGTCATACTATTTTACTTATATTTTAAACATTGATTGTATGTCTCTGTACATTGGGATATAAGCTCCAGAGAGGCAGGAAATTTGGTCATTTTTGTTAAGCTTTGCATTTCTAGCATCTAGAACCCTGGGCTAAGATGTTGCCCAACTTTAGGAGGGAGCATTCATGTACAGTATAATGATAGATTTCAATGTGGTGGCTTTACCTAAAATAGCACCTGGCACATAATTAGCCCTTGATAGGTTTTTGTTCATGAATAATCTGTCTATTCTTGGCACAGTTAAATCTCTTCAAAGTAGAATGCAATGCCCATGGTTAAGTTTCCCATTCAAAGGCAATATAGGCATAAAATAGATGCAGCCATAGAAATTTAAATAGGGGCTTTCCCCAAAAAATATTTGTGCCAGTCTTTTGCTCTTTCTCCATCTTTAGCTCTGAAATTTAATAATCAGAGCATGGGAGGGCTGGTCTGAAGACCTGTGAGAGTTAACACAGAGAGATTTAAGTTTACCTATCACAGAGAGATTTAAGTTTACCTATCAGCTCGTCATTGGAAGGCAATTCTCCAGGGATATCTTGCATCTTTGCATGTCTTGCCAGCAGAGGCACTGGCTGCCTTTGTTCTGGACTATCTTTTCAAGGGTGTTTGTATAGCTAACAGTTTGGAAGACAGTGCCTCCCTCAAACAAAATTCAGGCAAGCTTACTGTCCATTATAAAATATCTGGGTTCCCTAAACTAGGGGTCCCTCTCTGGTGACTCACTCCAATATGTGTACATGCATCATCTGGCCCACTTTGCCGTGTCCTGTGGGAAGTGGGGCTCAGGAAAATGATGCAAATGAGAATACACTGACTGCTGCTACTGAATTCTCTTATCTTCTACCAGGATCCATGAAATTATGGCAGCCTAACTCCTCACTTGTTAGCTCACAAGTAGGATAAAGGCACACTTTTAAACCAGGCTCAGACTCATCACAGTTCATGCCACTTATTCATGATTTTATCCATTTAACATTTTGAACATCTTTTATTGAACTAATTGTAAAACTAATACCTGCTTGCTGTGAAAATTTCAAATAATACAGAAATGCAAAATGTTTAAAAGACAGAAAAAACCCTTTTCCATGAACTGAGTTCCAGTGCAATGCACTGAAGATAATGAGGGTGGAGGATGTTCAGACCTGCCATCTGCATCCAGGAATTTTAAACTATAAATATTTAAATGCTAATGCTGATAACTTTCTATTGTGAAAATATTTTCCAGTCCCAAAAGCCCCTAAGAATTCAAATCCTCAATATATTTTGTAGTTAAACTATTAAACCATCTCCATTATTTTAGTCTTAATTTTATATCACTAAAATAATGGGTTTTTTTTAAGTTTTTGCCCTGAAAATTTTGCAGTAGAGATCTGTTGATTCATATCAAATTATATTGATAATAGATATGGCTTAGGTGAGTTTTTGTTTTCTTCTAGCCATTACTTCCATAAAGTTCAATTTTTCTGGGTCAAATTGTGCATATCTAAATGTTATTTATTGTTCATTCTATAATATTTTATGTTAATTATTCTACAGGTAGTATTCATTAAGACTCAGATAAAATAGTTAATAATTATTTATAGCTGATCCTAGAGGAAGTAGTGAACAATTCCGCTTGGGGTTCCAGAATTGCTTTCTTACTCTGGACTGGTCTATTGCATGGCCAGTCTAGTCTGTCTGTCTGCCTCTCATCTCTTTGTCTACTGTGTTCTTACTGTGTCATTGGCTATGCAAGTAGCAAATGGAGGAGATAAAATTTGGGTCAAATATCCTTATGGCCAAAATGGCTGGGCCAAAACAAGCTGCTTTAGGTACATGAATATGACGTAGTTCCTGCTCTCTAGGTGTGGAGGAATGACAACGGATACAAAAGAGAACCCCTAATAGCCTGAGCTAAGGGCTAATGGAATTGAACCCAGAGTCCTGGGAACACAGAGGAAGATTCAACTATCCCTTCTTGAAGAAGTTGAGAAGAGAACAACAACTATGTTCACCAGTCTACCCTAACACAAAACTGAGATTTCACTGTTTCAAGAAAAAGGCTGAAATACAGGCTAGGGAAAAAAAGCTCTTTTGGTTAACTTTCAGTAAGGTAGAACTTTCCAATTACTTATAACTGTCCTCCTCTCTCTTCCCCCTTCCTCAACACTTTGGTTAGTCAAGGTTGACCTGAACCTCCCAGGGAGTCGAAGAGAAGAGCCTTGAGCTTACTTCATGAACATTCGGCTTCAGGGACAGGAAGACACTTACATGGTGTTATGTCTTTTAGACACAACAGGCTAAGCTGTCTGCCTTTGTGTCGTTTTCTAAACTGAGTGTCTATGAATATAAAACTTTGCCCAGTGCTGGGGCACACAGAGGCTGGGAGGGAGAGGCCCATGTGCTGCTGAGAGAGCTTTCCAGGCCATTATCTCCTGCGGCTCAGTGGGAGGCAAAGTAGGTGTCATTAGAGGCCTGTAAAGGGCTGGTCTGCCTCCCCCAGAGACACAAAAAAGGGTTAATTACAAAGAGGAGCTGGATGGACAAAGGACCAAAGACAAGAAATTGTAAAAGGTAGAAAAAAAAGAAAAAAAAAGTAAAGACAAGTTAACTTGGGACCAAATGGCAGTTCCCTAAACAATAAACTCAGTGGGAAATTTCTGGGCCTCTCTGCAATTGTGGGGGCCATGAGGTAAAAGGAGCTTTTAGAATACCATTAAGATAGGAATGTTCAAACCATAGCTGGTCCTAAATCCTGCAGAGCCAGGTCTGGAAAAAGAAGAGTTCCTGGACTTCTAGGCAGTGTTCTTTCTCTACATCCTACAGGTTATCTTACCTCCTTAGATATTTAAAAATACTCTAACTTTCTCATCTTCTGAAATCAGCCAACTTATCAGAATAATTAACTGCATTGCCTCTTTTGGCTTGCTTGTATGTGACATTTGTAATAGGAATCTCCCTTAGCAACCACTTCATAGATGTGCTTAGGACAGACCAACCGAGAGTATGACCTGAACCTGCAGACTGAGTTGGTTACCAGGACACAGGCCCAGCGTGAACTCATTATCATCCTGTGTGCTCTAGCAAAGCTACACAAAGAAAGAATATTGAAGTCAAGAAAGACTCAGATTTTTGAGAACTTGGGTATATGACTTCGCCTCTCAGAGCCTCCATTGTCTTCTCTGCAAAATGGGAACAATCGGCCAGGCATGGTGGCTGATGCCTGTAATTCCAGCACTTTGGGAAGCTGAGGTGGGTGGATCACCTGAGGTCAGGAGTTCAAGACCAGCCTGACCAACATGGTGAAACGGTGAAACCCCGTCTCTACTAAAAAAAATACAAAAATTAGCTGGGCGTAGTGGCGGGTGCCTGTAATCCCAGCTACTCAGGATGCTGAGGCAGGGAGAATTGCTGTAACTCAGGAGGTGGAGGTTGCAGTGAGCCGAGATTGTGCTACTGCATTCCAGCCTGGGCAACAGAGCGAGACTCCATCTCAAAAATAAAACAAAACAAAACAAACAACAACAACAAAATGGAACAATCGTACCTGCCACAAAGGGCCAGTGGAATGATATAGTGAAATGGCTCCAAGTCTAGGAGTCCTTTCACCACATCACAGCTGTCTTTGCCTGCCTTCAGCACATCACAGCTGTCTTTGCCTGCCTTCAGCACATCACAGCTGTCTTTGCCTGCCTTCAGCGGCCCCACCACACTCATTGTATTAAGGGAGTTGGTTAACAGTGGTGATGAGGGTGTCCTCAATTGGAGTGGTGATGACAAGGATGGCAGCACAACCATCAGGTTCAGTTTAGTGCCAAAATAGGATATTGTACAATAGGGGACTTCACAATCAGGGTAGATGGAACCATTCTTCAGACACTGTGGGCTTGCTGAACCATGAAGTTTTAGAGTGATTTCCTTCACCCAACTCTCTGGTGAATGTGGCTGTTCACATTAACATTGATAATTGATTATATGGGTGGGTGCTTTCTGTGAGATTTCTAATGGATTGGCCACATAATTACTGTCTTAGCATATGTTATTTACCAACACTCCTGGGAAATCTGAAACACAAATGAACACTTTTTACCAGAAGTTATATTAGATTTAATATTTGATTAGGAGGTAAATATGTATCTAACATTACAAAGCTCATCAAGAGATGAATTCTGAGAATTCTGGAGTGACTTCAGTCTTCAAAATTCATTTGTAATCCATGACATTTTATTTCTCATCCTCAGGAACATGCAAAAGTACACAAGACACTTCCACTTTTTACCCTATCCTGGGCATTCATTGTGGATGCTAAATTTTGGAAGAAGCCAGTGAGTTTGCCTTAGCTCTGCCTGAGGTCAGCCTCTCTCCTCTCAGCCACCACGGCCTACCTTGATATCCTCCTGTGGTGTCCTCAACTCTGGCTGGTTGCCTGTTGTAATGGGTTGAATGGTGGCCCCTACAAGTGGTAGGCCTGCTCAGAATCTGTGATTGTGATTTTATTTGGAAAAAGGGTTAAGATTTTAATAATTAAGTTTAAAATCTCAGGATAAGATCATCCTGTACTACCTTATGTGGACCCTAAACCCAATGACAAGTGTCCTCATAAGAGGCAGAAGAGAAGAACATACAGCCAGAAAAGAAGGGAAGCCATGTGAAGATGGAGACAGAGGTTGGAGCACTGCAGCCACAAGGATCGCTGATAACTGCCTGGGTTGGAAGAGACTGGAAGATTCTCTCCTAGAGCCTCTGGAATAAGTGTGACTCTATTGACTCCTTAGTTTTGGCTTTCTGGCCTCTAGAACTGTAGAAGAATGAATATCTGTTGCTGTAAGTCATGCAGTTTGTGATAATTTGTCATGGCAGTCCTAGAGAATGAATATACTAGTCTAGTCTGCTTTCTATCAGGCCCTGGTCTTTCCCAACCCTCTCTCCAGTATTGCCCCGGGGAAGACAATTTAATTGTTCACACTGGGGTTGCCTTCCTGTCTCTTTTCTCCTAACTTTCTATTTTCCTGTTCTTTTCAGAAAGTTGTTCCTCTCCCTATTGAGTTTTTTCTGTTCACCTGATCTTCCAAATCCATTATTTTCTCTTTGACATCTTCACATTCCAGCCTTGTTTATTTTACTTATTTTTTTTTTAACATTCAGAGAGTTTGGACACATGCATCTCAGCCTTCCCTTTTCAGCCTAAAGATGCTTGTGCTTTGAGGCCGTATGCAGCAAGTGCCTTCCCCATCCCTGTGTTTATAGTAGATGGTCATCTAATCCATTCTCTCTCTCTCTATTCTGATTTTGTCTCTACAACATATTGGCAGAGGGATTTTCTAGCATTTGCTTATGTTTATTCGTAGATGAGAAGCTCACCAACCCCAGGACAGTCTGTTCAGTTAGATTCTGTCTGTCTAAGAAGACCTTATATTGGCCATGGTATTAGTCAGTCTGGGCAGCTATAACAAATTACCATAAGCTGGGTGGCCTAAACAAGAAACATGCAGTTGTCACAGTTCTCGAGGCTGGAAGTTGAGATAAGTATGCCAGCATGGTTGGGTTCTTGGCAAGGGCTCTTTTTCAGCTTCTTAGATGGCTGTCTTCCTGTGGCCTCATATGGTAAGAGAAAAAGAAAGATCTCATGTTTTCCTCTCTTGTAAGGGCATTAATTTCATCATGAGGGCGCCACCCTCCTGAAAGCCCAACCTCCTGAAACCATCACATTGAGGATGAGGATATCAGCATATGATTGGAGGGGAACATTCAGTCCATAAGAGCCATCTATTATGTCAACCCTGCTTGCCTACCTGTAACTTCACCCACTGCTCTTTCTCTCCTTCCAAAATTATGGGGAGAAGCAGGCTTTCAGTATTTGCAGAGAGCTGTCATCAACCCTAAGGTCTCCTGGTCCCAAGGGAATAGCCTTGCTTCTTCCAGGTACTCTATGTAGGACCTGCTTTTGGGCCCTTTCAAGATTGGTCTAAACATTCTCACCACAAGAGACAGCACAGGACCCCAGGCAGAGTATCTCATACCCTTGGACACAGTGTGTAGGACTGGATTCTTATAGGGATTAATTTATGATTAGGAGCTGTAATTATCATGTAAGCCTGAGGCTGCTAGAGGGCTAACTGTCCGACCCCTGGGAGAGGCTCTTACACAGAATGCTGTCAGCACAGTAGAAAACAATGGAGAGCTAGAGAGAGAGAGAAAGAGAGAGAGAGAGAGAGCTGTCCCTTATGATATCTTTGGACCAATCAGGATTCAACTGTGTTTGATGCTGACCCACCCCTTGACTTTTCAGTTATGTGAGCTTAAAAATTCCATCCTTGTTTGAAGTACTTTGGTTTCTGCCTTTGCAAGAAAGAGTCTTGGCTAATATATCCAGTCCAGCCAGTGCTCCCCAGTGGGCTTCCTAGGAATGATGGCTGTGTTTAGCTTTGGGCCTCACCGAACTTCCTTGCTTCTGACCTGACTCTGCCTTCATCCTTGGTCATGCAGATTTCTTCCTTCCTTTACAATGTCCTATTCATTGCTATTCTCTTGTTTCACATTGGCAATTGCAACCGTAGCCTTCTCTCTGGGAGCCTTACCCCTTTCTGCCCCCAAGCTCCATCTCTGAGCTCTGCTTCATTTGTTCTCTTGTGCAAAGCAGTGTTCTCATGCCATCTCCAAGGTCTTACCCTCCTCAAACCAAAAGGGAGCCTTTTGGCCTAGCTGGTGTCTCTGCCTTCCTTAAATGGGAGCCACACTGCAGAGGCTCCAGAAATATACGTGCATGCACAAGAGAAGGCTCACCTTCATTCAATCCAATTTAACTGTAAGAATAAAAGCATTGAAAAACGATCTTTAGCAATCAATTCTACGATGAATTATGCAGCAAATCATAAGCATTGCCCCCAAATATTATGTCTACAGGAAATGGCCTTATGCAGCTAATTGTTAACTGGGAAACTCTTTCATTAATTCAAATGGGTCAACATTTTAAAATGATACTGTCATATAAATACAGTGTGAAGGTTTACATGCAGATCACTCTAAGGTATCCCCCCCCTTTTTTTTTTAGTGAAGCCGACTATTGCTGCATTATGTTTTATTGTGCAATAAAATTATGTGCTAAAATTATGCTCATAAATGTACGCAAATGTAAACCAAGCTATTAGTTATGTTTTCACAGATAAAAGTCATTAGTATAGCTATCAAACTCTTCTCCCATTTGAATAACAGAATTATGTCTGGAATCTCAGTCTGGCTTGCTGGGGCTCAGTCCCAGAGAGAACAAGTGTAAATCTTGTTGCCTGTGGGAGCAAGGATCCCGACCTGACTTTCACCATGGAGGCCAACTCTGCCTTGAGCCTGCCAGGGTCACTAGCTGAGGAAGGGCCCTTTCGGCATCTCTCAGCAGCTCTCATCCCTGGGAAGTCATTCTTAACACCTCCCCCCAACCTACTTCCTGCTAATTAGACTTATCGAAAAACAATTGCACATCTTTTGAGATTTCAGGAGGCTGACAGCATCTTTTAGCAACAGTCACAAGGAAACAAAGTTTCATGTATAATTCATGAGATATGTGGTCATCCTGGTGGGAAATTATCTCCTCTGACAGGCTCAGCGGTGGTGGTGTCCTGTCAGAATGGCCTACAGTGTATAATTAAAACCTGAACAGAACAAATTAATGCTGATTACTTTATAAACAGTTTGAAAGCTTGAATTCTGTTCCCTGTCTTGCAAGAAGAAAACAGATATTTCAGAAATGTGTAGATGCCCCCCTCCCCTTACTAATAGCAGAAGCTAATAAAGGGCCCTTGAATAGATATTACAGTTAACACTCTTTGTCCTCCAATTTGCTTCTGTGGCCCTGGACAGCTCTAAGTCTGAGGGAGCAAACCAAAAATTTGGCAGGTGCTACTTTTCCAAGGCAGAGGGTCTCCCTCTCTCCTGTAATGCAGTGTTTGTCTGTCAGGGCTAGTAAAAGCTTTACAGTGCAGAATATGAGCACTGTGGCCAGGCGTAGTAGCTCATGCCTGTAATCCCAGCATTTTGGAAGGCCGAGGCGGGTGGATCACCTGAGGTCAGGAGTTTGAGAACAGCCCGGCCAACATGGAGAAACCCCATCTCTAATAAAAATACAAAAATTAGCAGGGCATGCTGGCACACACCTGTAATCCCAGCTATTTGGGAGGGTGAGGCAGGAGAATGGCTTGAACCCAGGAGGCGGAGGTTGCAGTGAGCTGAGATGGAGATTGCACCAGTGCACACCAGCCTGGGTAACAGAGCCAGACTCCATCTCCAAAAAACAACAATAATAAACAATAAAGAATATGAGCACTGTGAGGGCCCACCAGGTCAGCTCATCACAACTTTTATTTTATTCATAAGGCTCAAAGTCAAGCAGAGCCATGACAAGATCACTAGACTGGCAATGCAGGGCTCTTTCCTGGGCCCAGAGTTTGAAACAACAGCAGCAATATTAAACTAACATTTTTGAATACTGGTTATGTGCCAGGAACTGTGTCTGCAATCTCATTTAATTCTCATAGCCCTATAAAGTATATACTACAATTCTCCCCATTTTATAGTGGGAAAGGCATTCAGAGACATTGAGTTTCCTACCAAGATGCCTCACTTGGTTGGCTGGCAGATAAATTACTTTCCCTCCATCCTTGCAGACATCAACCTTAGCCATGACCCTTCCACTGTGGCCTGAATTCTTATACTAGTCTTCTAACCAGTCTGTCTCGTGGCTTCCAACTTTGATCTCTTTAAATTTATCCACCATGCCTCAGCCAGGGCTAGCTTTTAGAAACAGAAAATGGGTCACTTCATCCCCAGCATAAAATAATTGATCAGTTCAACAAATCTTTATTTAGCGTCTACCACTTGGCAGGCACCACGCTAGAGTGGGGTATGTACTGGTGAATGAAACATAGTGCCCACCCTCATGGAGCTTACAGTCAGAGTGGGAAGAGATGATGGATTTCCTGTTGCTCCTGGGTCCAAGTCCAAACTCCTAAAGATGGTTTAAAAGGCATGCCAGATCCTAGGCTCTGTCTTTTTTTCCAGCTTCACCTCCAGGAACTCTTCCTGCATCAGACCAGTTTAGAAAAACAAGGAAATAGGTCTCAGCTGGCCTTCTCCATTGCAAAACCTGTGAAATTGAAATTCATACCCTTCTGCCCTGTCTGCCTATAGGAACCCAGAAGTAGAATCCTGTTTTTATTAATGAAGTGATACAACATGGCCTCATATCACATCCCTCTTGGCAAAGCCATATTTCTATAGAGGGAGACGGTGTGGTTTTGCAAAAGGAGCACAGGACTGAGGCAGATATGGGTTCAAATGCTAGCTTAGTGTATACAGCACCCTTGACATAAGTAACTCCATCTTAGAAAAAGACTCCATCTTACATTTCAAAAGCCATGATGCCAATAGGGACTGGATGTTTGCCTAATCAATAGAGATTACACCCAACTAGATAAGGACATGACCAGTCACATTCTTTACTATCAATTTATACCAGCGAACTCAAGAGCTATAAAATGAATAGAACTTCACCAGCTCAAGGTGGCTGCCTTAATAGACACTGTCTTGCTGTCACTCAGCACCTCAGCACCCAGCAACTGCTGCTGAAGTCTCTGCCCAAATCAAGGACTCTTCCTTGCAAGACGTTGACTCCCATCCAGATCAGCCTGGGACACTCTCTGTCTGTACACGTCACTCTCCTTGGACTGGTTTATTAACCCCATTTTAAATTCCCTTGTGATGGTTAATATTGAGTGTCAACTTGATTGGATTGAAGGATGCAAAGTATTGTTCCTGGGTGTGTCTGTGACTGTGTTACCAAAGGAGATTAACATTTGAGTCAGTGGACTGGGAGAGGCAGACCTACCCTCAATCTGGGTGGGCACCATCTAATCAGCTGCCAGTGATGCTAGAATAAAGCAGGTAGCAGAAGATGGAAGAGCAGACTTGCTGAGTCTTCCAGCCTTCATCTTTCTCCCATGCTGGATGCTTCCTGCCCTTGAACATCAGACTCCAAGTTCTTCAGTTTTTGGACTCTTGGACTTACACCAGTGGTTTGCCAGGGGCTCTCAGGCCTTTGGCCACAGACTGAAGCCTGCACTGTTGGCTTCCCCAGTTTTGAGGTTTGGGGACCCAGACTGATCCACCACTGACTTCCTTGCTCCTCAACTTGCAGATAGCCTATTGTGGGACTTTAACTTGTGATTGCGTGAGCCAATTCTCCTTAATAAACTCCCTTTCATATATACATATATCCTGTTAGTTCTGTCCCTCTGGAGAACCCTGACTAATACACCCCTCTTCTCTTGATGTTAAATGTTACTCTGTTTGATGTAATCTGTAACATTTATATATTGAGTATACTACTATGTATGGTTTTGCAATTTTGACTGACCTATGCTGTGGCTTGAGCCTGTGTGCCATGTCTCTGACTACCAAGCAAATGGATAGTACTAAGAATTTCCTTCTTGGGAACTCCATGTAGCTTGTGGCTTTTATGGTTGAATAAGCATCAATAAATCAGACCTTATGAAAAGACACAAACATGCATGGGCCTGGTTATATCTTATCTTGTGCAGCTCATGACACTTAGTTTCTTAGTAGTTGGCTGAACTTGGATATGTTACTTTCTCTCTATGAGCCTTAGCTTTTTTAAATATGCAAAGTGGGGCTAATAATACCCACATCTTATGGCAAGGATGCTTAAACATTAGCATGTGTCAGAATTACCTTGGCTTGTTAAAGCACAGATTGCTAGACCCCATCCCCATCTGATTCAGTGGGTCTGTGATGGGGTCAGGGAATTTGCATTTCTAACATGTTCCCTGGTGCTGCACTGGGAACCACATTTTGAGAACCACGGTTTTATGGTATTTGTGAGTTTTTCCCTTTGTTTTCTTTCGTTGAGGTTGAACAGTTCGTATATCTTAAGCATATAGCTTGATGAATGTTTGCATTCGTGTGCACCCATGTAGGCACCAACCATCTCAACTGAGATCCAGGCTACAGTTGACACTTGAATGACATGGATTTTAATAGTGTGAGTCCACTTATAGGCATATTTTTTTCAACCAAATGCAGATCAGAAATACAATATTGGTGGGATGCAAAACCCACTTATAAAGAGGGCCAACTTTTTGTATCTGCAGGTTCCAAAAGGCTAGCTATGGGACTTGAGTATGTGTGGATGTGGGTATCTTCAGGTGTGGCCCTGGAACCAATCTCTGCATGTACTGAGAGACAACTGTATTTTCAGCACCCTATAGAATTTCTTGTGCCCCTTCCCAAAGATAACCACAATTCTGCTCTATATCACCATCTATGGACCTTGCTTGTTTTTGGATTTCTATAAATAAAATCATATGGTATGCACTGTATTGCATCTGGCTTCTTTTGTTCAGTATTATGGCTGTGAGATACATTCATATTGTCTATATCTTCTTTCATTGTTATGTAGTATCCTATTGTACACATAGACTGTAATTTATCTATTGTATTGTTGGTGAAAATTTGAGTTGTTTCCTATTTGGGGGCTATTATGAGTAAAGGCACTATGAACATTCTTGTACCTCTCTTTTGGAGGATATGATAACTCATTTCTATTAGGTATAAACCCAGGTGTGTAATTGCTTGGTCAAAGGGAAAGCATTTAATTACCTTTAGTCAATACTACCAGTTTTCCAAAGTGGTTTTCCCAATTTACACTTGTGTCAGCAATGTTTAGGCATTCATTCCAGTTGCTCCACATCCTCACCAACACCTGATATTGTTAGTCTTTTTGAAAAAAACTTAACCATTTTTCTGGGAGTGTTTGTGGAATTTTAAATGTGAACTTTCCTGGACTATAATTCACAATTTAAAATGTTTGCTTCTTTTATCTTCTCTTCTTCTCCATGAATATCTGAGAGAGGACTATCTTAATGCCAAACCGAGGAGTCATGCATAGTGATATATTAAGTTCTGGGGAAGGACTTGGTGAAGCAGAAGAGAAGAAGGAAAAAACCATTTAATATCTTCAAATCACATTTCCTACTTGCCTCTGTCTTTCTGCTATGGAAGAGAAGTGACAGGTGATAAGAGAGCACTCACCCACTAACTCTGACAATGGAGGAAGAAAATGGACTCTATGGGATATTGCTTGTCTTCAGCTCCTGGCAGGGCTGGTGCAGAGTGGCCCCTTCTAAGGCAGTAACTAGCTTCACCCTTCCAAGCCATCCAAGACTCTCCTTCCTGCTATGTTTCTGAAGATCTCTGGTTCCTCTTCTCCTAGGCAAACCAGGGTAAGGGAGACTGACAGTGGGCTGGGAGCCTGTGCTGGCTGAGGAAGCCCTGAAGAACAGGAGTACAGGGGGAGTGGTATGGCCAAGAAAGCACTGGATGAGGAGTTCAGGTTCCAATCCAAACTGGGTAACAGCTCAGGGTGAGGCCCTGGCCAAGTCTTTCTGCTTCATTTTTTATTTTCTCTGAGTAAAATGAGAACAAAGATTCCTGTTTCCCTCAAAGTGATTCTGATAACTAAATAACATGAAAAATCTTTTCATGGCGAAAACCACACAAGTGAAAAACAATTAACCGTGTTTGCATGAACACATTATAGCCTGAGTATCTGATCTGCTTTTCTCTCAGTTTTTTTTTTTCAAGGCTCTGCTAAAATACAAGCTAGTACCTGCATTCCTTTCAATTAGTTGATTCTTTTGAACTGCAGTATGCATACTTCAGTAAGTACAGACAATGACCGTGGAAGCTGTCCCATTTGCAGGCAGCCACCTCCATTTACACAGAGGTTAATGGTGGCATGGCCTGGCTGGCCATGGCCTAGGAAGTCACTGGTCTATTCTAGGCTCAGGAGCAATTCTGCTTTGCACTCAAGGGGCTGGGACTTGGTGAATGCAAGACTTGTTTTCTTGGAGTGTTTCCAGATTGGTGATCTCTGAATCTTGTAGAATCTAGGAGAAAAATCTATTTGCCCCGTAAGAGGTGGCACCCATGGGGACAGAGCAGAAGTTGAAGGCCAGAGGCACCATAAAGGATGTCCTGAGGCTGGAATGTCTTTGGCTCTGCTGGCTCCAAGAACAACACCTGCACAGCTGTATGGAGGAGAGTGAGGTGAGGGTGGCTCAGAGGCTGATTCACGCGATTGTTACGGGTGTGCATTGTGCAACTCCAGGGCGCGCCATGCATATCCTGTCTTTGTTGATTTGTATATGTATTGTACTTTTCTGGCAGATGGCAGGTAGTAAATCATCTTGATGAAGGGGTGCCTTTTTCTAATCTGTACAAACTGTCTCAGGGACTGGTGGTGCTGATCAGATGTTGAGCTCCTTCACCCACCCACCGCTGTAGAATCCACTCCATACTCCAGAACAACCATGCCTGAGGCATGGTTGTTCTTCCCCTTAAGGCAATGCCTGACTTTTGAGGTACGAGGCTGAGTGGCCTAGGCCTAGACTCTACTTGGCCATACAGCCAACCTCTGCCTGTGGGGAGAGTAGACTCAGAGTCCATACAGCCTGAGTTAAATTCCCAGCTACAAGATTTTTGAAAACCCCTTTCTCCCAAAACAGCCTAGGGAGTAAATGCTAGCTGATAGCAGCAGCTCACCTACGAACTTCCCCAGGAAAAGGGATATTTCACTCTGGGCCTTCTAGAAATGTGGAGTGAAACATTCATTCCTCTGCCTGGAGCCAGGACTTCCTCTCTGGAACTGTGTGGAAAGATCCCTGACCCGGGAAACTGACAACTGGTTTCTAATCCCCACTCTGCTCCTAATTGTGGACAACTCACTTCATTCTCTAGGACTCAGTTTTTATATACATGCATTGATGGCAGGGTAAAGTGTATAATCTCAAATCACCCCTTTCTGTATTAAATTATATCCCAGTTGCCTGGTACAGTTTTCACCTCTCTAGGTCTCGATTTCTTTTGTGCTATGTGGTAAAAGTCCCCTGGCCTGGCCTGGCTCTTCCCCCTTTGAGTTCTCTCTACCACTGGCATTGCTCCTGCTAGCCTCTGACTTCATGTAAATGCCTCAGTGGGGGTTGAGGCTTGGCTTGTTTTCAGCATGGCAGTCTCTCCTCAGGTGTGTCTTCTGGTAACTTTAATTCGTGCTGTAAATTTTTACATTTCTTGGCATTGAAGCCTTACCAGCACTTTAAGTAAAATCTTGAGATTATTTCCCCCCTACACACACTTTTTTTTTTCCTTTTAGAATGCGAGATCTTCAGCACACCAGCAATATTTAAGAGCCAAAATTTTGCAGTTACAAAGAAGTGTATGCATTAATGTGCTTGATGGGGCAATGGGAGGAAGCTGTGGGAAGGTTTAAAAGGGCATCTGTTCTCTCTCTTAGCAAAGACCAAACAGAGATATGCACACACTTCAGCCCAGGAATCAAGATTAGACACCTCACTGAGAGGGAGGAACGCGGACTTGTAAAGTCCATCTGCATGGATGCAATCAAGTGTTTCTGAAAGCCAGCTCCCTGCAAGGCACTATGCTCAGGGCTGTGAATCCAGAGATGAGCAAGGCTCAGAGCCCCTGCCTTCATAGAACTTAGAGTGGAAGTCGTGAGAAAGAAGTGAATAAATTATCATGGTGCTTATGACTGTGGGGTAGCAAAGATCTTTTTAAACAAGGCACAAAATTTAAAACCTGTAGTAGAAAAGACTGAGACACTTGAAGACTTTAAGAATTTAAAGTTTGATATAACAAAAAAAACCATAAACAAAGTTAATGATAATCAAGATTGGTAGAACATATTTGTGACATATATAACACACAAAGAATATTCAGCTATGTTACATAGAATGCCTACACATCAAAAAATAGAAAAATAGGCAAAGTCCAAATATGGCAGCTTGCTTCATCAGACTGAAGAGAAGAGAGAAAGAGTGCTAAAAAGACAGAAGGCTTGGCCTCTTGTAACCTGACCTTGAAAGTGACAGGACTATTATCTTTGCCATACTCTATTCATTAGAAGCGAGTCACTAGGTCCAGCCTATTCTCAAGGGAAGGGAATTACACAAGGGCATAAAAACCAAGTGGTAAAGGTCATTTGTGGTCTATTTTAGCAGTCTGCCTGTCACAGAATACAAATGGTCAATCCATTGAAAAAGTAATGATGTACAACCTTAGAAGAAGATGTTTAGCTTCACGAATAGTGAGGAAGATTCAGATTAAAATGATAAAGAGACATTATGCTTTATCCACCAGATTGAGAAAAGTTAAATCATCTAATTTTGGCAAGCATTTTAAGAAGCAAGTACTGTCAAACATTATTTGGCATAACAGAGCAAATTGGTACTGAGCTTATACTCAGTAAAGATGCACATAACTTTTTGTCCAGCAAAGGAAGTTCTAGTAATCTACTACAGAAAAAATACAGGTGCCCAAATAGGCATGTTCAAGAATGCTCATTGAAATAGTGTCTGTGATAGTGAAAACCTGAAAACCACAGCCCTGCCTATAGGATGGTTAACAAAAGTATGAGATATTTAACCTATGGAATTCAAGCCAGAGCTATTAATAAAATAAACAATGTAGGTGAAAAGATATTTAAAATGTATTTTATTTTATTTTTTTGAGATGGAGTTTCACTCTTGTTGCCCAGGCTGGAGTGCAGCGGTGTGATCTCGGCTCACTGCAACCTCCACCTGCCGGTTTCAAATGATTCTCCTGCCTCACCTCCCAAGTAGCTGGGATTACAGGTGCTCGCCACCATGCCTGGCTAATTTTTGTATTTTTAGTAGAGACGGGGTTTCACCATGTTGACCAGGCTGATCTCGAACTCCTGACCTCGTGATCCACCTGCCTCAGCCTCCCAAAGTGCTGGGATTACAGGTGTTAGCCACCGCGGCCGGTCAAACGTATTTTAAATGAAAAAAAAAAATTGCAGAATAATTCATTTAATGCTATGTAAAAAAACAAAACAAAAGCAAGCAACTAAGCAAAATGTTTATTTTTCTGTATGCGCATATATACGTGTAGATACTTATTGAAAGCAGAGAAGGACAGAGGATAAAATGGTGGTATTGGTTAACTCTGTGGAGAGTTAGAGTGGAGAAAGGATAGCTAAAGGGTATTTTCTCTTTATTGGTATTATCTTAATTTGTAAGAATGTGTGCATGTGTTATCTGTTTAATTTTACAAATAACTGAAAAGAATGGGTATTACAAAATCATAAAATTACCATCAATGGAGTAAGTACTTTCAGTCATTTTGAGAATCTTATCAGTTATCTTGAGAATCTAAAGTTTCTCTTTCTAGGAAAAGAGAGAATACTGTAGCCATAACTCTCAACCCAAGACTTGAACATTGTTTAGGAACAGAAACAAGATTAGTTTCAGAGACTTGAATCTAAAGGGGGCCGGTGAAGGTCTGATAGGCAGACAGCATTGGAGGGAACTCTGAACTTTTGATCTTACTCCCACTCCTCTTACACTACCTCCTCAAGGCAAAACAGAAAACAGTTTGAAAATTTGCCGTGTATTCTACAGGTCTGTGGGTATCTTAGCTTGGGGCCAGTTGGAGCCTCAGTGAACAATAATGAGAATAGGTAAGTATCTAGGCCCCTTTCTGGTTCATAACATCTCTAAGGCTCTCATTTCTGATGAATTCTGGTTAAAACATTGTAATATTTCCATACCAGTTAAGTAAATTAAACAGTCCCCGTGATGTGCGCCAGATCCCTCCTCATCACCTGCCACACCTGATACCTTTGGTGCATCAGGGTCCCAAGACATCGCTTGATAGGCCAGCACCAGTTCTGATTGGTCAGTGCCAGGCCATTGCAGTTATTAAATACATACATATATACATACATTTATATAAACATGCTTTAGGTAATTCAGGATGGTTGGTGCATGGCATGGGGTCATAAGGATAACAACCTATCTGGGTACTAAGGGAAGTTAAGTTACAGGATCAGTGGACATAACAATGTCTTTTCCATCTCTCCTTTAGATGTAGGTCATGACAGTGATGGGAAGAATAGAATTGGAAAGCAATTGGAGAAGTTATTTTAATATTGGGGCCTATGACATTTAAAAAATATGTCCTCATGAGTTGGACTTGGCTCAGACACGTTTGATGATAGATTTCAAACTATTAATAGTGCATTCTAAGATTGCATGGGCCAATATAGATAGAATGGCAGTGTGACATAGGGGCGCTGTGGTAGAGGGATGTGTGGGCATGGAGTGCAATGGGACCCAGAAAAAAGGATGCATTAGGGAAGGTTCCTGGAGGAGGTGATACTGAGCCTACCTGACCTTTGGAATACAAATGAGAATTAACCACTTTGCAGAGAAGGAAGGGTATTTCAGGCAATGAGAAAAGTGACCAGGAAAAAACATCTTGAAAGAGAGGTTTGGGCCAGGTGTGGTGGCTCACACCTGTAATCCCAGCACTTTGGGAGGCTGAGGTGGGCAGAGAACAAGGTCAGGAGTTTGAGACCAGCCTGGGTAACATAGTGAAAACACGTCTCTACTAAAAATACAAAAAAATTAGCCGGGCGTGGTGGCGGGCGCCTATAATCCCAGCTACTCAAGGGGCTGAGGCAGGAGATAGCTTGAACCCAGGCGGCGGAGGTTACAGTGAGCCGAGATGGCGCCACTGCACTCTAGCCTGAGCTACAGTGCAAGACTCCGTCTCAAAAAAAAAAAAAAAGAAAGAAAGAAAAAGAAAAAATAGAAAGAAGGAAGGAAGAGAAAGTAAGAAAGAAAGAAGGATAGAAAGAAAGAAAGAAAGAAAAAGAAAGGAGGAAAGAAGAAAGAAAGAAAGAAAAGAAAGAAAGAGAAAAAGAAAGAAAGAAAGAGAAAGAAAGAAAGAAAAGAAAGAAAAGGAAAGGAAGGAAGGAAGGGAGGAAAGGAAGGAAGGAAGAAAGGTTTGACATGGCTGGGAAAGTGGTGTGCTTCATGGGCTGGGAGGAAGATGGGAATAGAGGTCAAGAGAGGTGTAGGTGGGAGATGCTGGTGACATAATAGTGTGAGGAGTGAAATGCACCTTGTTGGACCTAAGCAAAAATGCCATGTTTCCCATGTTTTCTATGTCACCCAAAAACATCTCTTTATTCTTAATTTTTCCTTTAAAAAAATCAAGCTCTGTATCTTGCTCTCCCTTGTCCCTCTTCCTAGGGAACAGATTGAATTTTGCACAAAAGCACTAGAAATCTTAGGCAGCAGCTGCCTTTGAGGCTTCTCTGGCAAAGATGGGTTCTGAATTCAAAATGATGAACTTGAGATCATCGGCCCTTCATCTTTGACTCCAATAACAGGACAGAATTCACCTGAGTCAGGTGAATAACTGCAGACTATGGACATCTTGGTATGGAAGGGCTTTGTCTTCAAGGAGTGAAAGGGACACACTCCACTACAGGCACAGAATCACAGTCCTGGAGGCCACCCCATCAGACAGCCCTCAGACACCACCTCTTCCACTCCGTACTCTCCTGAGGGGACAGGACTCATCCAGGCTCTCATCAAGTCTGCAACTTGTGATTTGTCTCTTCCAAGCAGAGTTTGGTGGTGAGAATTCTGACTGATTTTGTGTCTATTAGCTACTTCAACAGTTATTGGCAAGGATATCATGGATACATTGTTTAAATTGTCTAAACCTTGGATTCCTCTTCTGCAAAATGAGGAAAATGATAACTTCAGAAAGCAGAGAGCCCCTTTTTGGGTGTCTTGGCATCATGTGTAGCAGAAACAAACTCCTTTAAAAAAATCTACCAGCAATCTTTCCCATTGCTCCCACGAGTAGTCATTTTTGCAGGAAGTCTGCGCTTTGGTCTTGGATAAGCCTTTTGATGGACTTTTGGGTTATACAAAAGTGATGCCCAGCTCCTGTTTCTCAAATAGTGAGGTTGAGATGATGAGAAGATAAACTGCTTTGCCTGGGAAATGCCAACTGAGAAGACAATTTGCTGGACTGCTGCCAGCGTGGGAATTGGCTGGCATGGCGGAAAACATTGGTGTTCTTTGTTTGTTTCTCCTTGCTGGTTCAGGAGGACAGTTGAGGTGCCTGGGTGGTGAGGCATGCCAGAGGGTGAATTGGACACTGATGGGAGGACAGATGAGGGCACTGGAGGTGGGGAGTTTTTCCCCTTTTTCTTTGAGCTCCCAAAAAGTTTTGAAAGGTATATTTCAAAATAGAAGCACATGGCCAGAGGCCCTTCATGGTAGGGGGCCCCCTGTAATATGGCAACAGGCAAGGATACGGGAGTCTAAGGAAAGAGGGACCAGAGGGTTTCCTCATGGGGGCTTATTAGGAGCCATAATACCTAGTATTCAGTTGAAGTTTCTTTCTTTTTCCTTTATCCATGTTTTGTTTTCTGATTATTCTCAATTCCTCACCAAGATTCTGCTAAACATTTAGTTCTGCCTGTTCTTACTAAGTGTTGAAGAATTAAGTCAGAACTAAAGTCTAGACTTGGGGGCAAAGGGCTCTGGAGAGAATGCATCTGTATAGTGTGAGGCTGGAGTTAAGAAACAGCTGGACTGAACCCAGGAGTGGACAGTGCCCTGAGCAAGGGGCTGGCTGAGCAGGGATCATGCGGGACACATTGGTAAAAACATTTCTCTTGGCCTTTGGGGAATACTAGGGCATGGGAACCTGACGGAAGGACAGACTTCATGGAGTCGCCCAGGAATGGGGCTTGAACTCTTGAGATGGAAGTTGTTGGTGCATTGCAGAGCTAACTGGTTTCTGCTTTTCCCATCCAGATTCTGAGAAATAGACCTAGGAGTTGAGATGCAATATTGGGGGTCCTATCAGCAAAGAAGGAGGGTGAACACAACTAGCACCAGAATGAGAGTCAAAACCTGCCTTTCTAGTCTAGATGGGGCCTGATTGAAGGAGGGCTTGGGTCTGCAGGACAGATCCTCATGGAGCCACTTGAATGGAGGATCACAGAGCTCCTCAGCCTGACAATTGCAGAGACTCAACAGCACCGAGGGAAGCCACCCATCACCTCCATCTATTGTAAGGGGATGGACCAATGAATTTCACATTCTTGCCATGGCACCCACCAATAAGCCATCCCTCCCATGGGAAGGAGCCTGGGAGAGAGTGAAATAAAGGCAAAAGGGTCTTCCTACATGTGTTAAGAGGAAGCATGGTGTTGGAAGGAGGGAGAACCAAGATACCTACCTTTACAATGATAAATGATGAGAGGCAGATGTGCGGTGGTTAAAAGCATAAACCAGCCTGAAGTTGATTCCTGACTCTGCTACTTACCAGTTGTATGTATGACCTTGAGCATCTTAATATTTCTGGTACCTGGTGTCCCCATCTGTGAATGGGGGGAATAACAATATTAACTTTGTTTTTTATTTGACTGAATCTGCATTGTTGTAAGGACTAAATAAGTTAATGCATGTAAAGCTACCGGATCCATGTTGGCTCACTGCGTTAACTCTTACGAGTGCTAAGGTGCTCAACACAGTTCCTGGCTGACAGTTGGGAAATACTGGCAGAACTCACTGTTTTATCTTTGGAGGGAAAATTATCACTAGATATCCTGAAAGTGAATGGGAGTTGTCAGTGGGAGGAGAGTTGGTTCTGGGCATGGGCTACTTTTCAGAGATGATATAATTGATTATTCCAATAGTAGCATTTAGAGGGAAATTCTTTCCCTAAATGGGGCCAGTGATTTACTCTCCGGTTGTGAGAATATAATGTTGCTAATGTAGAGTGTGTGACCCTAGCTCTTCTAAACTTTCAGTGTCGTTTTAGCAATCCTCGGCCTCTCCTGAATGTCTGGAGACAGGGCCTGTCTCTCTTGCCCCCACTCCGCCCCCCCACCCCCCACAGCCTCCTTATGAAATGGCAGCCCCTGGTGGAAATTCTGAGCTCTCAGAGCCTTTGCCAATGGGAGGCTGGGCTCAGGTTGCCCGCTTACTTAGCACAGGACAAGGCAAGAGGCCAAGGCGATTTCCTCTCTTTTACTGCATCATAAAAAAGCATCTCATTCTTCAGGCAACACCTCTTGAGTGCTCATGTCCAGGCCATGATTAGCAGATAATCTCCTAAAGGTCTGTGGTCCATGCACGCCTGCATCCCAGCTGCCAAGACCCACCTGATGGAGGAAAGAAAAGGTCTGTGTTGAAGACCCCTTCCCACGGCCTTGAGGGCCCACCTCCTTGAAGTTGCTCCTTTCTGTCTGGGGGGTAATCCCAGCCCTCTCCTCCTTGCTGACTTGGTTCCCTCCCCGGCTGCTATATACCTTCTCAAAGAGAACCCCGCCACCAACCACCCAGATTCTACGAAGAGAGACCCTCATTCTCTGACTAAATCATAGAAATATTGAGCTGGGAACTTTGAAAGCTGTCCAGTAGTAAAACTCTTTCATTTTGCTGAGAAGGAAAATGAGGCTCAGAGACATCAAGTGACTTCCTGAGGGTCACACCACAAAGAGACGGCAGAAGACGGATGGAAATCCAGATCTCCTGACACCCATTGGATGGAGCTATGGTCTACACTCACCTGGCCATTATTTGGGACTATTTCTTGGCTGGGTGTTTGTATCAGAGCCACCTAGTAAATGCTTGCTGAGATGGGGCCTGAGATCCCAGGGGACTGGCCCTGGATCTACCCTGGGAAATCATCAGAGCTGCCATGTTGCCTGTTCAGCTCAGCAGGGACATCTAGGAGGGGACAGGAAGATTCATGACTGAGGCAACCCACAGATCTCCTAGCTCTGAATACATTGAAATTCTGAGGCTCTCTGGCAGGGTCCAAGCAGCCAAATTGCAATCACTCTGAGACCCTATGGGTGGTCAGCATGGCCACTCCTCTTCCCCAGCCTGGTGAGAGCATAGTAGAGAGAGCAGCATGGGCTTGAGTCTGAGACAGACCTGAGTTCTAGTCCTGGCACTGCCACTTTCTAGCTGTGGGACATTTGACAATATAAGTCATCTCTCTGGACCACATTTTAAAAATAAATAAAAATGACAGGCATTACATGCTGCTGTAATGGACCAAGAGAGATTCTCCATAGAGTACTCACTACATTATTATTATTATCATCTCTCCTACTGTACAAAACTAGGCAAATCACAACCTATGTGAGTCTCAAATTTGTCCTCTAAAATAGTGAAATTATTCCTACACTAGGGGCAACCAAAAGTTCATGGAAAAGCACCTAGTGGGTTCTCCAGTTAGCGTTAGTTTTCTTCACTTCATATTGCAAGTCCAAGAGGGAGTTTTGGTAGCAGAAAGAAATGCAAGTTAACCGAAGGTTAAGGCTCAAGTTCTATCACTTCCAACATGTGCACTAACACATCTATATCTACATCAATATCTTGACATATATGTTCCCAGTCATTTTTTTTCCTTTTTTTAAAACAAAGACTGACCATTCTACTATATTTGAAAAAAGGTTTATGCTCATGAAAAATAATTAATAGAAAAAAGTTGAAACATGAATGTAGTAAAATTAACCCAAATACTACTACTCAGAAATAGCTCTCCTTAAGAATAAATAAACATCATCACTATTGTTTTTGTATTCATACACATACGTATCTAAAAACACTTTAATAAAAATGAGATCATAACTGTAAATGCTATCTTAAAATATGAAGTATTAACTTTAAATTTACTGGAATACAACAGAAAAAAATATACCAAAGTAAAACTATAGAAATTGTTGAATAAATTTTTCTTTACTGTAGCATAGTATTTTTTGAAAAATCTTCTCAGGTTAATTAAATGATTATCTAAAACATCAAAAGGTGGCAGTCATCATTTCTTCTGAAACTACATGGTTCAATTTTAGTATCAGTTGTGTTTGGGCTGTGAAAGATAAGGGCATTAGTGCTCAGATTTCTTCCAGCTCCCTTCCCAACAAAACTTAAGTCTTGTTAGTTACCTTGTTATTTTTACACTGTTCAGATGTATGGCTCCCAGGCTCTGCTCCATGACTAGAATAGTTTCCATATTTCATGCAAGTGTTTAATCCCAGCTCCCCCGATTAACTTCTATGGGGCAGAAGGTAACAAAACAAAACAAAACAAAAAACAAACAAAAAAGTAAAATATAGGGTGCCATTCTTTAGAACCAAAGCCAAAAGTAAAGCAAAGTAAGGTAGACCACGAATGCTGGAGAAAGGTGGGGCACACTCTGCCATAGTAAATAAGGCAGATGGAGCAGGCTTCATAGAGAGGTATTGTTTAATTCAGGAAATAGATTTGTTACCTACCACTAGTGCTTTTTCATGATATTTCAATTCCTAAGTTTATTTCTTTTCTTTATTTCTTAACTGGCTGAATATTATTGTCACATAGTTTTGTTCAAGAAGGGCTCATGGGTGCTGTATTCCTGGTTTTTCATGTCTGAGAAAGTTCATTGCTTTTTTATTTAATACCATTCTTGTATGGCCATAATATCCTGGGTGCACTTTCTTTCCCTTAGACATTGTGAACACTGTCTTTTGGCATGAAATGTTGCTGTGGGAGAGGCTAGGGCAAGCCTGATTTGAACCCCTTATAATGATGTGCTTTTCCTGACTGTATGAATGTTCAAAGTGCCATTATTTAACTAACTTGTATGTATCTATCTTGAACTGTCTGCATTAAATTTTCCTGGAACATGGTATGTCTTTCAACTTGCATATTCAATTTTTTTTCTTTATTTAGATGATTGTTAAAATTTTACTTTTGGATTTGCATACTTCTTTATTAGGTGTTTTAAAAAATCTATTAGCTTCTTTGTACTTTCTCTAATGTTTTTGTTTTAATCTACCTTTACTGTGATTATCTCAGACTCTCATCCATGTAAATAATTTATTTTCAGTGGAATATACCTGTTCCTTGTTATCTCTAATTTTTGCATTAGTTTTGTAATGATGTGGTGTGGGTCCTCAATTTGTTTCCTTAGATCCTCAATCTCCTTTTTTCTTTTTAATCTCATTGTCTTGTCTTTCAGCCCTTATGTTCCTGAATTTATATGCTTATTAAGATATTATAAAACATAAAATAATTGTGAAGAATTTCCTTTTGTTCTTTTGCTGTGTTTTCTCCTATGTTAGTTCTTTGTTTCCCTCTTCCTTCCTTCCTCCCTACTTCTCTTCTTCCCTCTTCCTTCCCTCCCCTCCTTCCTTCCTTCCTTCTTCCCTTCCTTCCCTCCTTCCTTCTCTCCTTCCTTCCCTCCTTCCTTCCTTCCCTTCCTTCCCTCCTTCCTTCTCTCCTTCCTTCCCTCCTTCCTTCCTTCCCTTCCCTCCCTCCTTCCTTCCTTCCCTCCTTCCTTCCTTCCTCTCTTCCTTCCTTCCTCTCTCTCTTCCCTTCCTTTCTCTTTTTTCTCTTTTCTCTTTCTTTCTTCTTTCATACTAAGTCTGCATAGTTTGTTTCTAAATGGGACAGATTTTTAGGAATGCTGCTTCAACTCACCAACATAACATCTGTTAGAGCTCATTATAAGGTATCTGATTCCATTTCTCTGCCATAGAAAGTATCATCTGGGGAATACAGTCAAACTTATCTTTGCTGCCTAAGACTCTGGGAAACCTTGGGACCTTCATTTCTAAATGTTTCCCCTCTTCATCCAGTATGGTGGACTAAGGCAGAGGATTTAGACAGAGACTACATGAGATGTCCTGACTGGTTGGTGGGCATAGACAGAGACCAGTAGGGAAAATGAGAAGGCTGGGAAAACGGAAGCCACAGGAGCCTGAAGAAACTGACTTGAGGAGGCAGGAATCTAACTTTTAGTATCCACATTGGAAACTTAAGAGTCAGTATCTAAAAGCTGAGAGCTTATCTTCTGAAGATAGACAAAAGCTGGTATTTAGTCCAGGCTCTGCAATGTACTGGGTTTGTAATCTTGATCCTCTGTTTTCTCATCTGTAAAAGGGGGTTAATAATATTGTCTTTCTCAATTAATTATTACGACAATTAGATGAGCTAATTAAAGCATTGCTTACCTCAGTGCTGACAGCTTTAATAGATGTTA
This sequence comes from Homo sapiens, assembly GCF_000001405.40. Classification (NCBI taxonomy): domain Eukaryota; kingdom Metazoa; phylum Chordata; class Mammalia; order Primates; family Hominidae; genus Homo; species Homo sapiens. Next base: position 15,853,639 of record NC_000011.10, on the reverse strand, counting down.
GCATTTCCTGTCGGTATAGTTAATGATCTGCTGATAGGCATTGATATCAGAGAACATCTGATCAGAAGGTGGCAATGAATGGCAGAAATATGTACTGAAAGTGACCCAAAGTTAATTTGTGCCAGCCACAGCATTTGAGGCTGTTGGTTAGTCATTCACAGTAAGACCCCAGATTCTGGCCAGGAGGCCATGGAGCTCAATCTCTCTTCTCCACACTCTTGGTAAGAGGCAAGGGAAAAGGGGGAACTTACGACAGTCAAACAGGGTGTCTTGCCTTAGCCCAGTGCTTTTCCAAATGTGGTCCCTAGATTGGTGGCATCAGCATCACCTGGGAATTTGTTAGAAATGCATATTCTCAGGCCCCACTTGAGACCTACTGAATCAGAAACTCAGGAGTTGCGATGTGGAAATGTGTGCTTTAACAAAGCCCTCCGGGTGATTCTGATGTTCACTAAAGTTTGAGAACCATTCTGTCTTCTCCAGTTGGGCTAGTATTTAGGGAAGTGAGTGGCCAGGATAAGAAGGCAATAACCCTAAAATGCCTTTGCCAATATCTCAGAAACTTGATGTAGACTGTGAATGAGTTAGGCTTGTTAATAGTCAAGGTCCATTATATATATAATATATGGTGTATGTATATCATGTATATAAATACATCATGTATGTTTCTCGAATAAATATATTTATCAAATTTATCAAATAAGTATATCATGTAAATTTATTCCTTTAAATACAGTCAGCCCTCCATATCCATAGTTTCTGTATCTGTGGAGTCAACCAACCACGGATAAAAAATATTTTTAAAAATGGATAGTTGTGTCTGTATTGAACATCTACAGACTGCCCTTGTCATTATTCCCTAAACATTACAGTGTAACAATTATTTACATAGCATTTACATGGTATTAGGTATTATAAGTAATCCACAGATGATTTAAAATATACAGGAGGATGCGCATGGGTTATATTCAAATGTCACATCATTTTATGTAAGAAACTTGAGCATCTATAGATTTTGATATTCGTAGGGGGTCTTAGAACCAATTCCCCAGAATGCCGAGGGACAACTGTATATATTTTTGCTTCACGTCATCTTCATCTTTGTAGATGTGGAATGCTGTTTGGCTATTTTTTAGTGAACTATAATTTTGATTATAAGGAGATAAAAATATGGAAAAACACTTGACTCCCATTTTTAGTTATGGTAAAAGTCTGGAGCTCTCCATGAAACCAGAGTGTCATCTGCCATCTGGTGGCAGCATACCCCACTGACAGGTTTCAACAGCAATAATCACAAGTCAAGGATTTCAGAGAGGTAGAGATCAAGGGGGAATCTGGGGTCTGAAGAACTTAGGGAAGGCTTCTCATCATGCCAAGTCACTACGGTTCCCTCTTGGAGAAGTAAGTGGCATGGAGAAAAATGTGGACGTTAGAGTCAGATGGATCTGGGTTACACCTTAAGTAACTTCAGAAAAGGTACTTAAACTAAGCCTCAGGTTTCTCATTTTGAAATGGAGATGATAGCAATGATAATGCTTCCATCTCTAGATTATTGTGGGGGTCAAATGAGGGAATTTGTGAGAAACAGCTGGACGTGTTTTCAAAACTATTAAGAGCTGCCCAGATGTGAGTTGTTTATTATTTATGTTTGAAACTTGGTCTTTAATTCTGGAATGTAATGTCCTCTGTTGGAGGAATTCTAGACATTAGCAAGCAGGTGGAGGAGCTATTTGGTGTTTGGGTTTGTCTTCAATTTTTTTTTAAAGGACACAGCGGAGGGAGAATGTGCCCTGAGATTACCTCAACCACAAGTTCACTCCTGTGGACTGTTTAGGAGTGAAGGAGGAATGAACAACCAACTCCATCCCCCACCGAAGAAGCAGGAAGAAGACCCAGGATCCTGGCCCGTGTCATTGTGTTGACTCTTGTCCTTGTGTTTTCTCTAACTTGGGGAAGGAAGGATAGAGAGAAAGAAAACTGGATGGAAGTTTGCTGGGAGAAAGGTGGGAGTGAGGAAAAGAGAAAGGAGAAGAGGGAATGCAAGACAGAGGGTGGGAAAGAGAATTAGTACCAGAGAGGATCAGAGTGAGAGGGAAGGGGCACTTGGAAGAAACCAGGTTAAAAGAAGGGTCAAATAGAGGGAGGAAACTAGAACATATGCCCTGCTGCTGTTGCCTTAGTCAGTTCTAGGCCTTTCCAACTGGCAGCACTTTCTGTGAGTCGGCTTTTTGCGACTGAAACACTTCTTTCTTCGGGGACCTTGTGCTTTTGTACATGTGAAGTGTTTGGATCCAATATGCTTAGTGAAAGAGAAGAGTCAGACATTGCTGGAAAAAGAGACCAGATGTCTTTGAAATCATCTAAATTGTCTCTATTTTTAAAAAAGTTACTCTTTCCATTGCTGCCAGATCTGAAAGTCCAATTTGCCAGGATAATATATCCGGTGTGGATAAAGATTTCCAAACTTGAAGTGTTTGTTGCTTAGCAACCCAGAGGCATGAAGGGCTCGGCCATTCAACCTTTTGGGGAGACTAAGTTTTCCTCTGCAGTGGGCAATGGGCTGAGGATTCACTTGGGGCCACTCAGGTCTTGGGCCCCACATTGTGGGGCACCTCTGTCCCTCTCACTCCAGATTTCTTCCCAGGTACTTGAGGCTAATAAAATCTAAACAGAGAGAGAAAGGGAAGCAGGAGGAGAAGCAGAGAGAAAGGGAACAACTGAAAGAGAAAGGTCCCAGGGCCAGAAGGAATTGAAGAGAAAAAAAAAAAAGTGTGCCTATGACTTGATATTTGGCCTTCAGCATAGATCCAAATAGTTACTTCTTAAGTGGTTTTGAATAAAGCTATTTTTGATCTTTAAAAAGGCATAGAACACATGGACACAGGAAGGGGAACATCACACACCCGGGACTGTTGTGGGGTGGGGGGAGGGGGGAGGGATAGCATTAGGAGATATACCTAATGCTAAATGACCAGTTAATGGGTGCAGCACACCAACATGGCACCTGTATACATATGTAACAAACCTGCACATTGTGCACATGTACCCTGAAATTTAAAGTATAATAATAATAAAATAAAATAAAAAATAAAAATAAAAATAAAAAGGCATAAATATTTTAAAACTATGTACATTATTATTATTGCTATATTCCCTGTTATTGTTTAGGAAGCATATTTTTAGTCACTACATGGTGGTTTGAGCATTCCCCCCTTCATTGATCCAGTATCCAATCAAAAGTTTGAGGTCTCAAGTTTCAGTGAGGACTTGTCCATCCACTCATCTGTATTCTGCTGGGGATTGGGGAAACAAGGAGTGGACATTATAGTTCTTTTCCTTATATCCATTCCCCCTTCTTTCTGTAATTACTCTGATTTTTGGTTCAGTTTCCATCTTTCTGTCTCGACATAGTTCTTGCACTGGTAAAAATGTGACTCTATATCTAGGGCTTGTGGTTCAGACCAGGGAATGTGCATAATCTCTCTTCTGGTCATCATTATTGGTTCAGGGACTGGCCATGACCCAATTCTGGCTGTTGAATTACAAGAAAAGAAATTTGCTGGGGGTTTCTGGGAGAGCTTTTTCTAACTCATCTGGGGAAATATCTGGGTGTGGTCCTATTTTGTTCTCCTTGGATACCTGCTCACATTTTGGAACTATGAGACAGGGAGAGCTTTAGAGAGAAACTGAATATATGATGAGCAGGGTGAAAAGAGAGGAAACAAATAAATGAATAGACAAACAAATTCTAGGTGACATGGTTAGGCAACTGAATTGAACTACTCCTGAATTCCAGCCTTTTCTTGGATCTCCAATTATAGAACCAATAATTTTTCTTCACTGTATAAGCTAGTTTGGATTTGATTTTCTGTTACTTAGAATCAAACATTCCTTACTGATACAATGACATTTACTGAGCACCTACTGTATGCCTGGCATTCTATAAAATGCTTTCCTGTATATTATTCTCACCTAATCCTCATGGTAAACTGGCAGGGAAGGCATAACATACTCATTATTCAGTTGAAGAAAACTTCAGAAAGGACCAAAACAGAAGTGGTTTGTGGCAGAGCTGGGCTTTTAATTCAGAGCAGTCTGACTGCCGAGCTCAGTACCCATACTCGGACTCTCAGCTGACAGCAGCAGAGATCTGCTCTGAGCAGAGGCGGGAGGGAGAACTGAAGTCTGACAGCAAATCTGAGCTCTCAGCTGACTAGATTGTCAAAGGTCAAAGTGACAGTGCTATGTAAAATCTGCGGTAAGTTTAGATGAACTGGCTTGTTCAGGGTCCTCATGTGGAAGGTGTGCCCTGACACTACATGGCCCCTCTGTAGCCAGGCCACAGCTTGCTTTAAAGACCTAGCACCCTGGATGCCATGAGAAATAACAACTTAACAATAATTTCTCAGTCATAAAAACATATGCAAAGGCTTGTGAAATTTCATTTTATTTAACCCATATTTCCTGATTTAACGTCTTTCCTTCAATCTTCCCCTTCCGAGTCAGCAAACTCCTGTAGTGACAAGACCACTGGTACACAATGACACTAGTTAATGTACACTGAGTATTTAATGTTCATTGACTCTGTGCTAGGCACCCTTCTAAATGCCTTCCATCTGTAATAGCTCACATATTATGAGGAAGTGTGTTGTTACTCTCCTATTACAAATGTGGACACCAAGGCTCAGAGAGGTACAATAGCTTGCCCAAGGTCACACAGCTAGATCTTACACTCCTACTATGATGCTATATTGGCTTTCCATGTAGACAGAATGAACAAAGGCTCCTGCCAAGGTCCTTGGCAAACAGAATATAGTAAGTTTAGTGATAGATAGAGCATGCCAGACTCTAAGTGCCAGAATCACATCATTCATGGAAATGAACTGAGTGTGGCTATGAAATTATGAGATTGATTTTATTTTTTTAAAAACCACAACACCCCTTGTCATGCATATTACTGTCATACTTTCAAAAGTTATCCTCTACCTCATAACCTCATTTCTGGAACTAAAAAAATGGAAAAGACTATATTAAAATTATTGAAAAAAAAAACCATGAGAAGAGGCTAGCCCTGCTAGACATTAAATATACTATAGAGCAGTAATAATTAAAATAGCATAATTCTGTGAAAAAAATAGATGAATGGATCAGCAGAAAATAACAGAACACTCCTCCATGCTATTATGTGGTATATAATAGAAGTAATATCTCATTTGTGGAGAGATGGGCAAAAGATGGTACCCGAAAACATATTAATTTGGATTTTTTCTTCCTACCTTACACCATTAAATTCTGAATTAATTAAAAAATAAAATGTAAAAACTGAGGCCACAAAAATATCTAAAGGGAAATTTATGATCACGATTAGGGAAAGTTTTCCTAAATATTGCATCAGCAGCTGAAACCATAAAAAACATATACATTTTACTATATAAAAATGAAATATTTCTGTATGGCAAATACACTATAGAATGTGTGAAAGACAAAGGGTTCTTAGCCTTCAGACTTAAAGGACTTTAAATCCTTTTTATCAGTAAGATTAAAAAAAAAGAAACATAGCAATATAAAACAAAAGCCAAAATGTCAGGCCACCTTCATAAACTGTTAATGAAAGTATAAATTTGCACATGATGAAATGTGCAAATACATTTCAAATACATTTCACATTTGCCACAATGTGGCAAAACACATCAATGATCTTAAACATTTGACCCAGCAATTTCCCTTCCAAAAATTTATCTTAAGAGAATGATTAGATAAATAGGCAAAGGCATTTGTGCAAAGGATGATCATCACAACGTTATTCATGACAATTTTAAAAATTGAAATGAAGCTAAATGTTTGAAGAGAGAATAGGTTAAATAAATGATGGTATCTATCCATTCAAAGAACATGTAACAGGATTAATAAGGATGATATAGACATAGATTTGCTGACATCAAAAATACATTCTTGACTGTTGTTAAGTGAGAAAGAAGGTTACCAATATGTATAAAAATATTATCATATTTGGTACAGATATAACCCTCTTCTTCTATGTATCAAAATGCCTGACAAGCTATTCATCTAAAAAATAATCATACATGTATACATATTATGTACATATAATTTTTTAAAAATAAATATACATTTATATATCCAAATATAGAAACTTAAATGCATCAACAATTTATTTTGTATGTATCAAATATTACATTTAAAAAAACCGTGAAGACATGCCTGTAAGTCACAGGACAATTTTTTTTTTCTTTTTCTCACCTGAGTCGCTGATTGGCCCATTTGTTTGCAAGGAAGAGTATGGCCTTCAGAACCACGCTGATCTGGGTTGAAATCTCAATTATTTTGATATACCAACAGAAATATTATAGGCACTTCTCTTAACCTCCCTAAGACTCAGTGTCCTCACCTGCAAAATGACAAAGTATTCACCTTATGTAGTTATTATGTAGACTCCAGTAAAATGATAAACCACTACTCGGTGATTGGCACACAGAACAGTCCCAATAAATTGCAATAAATATTAATATTCTTCTTCTTCTTTAATATTCAGCTCAAATACCTCTCTGGATGTTGTACCAACTATCCCCAGACAGTGGGTTCTTTAATGACAGAGTTTTCTCATAGCTTTTTTTTTTTTTGAGACAATGTCTCACTCTGTTGCCCAGGCTGGAGTGCAGTGGCATGATCTCGGCTCACTGCAACCTCTGCCCTCTGAGTTCAAGCGATTCTCCTGCATCAGCCTCCTGAGTAGGTGGGATTACAGGCGCCTGCCACCACGCCCAGCTAATTTTTTTTTTTTTTTGTATTTTTAGTAGAGACAGGGTGTCACCATCTTGGCCAGGCTGGTCTTGAATTCCTGACCTCGTGATCCACTCGCCTCGGCCTCCCAAAGTGTTGGGATTACAGGCGTGAGCCACTGCGCCCAGCCTCTCATAGCTTTTTATGGATATCTGTTACTTCTCACTCTGTTTTTACCCATTAGATGTGAGTTCCCAGAAGCCAGGGATCAGGCTTACCCATCTCTGTGTCCTAAGTACCTACCTCAGTGTGTTGCACATAGTAGGCTTATGCTAAACGTTGAATGAATAAAAAAAAATAAATAACAATTATGATCCATGACAAAAATGTTTAAAAAAGTAAACATTTCCTTAAGGGAATAACTGGTGACATACTCACCATGGTGCTTTTTAAGAAAATTACCTGCACATTATTTTGCAATCTCATTTTATAAAGAAGATAGTGTGTTATAACAACAGCAGTAACAAATATTTATTGAGCACTTACTATAATTACACTTAATCCTCTCAAAAGACAGTTGATGAGGAAAGTCACTTGTCTCCAGTATCTAAAAATGGCAGAGCCAGAATTTGAACTCCGGTCTTTCTGACAGATCCAGGACCCTATGCTTTTAACCGGGAACCCTCTCCAGGATGGCATTTTAAGGACTTCATTGGGAAGCGTGATGAAAGCTCTGTAGCAGCTAAACCACTGGGCCTCAATAGCACTCTAGAGAAGCCTATGGTAGAGGCGGGTGGTTTTGAGATGGGAGGCAAGAAGAATGGAATTGAGGAGGGAGATGATAGAGAGAAACAAGAGGGGTGCTAGACAGAGTGAACAAAACCTCCATTGACCACCTGGGTCTGCCATTTGGGGATGGGGGCAACATTTTTACACTTTAGGCAAGATTGTGAAGCAGTTGCTATTTGTAGCACAATCGGGGCAATGGGGAAGACTCTGTGTTCCTATACTCTATCTGGAACATGTGGTGGAACCCAGAATGATACCTAATTTGCGAATTAATTTAAATGTAATACTTTTGGTGGTATGCAAATGAGATTTTAGTTTGTTTTGCAGTGTAAAAAGATCAACATTTATTGAAATAATATCATTGATTTATTGTATTGCATTAAATCAATTCGACTGTCCAGGAAAATCTTGGCAGTAGGAAGGTCTTTCACCTCCCTCCCCATAAGCCCTCACCTCCCCCCAGCCCTCACCCCCAGGCCTTCTCTTGGTGTTCTATTTCTGCTAATCCTTGCTAAGAAGTAACTGGTGAGCAAGAGGTTAGCTGATGGGGTCTCAAGGTGTGACCTTTCCCAGGAGTATTTGCATGTTAATAGAAGATACTGGGAACCAGGAGCAGCCTCCAGGTCTCAAATGAAAGAAGTCCTGAAGGTGGATGGGAGGGGTAGGCATGGCCCCCAGGGGCCCTGCTATGTAGGCCTCCTTGATTCTGCCTGTGTGGATGGCTGCTGGTCTGGGCTTCTCTCCAGCTGCTTTTACAAAGAAGTGGTTTGGAGAAGAACAAAGCAATTGTATTTATCCCCAGGCAGGGACTCCATTGCCAGGGCCCTGTGTGCAATGCCCAGCTCAGAGCCTGGACCCAGCAGGTCTTGCTAAATGGTTATTCGTCAAATGAATGAAGAAAGTCCTTCCTCTCTGCCCTCTACCACTCTCCCCTGACACCTTTAGCCCTTTGGTCCGTGAGCCCTTGAAGCCCAGGAGACCAGGCCCAAGATATGGGCAACTTCTTCCTAATGATAAGAACATCGCCAAAAAGAAATTTCTACCATTTACATTTTATTATTTTTCCTCCTTATAACCAGAAAACCTCAAAACTTGTGCTGAATTGCATGACCTCACTGACCATGTTTCATGTTCCTTGTTGAACTGTGGTTAAGGCAATCTCCTTCTTAGCTACAGTGAAACTGCAGAAAATAAAATCCCTTCGTAGACATGTGCTCTTGCACACGCACATTTCAGGATTCTAAGGAAGAAAAGAGGGCGGGGGCCCGGGTGGGAGCAATAAGGACAAGACTACTTTTCTGTTTGGCTGAATTCATCAAAAATGTCTAAACCCCATACCGAACATTCATCACTAATTAAATCCTAGCACCATAATTCAGAGAAAACAATTACAGCATTTAGAATTTTTAAAGGAACTATTATTGCTGCCTTGGCCCTTTTAAAAATTATGCTCCCCAAAGGACAAAATGTGATCCATTAATATGTATGTATTATTACTTTTTTTGTAACGGGAAGACTGCTGATGCCTGTGAATATGGAAGCATTTATCGGTTGCCGACAGCCGCTTAGTTGACTTGCAGTTTTAAGTGCAGTATTTTCTAGAATCTAAAAGGCTATAACATTAATTACCTTTTTGCCTTCAGCTGGTGGCCTGCTAGTTTCTGTCCTGTGTTCTCTGTCTTGGTCACACTGGAAACTGGTTAGTGAGTGAAGGGGTTGGTCAGACCTAGGAGGGGTCAAAACCATTATTGAAAAGATCACACAATAATTCATTCCGTTTAGGGCAATTTCTCCCACTTACCTTTGGTGCCCAGGAATAAGTCCTTGATTTTCATTTTTCAGTTGAGGCCCCCTTGTGTGCTGTGTCCTGTGTTAGTTGCTGAGTGCAAGGCATCCTAAATTTCAAAGTCAAATCTGTGCCTCCTCCACATTGAGTGTCCCCAGCTAAACGGGGTTCTGATTTGTTTTCCTCTTCCATTTTATCCTTCTGATCCACAGGCTTCTTTGTCTTGACAAAGTAACTGAGAGATGAGTTATCTGAATCTGGCACCAAGGACCACAACTGGCCTTTATACATTAAGATATATTGTGTGCTTGACCCGTGTGTGTGTGTGTGTGTGATATGCATGCATGTGTGTGTGCTTGAGTGTGTGCACACACATAGGTGTGTGCCTGTCTGTGTGTGTATACATATATAAAAGCACAACTCAGAAATTTCTATTCTGCTTTCTGATCAGTCTATTGTCACATGCATTTGGCATTCATTATCCATGAGCCTCCGGCGCCTCTGGTCCTGTGCCCTGGCTAACAGTGATTTGGTTTATAGAGATCATATGGCAAGGAAACAGACCTTGAAAGACAGAGCTCTGAGAAGCACATTTGATGAATTTCCTATGATTTGAGTCTGGGTTTATTCTTCCCTGTGGCGGGGCAGGCACCCCAGAGCACACACAGCCGGGCCCAGCCGAGAAGTGGAGGCTATGACAATAAGCACACTGTTTTTTTCTTCACACGTCTCGGGTTGCATTTCCTATCTGGGAAAAAAGAAAAGGGAGCCTTGTAAAGGATCCAGAATCTGGGCAGGAAACCACACAGAGTGAAGGTTGCCATTGTCATTAGCAATTAATGTAACCACCAGGGCTGGAAGGAGAGAGCTCTGCCAAAAAAGTGGGTGAGGGGAGGGGGGCATGGGCTGCTGGCGGGGGTTGGGACTGCTCGCCCTTCCTTCACCAGCCATGGTTGTTAGGAGAGCAGGACACCTCCCGAGGCACTCCAGAGAGAGACCAGTACTGGTTTTTTATTTTAAAACAAGGTGCCCAGGACTTGATAAGTTATTAAATGTCTCTGCCACCCATTTTCACATTCTATGGCTCCATGTCCAATTCCTTAGTCCCCTTGGGAAGTGATTTTTTCTAAGTGAGTCTGTTGAGATTCATTGATTTAACAGTACTGTATTTATTGAGTGCCTTTTATGTGCCAACTGCTTGGGGTGCTAGGCATAATGTTAATGCTAATATAGACCATATGTCCTGTGTGTGTGTACCAGGCATGGGGTTATGTGCCTTTCATTCATTACCTCATTTAGGAATCATTACAAGTCTATGAACTGGGTTTTCCTTTTACCCCATTTTATAGATGTCGCAGTTGAGACCCAGGGAGCTTAACTAATTATGCTTCAGGTCTTAAAACCAATACAAGGGCTAGCTGGGATTTGAACCCCAACAATTTGAAGAGACGTACGTCTCTTTGAATGTATGCTTCTCGCCCTAGCTTATGCCCTCAAGAAACCCACAGTCTAGGGAGGATTTAGGCAAGTCAATCAGTGATTAAATGCCGCGATGATGTAGGCTATGATGAGAGTAAGCGTAGGGCCTCTGGAAGTCCAGAGAAGAGACACCTAGTCTAGCCTGAGGAGGTACTCATAGAAGGCTTCCTGGAGGAGGTGAGTCTGATGTTCCTCTTGTCCTCACTCATGTCTCAGTGGTATATGAGTTTATTTTGGCCAAATGAATCAGTCTGGAAGGAAACATTAATATCTTAGTCTGTCTGCACCACTCACTATATAAGTGTGGGTGTGTTCCACAGATCTGTCCAGAAAGATTTGCTTCTTATGTCATACTAAATGAAGTCCCAACTGGGTTGAGAAGAGCTGGGACTGCCAGCATTTCTTTTATACTTTAGATGAATTCAAATCCCTCTCTTGTTCCTCCTTCCCCCTCCCTGCTTTGTCTCTCTTCTTCTTCATCTCTCCCCTCTCCACCCCCAAACTCTTTCTCTTTCTTTCTGGTAGTTTTAAAAATGCCACTTTTTATTAATGTGACCAAAATGTCATCAAGTAGTTTAATGCTCTTTAATGTCCTTGTATCGTTTACGTTTTGCGAACAGTGTGGAAATGAATCCCATCTGTGGATTCAAGAACATCAAAAAAGTTGGACAGGCTATTTAGACGTGCTACTTCACATTGCATTAGTATGTACAATGTCAGGGTGCTGAGCCAAGCATAGTCTGTCCAGGCCTCTGCCCAACCCTTCCCCAGGCCTGGGAGTGACAGATCACTTACCTCGGGAGCTCAGAGTCAACTATGGATACCGGGATCTGGAAGCCTGCCCAGAGGCCCCAGGAAAAGTGTGAAGCCTAAATAAAAAATTAGAAATGATTCAGGAAAATCTCTCTCTCTGTTTTTGGTGCAAACATGCCCCAACAATGACTTTTTTATCACTTGGGTGAGAGGCTGGTTATATTGCTGTCTAACTTCTTCTAAAATAATAGCCAGCCTACCTCTGTCTGTCTGTCTGTCTTCCTCTCTCTCTGTCCCCTCCCCACCACATTACCCAGGAACAGAAGCTCCGGGGTTAAAATTAGTTGCCAATTTGTAAGGAGGCAGCTATAAGCCAAAAATCACTGGAGAATATCAAGTTCGGGGCCAGCAGAGCTCATAAAAGAGGTGCTCTCCGAAGAATCCTGAGAAGGTCTCAAAATCCAAATCAGCAGAGCGGTGATCTCAGGATGACCCTTTTGCTGTGGCATCCTGGTGAAGGGTGCTGACACTGGAGTCACCCTACCTGCGTTTGAATTCTGGATCCTCCACTTCCTAGAAGTATGGTCTTGAGCAACATCAAACCCCTGTGCCTCACTTTTCTTACCTGCAACATGGGGATACTAATTCTATCAACCTAATTAAATGAACTACTGAATGTGAAGTGTGTAGACTCATGTTCAGCCATCGTAAGTACTCAATAAATGCTAAGGGTGAGCTATTATTGGGCTTACTTTGTTGCCCTGCTTTTGCCACCCAGCCCAACCTACACTGTGCCTCTTTGGGTTAAGGCTTCCAGGTGGTCAGCCCCTTCTCCCCACTCAGCTGAGCTCTCAGCCTGAGCGCTTACCTTACAAGGACCCACAAGGACGGAGGCCAAAAGGAGGGGCAGGGGACTTTGACTCCCAAATATCCTGGCTTTTGTCCAGGTCTTGGGAAACCCCTTATTCTAATGCATTCCCTGGAAAGAAAGAGGTTACTTATTGTTTCAGACAAAACAAAACAAAACAAAACAAAACACCAAAAAAAAAAAAAACAAAAAAAACAACAACAAAAACTTCTATCCTTCCCCTGACATGGGGAACTGCAAGAGTGGATTTTTAATTGTTAATCATTACAGTTGAATGAACAATAATCCATCTCTATGAAGGCCCTCATTCCCTTGCCAACCCCATCACCCCTGTTTTGTACTTGTTCATATGAATATCCTTTAATTCTAAATATAAATATAAGCAAATAACTTCTAATTGTTATTTCACAATTTCAAAGACAAGGTCATTCTGTTTTAACTCTTAAATTAAACAAACAAACAAAAACATTCGGTTAATGCAATTACCAGAAGGATGATTCGTTTCTAAGTTCTTTGTGGGGTATGGAGAGGACCTATTGGCTATTTATGCTCAGACAATTGGGAGAACACCAATGGGGAGTTATATCTGGAGCTCCCTGGAGACTTGTAAGTGCAGCTAATAACGCAGCCACTGCACTGAGCCTTTATACCCAGGCTGGCGGGAAGGACACTGGATTTTAGACTGGCAGATGTGCCTCTAATATTTGACTGGGTTAAATGCTGGAGCCTTCCTCAACCCCTTTACTTTCCATTTTAACTCTCCTAACACTGTGGTTGGCTGGTGGTACAGTTATGATGGCTAAGAGCATAGACTCAGGAGCCAAACTACATGGGTTTAAATCCTGGCTCTGTCAATTGCTTACCCTGGATAAGTCACCCAACTTCCAAGGCTCATAATAGTATCCGTCTCAAAGGATTATTGTAAGCATGAATTGAGTTAATATGTGTTAGGCACCCAGTCTAGTGTCTGACACATAGCAAATGCTCTCGGTAAATATATCAGCTATTATTATCTCTTCAATTATTTAATCTCTCTCTTTAGTACTACAGTCACTGAGAGTTCTCTGAGGCAAGGACCTGTTTCTACTGCCATAGCCCACCACTGAGCACAGCGCCTGGCACCTGGAAGAATCTCATTACTGTTTGTTGAATTGTATTGAAGTGATGCTAAAAAAAATGCGGGGCGGGGTGGGGGGGATGTAAAATTGTGTTGTAAACCACCATGCAAGAAATTTTTATTATTAGCTCTGGAAAGAGTTTATTGGATAAAATATCTCCAGGGCTCTCAGAATCGCTGCTGTTGTTGAATGTAACAAAATTTTGATCAACAGTTGACTAGTCTGTTTCTAAATCACCCCTGTTGTCAGTCTTCTCTGTGTTTAGTTCTTTTCTTCTTGGTTTGTGCTGAGTGGTTTGCTAATCTATTCAACTGAACAATTTTTACTTAGTGTCCCTTACAGGGCAACTCCAGGTTAAGAGAGACTGCAGAAGGTAGCAGAGTGAGACTCATTCTCTGCCTTTTGCAGCCTTATAGTCTAGTAGGGGAAGCAGATATATGAACCTTGATTCAGCGTGGTCCTTCCTTAGGATTTTACATATGTGGCTGAGAGATACAAGTGAATGTAAACCCGGCCACCTCTGGAGGCTGTGCCCAGTCTCTCCATGCTGCCTGCAGGAAGATCATCTGATATAGCAGAGGATGAGGCCAACCCACAGAGTGAAATAGAAGGGGAGAGAGACAGAGCTTTGCGGGTTCGTTATTGCAGCAAAGCTAGCCTCTCTTAACTAATATAAGCTCCATCTTCCCTAAAATTCTTCATAATGCCACATGCCATCGCCTGAAATTCCCACCCTTTGGAATGCTTGGGAAATGAGTTAAGGGATTCCAAACCCAAGGAATCTGCAGGAATCTTAAGCAGGGCTCTGTTTGTATCTCTCTTGTTGTTGACATCCTGGTCCCTAATGAGGTCATTTGAACATCTGTACCATATCTGCCAAAAGCCAGTTAACTGGAAATGACATTAGCCACTGTTAGCAGAGTGTCTTTTCCCCTTTCTCCCTTGGATCTGTGCTTTGGGGACACATCGACATAGCTCAGAGGTTCTTAGGGCTCATACATCAAAGGGAGGGATATAGTCACCAGCAGGCCCCTGTCAAAACATTCGACATTTTAGCTTGCTGCCTCCCAACCTTTACGACACTGAACACCCCTTTTCATTAAAAATAAAAGATTTTTGAAAGATCAAGTCTTCAAACATAAAGCACTGATTAAGTCATAATATACCTATTTACCCATTTCCTATTAATCAACCTTCATATATGATACTGATCAGACAACACTAGCAATGGGAAATTGATATCATTTCAGAGCAAAGAAATTTCTGTTAGACTAGATGGTCTAAACTATGGTAAGAGAATGGTTTCCTTTAGTCTTTTATTTTATGCTTGATTTGTTTTCAAAAATTAACAATTATTGTTAGACTTTTTACATGAATAAAATAGCCCAGGGATTTCTGCATTTGAACATGTTAAAAATCTGAAATCTAAAACTGCCTTATATTCTACCATTATTGTTCATTATTGTTCATTTTAGTTAATTAGTGCCTTTAGCTAACTGGGCACAGGGGCCTGAGGTACAAGACAGTTTGAACACTCACTGTGTGCCAAGTCTGGGCCAGGAGCTTTATGGTCTTAATGTCTTTTATTCATCCCAAGCCCTGTTGTAGATACAGCAGGACCCAGCAGGACTGAGCTTTGAGATTCTTATGGTAGCTCTTAACTCCTGGGAATGAGGTGCCAAGGGAAGCTAAGAGCCGTCGAAACAACCATGCTCGCCTCAAGAAGAGCATAGTTCCCACCTTGACCAGAGTTTATACTCAGACGGAGCCAGGGAGTAGCTGCTCTGAAAGGAAAGGCCTGGTCTCCTTTTCTAGACTGTGTGTGTGTGTGTATGTGTGTGTGTGCATGTGTTTGCATTGAGGGGTTGGCTTCCTCCTAACTACTGCTTTCCTAGAGGTTTTCATTATTTCCATCAACACAAGTAACTAGGAAACTATGCTGTGACTTAATGGAAATTAATGTTGGGAAGGACCATAAATCATCACTTCAGAGATGAGGAAACTGCAACACAGAGGAACCTTGAACTGCTAGAGATTGCACATCAAGTAGGGGAAAGTCAACATTTCTCTCAGAGCTTCTGGTTCCAAAGTCCATGTTCTTACAATTTCATAGAACAGAAGGGCTAGCTGGGCTCATAAAAACAATATAGTCCAATTTCCTCATTGTGCAGGTGGGGACACTGAGACTCAGAGAGGGGGTGTTTTTGCCTAGGTTTATGATTAATTAGTAAAAAATATCAGGGATTAAAGCCAGGTCTCCTAACTTAGACTTCACTGTACCTTTAAGATTTGAATGACCACTGGAAATAAATGGATACTTAGAGATCCATCCATCCGTCCATCCATCCATCCATCCATTCATCCATCCATCCATCTAAACATCCAAGCAATCTTAAATCCTCATTAGAAATGAGGACATCTTACCCAGAGGCCTCCTACAGCCATATCCCTTTGGCTAGAATTGCCCCCCCATACTGAAGCCTAAGCCATTCATTGGTGGAGGCATGGGACTTACCTCTCTCCCAATCTTCACACTCCTTTCTCCCACTGCTGCCTATCTAACATCTCCAACTGCATGTCTATCAGGCACCTCAAACTGAGTACCCATCAGTCCCAGCCCTAGATCCCGTCCCAGCCAGAAGTGCTCCTCCTGCAGTGCTCTTTATCTCAGTTAACAGCACTTGTATTTACTTGGTAGTGCTATCTCAAAACTTTGATGTTATCCTTCACTCTTTTGTTTCTCACTCTAGCCACCAAATTCATCAGCAGATCCTTTTGCTTCAAACTTCAAAATCGTTCCCAATTCCAATCAGTTATCACTACTTCTCCAGCTACCACCTGGTACTCCACGTAGCCTGGTCACCTGCTTCTGTTCTTGCCTTGCCTTAGTCTGCTTTCTGCACAGTGACCATGGGAATCTTCTGAAATTACAAATTGTGGAAGAGCCCCCAGTGATTTCCCATCATTTAGAGCAAAATCCAAAGCCATTTCTATGACCCAGCCTCTGTTTGTAACATTCCAGCCACATTGGCTTTCTGGCTGCTCCTCAACGTGCAGGTTTATTCTTACCCTGAGGCCTTTGCACCTGCTGTTGCCCTTGACTGGAACATTTTTCCCCTGCAGAGTCACAGGCTGGTGCCCTCCCTTCATTCATGTCTCAGCTCAAATATCACCTCCCCTCATCCCCTTATCTAAAACAGCAAGCCTATTTTTCTCTATACCTTTACCTGGCATTATTTCTCTTCATGACATTTATTGTTTGGTCTGACATTGCAAAGTTATTATATAATATATAACTGTGTGTTTATTAAGGCTTCATGAAGACAAAGACTTTTTTTAATGACTTTATCTTTAGTGCCTAAACAATGTCCACTACAAAATAGGTGCTCAATTGTGTTTGTTGAATGAATGAATGAATGAATGAATGAATGAATGGCTTAGAACAATGACAGTTTATCCCTTGAGGATGCGAATAGGCCAATCCCTTCTGGAGGAGAGTGCATATGTGAAAAAAAATTGGGTTCTATTAGCCCAGGAGGAACGGTAAGTGGGTGTCAGCAGATGACCAATAGTGTATACTACATCGAGCTTGTCCAGTTTCTATGATTACAGTTGCCAAACAGTTTTGGGTAAACTCAGAATGTCCCACTTGGTTTTGTTGTGGAAAAGCAGCCAGCAGGAGGGTGCATACTGGTTCTCTGGGACTTGGCCAGGGTGGAAACACAGGGTGTCTACTCTCCAGGCCTATAGCAAGGCCAAGAAATGAATTGTGACTTCCTGGGGCAGCAGGAACTCAGAGCTGGGCTCCATTTGTTATCTCCCCTGGTGACAGGCTGGTCCCCAATGATGTCATCTGAGCATCTGCAGGCACCTCTTCCAGGAGCCCACTAACTGGAAATGACATCAGCTACCAGCAAAATGACTTGGGCGCCCAGCAGACACGTCCCGCTGATCCCCTGTCTGGAGCTCATCTCCCTGCCTACCTGGAAGTCTTCTGGCTGGCACTTTGGCAAACAAAGAGACATTTGAGAGGGAATTAAGTTGACTTTAAAAGATAGCCTCAAAGTGTTTCCCAACACATCGACGCTTACATTGAATTATAGGTGCTAATAAAGCTGTCAGAGCCTTGGCTTGAGAACCAAACTCAAGCTAAAGGATCCCTGGGCAATGATGAGAATTCATCTGGGCCTGGAAAGTTGGTCCCTGGCCCAGCTGGAGGCTCATACACACACTGCATAGCCAGGAAACAGCTGGAATAACCTACTCCAACTGCACTGCAGATTGGCCGAAAGGGCTTGCCGTAGTCTTAAAGCAGGAGGCAGTCTTGCAGATATCTTCATATCTCATGGTGTTCTAGGACTGCCCTGATCCTTTCCTTTCTAAAATATGCCCAGAGTGGCCATTAAACCTGTGTGACTACCAGAATTGTAAGAAAGAGGAGCAGTATTTGGAGATTAGGGAAAAGGAGACATCACAGAGCACTCTGCCTGGGACATGCCCAAGATCAGGACCTTCATGTCTGAGCTTCTGTTCCAAAGACACAGGAGACACACAGATAGACCCAGAACTCACATGGAGCTCTACTTTTCTGGGAACTTATTATATGCTAGGCCCTATACCAAGTTCTTTACATTTGTGATCTTTTGAAAGAATTCAACAGTCCTATGAGAAATTATATTTATTTATTCATTTCCACAAATATTTGAGAACAATAATACTCCAGGCTCTGGGCTAGATGCTTGGGTTACAGTGAAAAGCAAGACAGACACATACTGTACCCTGTCCCTTGGATCTGGTTGCATGAGCAACAGTCATTGACAGTGAATTGCAATGTTGTTAGTATTAAGAAGGAGAAGTCTGGGCCGGGGGGGTTGGCTCATGCCTGTAATCACAGCACTTTGGGAGGCTGAGGTGGGTGGATCACCTGAGGTCAGGAGTTCAAGACTAGCCTGGCCAACATGGTGAAACCCTGTCTCTTGCTAATAATACAAAAATTAGCTGGGTGTCATGACGCATGCCTGCAATCCCGGCTACTTGGGAGGCTGAGGCAGGAGAATTACCTGAACCCAGGTGGTGGAGGTTGCAGTGAGCTGAGATTGCGCCATTGCACTCTAGCCTGGGCGACAAGAGCAAAACCCTGTCTCCAAAAGAATAAAAAAAAAAAAGAAGAAGAAGAAGAAGGAGAAGTCTGGAGTGCTATGGGAAGATGAATAGGAGAGTCCTGCTACTCTGAGGAGGTGACATGGAAGCCAGGAGTCGAAGGGTAAGCGGGAGTTAAAGAAGGCAAAGGGTATGGGGAAGAGCATTCCTGGCAGAAGAAACAGCCTGTGCTAATGCCTTTGTGTCAGTTTACTGTTGCTGCTGTATCCAATTACCACAAACGTGTGACTTAAAATACAAATTTATTATCTTACAAGCTCTGGACATTGGAAGTTGAAAATCAATTTCACTGGGCTGAAGTGAAACCATTGCAGGGATGGATCCTCCTGGAGGCTCCGGAAGAGAATCTGTTCCTTGCTTCTTCCATCTTCTGCTACCTGCTGACACTCTTAGGCTTATGGTCTCATCACTCCAATTTCTGTTTCCATGGTCATGTTACCTGTTGCCCTTCTGTAGCCCAATCTCCCTCTCATAAAGACACTTGTGATTACATTTAGGACTCAGCTGAGTAATTCAGGAAAATCTCTTCATCTCAAGATCTTTAACTTTATCTCATCTGCAAAGTCCCTTTGCCATATAATGTAGCAGTCACAGCTTCTAGAGATTAGGATGTGAATATCTTTGGGGGCCATTATTCAGTCTACCACAGCCACAAAGTGGGAAAATGCTTGCGGGATGCCTGTAGAGAATCAGCATAATATAGTGATTAAACATGCAGGCTCTGGGTGCCAACACCTAGATTTGCAACCTGGCTGAAGTGCTTCTTTGCTGTATGACTTTGAGCAATTTTCTGCACCTCAATTTTTCCATCTATAAAGTGGGGATAATAATAGCACCTACCTTATATGAGCATCATAAGGATTATTTCAAGTAAAATACTTAGAACAATGCTGGCATGTTGTATGTGCTCAATAAATGTTAGTTTTTAATATTATTAACTCTTTGTCAATAAACTGAGAGGAGCAAGGAAAAGAGAATCTAGGAGACTAGAACAGCAAGTGAGATTTGATTTTAGATGGCGCAGAGATTTGAAGTCTATTATATGAATTTGGATCATCATCTGAATGATGACTGAAGTCACAGAAACGTTTTAAGGGGAGTGAACGACATAACTTGATTTGCTTTTAAAATGGTCAGTTTGGTTGCATGGTGGATAATTAGTTGAGACCAATCAAGGGGCTCTTGCTATGGTCAAGTGAGAGATAATGATGGCTATTCACATTTATTGAAGAAGCAGCTGAGGCTCAGAGAAATGAAGTCACTAATTTAAGTGGCTTTATCAAGTTTAAGCTTTAACCATTAAGGTCACTGAGTTAGCAAAAAGTGGAAGTTATCAACCAGGGTTGGGATTCAAAACCAAGAGGGTTTGATTCTGAAGTCTATGCTCTTCATTGCACTGCATGGCCACTGTTACCATAGCGAAGTGAGTGAAAGACCTGTTACTCCCCAGACACACTGGGAGAAGCTGCTTTTAGGACCTGACAGGAGGGCCTTTGAGGGAAAGCCTTTACTTTCCTTGTCTTTCCTCCAACTCATCTTCTCTCCCATTGATAGAGAAATGTTTCTTCAACTGCAATAAATTGGCATTTCTGTCTAATGAATCTTATACTCTGCTCTCAGATTTACCCTTCACCTTGTTCTCCCAGGTTAGGGTTCCTTGGTCATTGACTGCTAAGGCTTCTTCTGAGACCATTCTCTCGGTGGCCGCAGTGCTTGTGCTGTCAGCCATGGGTAAAGTCCACAGCTCATCTGGATCAGGGCCCTTATATTATACAGGATTCTTTGAGATGTGAGTGATAAATACGGAACTCAAATTAGCTTAAGAATAAAAGGCAAATAAATTTAATTTTTTTTAGATGTTGTTTTTTTTTTAAATTTTCCATAGGTTATTGGGGTACAGGTGGTATTTGGTTACATGAGCAAGTTCTTTAGTGATGATTTGTGAGATTTTGGTGCACCCCAAACTCGAGCAGTATACACTGCACCATATTTGTAGCCTTTTATCCCTTGCCTCCCCCTCCCACTCTTCCCCGCAAGTCTCCAAAGTCCATTGTATCATTCTTACGTAAAAGGCAAATTTATTGACAACAAAAGCTAAAATGTGCCAGGAGATATTGCCTTCAGATATGGCTGGATCTAGGTGCTCAAATGATGTTGAGAATTCACCTTGTTTTATATCTCAGAATTATTTTTATGTTGCCATTCTCAGGGTGGTTCATTTTATGACAAGACTTCCACTAACACTAACAGCTCCTGGCTAACATTCCATCAGCTCAGCAAGTCCAGTAGAAGGAGCTTCTCTTCTGCTGTGTATCCAGGGAAAGTCTCAATGTGCATCTCATTGGATAGACTTGAGACACATGCTCATCTTGAAACCAATTGCTGTGGCAAAGGAAATAAAATATCTTCATTGGCTGGGCTAGGACCATATGTTTTCCTTGGAGCTAGATGGGGTAGGATCAGGCTAATCCAAACTGGGTCGACTGACAGTTGGGGAATAGCAACTACCCAAGGGTGAATTTAGGTGCTGCTCATAAAAGAGGGAAATTGATGAAAAGCCCATGAAAGCTCAATAAATGTCTCCCCTTCTCTCAAGTCCCATGTGATTTTCAGTCTTCCCACTTCAGTTTGTCTGATGTAACCAGATGCTGATATAAAGAGTAACTCACTCTTCCACCCTCCTCCCCTAACACCTCATTGTAGAAAGCTTCTCAGGGGCAGACTCAATAGCTTCTTCCAGGAAATCTTCCTTTATCTGGAGGACAGGCTCCCTCTCTTCCCCTTCACCTGTAACCTTCTATCCATACCTTCCTTTGGGCTCAGGAAGCTTTGCATTATAGTCATGTGGGCTGTCCCTTCCCACCTCCCCTTACTGGGCATGGCCTACCAGAAACGAGGGCATCCACCTGGATGTTTCTTTCCTGGACCAGGCACAGAAGAGGTGATCAAATGATATTTGTAAATCAATCATTGTTCCTGATACAGTCATGAGAAAAATATTCCAAAGATACAATTAACAATAATCCTTTAGTTGATGAGTTGAAGGCGTCATCTCATTTCTCCTCATCGCTTCCTGCTTCTTTTCCTGCTCCCTCACTCCTCTCAGGCACCCCACTTCATAGAATTAGAAACTCTTAAAGCTGAGAGAGGCTGATTCAGGGAGCACCCAGTTCACAAGCAGAGCTGCACTAGTCTCTTGACAACCTGTTCAGTAGTTCTTCCATTATAATCCATTTTTCCTGTTTTTTGAATATTTCAATTTGTCCTCCTAATGATGTTACAAATAAGCTATTATTACTCCTTTATTTTATAATGTGGAAACTGAGGCTCAGGAATATGGAATGGTCTGCCTTACTGCAGGTTTTATTTTATAATCCTGGCTTTTATACTTCCTTCATCTGGTCTTCTTAATACATGTACATCTTTTATTTTAATCTGATTTATTTCTATGATGTTAAAAATGTTTAGGCGAGCCACCTGGAAACCATTTTGTAGGGATATGGGTTATAACCAGATGCTGATATAAAGAGTAACTCACTCAAGGACACATGGACCTGAAGCAGAAGTCTTGGCCACTCCATGGCCTGGGTTCCCTTGACTTCCTGCTGCCAGAACGTCCTCACACCATGGGGCTGAGAATGGAGGTCCGCAGAAAGAAGGCAGGAGGATAGGGTTACACTTGAAGCCGAGGAACAATATGATTCACTTCCCATCAGCCCTCAGATGCCTTTTGCTTTCCCCACTAGACATGAGCTCATGGAATTCTATTTCCCGTTTCTTTAGATAGATTTTCCTTTTCCTGGAGTAAGGTTAAATGGAACCATCACAGGGATGCATTCATTAAGAGCAGCAATTGAATAGTAATAGAATAATTGTGCCGGCCCTGGTACCACAGAGATGATAGCTAGCATTGCTCTAAGAACCTACAGAGGCCACATTTACGTTTTAGGGCAGCCCTTTTGAAAACTTTGGCATAGGTCCCCAACACTGTTTTTCTTCCCGCAGCGTGATGTGAGAACAGTGTTACAGTGCATGCCTTGTTTAAGCACAAGCCAGGCACTGTGCAGCCTGGGAGGTGGATTATGCTCCAGATGAATTCACAGAAATCCTCAGCAGGAATGGGTTCAGTTCCTGCAGGCTCCGTGTATATATATTACAATAATGTCTGTTGCAAATAGGCTCCATGGTTATCATACCAATGTAAGGAGCAGCTGAATGTGAAGGAACAAGCACATGTTTTGACTATTCATATACTTGAACTTGACATTTTGACTTGCAAGGCCCTCTGCATTTGGTTTAGGCTTATTTTCCACTATTGACTGACATATATAAACCTTAAATCCAGAGAGCAAGTAAGTTTCATTCTATGTACCAACTCTGAGCACTTGGGAGTGGCTGCCTGGAACACTGTGTTGAGAGGAATTCTGAGGCCACATCCTAACTTAGCAGGATAAAGCTCTTGGATTGATTAGTGAGGTCTGCTATAGGCAAAGGGGAGGCGGGTGTCAGCACACACACCTGCCACCCCTATCTCTGCCCAACATGTTAGCTTTATTGGATAGGGTACAATTTTATACCTCCCTATCCCTACCTTTCCTAATCTTCTTTTTATTTTTTAGGAATCCTTTTCTTATGAATATCTGTTAATATTCTTTATGAACCATTGCAAACTGTAACTATCCTATAAAGCTATTAATATTATCAAGGCTGGGCATGGTGGCACATGCCTGTAATCTCAGCACTTTGGGAGGCCGAGGCAAGTAGATTGCTTGAGTTCAAGAGTTTGAGACCAGCCTGGGCAACATAGTGAAACCCTGTCTCTACAAAAAATACAAAAATTAGCCAGGCATGATGGTGCATGCCTGAAGTCCCAGCTACTCGGGAGGCTTGAGCCCAAGGCTGAGGCTGCAGTGAGCCAAGATCGCACCACAGCACTCCGGCCTGGGTGACAGAGTGAGACTCTGTCTCAAAAAAATAATAAATAAAAAATAAAGCTATTATGAAATCCTCCTAAGTGGAAATATGTTTCTTTCTTCACCATTCTTTTAGCCTTTGCTAACACTCTTAGTTAAGTACTATTTCCTAGCTTGAATTAGAGAGTTATGCATCTATGTACCTTGTGTCTCCTGGAGAATTGTAAGCTCCTTGATGGTACAAATCATCTCTCTTTTATCTTTACATCCCTGTGGCCATTTGCTAAAAAGAAAGGCTAGATTTCAAGAATGGGTCTTAGCTTCTTTGGTTATGTCTCCCCCTTTTACAGATGAAAAAATGATCGACTGACACAGAATTGGGGCATTGTCAAAGGTCACACTGAAAGTTAGAAATATTGGTTCTGACTCCAAAACTCAGACTCCAGGAATGTTAGAGTTGGAAGGATTCTCAGAGGCTGCTTAATTGTGTTTGAGTAGCCAGGAAGCTCTGAGTGAAAGGACATCTGACCTTTGCTTGCTACTTCCTTATTTTGGGCTTTGATGTTCTAGTTTCATTGTGATAGCTTTGTGGTAAACATGATTTTATTGTGAACCATGAAAAATTATTTTTGGAAATAAGCTGGAAGTGAATAGTGAACAAATAAATATAAACCAGTCTCCTCATTTATTCATACATTTATCTAAGGAAAATTATTGATATTTTTCTAGGTCCTGGGGAGATAGCAGTAAACAAAACAGACAAAATCCATGCCTGTATGGAGTTTAAACTCTAGAAGTATGTGTGTGTTTGGTTCTGTTTGTATTAACTCATCAAATCCTCACAAACTACATGATATAGTTAATATTATAATTATCTTCATTATTAAGAAATTAATAATGGTCCCTGATAAGAAAATTAAGGTCCAGAGAGATGGAGTAATTTGCCCAATGTTGCAAAGCTAAAAAGTGATAGTGGCAGGCTTTGAATTCAAGTAGCTGACTCCAGCCCCTCTGCCCTGAATCACTATTGCTACATTTATGAACAGAAAACGGATACTCAGAGAGGGTAGACTACTAAGCCAAAGCCACATAGCTCATTTAGTGGCAGGGTTAGGCTTTCTGATTCTCAAACCAGGTTCTTTTCAGGCCACCAGTCTGCCTTTCTTTTTCAAACTGCGGGAAGGAGTGGGACAGACAAAATCCATGGGTCCAAGGGCTGGGTAAGATCTGAGAACACGTAATTTCTCTTGTAGGATAGACACGGGGTGTTTGTTTCTCACATTGGCGAGATGGTGGGAGGGTGAGGAACAGACTTCCAACACACCAAATATTACCCTAATTGGCTCAAAGGCCATGATTGTATCAAGTTCCAGAAATTATGAGTGAACCAGACAGTTAGGCCACCGCAGCTGGTCGGCAAATTATTGGCTCAAGTGTTGTAATTATTAAATGCAGCAGAGAGAGAGAAAGAAAGAGAGCAAGAAACTCAGACACTTAGTCCGGGATAATTGATCCAAAAATTATGGGTTCCAAGAAGGCCAACACTTGCTTAAATTTAGATTTGGACTCCACTGCTGTCACACGCACACAAATGACTACTGTTTCCTGGACACCCACTCAGCACACACAATCAGCCCCTCAGCTCTGCCAGCCCACAGGAACAAAAGGGATTTTGATTCTGATTATTTTTAAACTTTAATGACAAATCCTTTCCTTCTCTACATTAAAAAATAAAGGCTGTGCATAGTACCATTAAGGGACTGCTCGCTGCTGTGAGATTCTCGGAGGCACTTACATTGTTTAAATTTTAATTTCTGGGTTGAAATTTTTATTGAAAACATCACTATCTTTCTAAACAACAACAAAAAAGTTTCTTCTCTTGTCACTGTGCTAGTTTGTTCTTTTACCTGCTCTCACTTTGCCTCAGCAGGAGATCATCCTGCTTCTCTGTGGCTGTGTGGCTCCAGGAAGCCTCACTTCATCCCTGTGATCCAAATTTGCTATTTCTGCCCTGGACAAGCAATCTTTAGTATTTTTTTTTCTTTGTAAATTAGAATCTATGTTAGGGACAGGCTAAGGACATAAGCCTGCAAATTCTTGGCCACCGTGAGGCGGAATTCCTCTAATGATAACGATAATGATAATGATGACATTGACAATGTTGATGATATCATGATTGTGACAGTGATGAAACCTCTATAACATTTTCTGGGCACTTCCCATGTGCCAGACCCAGTTCTGGGTACTTCATATGCATTATCTCCCTGTATTCTTCAACACCCTACAAGGAAGCTATCATTAACCCCATTTTGCAGAAGAGAAGACAGATTATGAGAGCTCTTTGCACCAGGGAGAGAGATGTAATAATTTATTATTCTGGAATAATATTGACAGTAACAGATATCACTAGAAAATCAGATGTGAAGGACTTAGTGAGAGCCAAAGAGAGATGTTTTTTAATTAGGTACTGGCATAAACCAGGAAGACTTCATGATAAAGAGCATCTGAGCTAAATGTGGAAAGCAGAATAAGATTTTGACATGCATGAAAATATCTTTAGTAAAGACAAGAAAACTGGAGGTATGTTTGGGAATGGAGGAAGGTGAAGCATGGAGGCAACTAAGGTAGGGTGTAGGGAGGCGGTGGTTAGTTTTCTTAGAGGGCCTTGGATATCAGCCTAAGGATATTAGTCTTTTCCCCATGGGCAAAGGAATCACCCAGTGTTTTCCTCAAGAGAGTGACTAAACTGGAATAGCAACTGAGAAAGATCACTCAAGGAAAGTGTAAACAGGAGGTTGGGGGAGGTCAAGATAGGAGGCAGGGAGGTTAGAAGGGAGCCTGTTAGAATAGACTCTTCTCATCACTCCTTCTTATGTGGCCATGCTCTTCCTGGTGACCTGCCTTGCATCCAGCCCTCCACTTAGGACTCCCAGGTGGTCCCACTGGTCCCAGTTGACCCTCAGATAGCTCTCTGCTGCCCCCACCTGGCCTAGGCAGCCCCTGCCACAATTCACTTGCAGGGCCAGGCCCTCTTACACATGTACTAATATCATGGTGAATAATATGACTCCTAGGACTACTGGCCAAGACTCAGAGCACATTCTACATACCAGGCACTGTCCATGTCTTTTACATGCATCAGGTGCTTAACAGTAACCTCATAAGAACTTTATGAAGTAGCTCATGTTCCTATTTCACAGGTAAGGAGACTGAGGCATCAATATGCTCTATTCTCAGGATGATAAGATGTAGAGGCTTTGCCAGGAGCTTGCTTGAAGATCTAGGATTACGGCCTTAGAGCCACTTCTGACTGGATACTGTGGGAGGACCTGGTTGGAGCCCCATAAGGGGGACCTCCCCATGGGGTGTAGTTTATAGCGTGGCTGCTTCAGGGAGGTGACCTGGCTGGAGGGAGGAATGGGGGAGGATGGTCATGGGCTGGACTGTAGCACTGAGAATTGGGGCCAGCAGGACAGGCAGAGCTTTACACAGGAAATGGGCAGCAGAGGACCTGGGAGACGGAAGCAGAAAAAGCAATAAAGGAGCATGGGGCCCGCCAGACTTGGCTTCAGGTTCCAGACTGTAACCAGAGGGCAGGTCTGGGGCTAGCTTTGTGTATTTGTTGCCTTCTTTAAACAGACAGGATTCTTAATGCTCAAAGTAACCTTTTCAACTTGACAATACTTTGGGGTTAAGGCTCTGACTCAGAAGATTCCTGTTAAGAAAAATCTACTGGCATTTTTCAAGCCAAAAGCAGAGCCCCGAGGAGGTGGGAGACAGAGCAGGGTGGTGTTTTAATGGAGACACAGTGGGGTGGGAAGATCCAGGTCGGGACGCAGCTGGCAGTCTGCAGGAGAGAGCAGGCCTGGAGAGGTGTCGGGGAGAGCCAAATGCAAACTTCTCCCACTTCCCAGTGTTGCCTGGGGCCAGCCCTGGGCACAATGATAATGTTTCTATAAAACAATTCTCAGGAAGCCTGGTAGGAGAGCCGTACCTTTCCACAATTAAGTGCATCCTTCCAACTTAAAGACCTCTCTGGGATCAGCTGAGATTGTGAATGTGTTTTGAGTATACACGAAGTGTCATATCAGGGATGGCAGGGAAAGCTGGGGGGATGTTTCTGCATGTGCACGCCCCTGTGCACATTCTCAGTGTTACAAACTTCCTTATGTCCAGTAAGTCATCTCACAACCCCAAATGCTTATTGTATTCTGGCTGATGCAGCAGCAGCTGAGCCCCTCCCCAGACAGACAAATGAAGGGATATAAATAAGAGTGGGAAGGAAACCTTTCAGGGAGTGTTGCTTAAATTATTATTGGCAAGAAACAGAAATCATTTTAAGACAACAGAGGTTTATTAATAAGGATGGTGTAGACCAGAACTGGATTTGCTTATGCTTCAAACCAAGATGGCCCTGTGGACCCACTGCTTTCCTGGTCTCTGTAATGTCCTGTGTTTACAGCACCTCTGCTTCTTTCTGCTCCAATCAGAACCCAAGGTCAAGGAGATAATTGTGTGTATGTGCTGCAGCCCACATTGTGGAGCGGAGGTGTGACAGACTTAGCTAATTATTGCTCCCATTGGAGAGCACCATTCAGGACAGCCTCTTGGGGTACTGGCTGGCCAACGGATGAGCCACTTTGGATGGGATGTTCACTTCCCAGACAATCATTGGCCACCTGGCACTAAGAGCAGCTTATAGCTGCTTCCCTCAACAGAAGTGCAGATGGGTTGGTTTTAGACAAGAGAGAATGTAGAAACTTGGAGGTCACCATAGAAGACACTTCTGAGGCAGGAATGCAACTAGGAAGTCATCCTAAGAATGAGATGAGGAATTAGGGGAAAAAGGAAGAAGAGAGACATACGTAGAAATGGAAAAAGGACTTTCTGGGACCACAAATGTCAGAGCTGAAACATATGTTAATGACAATCTAGTTAAACGTCTCTAATTTACAAATGGAGAAATTGAGCCTCAAGACCAACATTTGGGACCATAAACCAGTTCTTCCTTCACTTCTAAGGCTATCTTCTCTCTTTCAAACTGCCCATCTAGGAGAAGTTTCTCAAAGCAGATGATTTAAGGGGTCAGCCAACCTCTTCATATATGAAGGATGGATCTACATTGCTTATTGAGATTCACCGAGCAATGCTTAAGTAAAGACCTTGTGTGTGAAGGACACTTGAAGTACATATGATTGGGAGCTATATGTAAAAAGATCAAACCACAGAAATGAAAGAAAAATTAAAATTAAATTTTGATTAAATATTTGAATTAGAAATGGCTTTGTAATATTAAAACCAATACAAGTACCAAAGGGAAAGATGGATATATTTGAATGATTAATATATACTACTTTTGTATGTGAAAAATTAAGAAATTAAAGTGTAAAAACTGGGAAAATTTGTACAAATGTCAAATAAGTAATATTATTACTGTGTGAAGATTTGTGAAAATCAATGGATAATAGGGAGAAGATATAAACATACATAAAAAGGGGAAATACATGACTAATAAACATTTGCACAAAGTCTCTGCTATACTAATCAGAGCAATGAAAATTAAAATAGTAAGCAGATGCACAATTTCCCTGGCCACTTCTTTTTCTACCAAAATTAGCAAAGATTAAAAAGAATACCTAGTGCATGTATAGGGACAATGAAACAGCTGCCCTCTTACACAGTGCAAAGGAGTTTATAATGATATACTTGTTTTAGAGAATAATACAGGAATGGGTATCTGGGAATTTGTCATAAGGAAAAAATGCAGAATTTAAAGATGTTTATAAAAGTGCTTATCAAAATGAATAATTAAGAAAAGCCTGTTGTGCCATCACAGAGGAATGTTTAAGTAAACCATGTTTCCTCTGTGAAACATGGAATGCATTCATATATGCAGGAACATGCAGCTTTTAGAATATTTCCAACAATGTGTGGAAATTGTGGCATCATCGTGTTAAATCAAACCTGTGTGTGAAACCTGCATGTGAACCCTATACAAAACAGGCACAGCAGAAAAGACCCATTTAGCATGTGAGCCAAAAAGTTTTCATTTCTTCTGCTTAATGGATCATTCTATATTTTTGTTTTGTTTTTTGCTTTTCTCTTGAACCTAAATAAACATGTATTATTCTTATACACAAAATAAACTTAAAAAAGAAGTGTGGGAATTCATTTGAACTTGAGTGCAGCAAATATGAAGAATTGAAAGAGTAAGGGAAGAACACAAGGAGCAGTGTGCCGGGCCTTGTGGCTGGGTCCCTGACCTCCATCTACTCTTTCCCCATGGTACGTCAGCCTTGCAATTCAGGAGAGACTGATTCTACCCCCAGCTCTGGGGGTTGATTTACACTTTGACAGGTATAAATCAATCAGGGTACTCCCTATTCCTCACTTTGCAAAAGGTTGGTTTTGGTAACCCAGGGTTAGGCCAAAAAGACCCAGTGATTCTCCCAGGGCCCAATAGAGTGAAGTGAAGTTCTTTGAATTGATGCTCATGAAATTCCCTCTCTCCCCTCCAGAATTGAATAGGGAAGAATTTGGCCCTGACTGCTGCTGGTCACCATCTTGAAATATTGAAGGCAAATTTGACCTATGAGCAAAGTCAGCACCGAGAGGAGGGCAGAAGCTGGAGGACTGCAGAGGAACTGGACTGCTCTTTCCCCCACTTTGGGGCTTTTTCATTCAGTGAACAAGTGCATTAAGTTGGTTTGAGTTTTGTTTTATTTTTTAAATAGTATGAATTACAAGAATTCCTGATACAGACGACATCAGAGATTACTTCCCATAGACAGAATACATCAGAAATAGGGGAAGGGAATGTTGGAAAAGTTGAGGACATATGTCTGACTTCACTGTTGGGAGAAAGGAGCCAGAGAAAGAGGCCTAGAAACTAAGATGAGACCTAGAAAAACAATGTAAGGTAGCAGTGGTCCAGGAGGGAAAAGCCCTTTGGAGATGATGAGCAGCACAATACAAACATGGCCTTACCTCGTCTCATCTCATCAGCTGGGTGGTCCTGCTAAATTATATGCAGTGGATGAAGAAACAATGATATCCCTGAAGAGGGATGTTTTTGTCCTCTTTTGACATGCTAGGCACGTTCTAGATCATTTCTGGGAACTGAGACACACTCCACCAGCCATCTAGATACCCACCAAACACATCATACCTTATACATGGTCAGTGGTCCATGCTTTACTGATTGGTATCTCCAACAAAGAGCTACCAGTTAGGGATGAAGGCAGGGGAAGTTTTGCACAATCTAGGTAGTCGCTGGCTTTGGATTTGAAAAAGAAAATCCTCAGCTCAACTAAGCAATTTTCACTTTGAAGTTAAATACAAGTTGCTGACCAGCTTTTGCTGAAGAGTTGGAGTGTATGTGTGCAGGCCCAGATACAAATAATAACAAAACAGTGACTTTGGTATGTAATACTATGGTTTCAAGGAGATCTCTGTGCCTCTGGTAGAACTTCTTACTCTACTCAGTCACCTGAATGGATGCAACTATTCATTCAATCATTTATTCATTTAATAAATGTTTATTTGGGACCAATTATGGGCCATGCATGGTGTTATGGATGGGGGATATAAGAATAAATAAAATAATAAATGAAATATATGTATTTATTTAATCCTCCTTATATGCCACCACCACAGTGAGCACTTGCATTGTATTATCCATTGCATTTCATCAACTGAAACAAACCTATAGCTCAGCACTATTATTTATTCCAGTTTTAACAGATGAGGAAACTGAAGCTTAGTTAGGTCACTTGCCCGAGGTCACACAGTCTCCAAGAAGTGGAACCAGCATTCAAATCAAGAGCTTACATACAGTTAATTAACCCCAATGCCAAGGGGAAGACAGAAGCCCAAATAATGTGTTAAATTCCCAAGGGATCTTGTGGGGGATATATGGCGTAGGGGAAATTGAGACGGTGGTTATTGATTCTGTTAGTAAATGTTTGAAAGAAAAATTGTCATTTGAGCTGGATCTTGTTAAATATGGAGAAAAATAACAGGTTTTGAGAAGGAAGTATATTCATATCAGAGAGAAGAGCTTGAGCAAAAATATGAAGATGAATGACCATGGTGACTGTTCCTGGAGATCCCCCCCACTTTTGGAATATCTGAAGAATCCAGTTCAGCGGGGCAGCAGCAGGGAAAAGGATGATGAGAAAGGCTATATTTGTCAAGCTAAGGAGTTTGAACTTGACCTTGCAGGCAAGGGGAGCCAACTGAGGTTTTCCAGCCTAGAGGCAACATGTCTATATTTGTGTATATGTGTTTTAGAATTATCTTGTAGGCAGCCTGTGTCAGGGGATATTTAAAAGGGAGAGACCAGATGTACAGAAACTTGTTGGGGGATGCCTTTGTAAACTGTAGGCAGAAAAATAAAGAGAACTTGAGCAATCCATTCCCTACCCCATTAGTCATTAGGAAGTAGTCCTAATGAAGTTCTACTTTTCTAGAGTTATGGCTATGGTTGGAAAGGTTATGTAATATTAATAAAGAGAGCTTTGGCATTAGATGCTCCTGTCTTCAAATCCTGGCTCTACCATTTACTAGCAATGTGTGATTAATAAACCTCACTTTTCTCATATATATACTAGTAATAAGACCTAATTCATAAGATATTGGGAGGATTAAGTGTAGTAATTTGTATACAGTGTCTGGCAAAAAAGAAATCAGTAAATAGTAGTTCCCATCCTCACTCCTTCATGCTAAGAAATGAAAAACTGGTGGCCACAGATCACTTATAGGACCTGCCACATACTGACAATTTTCAAGATTCAATAGAAATATTTAGCCTTTGACTCCATAATGTTTTTTAGTCTATTAGTTAAATAAATTGATTGATTAAGTTTAGTAATATTTCTACCACTTTAGCTATATTAGTCAGAATAGACTAAGGTGTGCTGCAGTAACAAATTAACTCTGGAATCTTAATAGCTTAATAACATGAAGGTTTATTTTACAATATCAACATCAGTCATCAGAGGGGGTTTTACTTCACGTAGTCTCTCAGGGATCCAAGCTGACAAAGATCACACTATCTTGTAACTGCACAATCTGAAATGCAAGGTCTCCAAGAGCTCTGCAGAAAAGGAAGAGAGACAGAGAAGGTACACAGGAGTTTAATGGCCTTGAATCAGAAGTGACACCTGTCACTCCCACTCAGGGTCACTTGTTCTAAACTAGATACATGGCGCAAGCCTTGCAAGAAAGCCTGAGAAATATAAGAGTGCCTGGGATATGTGCTGAGCACTATTTACTCTGCTACACTAGCTATAACCTATAAAAATTGTAAAAAATGTAAAAAAGTGTATTTTCCTTTGGTTTAAGTGTCAAGTTATCCTCGACAAATGAATTTGTTCTTCCTCATGTTAGTTCTCATCACAATTCTCTGCTTCAGAGTCACTCATCATGAAAGATCTCCCACACTCCTTTCAGTAAATGACTCTAATAGTAGGAAGTCTGTCTGAGAGACCTTCCAGGTCAAACTTTGTATGGAAGTTCCATATCCTAAATTGGTAAGTGACCCACTAAAGCATACAATTTTGTTTTGACTCTCGCTGCTTTAACAAGAGAGTGACAAGAAAGCTTCTATGAGTGCTAGGCTTGGAGTGGGTTAGAGCACAGATGATTGGCTCATGGAAGATATTACCCCCTATACATGAATTCTGAGGGTGGGTAGCCCTCTTATATTCTAAAACACTAACTTTCCAATTTTGGATCTGACACATGTCATACCAGAATCATGTATGACACATAGAAAATACACATATTTTCACACATCCTTATCTTAGCTGTTCTGAATCTGTGAAAGAGGACCTAGGAATCATTAGCAATGCTTAGTCTTGCTTTGAGATCAGGCCCAGACAAACTTGATTATTAATCTGAATATTATGGTTCATTCATGGGCACAACATCTCTGGGGCTGGGCAGGAATAAGGTGGAAACGTCTATGTGTGATTGCAAAGACTGAGTTTGAGGATTCAGTAAGGAGCAAACCCCTGGATCAAGTGTGACCCTGTGGGTGTGGAGTCAAGCAGGGTTCACCCTCCCTCAGAGGATCATATTGGCCTGTGCCAGAGACTGAGACAAGCCAAACATTGTTCTGCGTGCACCAGCCCTGCCAGCAGCAGGGAAGTGGGCCAGTGCTCTACAGCGGCACCGTGTGGCAGGGAAAAGCTTTGCCAGCAAGATCGGAAGCTGAAGAGCAGACAGCAGCGCTCTTGCTCAGAAGTGATCCCGTAGGCTCCTTTTTGATTGTACAAATCTTCAAGATTCTTGGAAAAATAGAGAGTGGAGTGCTCGAGGGTATGATGCTGGTTGAGTTACCTGTTTAGTTGCTAGAAGCTCTAGACTATTTGAAATGAAGTTTGGAGAAATAAAAGACATATCAAGAGACCCTGCACTAAGAGTTGTGGAAAAGTTTATACTGTTATGTCCAGATGGGAAAGTTGAGGCCCACGTAGAAGACTTTCCTAAGTTAAGACAGTGAAGAGTGGCAGAGATAGCTTCATACCCAAATTTCCTTACTCCTAGTTCAGTGCTCTTTCTGTGGAAACATAAGATGCTCACTGCAAAATCTCAAAGGTCTGGAAAGTCTCAAAATAGAATTCTTTTCCTCTTTTCTTCCCCAGTACCTCAATCATCTTGCTTCTCTTTCTACCTTCCTCCCCTTTGTTTTGTTGCATCTGATTCAAGTAGGCTACCCTGGATCTGGACAGGAATAGAGATGGGAAGGAGAAAGGTAAAGAATATACCAGGGCAATCTAGGGAAGTCTGTAGGGCAAAAGTAAAGCAATGATGTCAAAGGTGCCAAACTGATGTAGAGGAACTCATTTGGTATATCCAAGGCCACTACTCAAGTCTGGCCCCACAGGCTTACTTAAATCATCAGAGTCAATTCTTAGTTCAATACCAATTTTGTTTACACAGTTCATACTTCTCCTTTTCAGACATGGGAGACTATGTACACGGAGTTAGATGTGAATGGCATGCGAAATTATTTCACCCCTATGGGCCTAATTCTGTTATCTATAAAATGGATATACTGTCTCATGAGAGTAAGCAAAACAATATAATAGTTATGCCTCTTACAGGGCCTGACATATAGTAGAAACTTAAATAATCCTTGGTTTCCTTCTCCTTTTTCAGGGTTACCCTTACTGAAGAGAAGCGCTGAAACAGGAAGAATCCAGGAATCAGAAACCCCAGGACTGTAGTTGCACTCTTGCCAGCCCACCTGGGTGCTTGGCGGATGTCTCAGTACTTGAAATAGCTAATTCTGAAAGTCAGATACTATGATAAAGAAACGTGGGAGGAAAAAACCATTGACCTATTTTCCGGAGAAAGGAAATATTCTGCCAAAACAAAGATGTTTCCAGAGAGTGGGTTGGTTTTGATAAATAATTAACTTGGGTTGATTTCATTGTGTCTGGAGGAGTAATTACAACAGCATGTTCACGCCCCTGGAGTTCTGTTGTTGTCACATTTTCCACGATAACATCTTTGAAAAAAATGTGTTCAGAAACTTGGCTATAAAATAGTGCTCTGGTCTACAGAATGCCAGAAAACTTTCACAGTTTATGGGCAGTGTTTTTAATTGCATCAGAAGATGCCCTATTGTTTCCAACTGGCCTCAATTAAACCAAGGTAAATGAAGTTGTATTGCCTTGGGAGGTATTTCATGGCCACCAAAGTAGAACGCCCCTCCTGTTGTCCTGTTGAGAATATTGCTCCACTCAACAGTTACTGAGCATCCTGTCACCTGACAAATGTCTTTCTCTGTGCCAGGTGCTGGGCTGGTTGGGTTGGCTACAGCAGGAGCTTTCTTCTAATGTTGAGCCTACATTCTAACTAAAGAGATGAGACATTATGATGTAGGAGAAAAAGTGATGAACTTAAGATACCGATTCAAATTCAAGCTCTTCCACTTATAAAATCTAAGGGTTTCATTTTCCGCTTTTGTGAATAGATAATTAGATTCGAAGGTAAATAGATTTGAATTCTTAGCCCAACTCTGGAAGCAGTGGCTGCTGTATTGAGTAGCATCATGAGGTCATGTTGATGTTTGGTGAGGAAGAGTATTATGAGAGCACAAGAATGTTTAAATTCTTCTACATGAGACCCTGAGAGGTAGAGATGGGAAGAAGATGGAAGAGGGAGAAGCATGACAGAGGATCCCAAAAGATGGTATGGCAGAAACAATGCTGTGTTCTCATCAAATATAATTTTCCTTTTGGGACCACTTATAGCTACATTTCCCAGCTTCCTCTACAGTTGGATGGGGCCATGTGACCAAGTCTGGCCAATAGAGTTGGGTAGAAATTATGTGTGCCACTTTATGGGTTGGCCCCTGAAACATCCTGTGTGGTTCTCCATACCCAATTCTCCATGCTTGTTTTCTTGTCTCACAGCTGGATGCAGAAGATTCAGAGGTGAACTCCAATATAGAACCACTAGAGAGGAGACTGGATTCCTGGAACACTGCATAAGACTTTCCTCTAAATACCCAACTGGACTGCCACTGGGATTTTGAGGTTGTTTGTTATAATGTTTAGCCTCCTCTGCCTAAAAGACTATGGGAAGCAGAAAATGATACAAAAAGTGGTCAGAGGACACCCCTAATGGTGGAATGGTAAAGGTCATTTTTGGTATGGACATGCCTAAAGTACCTAAGTCCCCTGAGAATTTGCCATAGACTCATGCAAGACGTAAAATGAGATTTTGACTCATTTTTGTCTAGACGCTAAGGGAGCAGAGAGACTCCAGCTGATCTCAGGGTTACTGGGACTGAAGGTCTCAAAACAAACCAGCAATCTCGACGACACTGAAGCATAAACCTCCCTGAGGGCCTTGCCTGACTCTCAGCCTGGCCCCCATTTGCCACCATTCTCTCTGTCTTTCTCTGATTTTTCAAGACCATCCAGACCACAAGAATGCCATGCTCTAGGGAATCTTGCCTGTCAAGAAATTCAGAGGCCCTGCATCCTTTAGTGATGGGGTTAGCGTTTGGCTCCAGATAAGCAAAATAAGATGAGATCTTTGTGGAGCAGGGCAGCCTATCTGTCGTCTTTGGGAATGGACCTGCTTGTGAAACAAAATTGGGTTGTATGAAATTCCTGGGATAGATACTTGTCTATTTTCTTAAACTGCATTTAGAGAAGGTTGAATTGGCCATGATTAACTCCTGATGAATCAGTGCCAATGGACAGTGGAATGGTTTCTGTTGGATCAAGTTTCACTTCAGCTCTCAAAGAATACATATTTTTAGATGTGAATTTCAGATTCAAAGTCTCCTTTTGCTATGATTTTGGGAGTCTTGCCAGGTGGATGTGTTAACTTTCCAGACCAGTGGCTGAAATCTGAACCATTGTTTTCCTTTGAGATTGTTTGTCAGACTCTTAAAGTCTTGGGGCAGGGGATTCCAGATATGTCTCCTATGCTGTTCACAGTTTGTGTGCTCTCACATCCAGGGTGATTTAGTTACAGATTAGAACCCAACACCTTCCTGCCCCTCCACTCCCTCCCTAGGCATCTCCTAAACCAAGGACAGTGGCAATTCTCAGAAACCCAGGGTTAGTATTTTCCATTTAATGAACTTCAAGCACTGGGAGAGTACTGAGAGACCGCCTGATGCAAACTGGTTGCTTAGCAGCTGGGCAAAATAATGCCCACAGAGGTGAAGCAATATGAAGAAAGTTATACAGCGAATCTGAGTCATAAACAGAAAGTGAAAAATAGTAGGATGTTTTTAATATACTGTAATTTTATTACAGTGCATTGTAAAAGAGTACAAGTTGAAGTGAAGAATAAAAAATTTTAAAAAAGAGTTTGGAATTAGAATATTAAAAAGAAATCAATAAAAGATATCCTAAAAAGAAGATTCATGAAACTCCCTTCTCAAATAAACAAAAATGAAAAATATTGAAGCAAATATAGCAGACTAAGCCATTCGCCAAAATTAGGGAAGTCATATTCTGAGAGTTGTGAAAAATGCTTTTCAGATTCAGAACAATTTGGACAGTACTGAAAGTAGATGCCTAGCACAAATGCCTGACTCCCCTTAGCAACAACATTGCAGTAGAGCAGGAAAAAAGAGAAAGAAAAGCTGAAATTTGCTCATAGTCCAGATTTAGAAGCACAGGGGTTAAGATGCAGGTTGTTCCAGGGAACTACCTCCTATAAAGAACCTTTTCTCCAGTGTTGATAAAAATGCACTATAAAATCTTGGCTGGAATTGCTGCCAATGTTTCCTCTGACCTTTAGCAGGACAGATGGCATGAGAGGCATTGAGGGGTAATTTCTTAGGATTCACTGCCTGGGCTGATCCAGCAGCAGCAAACACAGGCTTAGTATGGTGTGGAAATCAATGCACAGCTAAACTGATTCAAAATCATGTGAGAAATAGGGACAGCAACAAGGACAGCATCTTTTATAACCAGTCACCCTGAGAGAGGAGCACACCCAGATTCAAAGCTCAGCTTCGTTCCTCCATGAGACAGGGGAACTGAGTCACCAACAGAGTGGTGCTATCCTCAGTTACTTCCAAAAATTACAGAGAAAGAAAGCAAAGACAAAATTCTTTAATTGTGGTTATACAAAACCCCAGCTCCTTGTCCACACCCTTTGGGCACTTCAGTGACTAGGCCAAAGAAAAAAAAAATTCTGGTGTTCCAGCTCATATTCCAAGGAAAAGATTCAAATATTGCTCAAGACAACAGGAAATCCACGCCGACTCAAGAAAGAAGCAGCTTCAGATACAATGGCTCTGTTCAGAGACAAATGAAAAGAAATTCCTGCAGTAGGAAACCACAATAAGAATTGGAAAAAATAAACACATGCACAAATAGATGGAACATTACATGCAAAATACAAATAGAGCAAAATTTGAAGGAAGATATAGTCAAGGAAATAGAAAAACATGTTAGCTGCAACTAACTCACATCCTAAAGAAAAACATGGACTTTATGGAATGAGAGATATATTGATGATTACACAACTGATTAAAACAGAAAGCTGGTAGAAATGAGGAAAGATAAGAAGAGTGACAATAATATTCTGTAAATTTTAAAATAAAGTATTAGCTCCCAAATACCAGAATTAACACCTGAAAATATTAAGTCAGTGGTGTGGAGACAGGATTGAAAAATAACAGAATGAATAACAAATAAGAAAAGACAAACATATCCACCAATATTATAATATGATAGGGAGAGCAAAACATGGTATTTAAAGAAAAGGAGCACTTCAAGTGGAATAGAAATATAATCTAAGACCTAAGAGAAGAAAACTTCTCGGATTTGAAGGAATAACTGACATTCTAGTTTGAAGGGCTTTCCTTATATAAGGAAACTTAAAAGAGAAAAAAATCCCACCAAACATAGCCTAATGAAGCTATTAGATTTCAAAGAAAAGGAAAAAATATCTCTTCTTAAACTTCAGGAAAGTTGCATTACTTAAAGGGAAAAGTAAGTCAGGTTGACTTCAGGATGTCAAAAAAAAAATTGAACAAGAAACAGAAATTCTATAACCAGTTAAGTTACCACCAATGTGTAAAACTAATAGAAAGTTATTCTCAAATATTTAAGTCTTGGGAAATATTTAACCCATGTGAGCTTCCAGAAAAATCTACTTGAAGATGTAGCTCAGACAACCCCAAGATTTTTAAGAATAGTGAAAGTAAAAGTGTTCAAGAATGAGAAAATCTGAGTACAAAAGGGCTGAATTGGGCATTAAGTATGAAACATAATTATGCCTAAAAACTGGAGTGATTATAGTTAAAAAATCATTTGTAAAGATTATAGCTTTTTTAAAAAAAATGTTAAAATAAAAACAAAATGACAATAACAAGATCTCAAAACTAACTGTCATAGATTGGGGAAAAATTCCCAGAGCATCTCATTTTAACATGATGGGGGGAGTGCAATTGATTATTATCAATAGATTTGGTTTTGAAAAATACAATTTGATCTCATTTATAAATATTGATGTAAAAATCCAAAAGAAATTAAATATTAACAGTTTGATTAGCAGATTAATTTATCAAATATTTATTGAGCTTCTATTATGTTTTAGGATCTAGGTATATAACAATAAATTAACAGACAAAATTTCTGTCTCTCATGCAACTTAGATTTTACACCATGATCAATAGTGGTTTACACTAAGAAAACACACATGGGTTAGTACTATGGCATCTATGAATATAATTTAGAATCTTATCAAGTCAAAAGTGAAAAAAATACTATTATTTTGGTTAGTTGTTGAAAACTTGATAAAACTCAAATTTTATTCTTGATTATAAAACAAAACAACAATAACAACGTCCTTAGTGAAGTAGGCAGAAAGGATATGCCAATTTCTTATATATGCATATGTTGAAAAGTGCTTGATTGGGAATGAATAAAAGCATTCTGATTAAAGTTGAGATTAAAACAAAGCCAAGCTGGGAATAAAACAAAGCTACCTGTTGTGATACACAGAATCACTAGTCCCCCAAAGAAGTCTACGTCCTAATGCCCTAATTCCCAGAACTTGTAAATATGTTAGGTTATGTAGCAAATAATTAAGTTTCCACATGGAATTAAGATTGCCCATCAGCTGACCTTAAAATAAGGAGTTTTTCCTGTATTATCCAAGTGGGCCTAATGTAATTACAAGGGTTCTTAAAAGTGGAAGAGGGAGACAGAGGCAGAGGTGACCACAGAAGAAAGGCATAAGGAGATGAAATGTTGCTGGCTTTGAAGATGGAGGAAGGGGCCACAGCTAAGGAATGTGCATGGTGTCTAGAAACTGGAAAGAACAAGGAAACGTACTCTCCCCCAGAGTCTCCAGAAAGGAATACAGTCTTGTTGACACCTTGATTTTAGCCCAGTGAAACATGTGTTGGACTTGTAACCTCCAGATCTGTAATATCATAATTCTGTATGGTTTAAGGTTTGATAGATGGTTATGGCAGTCGTAGAAATGAATACAACATTATCTCCACTATCATTATGGAGTGCTGTGAATATGAATATTGGAAAGAAAACAACAATAATTACTTGCAAATGATATGGTTGTATAGCTGGAAAACTCAAAATAATCAAAAAACTATTAGAAAAGATCAAGTGTTCAGTCAGGAGGATCATTTATTAATGTAAAAATAGCTTTCTTACATTTCAACAATAAACTACGCATTAATACAATAAAATCCCAATTGTTGTAGCAAAAAGCCATAAAACATATAAAGTAAATTCAATAAGAAATTTCCAAGGTGTGCTTAAAGAAAACTGATACATACTAAAATAAAGGTATTTCCTTTGTTCTGACAATAACAGTCTTAATATTATAAAGAGTCTCTTAAAGAATTAAATTTAATAAAATCCCAAACAATATATCCATATCTTGGTAATGAAAACTTGTCAAAATTATTCTAAAATTCATCTCTGGAAGATAAATATGCAAGATTAACTAGAAAGAACAATACCATATATTTGTTTTTTAAAAAAAATCTAAAAAGCTATATTAATTAAAATGGTATGGTATTACTTTAGGGCTAGAAAGATAGTTTAATTGATTATAATAGATTAGTTCAGAAGTAGATTCAAATAAATATGGGAACATATTTATATGATAAAATGGTATTTCAGATCAGTGATGAGAAACAAGGACTAACAAGTAGTATTAGAATAATTTGTTGACCATTTGGGAAAAGAGTGAAGATGAATTAATACTTTATGTTTTATATAAAAATTAATTTCAATCAGCTCAAATATTTAAATGCAAAAATTAAAGTCATGATTATTAAAAAATAGTGAAGCACATTATTATTTTCTTATGCTTAGGAGGCCATAGCACAAAACTCATAAACTATAAAGGAAGAGATTGACTATGGTAAACATTTCTTGATGCAAAAAAGTATTTAAAGTTATAATTCTAAAAGTAAACTGTAAAACATTCTCAAGCAAGAAAAATACCAAATAATCCAATGGTGACTTGGGTAAAAATTACAGGCAGCCATTGAGAAAATGACAAATACGAATGCCCATCAACATCTGAAGAGATCATTCAACTTAACTCCAGTAAAATAAATGCTCACAAAACCTATGAAATGATTTCATTGTACCACATCAGATT
The DNA here is from genome assembly GCF_000001405.40 of Homo sapiens. Classification (NCBI taxonomy): domain Eukaryota; kingdom Metazoa; phylum Chordata; class Mammalia; order Primates; family Hominidae; genus Homo; species Homo sapiens. Next base: position 15,811,903 of record NC_000011.10, on the reverse strand, counting down.
GGTAAGAGGGAAAAGAGAGGTAATATCCAGAGTTGGCAAAGATGTAGGGAAATGAGAATGTTCAAATATAAGTTGATAGTTATGAAAGTATAATCTACCTGGATGGCACGATGTGTAAAGATTTAAAATGTACGTGTCCTGTGATCTCATGAATACAAATTTATTCTATAGAGATAATTGGAATAGAATGCAAGTATACAGGTATGTTTGTTAAAGAGTTGTCCCTAGCAGTGAATTAGTGGAAACAATGTGAACATCCACAGAAAGGGGAAAACAGAAGTCTATGGTGGTGAATCTATGCACTGGAGTATAGATGAAATATAATAATATCGACTTTATATAACAGTTTCTCAAATTTCATTAAAATCTATCTTACCCTTAAAAACATGCAACTACCTATATATTGTTGGGCAGAAAACAAGAGTCTGATATTGAGAAGTCTAGAAAAATATTTACCATTATCTTGATGGTGGGTTTTGTTGTTATTTGTTTATTCTTCAGTTTTTTACTATATTTTGTATATCTTTTTGTAATTTTGCATTTTCTACAGTGAAAGTGCACTTATTATTTTGTAGAGAAATAAACGCCAAGTTTAGTAAAGTTGGTGAACATTTTAAAAAGAAAAAAATCAGATGCCTCATTGCAAAGCAATGATTCTGTTAAAATAATTTTCAGAACAAAACATTTCATTTACTAGGAACTCTCTTAACAGGAAAAATGTTTAATTTTCTCCAAACAGATTTCTTGTTATGCACAAATTATAAAGTGGAAACAATTGCTTCAAGTTATGAGTTGTACAAAGAATTATACTTTGGGCTGTCAAGACTGCTACATCATTTAGAAACATCTCCCCTCTCTCCACCAAATATTTCCATTGGTACCGTGGTTAGAGAGATCACTTTCTCTGATGGCCCAGGCATAATAATAGAGTTCGTAGATTTAAAAATGTAATATAAGGAGCTATAGTATTACTGAACTGAAACAAAACTTATTTCCATTAACTTCATTTTATAGCTACAGAAAATCAGGTGCAGAAGCGACTTGAGCAGAATCAAACAGCAAGTCAATGACAGCCTTGAGATCTGTCCAGCACTGATGATTGGCTAGTTATTCTCTAACGTGTCTCTCCCACAGTGTCTGTGGAGTTGCTTAAGGGGCCTCATGGGTAGATATGGGCCCATGTAGATGATTCAGAGAAGTTCTGTCTTAGTCTATTTGATATATGAGGCTTCTAGCAGTGTTTGAAAATCAGCCTATTAGGTCATAATATTCCTTCTCTGCAATTTGCCTGATGAGTATAAACCAACACCCCTGGTGATCCAGCCCAGGGCACTGAGATTTATTGTCACCATTTGTCCACAGCCTGAGTTTCTCTAAATCCAGCCTAAGACCATTGGCTGTGACCAGGTGATTAAATGTCCCTGTTAGTCTTTTCTAATTATTGAGGAGATTCCACGTCTGGATATGGTTCTGCTCAGAGACCTTTAGAAAGTATATCTTGTGGATATACATGTGTTTTATACCTGAGCAAATGACTGTACTCAAAGCAGCTGAGAGGAGAATTAGTGCAGGCAACAGAACCTGTACAAAGTTACTGCTGTGGCTCATATTTTTGTTGAGGTCATCGATGAAGTCATGGATGTCATGCTGCTCAATCTGTGGGTACCTTAAAGCTGAAAGTGATAGTGACTACCTTGCTTAAACAAGAAGCAAGAGTCAAAAGGATCCGAACAATATGGATAAAGGGCATGAACTACTCTCTCTGCAATGTTGTCCAAAAATGCTGCTTTGGAAGGTAGCAAAGTTCTCATTACTGGAAGCACTAAATCAGATGCTATTTGTCACTTGTAAGGGGTGCTGGAGAAATTCTGCAATGTCTACTGTCTTTCCTAACTGATATTCTAGTCTAGTGTGCACAATTCCCTTTAAGAATTAGGATTAATGGATTCTTTGTTAATATAAGATGTTCTCCCTTGTTGCTCAACAAGGAACCGAGAGGAAGAGCGTCAATAAGATATTGTAACCGAAGGTATTAGATTGATCGAAAGAAGACTTTCAAGGGCTTTGCAACTACTGCCTGGTGGGTAGATTCATGCCAAAGCCCCTTGTTTGATAGTAAGACCCCAGGCTGGTGGTGGAGTTATAGACCTAAGTAGGCAGGGAAGAAAGGTCTTCTGAAAAGGCAGAGAATCAGAGAAATGCATGGCCAGGGGACTATGACAACCAGGGTGGCTTCAGTCCAGCTCGTCATCTCCCCACTACTCACAAAAGGCATCTCTAGACCTCTTAAAAATTGCCCATAAGGAAGGCAGCCATCATATGTATTTTGCAAATCAGTGAAGATGGACATATAGAAGGCAGGATTTACAATTATTGAGCCTTGATTATATGCTGCGTACTATATTATTAATACGTGCAGTGGACTAAATGTGTCCCCCACTAATTCATATGTTGAAGTCCTAACCCCCAAGGTGATGATATTAGGGGGCGGGGCCTTTGGGAGGTGATTACATCATGTAGATGGAACCCTCATGAGTGGGATTCATGCCCTCATTAAAGAGACTACAGAGAGCTCTCTCACTCTCTCTGCTGTATAAGGATACAATGAGAGATGACAGTCTGTAACCCAGAAGAGGGCCCTCACTAGAACTCAACCATGTTGGCTCCCTGATCTCAGACTTCCAGCCTCTAGAACTGTGAGAAATAAATGTTTCTTGTTTAAAACACCCAGTCTGTGATACCTTGTTTTAGCAGCCTGAATGAACTAAGATAGTAGGTATGTCCTCTCATCTAACCTGTGTCTTAGTCCTTTCAGGTGACTATTTTAAAAAATACCATAGACGGGGTGACTTAAACAACAAATATTTGTTTTTCACAGTCCTGGAGTCTGGGAAGTCCAAGATCAAGGCTTCAGCAGATTCAGTGTCTGGTGAGGGCACACTTCTGGCTCATAGATGGTCATCCTCTTGCTGTGTTCTCATGTGGCAGAAAGAATGAGGGGTCTAAGGTCTCTTTCATAAGGGCACTAACACCACTCAAGAGAGCTTCACACTATTAACCTAATCACCTCTCAAAGGCACCCCTTCCTAACACCGTCACATTGGGAGTTATAATTTCAACACCTCAATTTTCTGGGGGACACAGACATTCAGTCCATAATAACCTCCTATATTTCTATCCCCATTTGATATATAAGAAAACTGAGACTCAGGAAAGTAAAGTGAAATTCCTGAAACCTACAGAGTAGAAATGGCCTAGCTTAGATCCTGGTTCATTTGATTTTTGATCTACAATCAAAGGTTACTCAGACTCAAGTTTCTCATACGGAAATCATTGTGAGGCTCCACAGCACAGAGTACAGTGAAGGGAACGCATCAAAGCCTCATACTGTCTTATAAAATGTCAGAAGCATCAAAGGAGAATTTAGTCCAGGAGTCCAAATCTCAAATATCTACACAGTTCAGGCAAGTAACATTGACTAGAGAAGTGCACTCAAGGTAGCACGATAGGAAGTGGTGGGCGTCGGGATGAACTGGAGAGGATGCACTCCATGATAGAGAGCTGCTGTTGCTCAGCCCAAACCAACAACAAAACAGAACATGTGCAGGCTACCTGTGTCCCCTGGGCCACCAGTTCTCAGCCTGTTATTTTGGTTCATTCACACTGCTTTTAGGCCCTTCCCATGTTTCCTCCAGTTTGATTCTCATAATTCCACGAGGTAGTAGTATGCTGCCATTTTATTAATGAAAACAAATGGAGCTGGGGCAGATTAAGTGACTTGCCTAGGATTTCCTGCTGGGCTGATGGCCTGGTGAAGATAATCACATCCTCCCTCCCCTGCATGCCATCAGCACTTTAAAAAAAGACTGTGAGAGGTTCATAGATAATCACCTACTGTGTATCAAGCCGCATATGTCATCAGTGTGTTGACTGGAATTCATGTTTCATCATCCTCCATTCATTTGCAGCATAGAAACTATCAGGGCCAGCACCTTCTGGAAGAGGCTTGAAGAGAAGCAAAGGTGGAGATGCACACTCTAGTTGGGAGTTCTGGGAACTTTAGGAGTCTCAGAGATAGCATCTTTAATTCATGCCAGCTCTTAAAGCTGGACTTTATGGTCATTGTTCAAAACTAGAGCTTGTCATTTCTGTTTTTATTTTTATCTGGGGTAAGCAAACTGTAGTCTGTGGGCCAAATCCAGCCCTTGTCCTTTTTGTTGTTGTTGTTGTAAATAAAGGGTGCAGCCACATTCATTCATTTGCATATGAGTGCTTTCAAACTACAATACTACAATGACAGAATTTTATAATCATGATGGAAATACATGATCTCCAAAGCCTAAAATATTTACTATCTGTAATATTAACTATCTGCAAGACTTTATAGAAAACATTTGCCAGCCCCTGGTTTATTGTATATTTCAGCTCACTTCAGCACTTTTATTGAAATTTGCCACTTTTGCAAAACCTAGAGTTGAATATTAATTCTATCGTTGGTTTTTTTAAACTTTTGGCAAGTTGGTTATTTGTAGACGTAAATATTCTGGCACAGTTGCTAGCACATGTGAGCCCCTATGTGTGTATACCATAGCGATGGAATGATTTCTTGGGTTTCACACCCTTTTTATAAGGTTTGCCTGTGGCTGTGGAGGAGGGGTGGTGTCCTGCTTTCTCCCTACAAATTCCAGTTCTGGGGAGAAAACAAGAGAGCTGTGTGGTCCAGAGGTCTGTTTTCTTTGCCGTTACTACTGGTGGACTCATTAAGGACTTGTTAGGGTTGGGAAGCAGGTGCCCAGAGAAGAATGAATCTTTGGCTTTATTGTGTAGAAGCTCTGAGGTCTGAAAATCTTAGGTTAAACAGAAGTCTTACTTTCAGTGTTGCAAAAAGTCCAACATAAGTCCCCCTTTTCAGTAATGAAAACCAAAGAACTGATTTTACTTCCATTTTTTTTTCCCATGTTACAGGACAGTCTTAGTGAAATAAGATGTCCTTTCATGGCACGTATGCTGATCCTAAAGGTGGACATATTTAGGGACTTTCTTATATTGGTCTTGATTTTCCATTATACTTCTATGCCCCAACTTTTTCATTTCACTTATTTTTGTTTCAGTGTTTGCATTTATGCTGTATGATCACTTCAAACACGTAGTGGAAAGAAATGGGGCACGAACGCATACAAACAAATATTCAGATAAATAAATAAGCCTAATAGAAAATGCACACTTGCCGAAAATAAGACCAAGCAGCCTACAAATATTTCAAGATTCTGTACTTTGGGATGGAATTTCTTTGTGCCTGGTGATCCTGGTTATCTCATGCAGATCAGAACCTCTGATTATCTGCTGTTGCCATTGTAGGACTTTCTGAGGTCCGTAGAGGAAAACATGAAAAGCTGAGCACTGCTGTATTAAATCAAGTCTTCTAGCCTCTGACCATGGCCACACTGTGGATATATTTTCCTTGGCACAGTCCATGAGCAGTTACTTTGCAAATGCATGCGGGTGAGCAATACAGACCCTTGGAGGAGTGTGCCAAAGCTCAAGGAGAGTGCTGGAGAGCTGAAAGGCGCTATTTAAAATTTTGGGCAGAAGCATGTACATCAAAAAGTTATACATATAGCTGGCTTTGGGAAGCAGGTGTGAAGTTGACAAAGATCGTCTCCAGTGGTTCTTGGCCCTTACTTAGCACTTTGCCGACCTTCACCTTCTGGGTTTCTTGCTGCTATACCCCAGCCTAGACCGACTTCTTTTGCCTTTGACTTGTCCTCCTTGCTCTCTCTTCATGAAAACTCACCCATTCCTTAGAATTTTGCTCTTTGTTTGGGCTAATCTGATAAGTGAATCTGTGCAATTCATAAAGAAATGGGTGTTATTGGTATTAAGCCAAGTCCTCTTATAGGGTTCTACTCAGAGGTAACCCTTGGGACTTTTAGTCATTCTGACAACCAAAATAAACTTGGGTGGAGTAAAGAGTGCCAAACTAACCATGACAAGAGCAGGGTTTTGTACCAGCTCAATTACTGCTTTTATGACTATGAGCAAGCCATTGAAACTCTTCAGATATCAGGTTGCTAATCTGTAATATAGGGTTGGGAATCCTAAGTGCATAGAGTTGCTATGAGTAACAGACGACTTGATTATACATGTGAAAGTATCCTAAAAACCCTAAAAGTCTGCATAAATATGGGATTCCATTATTATTATAAATAATTACATTTCTGAATTCATATCATTGTGACAGTTGCTACAAGGCCATTGTGAAAAAGAGAAAGACAATAAAGTGATGTTTCACTTGATTGTTTCAAGTGCATCTTTGAAGGGCAACCTTGTTATCTGGTATTTTGGCAGACTTCGAGCAATATTACCATGGACAAGACAGAGATGGCTTTCTGCAAGGCCTTTAGTCAAGGGTGGGATAGATCATAGTATAGTTACACTGGTTCCTGGCTATTTGAAAAGTTTTACCCAAGTAGTAAATGAAACTAATATTAAAGCACACTCTTTATGTGACACACATTTTTTTCTAAGCCCTATCTTAAAATTATTTAATCCTCAAACAATCCTGAGAAGAAGACAGGAAAAATCACCACATGAGAAAAGGGAGACTTGTATAAGCCAATTTGCATCTTCTCTCCAGTGCTCTTTCTAGCATGTTAGGAGTCACTTGTATTAGCTTGGAAGCTGGTCCCTTCAGTGGTGAGTCTCATGAGACATCTTAGGCTTGTTCAGTTCATGAGCATCATGTTCACAGATGACACAAAGCTCAGAGTAATTGCTGAAATTTAGATGGTAGGATCGGGGTCAAAATAATATTGGAGAGCTAGAATAATTGATGCAATATACAAGATTCAATGTAACAAATGAATGTAAAATCTTTTATTTAGCTTTGGAAAAGCCAATTGTCTAATTTTAAGATTGTAAAAAGCTTGTTTGTGTATGTGCATGTGTGTGTTGGGGGATGGGGTCCTATGCATTTTTGATAAGTAAAAAAGTCAGAGGAAATCAATAGTGTTGTGATTGCTAAAAAAGCTGAAAGGTTATATTTATAGAAGTATATTGCTCAGATCTAAGGAGGTAATGCTTTGTTATCTGTATTGAGTAAGCTCATACTAGCTGTATTAAAAGCAGATCTAAACCACTGCTAAATACTGCTGATAGGCTAGAGATCATTTAGTGTTTGACAGCATCTTTGCTTAAGCAAAAATTGCTCCCCTCCCTCTTAGCATCCAAAGACTGAGAATTCCATGATGTCTTACCCTAACTAGGGTTAAGCCTATTATAAGAGGGAGTGTGGGTCCTAAGGTTACAGCAGGCAAACATTGTGGCCATCAGGAGGGGCTGGGAAGACAACAGGAGAAGCTGTGTCCAGTGGACAAATTTAAGGGCCTGGAAGGTGAATACCAGAGTTAGTATTTGAGTAAACACCAAGGTCAAAAACTAGCAGGCACTAAAGAGGTGACAGAAAACAAGTATTTGATGAGGACATCAGGGTAGACCAATTAGATTTCTGCAGAATATGTTTTGCTAACATAACAGTTTTTCCCCCCTCTCTTCCTGTAGTAGAACTTTCCATCCAGATCCAAAATTCTAGTACTAATCTGTAAATAGTAGATATAAAAAGGGAAGAGTGATTTAGAGCAAGGATTGAAGAAAGGAGTCCTTGTAAGTGGAATTGGTTTCATATGGCATTCTAATGACACAGGAAAATGTGTTCTCGCCCCATTGACTTGCATACCAGTAAGAGTCTTGCCTTTGATTAACTGAAGCTAATCTGGGTGCAGGGAGGTGGTGGACAGTGAATAAAGTCATCTCTTCTCTTCCTCCAAGACACACCAGTGTCAACATGGGAACAGCAATGCCATAATCTTCTTCCCAACTCACAACTTTCAAATAGTAGTTAAGCTGACTAATTCAAACTCAAAAAAAAAAAAAAAGGAAAAAAGAATGTTAAGAGAAGGAAAGCTTGCCAGAATCTTTTTAGTCTGCATTTGAATTTTTTTCTTTCAAGTGTTGAATGAAATACTAACTCTGAAACTCTTCTTAGAATCTAAACAATTACGCAGCATCTTCATGGCTTTATTGTTGTCTACTTACAAGAACTTAGAGTCAAAAGTTCTAACAAGTGACTCTTGTTTTACTTTTGATTTTCCAGCTGTTGGCAGGATCAGGATCAATAATTGGATGCCTACTTAGAAGACAAGGTGGCAATTACTCTGGTTTTCTACTTCACAATCACCCATGCCTCCTTTTAAAGACTAGGAGACCATTCTGTAGGTTGCCTGTTCAGTCTGATGATAGTTTCTTTCACCGTGCAGAAGCTCTTTAGTTTAATTAGATCCCATTTGTCAATTTTAGCTTTTGTTGCCATTGCTTTTGGTGTTCTAGTCGTGAAGTCTTTGCCGATGCCTATGTCCTGAATGGTATTGTCTAGGTTTTCTTCTAGCGTTTTTAAGGTTTTAGGTCTTATGTTTAAGTCTTTAATCCAACTTGAGTGGTGATCATTAAAAAGTCAGGAAACAACAGATGCTGGAGTGGATGTGGAGAAATAGAAACATTTTTACACTTTTGGTTAGAGTATAAATTAGCTTAACCATTGTGGAAGACAGTGTGGCGATTCCTCAAGGATCTAGAACTAGAAATACCATTTGACCCAGCAATCTCATTATTGGGTAAATTCCCAAAGATTATAAATCATTCTACTATAAAGGCACATGCACACGTATGTTTATTGCAGCACTGTTCACAATAGCAAAGACTTGGAACCAACCCAAATGCCCATCAATAATAGACTGGATAAAGAAAATGTGGCACATATACACCATGGAATACTATGCAGCCATTAAAAAGGATGAGTTCATGTCCTTTGCAGGAACATGGATAAAGCTGGAAACCATCATTCTCAGCAAACTAACACAAGAACAGAAAACCAAACACTGCATGTTCTCACTCATAAGTGGGAGTTGAACAATGAGAACACATGGACACAGGGAGGAGAACATCACACACTGGGGCCTGTTGGGGGGTGGGGGACAGGGGGAGTGATAGCATTAGGAGAAATACCTAATGTAGATGACGTGTTGATGGGTGCAGCAAACCACCACGGCACATGTATGTAACAAATCTGCATGTTCTGCACATGTATCCTAGAACTTAAAGTATAATAAATAATAATAATAATAAAAGACTAGGAGACCACCTTATGGCCTGTGATGATGTCTGAGATACACCTAGGCAGAGAATCAGAGATTCTTAGAATTACTGATTCAGAGTACCTTGTAGTTTCAGTACTATAAAGTTCTGGAATCTCAGATCGGGAAGAGGCATTAAAGGTCATCCAGCATCCAGACCCAGCCCCTGGCATAAAAAAAAGATTATAGCAGAAAAGAGAGGGACAAGGAGTCTAGCCAAATTGCAGTAGCTCCACCAAGAGGGGTTTAATCCATTTCACTTAAATTTAATTTACAACTGCTTTGGATTGGTAACTTTGTTGGTAAGGAAAGCCTAAAATATGACTTAGTCTTTGATTCCAAATATCAAGTTTCTTCATCCCACAGAGTAGTGGGTTTATTTTTTGTTGTAATTGAGCTTTGTTTTAACGGCTAAATCAAAACATAGCACATTTTCTTTCATTCTTTTTTTTGACATCAGCTGAGACTTCAAAACACTTACTATAGATTTTAATAGTGAAAAGAAGCCTTCAGCAAGGTAGAGTACTTAGCAAGGGCATTGGAAGCGACATGCCATATAAAAGAGCATGTCTGGTTTGGCCAAAATCCTGCCTTTGTCTCCAGAGCTATTTTGCTGTAAATTTAGAACAGAAGTACCCTTTCTGGAATAAAAATGTAGCTTTGTTGGCTACAAGTGCATGTTTGCTGCTTCACAATTTTAGAATTAGACGATGGACTTATTTAGTAGACATCGGAGGGTAAAAAGCAAAAGGCCATAATTTAAAACATTCCACTCTACCACAGTCCAAGAAAAACACGGACCGGTGAACAAAACCAGCAGTATTGTAATAAGAAAACAACTAGGTGCATTTTTTCCAAAACCTAAAAACCAGGAATCTAAATGTATGAGTTACTGGCTAAAAATTCCATTTTCATGTCTCAGTTTTGAGCTGGAAAAACAACCTAGACCTGATAAACATCATTTTAAAAAATACACACGTTCTCCCACAGCCTGAGGTGTGGACAGCAGACCAGCATCCATCTTTATATACTCAAGGGCACTTTCCATTGCCTGGAGGAATCCTGTGCTAAAAGGATTTTACTTTGCAAAGATTCATAGACTTCCCACTCAGGCCTGTGGTGATTTCTGAGGCTCCCTCCCCACAAGTTATTTGGCAATGCTGTTAAGGTGTCTTATTTTTCCCCTAAACACTCTGAATATCTGTTCGAAGTCAGCAGAATTTTCCAGGGCAAATGATGTGGTAACTCTTGGAAATGCAGGTGGGCTCACTCAGGCCAAGAGGCAGGAGGGACTGGCTCTTCTTCAGGAAGAGAGCTGAGGATGATGTACAGGCCCCTGTTCTAAGAAAATTATAAAGTGTGAGTCAATCAACCAGTAGCACCCACGGTGTAACTATTTGAGTGTGTGGGCCTGCACCTGTGTGTGTGTACGTGTGTGTGTGTGTGTGAGACAGATACCAGGAATAAATTCCTGAAGGTGGCTGAAAGTGACTTGGAAACTACTGACAACAAATATGAAAGTCCACTGGCATAAAGCAGTCTACCTGAGAGCTAAAGCTTTGGTTACATAACTGGTCTCAGAGTTTTAGATGTGGCTACACTCAGCAAAGGCTGAGGAGCTGTGGTTCTATTATAACATAAGGTCTGCTAAAGAAAAATGTCAAGGAAGAGAAACTTTTGTGAGGAAGGAGGAAGAAGACAAGAACTTTCTGAAGAGACATTTCCAAAGGAAGTAGAACTGTTGCTCATCATTTTACTCATGTGGTTGTCCACTTACCTGTGGGTACCAGGATCAGGTAGCATCACACAGGTAGCAGGTGTGACTTCTGAGCGAGCATGTCTACTGTTTGAGTACATGAATTCACACAGCCCCCAGAAGGGTTGGCATGGCTAGTTTGAGCCCATTGATGTAAACATTGGGATATCACGGCAATAATAATTATATTATCTTCCCTCCCCCCTGGAAAGAAACTTGCTTATCAAGAGTTTTCACATAAGAAGGGAAGAAAGGGATTTAGATGTGTGGGAATAATGAAAGTGAAAGGACTCATGTGGCAACTTATTGTTAGGCTCCATTTAAACATAGGATGTCTCATCTAATTCTTGCTTCACTCAGGGAGTGACTTGGGGTTACTTCTCTTTTCTGGAAACTTGTTTCATTTTATATTCTGTGGAAAGCAAAACTGAACAGTCTTAATCACTTGCCAGTTAAATAAGAGAGGGTTTACTACCTTTAACTAGTTGTTATGGTGAGAATGCTGTCCATGTCAGTGGTGGCTAAGTTCTCAGGTAGCCGGTTGGTTTTTCTGGCCTCCAGAGAATTCCTTTTCTGTCTCCACTGCCTACATGTCTGAAGTCTGGCCCTCTGGAATGCAGCCAGCAGAGAACCACAGACTGAGGCGCTGCCTCTAAGATGCACACAAAGCCCTGTGCCTCCTGCTTCCTCCTCTGGCAACCTCTACCATTTTCTTCATGACTCAGCCATGGTTTCTTCAGAATTGCATGTGGCGTGCAGAATGACTTTTGTTCCTTCACTACCCACTGTCTGTTTCTGGTGGGGACTAAACTCACTGCTTTGACTGTCTACATGGGAGAAAAGGGAAGGAAGTCCATCATTAGCTGGAATTTAGGCAGCTGATACAGTTTTGGGCTACATACTGGTGGTCCTCAGCAAGATATTTGTGAGATGTAGTGGCGTGGAAGTAGCATGTTGCATCAAGATGTCATCCTTATATCTTTTGTTGGAAGACCAACCACATACATGTCTCTGTCTAAGGACCAACATACCAGGGTATAAGGTGGGAGGCATACCTTCCTGGATTTTAAAAAAGATGTATATAAAAATTTGAATATGTGTTTGTCTATCCTAAGGACATGAAACTGACATGTTAGACTACTGCATACAGCACCTTAATAGTCTTCTACAAAGTTGTAAAAGGCTTGGCCGCTCGCACAAAGATTTTTTTAAACCTGGAGATGAGAAAAGGGGCACGCATTCAGGCTGTACATTAAAAAATGATCATATCTGGCTGACAAGCCACGTTTTGCTCAGTGACACAGCATCATCCTACCTCTAGACCTGTCTTCTGTGACAAGAGCCATTTACCACTCATCTAGGCCCTAGGGTGAGATATCTAACCTTCCTCAAATCCTCCTCTCCTAAAAAAAAGTGGGGATCCCTCTCCCACGTGCAAAAGTGTTCCTGTTTACTGTATGAGGACCCAGCTCTTTGAAAGATAACTGATAACTAGTGAGCCTTTCCATTGCCTGATTTGTTTAGACTTCAGTATAACAACTTCTATCACATTTTTACCGGAGAGCTACTCAAACAGTAGTAAGGCAGAACAATTCTTTACTTGAGGCAAGTCACCTCTTTCTGAATCTGAGTGAATTGGACTAAGAGCTATTAAACTCTTACATTCTAGGGAGCTCAGAACCTATTCTATAAAGATTATTTATCGAAATGCCTTAATAAACTGACATTATTTTTGCATTTCACTTGTATACCTTTACTATTAAGAAGCAAACTGTAGGGCAGTCTCAGTAAAAAGCATTTTACATGCACAATTTCATTTTATTCTTCTATGAAGAGAAGGTATTAATTATCCCTACACCGCATGTTAGGGAACTGATATGGTTTTGATGTTTGTCCCCTCCAAATCTCATGTTGGAGTGTGATTCCCAGTGTTAGAGGTGGGGCCTGGTGGGAGGTGTTTGGATTATGGAGGTGGATCTCTCATGAATAATTTGGTGCTGTCCTCTCAATAAATCAGGGAGTTCTCTCCTTGAGTTCATGTAAGATCTGGTTGCTTAGAAGAGCCTGGCCCCTCCTCCCTCTCTCTTTTGCTCCCTCTCTCTTCCCATGTGACATGCTGACTCCCTGTCAACTTCCATCATGATTGCCAGCTTCCTGAGGCTTCACCAGAAGCAGATGCTGGCACCATGCTTCCTGTACAACCTGCAGAACAAGAAGCCAAAATAAAACCTCTTTTCTTAATAAATCACCTAGTCTTAGGTATTTTTTTATAACAATGGAAAAACTGCCTAGCACAAGAAGTGAGACTCAAAGCAATGAAGTGATTTGTTGTAATTTACACACTTGCTACGTATCTAAACTTACATACTTATTATCTAGCTATTAATAAGTGTATTTGTTCTAACATATTACATAAAAATGGATGAAAGGATGGCAATTAGACTGTTCATTATGACTATATGACCACCATACTGTGATTATTATTGTATTTGTATACCATCTTTTAGACTGTAAACTTCATGAGAACAGGATCAAGCCTGGCTCATCAGTATGTCCTCAATGTCCAATACAAAGCATAATACAAAATAGGCATATAAATGTATGTCAAATTGATCAATGCATAAATATTTTGTCCAATATATAAATAAATTAATTTTATATTTATAATCTTGTTAATAGTTATGCTCATTCATATTTCTAGAGCACTTTAACTTTCAAAGACCTTTCTTTTTCAGTAAAGTTTGCCTTAGGAGGACAAAGTGAAAGTTAAGGACCCGGTTACTGGGAATACACATCAATTTCCCAACCCTGAAATAAGACGATTAATTGTGAAGGAGACAAGCCTCACAAAACTGCCTCTGCAGACTGTCTTTCTGGACCATATGTTCCAGGTTCTCTGCAACAGACCTGGTTGCTATATCTATTCCATTGTCCCCATAAGGATATTCTTACTTGTCAAACATGTGTCCTGATTTCTCATTTAGAAAATATGGTCACCATATGCATGTTATAAAACTTGAGTCCCTAGACTAACTTCACCCTTCCATACAGGTATTGCCAAATCTCATATCCTGCTAGATTTTCTATGGATGCTTCAAACAAGTGCTGATTGCAGCCCTTTGCATTGATCATGAACAGATACACTAACAAGTCTATTTAAATTATTAACGTAGTTTTCCATAGAAAGATGATTTCAATGACTTATTACAAAAAATGCATTTTTCAAAGCACATTTGAATTATTTATCTAACACAATCAACTTATTTTTATTCAATTTGAGCATTTTCTGATTCTCCTAAATAAAATGTTTGTGATGACTCTAATAGGGATCAATGAAATTAATAAAATCTGATTTGACATTATGTTGGATTTGTTATTTTACACATTTCCCAAATTAGATGAACCAAGTCAAATTGAGGTAGTTGATAAACTTGATTATCTGATTCCATGGATATTCTGGATAAATTTTAGAGACAGAGTATGGTATCAGAACAGACATTATTTCTGAATTAGACTCTGATACCAATTTATTCTGTGACTCTGAGAAAACTACTTCCACTCTCTGGGCCTTAGTTTTCTCCTTTGTACATTAGGTGACTTAGTCTAGGTTGAGTGACTTGCCTAGGTCAGTGGTGCTTTCTCTTTTTCCTGTGGAGTCTGGGAGTCCTTTGGAGGCCTAAGGATCTCCCCTGGCAAACTTTCTCCCTACCCTTACTTCAGTAGATAAGCATTTATCTGTTACTTATACACACCAGACCACTATGTAAAATATTGTTTGGAGAAAACAGGTTCTAGAACTACAATTGTTTTATGGAATTTTTTGGGCAATTTGGATCTAGATTTCCACTTGATTTCTTCATTAAAATACTTCTGTGAGGCATATAGAGTTTACCTGAGCAGAGAAGAGGCCTAGGCATGTATATCAGGGATGAATAGAATCAGAAAATTTTCAGTATAACCTGCTGGAGAGAAGGAGGCAGTGGTTAGGAATATTGTCGGACTGGGGTAGAGAAATGAGGTAATCATCAACGAACTGTTAGACCTTCAAGGGAAGGATCAACATGGTCAAGGTAGTATTTCAACCTGGGGAGGCATCTTTAGTTCTAAGCATCGGTAGGAGGAAAGAAGCGTTGAGTCATTAGTTACTGCACTAAAATGGACTTTAGGCCAGGCACAGTGGCTCATGCCTGTAATTTCAACACTTTGGGAGGCTGAGGCAGGAGGACTGCTTGAGGCCAGGAGTTCGAGACTAGCCTGGGCAATGTAGCAAGACCCTGTCTCTATAAAAATAAAAAGTTAGCCGGGCATGGTGACGTGCATCTGTAGTCCCAGCTACTCGGGAGGCTGATGCAGGAGGATAACTTTAGCCCAGGAGTTTGAGCTCTGATTGCACCATTGCACTCCAGCCTGAGTGACAAAGTGAGATCTTGTCTCTGAAAAAAGGAAAAAAGAAAAAAAAAAAACTTTAAAATTCATCAAATACAAATAGAGTCATATATTGACAGCTGGTCCCCTAGAACATGAGCCAAGCTTTGATATGGCTATGTGTATGCAGAGATTGAATGGATCTAAGTGGGAAAGTTCCAGAAAACTGGAGGGAAAGGAGAGCACTCCATTTCTGGGATGATCAGTTCTTGACTTCTTAAATTGTAGGCAGTGGTGTGTTCCCTCAGGAAATTGTGACCAAGACTGGTAGAATATTTGTTAGGTTTATCCTTGTATCTAAAGGAGTCTAGTATTTGCCTTGTTGCATTCAACCCATTAGTTGGTAGGCCTGGAGGTTATCTGTGGCCCCATGTACTCTCTGAATTGCTGATTTCTCAGTATTCCTGATACATGGATCCATGCAAACCAGATTTCTTATTGCTATACTGGCCACCTGAATAGATTTTCTTTCACAAAAACTCCAGCCTAATTCAAGCTTGGGCTCACCACTTGTACGTGTGAAAAGGGCCTTTGGCTTTCCCCCTTAGACCCTTAGAGCAGGGTCAGTCTTTTTTTTCTTTTCTTTTGTTTTTCTTTCTTTCTTTCTTTCTTTTTTTTTTTTTTTTCATCTCATAGTCTGTACTGCTGAGGTCCTAGCAGGCCTTGGGATAAGTCTGTCCAAGTTATAACCATGAACAGCTCATACTGAGATGCTCATAAAGCAGCACAGTTTTGGCTGGGCTCTTAAAGCTGTGCCCATTCTAGAATTCTTTAAGTCTAGAGAAGGGCTCTTTCACAAGGCAGAACTAGCCACATGGAGTATCACTGAGAATGGAGCTCAGTTGCAGCCTTGACTGGTTGTTCAGGACATCGGTTTAGTGATTCCAGCAGCCTGTCAGCTGCTCTGCCTCCTGAAGGCTGCCATGGCCAGGAGGGAATTTGACTTTCCCTCATTGATTTTCTTTTTAGTTCTTGGCACCACACATTGTGAATCCATGGCACTCTCTCGCTCTCTCTATTAGTATCTCACCAGTCTTGCTCCTGGTTGTGGCTCTTTTCCAGAAACTTTTGATCTTTCTCCAAGGATGAGAATGCATTTCTAGGAATGGAGGGCTACTGCAGAGGAGGATAATTGGCTTCAAAATTTCCCTGTGTCCCCTGGAGAAAGGTTGGTCAGAATTCTAGCACCTTGGGTTTAATGCCACCTCACCTTCCTTTCTGTCCTCTAAGACCCTGTTACCTTGAAATGGGGTTTCACTCACAGAGCCCATGACAAGTTAGTTGATTTCCCCAGAAAGTGCCATAACAAATCTGCCTCCCCAGGAGAGGTGACGTGACCACCTCATTATGTGTTCTGACCTTCAGTGGCACACACCATCCCCAGTCCCACTCCCCAGTCCTGACCTTCTTTTCATCCCTCCA
This sequence comes from Homo sapiens, assembly GCF_000001405.40. NCBI lineage: Eukaryota > Metazoa > Chordata > Mammalia > Primates > Hominidae > Homo > Homo sapiens. The sequence goes on along the minus strand of NC_000011.10, from coordinate 15,795,112 downwards.
TCCTTGTGGTTCTGACAAGACCTGAGTGGGAGAATGTCTGTGCATGCAGTGTCTCTGCACAGAAATTCATTTTGTTCCCCAGAGGGAAATCCTTCAGCATAGGGTTGGTATCCTCTTCCCCGTACTATCTACCACAGCCTGGCTGAGCTCAATACTCAACACACTCTTATGATTAATTGAATGTAACACAAACCTGTGTGCTTGTCCAGCTTACACATCACCGTTTCAAACCTTACTTCATTTGACCTTTCACTATAACCAGGAGAATCAAGAAAGGTTGGCTGAAAGTTGAACTCAGCTGGGATGCTGAGATGGCAGATCTTTCTCTCTGTCTTCGTGTAGTCTAGGACTACTCTCTCCATGTGGCCTCTCCACTTGCTTTCTCCAAGTAGACTTTCCAGCAGGCAGCAAGACTTCTTAAATGGCAACTCAAGGCTACTAAAAGGGCAAATATGGCCAGATATTCTTAAAGCTTAGGCCCAGATTTGGCATAATATAATACTGTACTCTATTGGTTAAAGTGTGTCACAGGCCAACTCAGTTTCATTGTGGGAGGAGACTATATCAGGACATAAATACTGAAAGATGTGATTCATTGAGATCATCTGATCTTTGAACACCACCTACTACAGTTTGTGATCAATTTCTTGGGAACAAGGCTCTCAGTGCTGTGGCTACTCTCATAATTTCCTGGCTGATGAGAATAATGGCCAGGTTATAAAATAAACAACATAAGGTTCTTCATCCTGGGTCATCCAAGAATTTAGAGAGAGGGACCAATACTTCTCAGAAGGATTCTGTTAAATGAAGGTGATGCTCTGGAGTCCTTCAAATGAAGATGAAAATGACACTGGGCCTACCAAATAAGTAGGCCACATTGCCCCTTATACATAGCATATTTAAATGCACAAGTAGAGATGAGTTAGTAGCAGTCTACGGTCTGCCTAGGTCTATTCTTATGGTCCTCCACTTAGTCCCAAAGCAGTGACTAATAGAGGCAGGTGGTATACAAAGAACAGGAACATTTCAGTGATGCAGACCTGTGTTTGGTTCCTTGTATTAACACTTAACAGTTGTGGGGGCTATAGTCTCTGCTTCAGGCTGGCTGTAGTGGTTCATGCATATAATCCCAGTGCTTTGGGAGGCCAAGGCAGGAGGATCACTTGAGGCCAGGAGTTTGAGTACAGCTTAGACAACATAGCAAGACGCCATCTGTACAAAAAAAATAAAATAAAATAATTAGCCAGGTATGGTGGCACGTGCCTATAGTAGTAGCTACTCAGGAGGTTGAGGTGGAAGGATCACTTGAGCCCAGGAGTTTGAGCTTACGGTGACCTATGGTTGTGGCAGTACACTCCAGCTTGGGCAACAGAGCAAGAGCCTTTCTCTAAAAAAAAAATAAAAATAGGCCCTGCTTTAGAATAGGGATTTCATAAACTTTATATATTTTTTGATCATATATTTTTGTGCATTAACATAAAAACAGCAAACGTTTAGAGGGACTACACAATGAGTCAGGTAATGTTCTAGTTGCCAGGAATGTTTTTACTTGATGACTGGAGAGTGTAGGGGGTGAAGGAGAGGAAGAAATAGAGGATTACTCATCTATCTATTTGTAGCTTTGGGAAGCTAGATAGATGGTGAAGTCATTCACTGTATTAAGAAAAGCAGCAGAAGGAGAAAGTTTCTTCCCTCTTGTCGGATTTCCTGGTTACTATAATACCATCTCTGAAGCACTGAGGCCTTCCTTTGGAACTTACAGTCCCAGTGCATAAGTGTATAAGTCAGCTGTCATTAGGTAAGGCTCACATTACATATGAGCAAACTTAAATTTTATGTTTAGGAGCCACTGAGACTTTAGGGAGTTACTATGATTGTACTCAGTAAAAGCTGACTAATACAGAAGTTGTACCAGAAGTGGGGTGTTACCATAACAAAACAAAACAAAAACAACAAAATTATGTAACTAGCTTCAGAGTCAAGCAGTGGGTAGTGAGGAAACTATTATTGAATCTGATAACATTATGACTCACATTAGGAAATAACTAAACATTTGTAAAACCATAAGATAACTTGCAAGACAGATAATTTATCTAATGAAGCAGTGGCTTTAGGTGATAAGGTTGGCCAGTGGGATGAGGCATGTGTGACTTAGTTGTTCATAAAAGGATATGACAAGATACTATAAAGAAGAGATGAGTTCAGAAGGACATGGCTAGTTTTAAAGCAAGAATAAAAAGAAAAAGAGAGTCTTGAACTTTCAGAATCTGTAGGTTGTAACAGATTCTTGTATTTAACATATAAAAGTTAAACTGGAAACATGTCAAGCAACAAAAGCTTATTATATTATGGTCTCAAGGCAAAGTTCAAATCAAGGATGTGATCTCCATGTTCTTTCTTAAATCCTGTAATTTATTAAGGTGACCCCTAGTACATGATTTAAATTGGACAAAATAGTTCAAAGAAAGGAAAGAAAGGTCTTCTGTCTTATTAATGTATAATAACTGTAAAGTCCTTCCAATTAGTTATAGAAAGAAACGCACGTCCAGAAAAGAATTCCAAGTGTGGCAGTTGGCATAAAAAGTTGGTTGGTGAAAAGGACCATAATGTTTTTGAGACAGTTTTATTTCCAAAGGGCCATTAGCCTGAATTGTGAGACTACGGCTGTTAAACACAGAAAATAACTTTAGGGCTCCTAAGTTTCTGCCACCCAGCGCTCAAGGAGAAGATATTTTCTAATATTTTCTATACATGTGCTTAGGGAGAATAATGGAAAAGAAAAGGAATTATCAAAATGTGAATCCAAGAGCCATGAAGAGAAATGCCTGCACCCATGAAGCAGACCTGATATCTAAACAAAGAATATTCCCCACCCCAGGGTATGGGTTTACAATATTTGCCCAGCCACATTTCGGAATAGCTATAGGCCAGTGACCACTTGATGTCTTCCATCTTTTCATTCTTCTCCTTTACAAATGGGAGAGTTTATTGCAGCTTTCTTGGCCCTGTTCCACAAATGTATGTGGAGTTTGAGAAAGAAAAGGTAACTGTTTTGTTTTAGTTTTGGTACATAGGTCTCTGGATCAAAAGGAGCCACATTTTTATCACATTTGGTATATAGACTGTTATAAGAACCTGGGCTTTTGATTTAATGTCATATTCCTTTAGACTTCTGGCCTTCTCCTTTGGAGAGTAGGTGAATTTTATGTGCAGAAGAGAGGAAAGCAAAGACTTATGAGAAAAATACATACTGTTTAACTATATAACATTGCTTCCAATTTTTGTTTCCTCATTTCCAGAAGATTTGATATCCCTGCCTCTTGCCATGTAATTTGCAGAGCATCCCCATAGGAAGAGTAGCATAGGTTCTCATCAATGAAATGTGAGTAAAATTCTCATATGTCCTTTGTGAAGAAAAGCTTTAAACCCCCTTGAATGTTTCCATTAGTTGTCTTGCTCTTTCTCCTTTGCCATGAAATCAAGATGGAGGATACTTTCCCAGTTTGATCCCAGGATGAGGAAGTCATGTACAACTGAGCCCAGAATGTAGCTCATCTTCAGTCAACAGGTAATGTGAATGAGAAATAAGTCTTTATTGATAAAAGGCTCTGAAATTTGGGGATTTTTTGTTATTGCAGTCTTGCTTCAGTCATACACTTGACTGATACATCTAGGTTTTGGACTAGTAGTCTCTTGGGACACAGGATGGTCTTGTCTCAGGTCCCCTGAATTACATCTCTAGAGTTTTACTGAATAGTTTCTACCTACTTTTCTTATTTATCAGAATTTACCTTCTGTCCTTCAGAAGCTGAAGGAAGTGAAAGGTACTCTTTTTCTGAAAGAAACAGGGATAATTTGACTATAGACAATGTTTTACACTAGAGGAGTACATAAAGTACAATGGGAGTAGTGCTAATGGGTGACATAAAAACTATATTTCTCATGTGTATATGTATCTAGATCTTTCTACCTGCCCTACATATTAACTCTAAAAAATTGAGAAGTAGAGGAAAGCATAGTATAAAGAAGAATGATCCCACTGCCCAACACCATTATATTTTAACCTTATTTTTAAATAATTAATTACAACTTACAGAAAAATTACAAAAATAACACAGAAAAATTACAAAAATAACACAACCTATTCTGTATACTGTTCTTTCAGATTCCATAAATATTGACATTTTACCACATATATTTTTATCATTCTCACTAAATATATCTTTGTGTATGTGTGTATATATGTGTGTATATATATATATATATACACATATAGGCATCTATTATTATTTTTTCCCTGAATCAATTAAGAATGAGTTGGAGGCCTAATCCCTCTTTATTCCTAAATACTCAAGGATGTATTTCCATTAAAAAAAAGATAAACTCTTACATACCTAAACTTTATCAAACTTAAGAAATTAACATTAGTTCAATGCTATTGCCTGATCCATGGATCTTAATCAAATATCTCTAGTTGTCCCAATAATGTCTTTATGGCAAGAGAATAAAAATCTACTCCAAGATCTAATCCAGAATCATGCACTGGATTTAGTTATCATATCTCTTTAGTTTCTTTTCAATTGGGATGGTTAGCTCCTTGTTCTTCTTGGTTTCTTTCTTTCATGACTTTGACATTGTTGAAGAGCACTGATCAGTTTTTGTACACTGCCCCTCCATTTGGGTGTGACTTCGTTTCTCATATGTGAATTCAAACTATGCAATTTTGGCATGAACATTACAGAAGTAAAATTGCATCTTTCTCATTGCATTATATCAGCCACAGGATATGGATTTGTCCCATTACTAAGGATGTTAACTTTAATTACTTAGCTAAGGTGGTATCTATAGGCTTATTCATGTACAGTTACTATTTTCCACTTTGAAATTAATAAGTATTTTTGAGAAGATACTTTGAAACTAAGTTCATATCCTGTTTCTCATCAAAATTTTACCTGCTAGTTTTAACATATATTGATAATTCTTGCTTGAATCACCTAGTACTATGGTGGCCAAATAGTGGTTTTCTAATTTTATAATTTTGTGTATATTTCTTAGCTGGCAACAAAAGTTCTTCCTACTGTAGGGAAGAAGCTTCCCATTCTCTCCAATTGTATTTATTTATTTATTTATTTATTTATGTTTTTTCATTATGGGCTAATGGATTCTTATTTTATTCCATGAGTTATGATTTATTTCTATTATTTATTCAGATCCTCAAACAGTCCTAGATTTGGCCAATGAGAATTCCTTCAAGTTGATTTCTATGTCCTTTTGATATCTGTGTATTACTTTTAGAGCACTTCCATACTGTTTGGGACAAGACAATTTTCCAAACACAAATTATACTCACGCAGTTCCATTCCTGAAATTAGCCATTTCGTCAAAGATTCCTGGTTACTTTTAGTGGGTCATGATATTTAGAAATCAAGATCTGAATGCTAGGTGTTTTTATTGCTACCAAAGAAGTCATCATTTTAACATTTACTATTTAACACTTTGATGTTTCTCTTTGCATTTTTTCCCATACATTGTTTTTACAAACTTAAAATTGTACCATGCTGAAATTTTATTCTTGATTTTTTATTTAAGAGCATAATATGGGTTTTTTCCTGGTTATCCCAAGCAACTTTCTAGATAATTAGATAATTTTCATCCGTGGATAATGCCAAAAATTATTTTTTGCATTTTGCATAATTGAAATTATTTCTAGCTTACTTTTGTAATTTGCAATAAGTAATAACAAATACTTTTGTTTTTAAAGTACTTTCACAAGCAGCCTTCATTTTAATTCCTACAGCAATTCTACGAGCTAGACATTTTGGTGCCTTTTTACAGAGGAAGACGCTGGGACTGCTTGGCTCAGAGATGTTCTATGACGAGCCTCAGCTTGGTGAAGTCAGAATGAAGCCCAGGTCCTCCAGTGGACTCACGTTGTTGGTCATCTGCTTGAACGTATGCATTTGTCTTCCTAACTTAATTCTAAGTTACTTAATGGCAGAGGCTATGTTTTAATGTGCATTGGTGTCCTCACAATTCCAGTATACCACAGCTGCTTAATAGATGTTTATCACTTGGTTCAGGGAAGTGTCAACAAAGTCTTCAGCCCAGGTAAATCCTTGGGAAGCTTTTTCACTGGGAGTCAGTTCTAAAAGAACATCTCTCTCTTTTGAGGACAATGGTGACCAGACTTCTTAATTATTGCTATTCTTTGCAGGGAGTGCCATTAGCAAGGGAGAAAGAGAAGAATAATCTGTTTGGATAGGGAAGGGCAAACCCAATAAATTTGCCAGCTGCACTTGATATCTTAGCAGCAAAACAAGCCATCCCACACTGCCTTGTAACTGCAACACAAGACAGAGGACATAGTCATAAACTACTCCATGGTAGGGATCCTTATCTGTAGCAGATTATAAACCCAGAGACCACATGGGGACAAATTTGTAATAAATGATATTGTTCCAATTAGGGCCTGGTTCAGCTGGAAATTAAAAGCACAAAATCAAAATCTCTCTATCCTTAGCCACTTCCTCGCAGACTTCCGGACCAGGAGGTTTTTTGATGTTGATTGTCTCCTTGCAGCTTTCAGTTGAGGACCCAGCCAAATTGTACCACTTGTGCTAATTATCCCTCTCCTGAGATTGCAAAGTTCCTAGTTAATCGGGAGTTAGTCCAAACTACTTGCTGAGTTTCCAAGGTGGCAGCTTTGTGCTGGGGACCTGGGCCAGTATAGACCTCAGCTGCCAAGGGGTCATCAGCATAAATTTTTCCTTCTGAGGCCATTTACCAGGAAAACAAAGACCTTAGGGCTTTGAGGAAGGAGTAGAAATAATAGGTGCTTCTGCAGAGAAAGAGAAGCCATCTCCTCTCCTGCATCCCCTAACGCAGTGAATGGTTTCACACAGTCCTGGCTTCTTCCACTTTGCTCTTCAGCATTTAAGCATTCATACCTCCAACATCTAAGGACTCATTAAGGCCTGTTTGTGCTGTTTAAGTGTTTCTCACACCTTACTTTTTCTGTCTTCACTGCCATTGAATTTAGTTCACTTAGTCCCAAGGATCATTTATTTGACAAGAAGTGGAACTAGTAATGGAACCCAGAATTTAGGTACCAGGGTTCATATCTTTTGAAGGCTGGTGTGCGTTTTATTTTGACTTAGTTCATAAATCTGATTGCAGTGAAGTTTTAGTAGGATTTAAAATTGTACAGAAAATACTGAGACAAAAAGTTTTTCATAAGCCACATTTCAGTTGGGCAGGCTAAAGGAAGAACTCCTGTCCTAATTACGGTTAGGGTCATATTGTGATCATTGGTAAATTTTCTGTAGATCGTCATAGCAAAATGAATGAGGGATTGTGCTGAATCCTTTCCACTGGCCCCCCTAAGCCTTTTACCCTTCTCGATTCAGCTCTGTGCCCCAGGAGGATGGCCTCTTTGGACAGCTTTACTCTGACTCCGTTGACCTCTGACTGTGGTTAAGTTTGACCAATGGGGAGCTGCAGCAGGAAAATGGAATATGGCACCTGGCTGCTTCTCAGCCAGAGCACTGGAGATGGTGATATTTCTTTCTGGAGGCTATAGCTCCTATTAATGATTCTTGTTGACACCCTAGCTCCCTCCTTAGGCTCCCATAGCTAGTCCCTCTACTTGCTCCTTCAGGGCAGTGCTTGCAGCTCCCACTGTTGCTAGCCCTGGGTGCTGTATCACCCCTTGTTGGTTTTCTGTATTCCTTTCCACACCTCTATAAATAGTCCTTCTTTGAAATTCTCTTTTCCTACATGTTTGGATATGCCATTTCTTTACTGCCAGGACTATAATTGATTTAGGGGTTGAGTAAGTAACTCAGATCTGGTCACATGGAGTAGAAATGCATGGACAAGGATCATTTGTAGCATGCTCGATTATCATCAGATCCTGAGCTCTTAATATAAGGATTGAGAGCTTCAACTCTGTAAAATAACAGTATCACTGATGATAATAATAGAACCAAACTTCTATGGTACTGCTACCATGTACCAGACACTATGCTAACAATTTGCCATGTATTAACTCATTTTAGCCTTACAACATCTTATAAGACAAGTACTATTTTTTTTTTTTTTTTTTTTTTTTTGAGACAGAGTCTTGCTTTGTTGCCCAGCTGGAGTGCAATGGCGGCGCGATCTCAGCTCACTGCAACTTCCATCTCCTGGGTTCAAGTGATTCTCCTGCCTCAGTCTCCCGAGTAGCTGGGATTACAGGCACGCACCACCATGCCCTGCTAATTTTTTGTATTTTTAGTAGAGATGGGGTTTCGCCATGTTGGCCAGGCGAGTCTCAAACTCCTGACCTCAGTTGATTCACCCATCTCGGCCTCCCAAAGTGCTGGGATTACAGGCGTGGACCTTTGCACCCGGCCACTATTTTTTTATTATTGTTTTGTAGGTGACTGAGCCGAGATACACAGAGGTTAGGAATCCTGTTTAGGTTTCTACACCTTAGTTTGTGAAACAAAACCAGGCAGCCTTGTTCCAGAGCCTGAGTTCTTAATTTTTTCACAACACTTCTCCACATGGACAGGAAGTCAGTACTAATGGACACATAATGAGAGTGCATTTAATTGCCAAAATTATAGAATCATCTGAACATAACTTTTGAAGAAAAAAAATCCATAATGTTGAAAAACTATTTTTAACTTCGGGATTTCTAACATAAATGCTAACAACCAGTGGTGCCATTTTTAGCAACCGGCAATTTATTTAGGCAGATGGAGATGGATATTGTTCCCAGGTTTGAATGTTAAACGCTATTTAGGCATCACAGTGCTGTGAAAAGGACTCAAGAGACTTGGGTCCTACCATGCATTAGCTGGATGATTTTGAGCCAGTCCCTTATTCCCCTGGATCCTTGCTTGCCTCTCTCAGGTTCCTAGGTCTCTAGCCCACTCCTCTCATCTGATGTGCACATTCTTCCCCTGGATCCTTGCTTGCCTCTCTCAGGTTCCAAGGTCTCTAGCCTCCTCCTCTCACCTGATGTGCACATTCTCTTGTGGTCATCCTCAACATGCTCACCACCACTCCAACATCACCAACTATTATTTGTTTACTGGTTTTGGCTTAGAACACTCAGACACTTATATTATCTATAATATCTCAAACAAGGAGACATTCTGCCTTGGTTTAAATACTTACGGTGATTAGGATCTTGTTGCCTCCTCAGGGAGGTAGTCTCCAACAGTGGCCTGACCACCTTCAGGACAGGTAAAGCACCTGTGGGAAGTCCAGGTGAAGATAGTGGTATAGTCATTGTAGTTGAGAAGGAGGATGAAGAGGAGTTTTAGCTGGTGAGGGTTTAGGAGGGTGGGAAGTGACAGGTGGAAGGATGGAAAGATACATTCTTGTAAAGTCTCCAGGAGACCCCTCTTGCAAGGAACACTTGTTACTGGCAGGGGTTTTCTGATTTCCTGGCTCACTCTCTGAACTTTCTTCCTCCTATACGCCTCCATGGCTTTGTGGATGTTGTGCAGGCTGTCTAAAAAGGCCTTACCTGTTTAGTGAAATCTTCAAGGACAGATGAAATTTGTGATGCCTATGAGTTTAACCAGAGGTAATTTTTCTCCCTCCCTCCAGACTTCTGTGATGTTCTGTTTGGACCTTGTTCATAGCACTTGTGTTATGCCTTGTGCCATTATCATTTGTATACACACTGAGTGTCCCCACTAGGTTTGAACTCTTTGTGTCTGATTTACATCTGCATGTACTGGGCCTTGAAATCTTTGCCAGATAGATGGATGGGTCTACAGAACCCATTTCTAATGCTTAATGCACATGCTCTCTCTCTCTCTCTCTCTCTCTGTCTCATGCCATTTAAACACTCATATACACAAGCATGACATTTAAAATACCTAGGATGGAATATCTATCAGAGGACCTCCATAATCAGGAAATCAGCCTTAGCGTTCAGCCTTAACAGATATTAAGAGATGTGTTGGCAAACAACAGAGAACAGAGATACATTTTTACCTACAAACTTGTATACTTCATATGACATTTTAATCCTAGATCCATATTAACTCCCAGGTCCAGTGGTGATGCCATCCAGTGTCAAAGGCAGCAGTCAATTCCAAAATGACCCTGTTGCCTCCAATCCTGATAATTACTGGTTTCATGACCCCCACCCAGGCCTTGTCCTGCTTGCCAGCCTTTGTCAGAGTATACCCACCTCCATGGTTGAAATGACCAGAGAATAAATAGCCACTTTTAAAAATGATGACTCTTTCTATTCTGTAGAAATAGTAAAATTAATGCAAGCAAAGAAAGTGTTGGCGTTTCAGGAGGTGGAGTCTAGCGCTGGGGAGTGGTGTTTCACCTTAACAGCAGATACCAGCCTTTGAGTTATCTTTTTTGGCTGGACTCTGGGGAACAGAAGCCCAGCACCTGACAAACTTAAAACTGTGAGAGGCAAAAGAAAGGATGGAATGTTTGTGCAAATCTCGGTGTTACACCCAGCCCACACCTGGAAATTTATCTGTACTTGATAAGCACAGGATTTTTGTTGCAACAATATCCTTTGGGTTAAAAGTGATCTCTCTCTTCTTCTTTAGGTAATTGTTACTTTTTCTCTTTTAGAAAACCCAAAAAAGGAAGAGTAAATCTGCAAAGCCTGGAGGGTGAAAATAGTTCAGAGACTAAGGCTGGGACCTAGTAAGCCACTGGCAGCTGAATGAGAGTTAGGAGGGGAAGCCCCTTTATGGGCCTAGGGCAGACAAAGGGAATGGAGTCATGTATTTTGCAGGTAGGGACCAGAACTGGAGTTAAGGACTGAATGCTAAGTCTAGAGAGCTCTGGAGTCTGCCAAGAAGCCCCAGGGGAGACAGCTGGGGAAACTGCGGTGGCTTGAACAAGTTTATCTGACTTTGTAATTAATTATACACTTGTTTGTGGGTTTATTGGGTTAGATACTGATTCCTCACTGGACTGTAAGAACCAGGAGGGCAGGACTATCTGATTTAGTTTGTCTTTACGTCCCCAGAACCAAGCTCTTGCCTGGGATGCAGTAGGCTCACCATAACTACTCACATACTAAATAAATGAATCTGTTTCCTAACCACGTCCTCACCTCAACCTTTGCTAAGCCTTCAACCTGTCCCAGTGGCCTCTTCTGCCTGAGCCTGCATTCTTTCCCTGCTGATCCACACTTACCCTGCAGGGACCCACCTCTCCCTTGCCCTGCCCCTCCTTAGGGGTAGGGAAGGTCATTGTGCAGGAGCCAGGCATCAGTGTCAGACCTCTCTGGGAGGGGCCTGATAGAGGGCATTGGCCCCTCCTCTTGGAATCATTTCGTCTGCATCAGGACTTTTCTTTTTTTTTTTTCCTGGAGCCCAGGGAGGTGTGCAGTGCAGGACTGTGCTTGCAGAGCTCCAGCGGGCCTCTCCTTTCCCTCAGGCCCTCAGGTGCGGAATAAGAGGAGCTGACAGTCATCTGCTTATCAGGCGGCTTTGTGCCTTTAAGGGGAGCTGAGTGGTGTGTACATGGGTCTCTGAAAGGCGGAAATCTGCAAGATGTGCAGCCCAGTCCTCTAGCAAGCTGGGGGCTTCCTTCCCGCCCCACCAAGGACACTGTCTGGAAATGGGAAGTCTCAACCTTGAAGACTCAGCTAACAAAAAGAAACTCTCTCATGGTTTTGCAAACAGCCTCAGCCTTTCTGCTTAAGTCCTGGTAATCAAGAAAGATAATTCAGGCCATTTGTGACTTCAAATAATAATAATAATAGTGATTATAGCTAACATTTATTGAGAGCTCACTCCAGGCCAACCACTTTGTTGATTAACTCATTCCTTTCAACTTTGGAGGAGCACTATGATTGATCCCCCTTTTAGGTGAGAAAAAGAGGCACAGATCACAGCTTGTTGGGTCACACAGCTACTAATTAGCAACAGAATCAGAATTTGAGCCCCAGGAGTTGAATCCTTGCCTACCAGGTTTAATGAGTTTATTCTGCCTCTTGCCTGAATCTTTTGGCCTGAGGACTTCATCTCTCCTCAAACCAAGAAAAGCCATCTTTAGGGTGTTTCATCTCGCTGTATGGCTGGTCCCACTGGGAAGTCAGCTCTCTGCATATATGTGACCTCAGAGAAGGCTTTTCGGACCACCTGAATTCATTTGCTGACACAAATATATTCTCTTACAGTTTTGGAAGCTGCAAGTCCGAAATCAAGGTGCTGACAGGGCTACGCACCTTCCAGAGGTTCTGGGGGAAAATGCATTCAATGTCTCTCTCTCTTAACTTCCAGTGGCTGCCAGCAATCTCTGGCCTTCCTTGACCTGTAGACACATCACTCCAATCTTTGCGTTCATCAACATATCACTGTCTCCTCTGTGGGTCTTCTCTCATGTCTTTCTCAAATCTCTCTCTACCTTTCTCTTATAAGGACATTTGTTGTTGGATTTAAGGCCCACTTGGACCACTCAGAATGAGCTCCTTATTCAGGATCCTCAACTTACCACATCTGCAAAGATTCTTTTTCCAAAGAAGGAAACATTCACAGGTTTTAGGGATCAGGACATGGATATATCTTTTTTGGGTCCACCATTCAACCTGTTACACCCCCAAGTCTAGAACAGATCTCATTGCCTGCCTCTATCCCATTACTCTGTATTCTTTCCTGTCCAGCATCTGTCACTATCCAGAGCTTTCTAATTCCTTTATGCATTTTCCACAGTGTCCTCAACCAGGGTGCATCTGGCATTTTGAGCAGGGCAAATATTCACTGTGTAGAAATGAGCTTTTCCTTGCAAAGTATTTAGCATTTCAACCTCCATACCAGGGTGGGGAGGAGAGGGACAGAGATAATCTTTATGACAATCAAAGAAATTCCTCTTATCTCCCACAGATATCCAGTGCCCCCACTTGGCAGACAGTACGGGCTCAGGGTCAGAGCCCCCAGCTAACATGTTTTGTTTTTATTATCTGTCTCCTTTAACAGGAATGAAAGCTTCATGAGAGCAGGGAACTCATCTGTCTTGCTCTCTCCTGTATTTGCAGAGTCTCAAACAATGCCTGGCCCCAAGCAGACACTCAACATATATTCTCTGAATGCACAAAGAAGATCAAGATGCTGTTTCTGGAAATGTGTTTTGGATGTTTCCCTTTAGGCTGCTCCAGCCTAAGAAGGGAAAGTCACATGACATGCACTTCAATAACAATGAAAAAATAACAAGATAAGTCTTAAGCCTCATCCCTGGGGCACCTCACTTTCCACTACCTCCCCACTCCCTCCTCTCCTTGGCAGAGCTGCATGAGCACTCAGAGCCATTCCTTAACCAGCTGTCCTGGGCCCTGCCATGTAGTTCCTTCCTTGCCAGCCTGAAGTACTGCTCCTGCAGTCACCTGGTGTCTATTGTCATCCCCACAGGTTTCTTCCCATACTGCTGCCACAAAATTAGCGGGTGAGCTTCAGTCCAGGGGCCTGTGTTCTTGCCATCTGGTGGAGATTCTGCTTCTTCACTCCTGGCTGGCCACTAAAGCCAGCTGCCATTTCATTCACTACCTGTGTGAGTACAGGTAACTCACTTTACTTCTGTGATTTTCAGAAATCTCATCCATAAATCAGGAATGACACTTGATGGATTTATCAGCAATTATAGCCCCTGGCAGATAGTTTAGTTATACCATAAATGCTTATTTCTTTTCTTTGCTTTTTATAAGGAAAAGAGAGACCAGGAAGGATGCAGGGAGGCTCCTACCTCTTCCTGGACCATGAAGACCTCCCCAGTTTGTGTTGGAGGGAATGGTAGAGAGGTATGGTGAGAGGATCTAGGCAAGGCCTACAGGCACTGACTGACACCTGTATGGGATTAGACTGGATTGGTGCAGAAAATGAGGAAGGCAAAGGATTACCTAGTGGTTAGGCAAATGGACTTTAGAGTTAGTAACCCCAAATGTGACCTTGGGTAAAGCATCTGTGAGAGAGAAAAAATAAATAACTTGCCCAAGGTCAGACAGCTGAACATGGTAGAGCTGGGAATTAGCCTTTGCAATAGACAAAGTGTATGCTTTTCCTACTGCACCATTCTGCCTTCCTTACGTAGTCTCTCAGGAACATTGTTGCCTCAGCTCCAGGGCTGAAAAGCAGCCAAGAATGGTTTTGTTCTGCCCAATGTGTTTGAAGGAATGCTTCAGATTTCTTGATACATTAGGAAACAGAGGCACAGATAATAGAAATCAATGTGCACTTCCCAGGCTCTGTGTGAATTTGGCTATGAGACTCGGTTGTAAACACACATGCATGCACACACACAGCCCCACCATCACCACCACCACCATACAGACATTGTTCAAGCTCAGGCCAGCTTCAGAAGTCAGCAAGGTCCTGGGCGACCACAGGAAAATCAGCAAGGCTGAGGCGGAAAGCAACGTGCAGGTAATCGAAGGTGATTGTGCAGGGATCATCGCCTCCATTTAGGTGTCAATTGTGTAATTTCCAGCTGTTCCTCAGTTCAACAGCTGGAGTTCAATATGCTCAGGGCTTATTTGGAGGCTCCCAGCCAGGGAACTCAATATTAAGCTGGCTTCCAGGATCTAGAAAAAGCAGCTACTATTGCAGTAAACCACAGAGGGGAGGCCCCTTTTTTTCCATCCACTTAAGCAATGGTGGGTCTTTGGGAACAATACTGGTGCTGCCTATAATTGGCTGGTCTAAAGCAAAATAAAACTGAAAACAAAAGATCCTAATACAAAGATATGAAGTGAATTAATCCCTTTATAGAGATTATTTCATTTTGCCCACTCCTGTGGTTGGGTCATTTTATCATTCCCATTTTATATCAGTAAGATATATAGTTTTTTCTATGTCAAACAAAGCCATGGTTTTCAGAACTTGTTACAGAAGCCAGATCTGTTTGACCCCAGAACCTGAGCTATGTTCCCCCTATTAATAAGACCCAGCCTCCAGGCAGGGCTGTACTCTAGTTTGGAAAAGTGCTGCCTGCTCATTCAGATTCTGCTACTTGGAAAGTGGACGCTGCTCCAGGAGGGAAGAGGGAAGCCGCCTGAAGCAGACATCCCTGGGGACTGGCAGGAGCACTTAGCTAGGCCTCAGGTGGAAGACTTGTGTGGATACCATGAACATGTCTTCTTTTATGATGTCAGCATCTTCATCAGAGTAATTTGGAGCTGGAAGGTAGTGGCTTTTATATTTCATCCCACCTTTGATTTTTACTTCCCATTCTTTGTCCCCTCCACAAAGCCAAACTGCATGCTTTTCTCCCTCTCTTTTCCTCCCACCGTTTAATTATCCTATCTGGTGATAGCAAATACCCAGGCTACACACCACACTCCTGGGACCACGGTAGGCATTACTAATTAATCATAACATTCTTTCCCAGGAAGCCCAGGAACTGCCTTAGATTTCTTCTTAAAGCAGAAATCTAGGAATTTACTTCAAATGGTTGTTGGCCCATGAGCTGGAACCTAACTGAATGCCTGGGCTATTCATTCACTTGTTTATTTATTACATATTTGTGAAGGACCTACTATGTCAGGATACTGTTTTAAGCACTGGGAATTCAGCAGTGAACAGAAACATATAATCTTGGAATATATATTTGAGTGATGCAGACCAGTCATTCAAGTTAAAGACAGTGAAACAGTAAAGGGATTTGACCTTAGATTTCTGAATTTAAGCCAAGAGGGGCAAATGTCACAGGACTGGGATAATGGGCAATGTTGTGAGTGATGAAAGTGATGGGATTGGCCCTCCAGCAGGTTATTCCTGACTATGAGCCCACTGGGTCCATGACTCTGAAAGACTGATCTGTCTGGTGACCAGAATTAAAGTCATCAGGGCCAGGGAATCTGAGTTCCACTGAGCACTCCGCCCCTAATTTGGTGTACCCTTAGAGCTCTCGGCCTCTGCTCACTTTAGGTCATTGAACTGTTATTGAACATCCACCATGGGCCGACCACTGGGAGAGGCATTTGGGACACAAGTCAAAAGGATGGATGCTCACAGTGAGAAGAGGTGGTGGGCTGGTGGCATATTTTCTCAGTCTCACATTTCTCTTCTATAAAAGAGAGTTGGACTAAATGATCCCTAAGGCCATTTTTATGTCTGATTTTTCCATGCCACTTGAGGTGGTCATCTCAGAAACATGACTTCCCAATTCTGGCCACCAAACCAGGTTGTTCTCTATCCTGGCTTTGCATTGATATTGCTGAGTCGGGAAAGCCTGGTGGTCATGAATGGCTTGCCTGAGTGCCATTCCTGCTCTCCATCGCTTACAGCATTGCTCAGTACCCTGAGTACTGTGAGGGTACTTACTTACTCTGTTTGGGCTCAATCCTTGAATCTATTGTCTACTGCTGGCCCATCTGGAATCCCACATCTTTAGGCTTCTTATTAGATGAGAGGACACAGAACCATTGTGTCCTTCTTGTCCTTTCCCTTACTCCAGGTCACCTGTAGTTTTCTGCTGAGTACTCCATTCCCTTTAAAGTTATACCAGAAAGAGTGACTCAAGCCGGGGGAACTTTCAGTGGTGGGAAAGGGTGGCAGATATGGGTATAGAGCCAGACTTTAGGCAATACTTCAATGAAACCATCAAAAAACTACTTGCTGTGGCTATGATCAAGTTAGAAGGCAGAAAAACAAGAAAGACACTGCATGTGGGTGTGCGTATTTAGAAGGTGGCACAGGGATAAATTACAATGTGGAAGGTAAATATCATGATGGCATGAATATATAAACAAGAGAAATCAGAACAGAATAGAAAAGAAATAAGAAAAGAGGATGGAGAGTGTGTACTGAACTATCTCTAGATGGTAGGAAAAGGACATTGAAGATTTTCTGCTGACAAAATTCAATAGGATTGAATTCGCAAGTTTCACTTGGTGCTAGGATGTACCTCCTAACAACATGCCTGCAATTTTGCAATGGACATGCTAAAGTAGTAGGGCACCCCAAAATATGAATAGCCCCATCAAGACCCATGGTCTAGTCAGTTATTTTGTGCTAAAATATATCTCTATACTGAAACAATAGCATATAAACAAATGCATATGTATATGTGTACATATATGTGTGTATATATGTATACGTATGTATGTACATGTGTATATGTATGTGTGTATATAAGTATATGTATGTGTGCATATGTACATATGCATGTGTATATATGTATGTATATGTACATGTTCATATTAATATAAAGTATGTCTTTAGCGGTCCTGTCCCACATAATAGTCCAGCACAGCATAATAGACTCTCAGCTGGGGCTCACGAAATGTTTCTCAAATGAATGGAACTGGGAACAATTAGATTCTTTATCCGTTGTGCAGTGTTTCCTCCTGTACTCTAAGGGCAGCCTGCTTGAAGGTGATACAAATAATACATTCATACCCTTCTGTCCCAGCTCCAAATAATGTTTTTATTTCACTTGTGACTCTCTTACCTATAGCCATTAGCACATAGCATTCCAGGGTCCACTGCAGATATTATGTGAACTAATAAGGACAATAGTTGACCACTTCAAAAATTAGAAATGACTTTAACTTGTGGCTGCTGGGGCAAAACTTGTTTTTGGTGTAGCAGGATTCATTGTGGAATAATAACAATTATAGTAGTAGTATTAATAATAGTAATATCTGTTGAGTCCTTAGAGTCTACCATGAGGTGGGAACTATGCTAGATACTTTGCATATCTGAAAAGTGTTATTCTTATTGTTAAAAGTATTATGAAGATTGTTACTTACATGATTGATCCAAACAGGTGCACAATACTTTATATGTATTATCTCATCTAATTTTCACATTTCTGTGAAATAGTGGCTGTTATTTACTTTATGCAGGTGGTGAAATTGAGGATCCAAGAGGGTGAGTAATTTGCCCCAAGTTACCCACACACTGTGTAGCAGCCAGAATTCACACCCCAGGGAAACAGTCTTCCAGAACCCCTGCATTTTTTAGAATGGGATCCTGGATCAGAGAAGTGGTGGAAAACAGGGGGGACGCAAGTCATGCATCCTGGTGGGGAGATCACCAGGGTGGCCACTTCCCATGGTGGCAGTGAGGAGTGGAGGAGATTATGTGAGTCAATGTCTAGACTGGCATAGGCCACTGAGAAACCCTCATGAAGAGCAGTCTCCTTTCCTCCCCCTTGAAGCAGCAAATGTAACTAATAGTATGAAATGTCTAGATTTATTTTTCTTTTTGAGTGACATACAGATATTTCTGAGTCAGTTTTGATGGGGATTATTTTCAGTGGCCATAGAAATACTCCCCATTACCTCGTGCCTCTGTTAATCTCACATGTTGATCCTCACAGCAGAGGTTACTACGATAGACCGAAAAATAATAAAGCTAATAATAGTGAAGTGGCAAAGCCTCCCAACTTTTAATACTGTAAGCTTTCTGTCTAAAAGATGTCATTTCTTTCAACGGCTTCAACTTTCTTCAAGGCAGAAAACCACTGAAGCTGCAGCATAGCTGAACATCTGTCTTATCATGTGGGCAGATATTGGGATTAAATTAACTAGAAATGAATAGAATGATGTATGACAGGGTGCAGATGTCCCAGGCACAGTGTGATAATTTCATTGCAAAACTATGTAATGAATTCCATACATTATGGAAGTACAAATGTACCACTTTAGGTAATTGTGATGAAAAGGTATAATGTGCAATGCATAAACAGAGTGTGAGCCCAGGGGCATTTCTCCTCTGCTATTTCTCTTTAGTCATTTCAGAATGACTTTATTTGGTTTAATGTAAGCCTATTATTATTAGAGTCTTATTTTTTTGGTCTGCCCCTTCAGCATTTCTTGCCTGGTTGGCATAAGAAATATTTGGAGCAGAGGAATAGAATTTGGGTGGGTCAGAGCTTTGGCCTCCTGGAGAGTGATGGCTGGTGACAACATTTACAAAAATGTGTTTGTTGTGAGAATTTCAGAGCAAGGATTTACCTCCCCTCTTTTCTTTCTTCCCAATAGGCTGGGAAGATTGCTTCAGTATCCCCTGCTAATGTGTGCATGGGATTCAGGGTTGTGTGATGGGAAGAGACATGGATTTAAGCCAGAAGACCAAGGTTCCTCTTTTGACTCTGTTCTTGACTGCTGTGTGACCTTGGGCAAATCACTCCACCTCTCTGAGCTGCTATCTCCTCATTTATACAATGCAGCTGATAATACTGTATCATAGTGTTGCCAGGTACCAACGAGAGAGCTCAAACATCAGTTCTGAGAAAATAAGGACTCTGTTTTGCTTTTTAGCACTTTGCTAGGCACTATTTTATGCCCAGTGCGTAGCAAAGTGATCACACAGAACAGGTAACTGATAACTGTTTTTAAGGACATAAGTTAAATAATTATGTGCTAGGCAAAGTGTCTAGCACAATGCCTGGCACATAAGAGGCATTTAATTAATATTTCTTGAATTCTGATGGTTTGAAGAAGTTTACTTGCAGAGACCTTCAAATTGAGCTGTTGGTAACACAGGCACTGAACAGCCCATTATACAGAGTCACTGGCCAAGCATCAGGTACAGCTTGGCTCAGAGAAGGGCTGTGGATCTTCCAGTGTCACACAGCACCATAGAAGTAGGGCCAGGACTCCCAACAGCTTCAGTTTGCCTGCTTTGCCAGGCTGCCTCCTGGCTGGGATTAAGCAACGAGGTCTGGTGTGAAACAGAGGTCTCTCCTCCCTGGAGTAGAAGCATACCTTTGCTAGTATGTGTTCCATCAGGGAACAAGAAGAAGGTTTCATTCTGCAGCAAATGGCTGGCCCGCAGCCCTGCTCACCAAGTGAGAGTGACAGCCCCGTGGTCACAGCTGGGGCCAGCCCCAGCCCTATTTTTCTCCCTGTTCCACTGCTCTGTTCACATAGCCCCTCTCTTCCCCTTTAAGTCTTCTCTCCACCAATTATTTGCCTGGGGTGACATCAGTGGAAAATGTGAGGAGATGGCAGCAGGGCCGAAACCTTAGCCTTCCCTGGGAGGCTAGAAAAGCCTGTTTTTAATGCTCTGATTGGTCCTTGATTTCCCCAGCTTGTTTGTGCCATGTAATGCTTTCGGCACAGTTGAAGCCAGATGCCTGGGGTGATTTGAGGCCACCGAGGGCCTGGGTCCCCCTGTCCACTGGACAGATGCTTCACTGTCTGTCCTCCCAGGGAGGGATCCTACAGTGGAAAAGTCATGAGGTGGGGGTTCCTTCTTCCCCCACGTGAATGTTGCTGCATTAAAAGCTGTGAGTTTGGGGTTGGTCACAACACATCTTCCTTCCCTTGCTCCAATCTTCCCTTCTCTGTCCTCTCCCCACAAGCCTCAGGGCTTTCTGCAGGGCCTAGATTTTCTTGCCAATTTGGATGACTTGAAAGGAACATTGTTTGAAATCGAGATTTGAGGAAGGTGCTAATCTTCCGCTGCTTATCAAATTTGAGCAAAAAATGTTGACATCTCACTTTCCCAAGTGCTAGCTCAGCTTTTTTGTGTTCCACTGCAAGAGAGGAACCAGCTGTGTCTAGCAGGGGATTAAAAACTCAACTCGGACTCCCCAGCCCTTTATACCTGGTCTCAGCAGACCCAGGGGCACAGCAGGGATTGTGGGGGGCTTGGAGGTGTCCTCATCCCCAACAGCACTGCCCTCTCATACCCCTGGAGGGGCATTCCATTGATTGCCTCTGCTCCTGCTCCTGCTTAAACTCTTAAGGAAAAAGAAAACTGCTGCTGAGAAGTTACTGCTTTAAATGTGGAGAGAGCTCTTCATTTTCTCACTATGAAAGACATATTTGGGATCATCTGGTTTTCCAAGCAGTTGCCCAGTTTATCTCACTTTAAATCAACTCTTTCAGACTGGACCCTTTCCTGGATGAATTAATTGAGCGTAGCTAAAACCAAAATGCTCTCGCGATTAAGGAGCTAGGAACAGGGGCACTGTGTCAAGGATGTCAGCTCGCGAGGATGGTGGCGAGTTGTTTACTTCTATTCTCATAACAGAAAGAACAGGCAGGCTCAGCCCACTGGAAATAATTTTGAATAATCTCACTCTATTACTCGAAGCGAAATTGAGTCTGCTCAAGCTACCCTAGTGATCCGACATTTCAGCGAAACGGAGAAACTAATATCCAGTTCATGCAGCATAAAATAAGTGACATAAGGAAAAGCAGGATGGAATCTGGAAGTTTTTAGTTTTCAATTTGTATGGCTTGTCTTCTATTACTGGATCAAGTCACTAATGCGGCTCACACAGAGGAGGAGTTTTCATTAAGCTCTTGGTCACTAGTGGTAGTGGGCATGTGTTTGTGTGTGTGTGTGTGTGGGTGGCTACTGATGCCTGACACTGATCTGAAATATACATCACTCTGTGTAAATCAAATCTAGAAAGAAAATTTGTCTAAGAAATGGAAATTGAGTCCTGTGTTACCAACTGGAGTTCTCCCTGCTAAGAGGGCAGATGACCTGGAATTTAGATTTGACCCTTTAGGAAATGCTCCCAGTGTGGGGGAAATGGCTCATTAGCTTCATCCACCAGCCCTGACATGGTCTGTCTCCTACGAACATGCACTCTGCTAAGGGAACTGTCATCCTCTGAGCCAGGAGGAAACCTTAACATCTCTCTTAACTCTTTCCTCCTTCATAGCCCTTATACCTTACTAGTTGCTAAATAATTGGATCTGGCATCAAATTATCTATTGCTTCAATTCTCTCCTCTCCAGGTCTGGTTAAGACACTGATCCCATCTTTCTAGTAATCCTAATTGCTCTTTATCCTGCCTGTATCTCTCTGCTTTAAGCTGTCCTCTTTCTGGTTACTAAATCACCCTAAGCACAACTTGAATATATCACTTGCTGCTCAAAAGCACTCAATGGCTCCCCATTGCCCAGTAACTAAAATTCAAACCCCAGAGCTTATCATTCAAAATTCTCTACAATTTGGCTCCAGGCTTCCTTTCTAACTCAATCTCACATGTTCCTCTTCATTCATACTGAGCTGCAGCCAAGTGCAAGTGGTTCTGGTTTTCTTGCACATGCTGCAGGCAGTTGTCTGCCTTTGTGTGTTTGCTCACATGGTTTCCTCTGCATGGGTGTCCTGCCTTGCCTGCCCATCTGTGCAGTTCCAGATCCTACTCATCCTTAAAAATCTATGCCAGGTGCTACCTCTTCCAGGAAGACTTTCTTGATCCTCTGGGTGGAAGGAGGTCCTTCCTCCTTAGGCTCCTCATTGTTCTTACAGCACAGGGGCAACAACATAGATCATAAATAAAATGTACAGCAATGAAGTCAAATGTCTAAAGGAGAGTCCCAGCTGTGGCGTCATGTATATGCCACTTAAATTCTCTGTGACACAGGTTTTCTTCTGTGAAACTGAGCTAAAAATAGCATTTACCTCTCAGAGAATTTCAGGGAATTCAAGGGGACAATATGTGCAATGTACTCCGTGTAGTGCTTTTTGCATGGCAAGAGTTCAACAGACTTTTTTTTTTTTAGTTACTTTTCTCTTCTGCAGTAGTGCAAGCTTTTAAAGGATAGGCCCATCATTCAACTCAACATTTTTCAACATCTATTCGAATCACATCCTATGCTGGGTTTGAGGACATATAGAAATAAATAACACATAGTACCTTCCCTCAAGGAGCTCATGATCAAGGGTAGAGGTGATAAATGAGCAAACAGTGGCAACACATTGGGTTAAGGGGTGTAATAGAAGTGACCCCAGGGAAGGCAGTGTGGTGAGGTGGCTTCACTCTGTTCAAATCCCAGCCTAGTCACTTCCTAACTGTGTGACCTTAAGCAATTACTTCACCTCTCTGTGCTTCAGTTTCTTCACCTATAAATTGGGGATAGTAAATGGTACCTATCTCAGAAGATAGATGTAAGGGTTACAAAGCTTGAGAACCAAGTCACACCCAGGACAGGGCCTGACTGTTTGAAAGAGCTCAGTCATGGTTAGTTACTATCGCGGAGCTTTTGGAGATCTGATTGATGCTTTGGCTTTGGGCAATTTCTCTGCCAGAGAGGTGAGCTTTTATGAGAATAAAGACATCATGGTTCAGAGAAGCCACCACTGGAGGCAGAAGGCTTCTCAGCTGTCTGTTTAGTGATGCACTTTAAGCTCAGAGACCACTCCTCTTTTAGAACATAAACCATTCCCGCCTGTGTAGTGAATACAGGTGTGGATAGGGCACGCTATTGGCCAGAGGATTTTGCTGCATCTCTTTACATTTCCTAGTGCTAAGGGTCTGCTTCTGCTCTCCTAGGCTTCTGTCCAATAAAAGTCCATTCAAAGAACACCCTCCACCCCTTTGTCATGTTTGAACATTGAGATCTTATACAATAGGGATGGATGAAACTTTATCAGGCAGTTTTAATTGGCCTCAACTCTGGTACCTGCTTTTGTGACCTTGGTAATCAGCCCTCTTGAAAAATCAAAACCCCTCCAGAGTCTGCAGCTTTATTTCCCAAACCCTCACTCTCCTCATGCTGTGGGTCACTTGTACTTGGTCAAGGGAGGCCTGGGGATTCACAGCTCAGGTAGTCTCTTGCTGTGATTGGATTGGGTCTTTCCTGGTTGGAGGTGGCAGCCAAGGAGATTCCTGGACAGCACTGTCCTGGGAGACTATTTGACCAAAGCAGGGCACATTCACCTCTGATGTGAGTTTGTACTCAGGCCTGTTATTCAGAGGAAGCATCAGAAAGAGCGGGGGCCTGAAGGGACCAGGAGATCACGTGCGGGTGACTGTTCAGGTGCTGTGGAGAATCAGGAGATACAAGAGAGGATTAGGCAAAAGAAATCTATTAAATAACAACTCAAACAAATTATTGGAAGTGAAGGACCATTTTTATTCCAGAAAAAGCAGGCTTTGCTAGAGCAGATTGGATTCAGGGCTCCGCATGGCATGTACATATGTACCTCTGTGTGTGTGTGTCTGTGTGTGTGTGTGTGTTACTTGTGGGAGGAGAGGATGAAACACAGCAAAGTGACCCTGAAGTCACTGCACCTGTCCCTTGTTTCTCTAGCCCACCTGCACCCAAGTGAGGAAAATTCAAAGATATTTGGTTATGAACCTGGAAATGACCCTGAATCCCCCACCAGTTCCCTCACATCTCTGCCAAAGACCCATATGACTCACTGGTGCTCCCTGGTGGACATTTGGGTTCTGTGGCTCCACCTGGGACATTGACCCAGTGTTTGGGCCTCTCTTGCTCTCATGAAGAAGGAATGAGGTATCATTGCAGCTGGAATTAGACTGCAGTGCCCAGATACTGCCCCAGCTGAAGTGGGTAGGGCTTTCCTCCCTCTGGTATCTCAACTCTTTATTTTAGGCTTCTCAGAGGAGGACTTTGCTCTTCTCATACACACTTTTGTGACTTGAGGGTCTTGGGGCTGAGTGATTAGAAGACCTATGAGGGAAATCAACCACTGTCTCAGTTCAAAGTCCACAGGCCCCTGGATTCTCTCTACATCACAAAGCAAGCCCTGTCTACGTAGGTAACCCTGGAGAGGCCAATTTGGATTTGGACTGCTGTTCATAGCCTGGGGTCCTTGCCATAACTGATGGGAGCATTCTCAAGGGCTGGCAATGCCCACCAGCCCAGGACAGCTCCATCCAGCTGTCTCACCAGAGCAAGTGTCTCCTGACCTAAGCAGGACTCCCATCCCCTAAGAGGGAGTGTGAGATGTGGAAACCTGGAATGGAATCAGGCGACCTAGGTTCAAAGCTCTGGCCTCTCCTAAGAGTGTGACTTTGGCCAAATCATTGAATCCTTCCAAGTCCCATTTTTCATGATTACAGAAGAGAAATAATAAAATACCTTCCTTACAGGGTTGTTGTGGGAATTAGAGGTGACATGCTTGAAGTGAATGGACTGGTGCCCAGCGGGTCATCACAAAGATAACAGCAGCTTCCATATGTTTAGTTGTTCACTAAATGCCAGACACTAATAAGTTCCTTACATATTTTGGCAAGCCCGGTTTTCATAGGCCATGTAATCATTGAATTAAATAAATGTAACTCTTTTGTTCTATGACTTCATTTTTATTAATTATATGTTTATATAAGCCCCCGTTCTGCATGATAGATATCCAATTCTAGTACTAAGGAATCTGGGTCCTCTCAGGGTTTTCTAAGTTGCTTTGGGTTTAAGCTCAATACATTCAAACTTGTTGCCTTTCTCTTTTTCCCCTTGGTGTGGCATATGCATTCTGGTGTTGAGATGTATCCTGGCATGGGTATGAGTTGAGAAAAGGCTGAGGTTCTGGCCCACAATCATTTTTTTTCCAATTATGGTGGCTGCCAAGATGTGACTCCTGGTCTTGGTCACTGGCACCCTCTCCCAGGTGTGTGGGCACTGCTGTCCCACCTGGTCCTGGCTTCATAGTCTCTCCTTTTCTCTGATATGTCATCTTTCTCTCCTAATTCTAATGCCATCCCATGCTACACAGGGGGAGCTGGCTATTTTCCAGTGCTGTGCTGGGAATACTGGAGACTTATGGGTGTCCAGGACCCCTGCCTCTGGAGCCCCATGGAACTATCTCTGCTATCTGTTCCTGGGCCCCCATGAGTTGCCATCTCACAGAAGTCCAGATGGGAGCACAGTAATGGACCCTTTCCTCTGTATCCACAGCTCTCCTGACCGCTTTTCCATCTCTGCAGCTGACACCTGTGGAGGGGAGGTGGGGCCCAGGGGAAGGGCCACAGTCCTTTGCTTTTTCTCTGGCACTCTCTCCCCTCCTCCCTACCTTGGAAAGTTTTATGGGTATGGGTAGTGAGACTGGAAAAACTGGTTCTGCTTGATCACATATTCTTCTAAATAGTTTCTGTCTTACTTCTGGACTGAGAGCATTGAACTTCAAAACCAAGAATGTGATCCCTTTGTCGTCTGGTCCTACCATGACAGCTTTCCTAAAGTAGTAGGGGCTTTAGTTTAACTGCCCCAGTGCGGGTAGGTTGAGATGGAAATAGGAAATGCAAGGTGGATGGGTAAGGAGACTATCACCATCTCACTGCAGACGCTAATCTTATTTAATCTTTCAAACAACCTTATGATGCAGTTTCTATTATGAAACTCATTTTACAGATGATAAGCTAAGGTTCAAAGAAATGACTTGGCTGGCTGATTCCATTTATTCAATCAAAAATATTGATAGAGTGTCCACTATGCACCAGGTACTGTTCTCGGTTTTGGAGAATACAGCAGTGCACAAAACAAACAAAACTCTTGTCCTCATGGGGCCTACAGCCAAGTGGGGTAGGTAGAGTAGGGCACAAACAGTAAGGAAGAAGATCAACAGGTATGTGATATAGTTTATCCCATGGTAATAAGTTTTAGGGATACATATAAATCATGGAACGAACATAAAGAAAGCAAGGAGGATATGGCTTCAAACAATATGGCTCACCAAAATGAATCAGGTGAATAATCCCACATCGGAGGGGAAGGAATCTCAGAAAGAGGAAAGAGCAGGACAAAGGCCCTAGGCTGGGAGTGTACTTGGTTCAGTAGCTCTAGGAAAAGGGCTGGGATTTGAACCTAGTCAGTTTGACTGCAGAGTTCATGTACTTCACCAGCATCTGATAGGGTTCAAGTTATGATAGTCATTGTTCTGTCGCTTTCCGTGGCTCGATGTTAAATGCCCTTCCCCTTTATGAGTCTTGGTGAGTAGTTGAAAATGCCAGAGGCTCTATTTCCTAGCATTTTACAGCTCCTATAACTGTAGAATGGTTGTAGGTCACAGGTATAACCAATGAAAACACAACCTAAGATACAAATCAGGAGCTACTGATGCAAAGAATGGGGACCAGGAGGAAGAGTTTCTTCGAGACCTGGTGGTTGAAGAGCAGTGGATCATTCTTGGCTGTGGTGGGAGAGGTGCTGAACGTTGTTCACGCTGGCTATGTCATGAGTGGAATCTATGGCGTCAAGGCTAGGTAAGGCAGGGTTTGCATCTGCACTTGACCAGTTCTGTGGTGTGACCTTGGGTGTTCTTGGCTACATAGCCTTGAGCCGGTTTCCTGACACTTCACGGCCATTTGTTGAACTAACTATTATCCATCTGTTTACTCCTTCAAAAGCAACATAGGTTTTATTTTTAGTTCAATAAAAAAAGACTAGATGACAGAAACATTTTCTTTTTCATCCCTCCACCCTATCCCTCAAATTTAGACTTTGCAATTTTTATAAGGTTTGCATGATGATAAATAAGAAATAGAAATGTTATTAAAATTGAAGTGAATTTCCTTTTGGGCTGTGGAAAATAATGAAAAAGCTATTTCATCTGTTTTCTTTCCTATTTCAAAATATAAAATGGAAGATGAGGCTGCTTGCTGTTTTGACATTGTCAGGCATGTCTCATATGCCCTCAGTAGTTCTCATGTTACTTCAACAAGGTCTCTGAGCAACTGAGAAAAATGGTTCCTATTCATTTCCTCTGTGTTGTCTTCCGAGAGCAGTAAAAAGACCGAGATCTCCTTGGAACATTTTACTTCATCTGTAAAATGATCTTTCTTTTCTTTCTAAAAATATATTTTCTAAAATGAATTAATTTAAGAGGGAAAAATTAACACACTTCTTTAGATACATTGCCCCCAAGAGATGACCATACTTTAAGTAAAGCTGAAACCCAACTCACAGGCCTATTATCTAATTCTATGTTTTTCCCCTTGAATTTTTTATTTTTTAAAGTTAATTATGGATAAAATTTGAAGAATCAAATAGCTTTAGAAATCTCTGGCCCAAGGTCATTCTTTTTCCAGTGATAGTGGCTGCCAAGATATAATTCCTAGTCTGACAGGGCTTGAGATATGGCAGTCAAATTACAAAAATTATGCCATATTAGTTATGGAATAAAATTTGAAGAATCAAACAGCTTTGCAGAGTCAATTATACCAAATAGAAGCTCTCTGTCCCCCATCTCCTCATGTTTTCTTTCTCAGAGACAACCACTTCACCCCAAAAAGCGAATAGATTTGTTATTTACTTCCATGCCCTTATTAATAGTAATACACTCAAATTGCTGCTTACTCAGTGTTCGGTTTAGGCATTACCTGTGGACTTCCCATGAGGGAAGATGAGAATTTAGCTCCTTGCTCTCCTGACCCCACTCATCTTCTTCCCAAACCCCACATCCTTCTAATTATAATATGATAATGTTATCATTTTGAGAGATAAATATTCAGTGTTTATATTATTATCTTCAGGCAATGACCTTTACAAATGATTCATGTAGCAAACTGATTTTTCGTTTCCTTCACAACGTTTAGTTTTTTTCTATGGTTAATATTTATCATTTTCCCCCTACTTGCTTAGAATTACATGTAGAAATCAGTAACTAAATTGCAAACCCTTTGTCCAATATGTATATCTCTCAAGACTTATTTACATGAGGTTTTCTAGCAATTTCTCTCCAGGAGGCTCCTGACTTCTTATGATCTCTCTCTGCCTGTGCACAGCATTCTTCCTGGGATCTACCTTCACCATCTTCTATCCCATTATTCCCTCTTTTTCTTGGAGTGCATCCTCTAGTGGCTTTCTGGGAAAGTTGAATGGAAAGTAATCTTTTGTGATCTAAAAATATTTTTATTTTACTTTTACACCTTATTAATAGTTTGAGAATAGAATGAATTTTTAAGGTATTGCTCCATTGTTTTCCAACCTCCAGCTTGATATTAGCCTGAAGCCAATCTGATTCCTGAGCCTTTGTGGTGTGTTTTTTCTCTGGAAACTTGTGGAACTTTCTCTTGGTTCCTATTATTTGGAAATTTTATAATGCTATGTCTTGCCATAAGTCCTTAAAATTTTCTTTTTAATCCATTGCCCTGATAAACTATTTTATCAGGAAACTCAGGTTCTTTTGTCCTGGGGACTTTCCTTGAATTATATTTTTGATAATTGTATTTGTTTCATTTCCTCAAATTGCCTAGAAATCCTATTATTTGGTTATTAGATCTCCTGACTTATGTTTTAAATTTATTTATATTTTACTTTCTGGGTAGTCTTCTCTTCATCTTTTTTTTTCCTGGAAATTTTCTAATTTAAAACTTCCTATTGTGTTCCTCATTTTTGTGATATTTTTAATTTCCCTGATCTCCCTTTTGTTCTCTGAATATTCTCAGTTTTCAGTTTTTTTAGGAATGATTGCAGTATTAATTTTCTAAGGATATGACTGACAGGTGTTTTTATAGTTTTCTTCTCACTAGTTCTCCATGGTGTACCATTAAAATGAAATCTATGATGTCAGAAGCTTTCCTTAGATATCTGGGTGTCTGACAGCCCTTGGTTGTCTGACCATATTTCGGAATGTAGGACTTCAAACCTGAATAGAGGCTTTAGACACGTTATAAGATTTGTCAACTGTGAGCTTAAAGGTAGGGTGGCTGGGCTTTTACTCAGAGAGCCTTCCTTGTCAGTACCTGAAGTTCTTTCACTTTTTGTTTGGTTGCGTTTTGTCAGACTCCCCAGAGAAGTCCCTTTCAGTCTCTTTCCTGGAGATGATATTGTATTCTATCTGCCAGCATTCTAGAGTCAAGAAGAAAATGATGCTGAGCCTCAACATTCAGTAAGGACACTTTTACCAAATGTTCCTATTTTCAATATAATATATCCATCTCCATTATGCTTACTGCTCTGCCATTTAAAATCCCTGACCTGTAATCCCAGCTCTTTGGGAGACTGCGGCAGGTGGATCACTTGAGGTCAGTAGTTTAAGACCAGCCTGGCCAACTTGGTGAAACCTCACCTCTACTAAAAATACAAAAATTAGCTGGATGTGGTGGCATGTGCCTGTAATCCCACTTACTCAGAGGCTGAGGTGCTAGAATTGCTTGAATCCAGGAGTTGGAGGTTGCAGTGAGCCAAGATCATAACACTGCACTCCAGACTAGGTGGCAGAGCAAGACTCTGTTTCAAACAAACAAACAAACACCCTTTGTTTTAGAACAGTGGCTCTCACATTTCACTGGAGAGCTTGTTAAATCACAGATTGCTGGGTCCCACCCCTTAAATTTCTGCTCAGTTAAGTCAGAGTTGTGGTGCAATAATTTGCATGTCTAACAGGTTCCCAGGTAATGCTGAAGCTGCTGCTCCTGGGTCCACAACAGGAGAAGCACTGCTTGCGAGAAAAGGACTCCAGTCTTGGCTGGGTGAACAGGGGCAGTTGCCCTACTGTGAGGAGTGGTGTGGGATCTGATTGATTTTCACACAGATTTTTTACCCAATTCACCTGTCTTTAGCCCAATCTTTACCCCAGTTTCCAGAAGTTCTCAGCTGCTGTAAAATCCTGAGCCTTTAGCTAGTTTTGTGATATAAACTGGGTTGCCTCTTGACTTTTCCCACTGCTGGTTTAGGATTCAGCATCCCAAAATTCACTAAGACAGATTTTTGTCTTATTTTATTTCTAGCTTCCAAAATTTTGTTGCTATTGCCTTCTCTCTTGTTCTTTTTTGCTTTGTTAATGTATGGCTTCTAAAATCCCTTCACTGTCATTTTAGTGAAATTTAGGAAGGGATAAAAGTATAGTGAATGCTCCCAGTTCTCTACTTTTAAACTAGAATCCTCATATCTTTTTTCAGTCCTGGAGAATTCTATTGTTTTATCACGTTACTTCCCTTTCACTTCCTCTATGATTTTTATCAGGAACTCAGATGTATGTTGGAGACTCTCAGTCCATTCTCTACTTCCCTAAACTGTTCTTTGCATTAATTTTTTAAAAATCATCCCTTTTTCTCTTTCTGCTGAGGTCTGGCTGAATTCCTTGTTGTTATCTTCTAGTTTGCTAATTCTCATTTCAACTGTGTCTGATTCAGCATTTATTCATTGAATAATTTATTTCAATGACTCCACTGTTCATCTCTTAGAATGTGAATTGTGAATCGGTTCCTTTTTACATATATCTATTCATTTCCCACTTTTTTATTTCATCACTTTTTGCTCTTTATTTAATAGAATTTATTTCTTTGTTGTTCTCTTTGAGAATTTTAAAATGCATTTGCTTTAATATCTTTGGAAAACTGCTTTAAGAACATCAATTTTATGTGGACAGAACACATGCCCTGATTTTTCTTTTTGTTGGCTATCTTCATTAGCTTTGGCTTTCTTTATGTGCTTTATACTTTTGGTCAACAGGATAATCTCAAGTTGCAGGTTTTATTTTTAGCTATATATTATTTTCTATTTCTTGGTGCTTGCCTCTCCCTATCTGATAGTTTTCACAGTTGCTTTTACTGACCCTCATGTTCCCAGTCAAAAATCAAGTCTTCTGTCCCATGGCAATACTTCAGTGCTTCTATTGCATGGGATGAGTGTGGTCAGCCCAGTTCCTTCCTCCCTCCTTCTCTCTCTTCTTATCTACATCTTGTAGAAAGCATGGATTCTTCTTTCTTTCCTCATGTCATAACGTTTACAGGAGAAGACTCTGTCCCCGAAGGGGAAGGCCTAAGGTTGCCTAGCACTATCTGTCACTGGGTGAGCAACTCAGTCCACCTTCCAGGGTTCAGCATGTAGTATGTCGTTGCACACCTAAGGAAAAAACAGAGTTGTGATCAGTAATAAAATGATACTTTGATCTCCGTATGTCTAACTGCTGTGTCTGTATCTCAATTTCTACTGAACTTAGGTGAGGAGGGTAAAGAGAATGATGTGTTTGTCCCCTAAAATTCCTAACATTGCCCAAGTGTTTAGAGTAGAAGGGTCTCATCAAAACTTGAACTTACAAATCTAAATTTATCGGAAGTAATTTAATTTCCCAATATGCTTTATGTTAAATCCAATTTGAGATTCTCTACCTTTTAGTTTATGGATTTGTATGTTTATTTTTGGGGGATTACTTATATATATATATATGTAGAATATGTATATATCATATATATGTTATATATACTACATATATAAAATATATATTTTTATATAAAATATACAACAAAAGGACCTTGACTGCTTTAAGACCAGTCTCACTTCTCCCACTTTACATTATTGCCCTCTATTTTCATTTCACCTTGTTTTTATATCCTGAAATTAGTTATTATTATAATTACTTACTAAGTTAACATTTATTTAGATTTACCCACTTATTTGCCAGTTTCTTTGCTTGCCTTTCACTCTTGCAGCTCAACTTTTTCTTCTCTTTCAATGTGCTCTGTGAAATATAGTGTTTTGTAATATTTTTCTTTTTTTTTTTTGAGGTGGAGTCTTGCTCTGTCACCCAGGCTGGGGTGCAGTGGTATGATCTTGGCTCACTGCAACCTCTGCCTCCTGGGTTCAAGTGATTCTCCTGCCTCAGCCTCCCATATAGCTGGGATTACAGGTGCCCACCACTATGCCTGGCTAATTTTTTTATTTCTAGTAGAGACAGGGTTTCGCCATGTTGGCCAGGCTTGTTTCGAACTCCTGACCTCAGGTGACCTGCCCGCCTTGGCCTCCCAAAGTGCTGGGATCATAGGTGTGAGCCACAGCGCCTGACCAGTAATTTTTTTAAATGAAGATCTATTGGTGGTATTTGTCTTTAGTCTTCATGTGTCCAGAAATGTCTTCATCTTTAATCTTATGATTGAAGAAAAATATTTAGATCGATGTAGAATTTGAGGTTGACAGTGGTTTTATCTCAGTACTTTGAAAATATTATTCTGGCTGGGCATGGCGGCTCATGCCTGTAATCCTAGTACTTTGGGAGGCTGAGATGGGAGGATCACCTAAGGCCAAGAGTTCACATTTGCAGAGAGCTATGATGGTGCCACTGCAATCCAGCCTGGGTGACAGAGCAAGACCATGTCTCTAAAAAAAGAAAAGAAACTATTACTCCACTATATTCTGTTTTCTCCTATTTCTGTTGAGAAGTATTCTGTCAGTCAGTTAACTCATTTCTTTTCTTACTGGTCTGAGACATTTTCTTTGGACTTCCACATTTTCATTATAATATGTATCTCCCATTTCACTAATTCTCTTTTCCCTCTTTATAGTGAGTTTTCAACCCATTCATTGAGGGTTTTTTTTTCTTTTAAATTTCAATGGCAACAATTTTTACTTCTATTACTGATTTTTGGATCTTTAAAAAAATCTGCCTGACTCTTTTCCTTAATGTCTTGCTCACTTCTCATGTTCTGTTTCTTTTTGCTTTTAATGAGTTAGACTATTATTTTACAATTTTCCAATATTTATATTATCTAATTTTCTTGAAAACATGGCCCTGTTATTTTTCCTACTGTCTTGACTCAGATTTTTTCCTCATTGTATTAGTTAAGTGTTTCACTGTGAATTACATAAATAAGGAAAATAATGACATAAACCTTGCATCTGCCAGGTGCCCCAAAGTATTTCTTGTTTGAGACCTATTTTTGTTGTTGTTAATTTCTTGTGTTGCAGGGCAGGGGTGGGGGTGGGGAGGGTCACCAAAAATGTACATGTATAGTGTAAATTTGAACTTCAAACTTGTATGAGGTATGTCATTACAGTTATGTATTCTTAGAGAAGATTTTATTTTCCCTCCAGAGCTCAATCTGTACAGACAGGCATCCTTGTACACAGAGACTAGCTTGAGTGGATTTTCAAGTCTTTTCTTTTATACATGGTGTAATCCCTTGAGTGTTCTGGCTTTATGCAGATGTCTTTGTTCAGGTGTTAAGATTTGGTCTTTTGTTCCAAGGTAGGCATAAAAAGCCAAGCTTTTAGGTCAATGATATTGGCACCTCCCATGCTCTTTCACACCTCCCTACCTACGTACCAGGGCGGTTCAGGGTCAGCTCACAAGGTTCTAGTTTCCTCTTTATTTTAATTGCCCCAGGGATTTCTTTTACTTTCTTACAAGCTCTTAAAAGTTAAAATATAGCCCGGCATGGTGGCTCATGCCTGCAACCCGAGCTATTCCAGAGGCTGAGGCAGGAGGATTGCTTGAGAGCAAGAGTTCAAGACCAGCCTGGGCAACATAGCGAGAACCCATCTCTACAAAAAAAAAAAAAAAAAAAAAAAAGAAAGGAAAGAAAAAAAAAGCTAAAATACAGTTTGTTTAACATATCTTTCTAGCATTTCTAGGTGTTTTTTGAAGGAGAATTTCAGATTACCATTCTACCTATTGAAGACTATTTTCCCCGATATCCTCTTTATAAATTCCTCTCACACTTTTAATTTGCTTCTATTAGCCAGAATTTATTTCTTTTGCCTCCCTCCAAGACTACTGACAGATACAATGTGTTTTAGAATTTTCCCCCTTGGGTCTGGCCCTGATTCCTAGTGATCCCCGAGGTTTAATATGTTGCTAGAGAGCTCCAGATAGAGAATGCCAGATGGATGTTACCAGGCTTCTCATGTGATTCCCCCACCCAACCAACTCATGAAGGGGAACATATTTCAAGCCTACTTAAGCTGTTCTCCCATGAACTCACCTCTCCCATGTGAAGGTTTTGTGGAACTCCAGCTCCAGCCTCTCCCCCTCTGAGAAGAGCAGCTTAGGGTGTTCAGAAAAGAGCATACTAGTTCCTTAGATAGATTGAAATGTATCCCATTGATGCCAACTGCACTGAATAATCAGAATATGGCAGCAAAGCTTTGGAGCTTAAGGATGAAATCATATTCATTCCATCAGGATGGGGCGGGCCTCTAAATGCCCACAGCTGAAGGAAACCTGGACCAGGTTTCTCCCAGGCAGGTCCTGAGCTGCCTCAGAGTCAGCAAAAAGGCACTGGAGTGGGAGGAGGCCAATACCTCACATGCAGTGGAATTGGGGGAGCTAGGCTCATCTGCTTTTTGGTCCTGTCTTTGTTGTACATGCTAAGTCACTTTGGGCTCACTCTGTCTCATCTCTTAGCATCGTTTTCCTGATGATGCTAAGGCAATGGTGAGACCTATTTATTTTTTGTTAATTTCCTATGTTGCGAGGTCAGACAGGGTGGTGGTGGGGTGGGCAGGGTCACCAAACAACATGGATAGTGTAAATTTGAACTCCAAACCTGTGTGAGGTATGTCATTACAGTTATGTATTCTTGGAGAAGATTTTATTTTTCCTCCAGAGCTCTCTATCTTAGAGAGACAATGTATGCACTACACACTCTCTACCTTAGAGTTCTGGAGGGAAAATAAAATCTTCTCTAAGATTTCTTCACTAAGGAAATGGTGATAAGGTTGCTGGTCATGTCTACCTTATAGTGTTGAAAGGTCCAGATACCTCATAGATGTTACGTACACTTGGGAGAGAGGTGATGTTAACATCTTCACTTTATGAAGGAAGAAACTGAGGCTCAGAGAGATGAAATCAGTTCTCTGAGGTCACACAGCCAGTGAATGGCAGAGCTGGGGCTCAGCTCTAAAGCTTGTAACCCCAGAGCTCATTCCTTTTTCACAATGCCACCACTGTAGAAATGTAAGATAAAGACAGGAAGAGGAGAATTAAACGTTTGTGAGCACCTCCTCTCTGCCGGCTGACCTAAGTATGGCATATCACTTACTCTCCATACCACAAACTAAGGTTAGAGGTTAGTTGTCTTATGCTTATTTTACAGATGAGAAAACCGGGCATCAGAGACTGTCCATGATTTACCCAAAATAGCATAGTAATTTTAAGAACTAGGACCTGGCATTGTTATGATTGCAAAAACTGTGCTCATTCTGTTTTTAGTTTTTTTAACAATATTCTCCAGATATTGACATGCTCCCCTAAAATTCATATGCATTTAGACAAGGTGTAAATCAGTTAGTTCACACTTTGCTGCTGAGACTCCTTTGTGCCAAAGGTGATCAAGGTGCTCCCAGTTTTATGCATTCAAACCCAATGAGGCCTCTTTCCCTACTTCTTGCATGACAGCCCAGAATTGAGAACCGCAGTGCATATGGTGTTTGCAAAATGCTAGTTGTGTATGGGTGTTTAAACTTTAGTTTTGCATCTTTTAATTTATTTATGCAAGCAAGCCGCCTTTCATGAATTTTAATCGGTGCTGCCTTAAAGAAGTGCTTTCCAAATGGGACAGCATTTGTGATCACCACTAAGCCATTCTAACTGCTTGCAGGCCTGGGGAGAGAGGCAGTAGAGAATATTAGCAAGCTCTGCACTGTCCCTGTGTCATCCCGGGCATTGTGGCGTAAAATGTGCTTCGTGTCTAGAAAAAAAACACAACTGTGACTCGAGTCTTTGGTTATTTTTAATGCTGAGCGGCAGAACCACAGGGAATATTATGAGTTCCAAGATTTCTGACAAGAGGGACTCGCCGCTGAAGTGCTTTCTTCAGGAGAGAGAGAGAGACACAGCTACAAGTCTTTATTCATTTATTTATCATGCTTCAGTTCCCTAAAAAAGAAAACACTTCTCCTGTGCAGGGGAAATTGCTTCAATGGATAGATTGCATTTAAATAATTTAAGTATAAAATTACTCGAACAGGCCGACTGATATTTCGAAAACGAAACAGTCACAATCACTTAAGAATGCTGGCAAAGTTCGTGATTTGGTGTGTAGATGAGGTAAGAGAAGAGCTTCTCTCTGACTTGGGGAGGGGGCGGGGGGAGGGGGTCTCCATCTTACCCCAGGTGAAGCTCGTTTCTGGTCAGGTTCTTCAAGGAGAAGATGGTCTTTCAGACCCCAGAGCCTTGAAAGAGAAGTGAACTGCTCACACATTTTGGGTTTTCGTCTTTATTTAAGCAGCTAGGTAATGTAGAGAAGCCATTGGATTTGTATTTGGAAGACTCCCATCTTGTCCACAAAAGTCCACTGGCCAGCTTCCACAGTCCTGGAGTTCCTCATTAATGGATATTAACACTGACCTCCCAGGGCTGTCGGAGGCTGAATTAGTTTTCTGAGAAGACCCAGCATGGGACTTAGCATGTAGTGGTCCATTTTGTTATGTCTGCAGTACATTCTTCCATGTGCCTGAGAGGCTGTTCCTACAGAGATGCCGTCTGGATCTCTCTATTCTCAAGAAGACTTCAGCCATGCTAATGATCAGCTTTCTGTGATCTGTCCTTCCATGCCCATGTAAAACATTAACTGAGGAGGTTCTGTCCTCTCCTGTGCAGACAGCATTTCTTCAAGTTAGTTTTTATAGTCTACTAGGATGCTGAAACACCCGGAAAAGAAACAGGCCTATGGTCAAATGCATTTGCAAAATGCTATACACTCATGCCCATTTTAGGGATTCACCAGGCATTCTGACATGCCAAAGGCTCTGAGAAGTCTTGCAGACAGAGACTTTTTTTTGCTTTAATTCAACTTAATTCTGCATGTATTCATCTTATTTGGCAATGAGAGCCTCCCCACCCCACCCTCACACCAAATGCCCTATTAATATCTTTTGGAGTAGGACTTATGGAAACATATTCATGGAAATTCTACTCTAAGGTGGTTCTTCCTCTCTCTATCCAACACTATTGGCTTCTATCTTATTTTCCTCTGAACTCAATAGGACCAGCTTCAGGGGGTTTCAACATCTTCTTCTGTTTACAACTAATTAATGAAGGAGATGCACTGAGTGCTGGGCTTAACATCAATAAAGCATCATCCATACCCTCATGATGCAGTCAAGACAGAGACCAGACACATAATCAAGAAGGGTGACTGCTCTGTGCCTAGTGTTGTTAGCATGTGTGGAGTAAGGGCTGGGTTTCGGGTTCACAGGTGGGGACGACGGGAGACACTTCATGACTGGCCTGAGAATGTCAGACGAGGTCTCCTGGAGGAGAAGCCCACATCCTGTTCTCTGTTGTCATCATCGCTTGGGGGGATTTTGCCTTCGAGGCATTTAGAGGAAGCAGTATGCGCGGCGTGGGTATGGGCAGCCGCCTCTCAGCAGCACCAGTGTTTACTTTGAAGAGAAAATGTCTGCTTTGTAGGCAAATGTTTTCAGCATGGAAATGATCATTGCAATTGCTGTGGTTGTCACAAATGTTTCATCAGAGCCGATAAAGCAGCTGAGTGTTGGCAAAATCGATGAAAACATCTTGAGAAGTGTTCGCTGCCTACTTAACCGTCTGTGGCTCATCTGGTGTGAGGGAGGAGGGGAAGGAGGCGGTGAGCTGAGGCCACACATGAGATTTTGAGGCAGTGTGGCATGGTGGATGGGAGTACAGGCTTTGGAGCCATAATGCTTTGTTTGAAACCCTGGCCCTAACTCTCGTGGGCTCTGTGACCTAGACAGTTTACCTAAACTTTCTGTGCCTTCATTTTCTCATTTAGAAATTGGATAATAATATTACTGACTTCATGGTGTTGTTGTAAGTATTTAAAAGAGTCTACATATGTATAGTGCTTTTGGCACTTAATAAACATTAATTAAAATAATTTATGAGGTTTAAATAATTAAAATAATTATTTGAATTATTTGAGGTTCACAGTCCTTACACCCATATGTCTCACCTGACAAAGAGGCTTTACAAAGCACCATTCATTCAAAAAGTATTGATTGAGCACCTTCTGTGAACCAGACCCTGTTCTCAGGGTCAGCTTCCCAGTGGCAAATGAGACAAAGTCCAGGCTACTGTTTCCTTGAAGCTCTCTTTCTACTGAGGTAGACATACAAATCAAACAAATAAATAAGAAACCTTCAGATCATGATGTGCTATAAAGAAGATAAGTCAGGGTAATGGACAGGAGAATGTAGTGGAGTCACAAATCCCCAAATAAACTCAGATGGACACAGAGAACATGCATTTTATTTAAATTTCTAAACTTCTCTGACATTCTTCATGTGTTGCCTAATGGTTAGCATAAAAAGTAATTAGTTCAATCTGTAATTTTAATCTGACAGAATAATCTAAAGAGTCTCTTTAGGAGTTTGTTTTCCTACCTTTGGCTACAAATCAAGATGGCATCTGGGTATACATATGTGGAGGAGAGGGTCTTATTTGGGACCTTGTGCTATTCGGGAAGAAGGGCCCTCAAGATCCATGAGGCATTATTGTACTGTCCTCTAGCTTCTCTGGTCTAAGAAGTAGTGTGTTATTCTGCCTGATGGCACCTGTCCCATTGCAGCTGAGCCCATGGCAAGTGCCTTCATTTGCCTTGCTTCACTCTTTCAGTTTAATCTGAACCTGGTAGCCCTCCCTGGCTAACTGATCTTCATCTCAGCTCTCCTTGGCACTGTTGACTCAGCTGCAGCTCTGCCTCTGCCAGGATACCACCAGTCCTGGCATCCATTCTTTATCTTCTGCTGGGAGTCATCTCTACTTTTATTATGGCAGACTCTACGACAAGTCCATTGCATCCCAAATCTGCTGCCTTTTAAATCACTTTTCAGGAACTTCTGAGTCTTGTACATACTGCACGGAAACCAAGAGAAACTCAGGAAAGCAGTAAGCCAGCAGTTCCTACTAACTCTCTTGTACTGCCAGAGAGTATCAGAGGAGGGGGGCAGCTGCCAGCAGGTACTCTTTCCCCAGAGTCCTATAACTGAAGCAGGGCAGAATACTGCTTCATACTCTTCCTCTGCCCATGTTCTCCCTCCCCCCATCTGAATGTTTCTAAGTCACTCCCCTTTAAAGTTTAGCCTTGAGATGAGCAGGAGGAAAAATAAAAACCCTGGCATCAGACCTTCTTTTCCTCTCCCGTTGTTTCTATTTTTTCTCTCCAAATCCCTCAGGTAGAAAGTGATAGTATTCTCTTTCCATGTCCATACCTTCTTCTACTTTAGAGTAAGAAATCTCAATGCTGGACTTCCAGTTTCAGCTCTGACATGTAAAAAAGTTTAGAATTCATCACTTCCATCCTTTCCGTAAGGAAAAACTGAGAAAACTAAAAGTCAGTCACTTTTCTTGACTCATCTGCGAAGTAAGATGACAAAGTAAACCAATATCCCATAATATGGGGAAACAGGTAGATCCAGGGAGACAGAGCTGAGATCAGCTTAGCTGGAACAGAAGCTGCTGGGACCATGAACTGGTAGGAACAGTAAAATGGTAATATTGATTAATTGTTTGAGGCTGAGTGTGGGCATTATAATACGGGAGCAG
This sequence comes from Homo sapiens, assembly GCF_000001405.40. NCBI lineage: Eukaryota > Metazoa > Chordata > Mammalia > Primates > Hominidae > Homo > Homo sapiens. Next base: position 15,755,231 of record NC_000011.10, on the reverse strand, counting down.
GAAACTCCTGGGGGCTGCAGTCTGAGGAAGCACCACACTCTTATGGGTTTTGCCTCTGGGAATGCCATCAGCCTCTCATGGTGAAGAGCCAAGAAAAATTCCCTAATGGCTCTGGCAAAAGAAGGGGAAGAATAACCACCGTGAGATATATCCAGAGCATTCATTCTTCATAACAGAGTGCAACCGGGGGGAGGGAGGAGAAAGACTTCATCAGAGCCTCATTCTACCCAGAGGAAGATCATTCATTCCTCCCACACCAGACCTGTCTAGCCTTCCTGTGTCATCTAAGAAGGAAAAGTGCCATACCAATAGAGAAACACCTGTGAAGGTTACAGCCCACAGACTAAAAGATCACCTACTAAATACCAGGATTTAATAAGTTATAGAATATTTCTATCCTAACAAACTTTACCACTGCACCAACAGGGCTCCAGCACAATAACAGTGGGTCACAGCCAATAGAACCATTAGGTCACTGACTGTCTCCAAGAAAGAATACTTAGTAAAACCCAAAGACAAGGAAAACAAAAACAAGGACGTTAGAGGAATTTGAAATCTCTAGCACCAGCTACAGAAATATTAACATAGCCCCAGTGCTAGCCAGCTTAACATAAATCCTCACAGTAAAGCCCTATTTACTTCAGTTCCTACAACTCAGCACATGTCAGTCTTTCAACAAACAAAAATTACAAGGCATTCTAAAAGTCAAGAAAAAACACACAGTCTGAAGAGACAAAGCAGGCAAGAGAACCAGACTAAGATATGACACAGATGTTGTAATTATCAGACATGGCATTTAAAATAACTATGATTAATATGTTAAAGGCCCTAATGGAAAAAGCAGACGACATACAAGAATGGATGACTAATGTAAACAGGGAGATGGAAATTCTAAGAATCAAAAGGAAGTGCTAGAAATCAACAACACTGTAACAGAAATAGAGAATGCCTTGATGAGCTTATCAGTAGACATGAGAAAGGAAATAATCAGTGAACTTTCAAATAGGTCAATAGAAACTTCTGAAAATGAAATGCAAAGAGAAAAATAAGTGGGTAAAAACCCAACAGAACATCCAAGAACTATGGGATAATTTGAAAAGGTATAACATATGTATAGTTGGAATACCAGAAGAAGAAAGAGAGAATGGAGCAGAAGAAATATTGGAAGTAATAGTGGCTGATAATTTTCAGAAATGAATTATAGACCAAACCACAGATTCAGAAAGCTCAAAGAGTTTCATTGAATACAAAAGGTCTATACCTAGGCATATCGTAGTCAAACCACTAAAAAACAAAAAATGAAAAAAAATAGGAATTCTTGAAAGAAGCCTGTGTAGGGGATGATGTTGGGGAGAACCTTGCCCATGGAGGAACAAGATAAGAATTGTAGCAGACTTCTTATCAGAAACCATGCAAGTAGAAAGAGAGTAGAATTAGTAATTACAGTGTTAAAAGAAATAAATAGCAACCTAGAATTCTATACCCAGTAAAATTATCTTTCAAAAGTGAAGGAGAAAGAAAGAGATTCTCTGATAAAGAAAAACTGAGAATTCATCACCAGTGCACCTTCCTCACAAGAAATATAAAAAGTTTTTCAGACAGAAAGAAAATTATTTAAGTTAGAACTTGGGTCTACAAAATGAAAGGAAGGATATCAGAGAAAGAGTAAATGAAGGTAAGAAAAATGTTTAGTTTTTCTTACTTTGAATTGATGACTGTTTAAAGTAATAGTAGTAGCAATATATTGGATAAGCATGTGGATAAGTGAAATGAATGACAGCAACGCATAAAGGAAAGGGAAGGAGGAATTGGGGATAATCTATTATATGGTATCTTCATGTATAACTGTAAAGCAGTATATTATTATTAAGGTGGAATTAGATTACTTAAAATATATATTAAAAACTTCAGGGCAACTAAATCTTAATACTCAATAATGATGATCTAACAAAAGTTTTAGAATAGGGAAATCACATAGATTTCTTCTTCTTTTTCTTAATTATCATGTTGCAGTGCTGAGAAATAGGCAATAAAGGGTAAGGCTGTTGTATCAAAGAAATTGTCTTTTAGGGCCCACAAATAAATTCAGTCTGGCCTAGGTTTTCTTTCTTTGTTTCCTTGTCTGATACTTGCTTCCTGCCTGGACATCCTGACCATCTTGGATGTAGCTTTGGGGAATTCTTGAAAAGCCACCTTGCCTGAAGACAACTTATCCGCAATACCTGAAAAGATTTTTCTGTTTTATTTTCTATGTCAAAACGTATAAAACTTAGAAGTTCATATTAACTAACTGGGAGACAGTCATAGAAAGACCTGACAAGTCATTCAAAATGAGATAAGAAAGAATTTAGTCAGATTGTTGTCCTCACAGCAAGCCAAGATTAATTCTCCCATTTGGAGGGAAGAAGGGGAAGGGGGAATTTCTTATAAGAAGGGGAAGTATAGAAGGAAGAAGCTAACTTTTAAAATTGAGAATTAATGTCAATATATTAAACTACTTTCTGGAACTTTCCTCACCCAAGGAAATTTCCTCATCTATAAACAATAATACCAATATCCTGAGGAAGTGGTGAAGATTACATAAAATAATTGTAAATAGCATAATTATTACTGTTATTATTATTATTATTAAAATGGCTATACATTATTTCTGTGTAACTTTACTCCTGGCTTCCTAATATAATTGTATCTCCATATTTTTCTACCTGACATACTAATATGTTCTCTTTATTATAGTGTAATATTTCCAGAAGTTGTTTAAAATCATAATTAGAACAATGTCCTTTATAGGGAAATGATATAAATGTAAATGAAATAAGCACACTACTTTTCATCCCAGTGCTAAATCCTATTGTGGAATCCTGGAAGAGCAAAAGCTTATACTCAGGTGCTATCGGGCTCCAAGGGTAACTAAATGTTTGGAGACGGTATTTGTGTTGAATGTGGTAGGAGAGACTCTTCTCCCACACTTTGCTGTGGCTCAGTCCTAGGAGCAGCTGCTGCAGTAATAGGGTCATGCATAGCAAGTCACCTGCCAAACGCATTCAGGCCAGAACAGAAAAGAGCATCCAGTCAAAGGGCCTGCAGTGCTGGACCTATGGCTGCTGATGGATATAATTTGGGAAAGAATAACGAAAGAAGAGAAATCAGGTTGAAAAAGTTAAATGTGGAAAATGAATCAGTAAGCAAGACATGATTATAAGAGCAACAATAGCCAAAAAGACGCTAATGTCATTCTTTATAACTCCCTTTTGTAAGACAAGGTGTTTAGCTCTCTCTGCCCCAGTTTCTTAATCTGTGAAATGGTGATTGGAGTAAGGGGAGGACCTGAGATATACCTGGCAAGGCTTCTTAATTTTTTTTTTAATTACCATGAATCCTTTTGGCAGTCTGTTGACCCGTGAACCCTATCTTTGTTTGGATTTTCCCAGAAGCAGATTCTAAGTGCAAGTAATGTATTTGAGAGTTACAGAAAATACCTATAGAGAAGTATAAAAGGAAAGAAAGCCAATAAATTGGGAAACTGGAGCTTAATCCTGCAGGATACTCTGGAAAAGGCACGAAACCACTTCTCAGAATTTTTCTACCTGAAGGGTGAGGGAGCTGGGGTAATTATACACCTACTCCTGAGGGTGTTAATACCCTGGTACCTCCAGCCTGCCATGTGTGGGCATCCAGGCAGTGGTTCCTTGCATAGTTGTTGAGGTAGAGAGTCCTTAGACCCAGAGATCAGACACTGACAGTTGGAAGCCACCTGGGGGCATGTAGAAAGGTTGGAGAGCTATGCAAGGGGGCACTTCCAGCATCTGCTACAGACCCGCTTACCCGAATAATGTTTTAAAAGGCATAAAATAAAATACATAGGATTACAAAGAAAACCAATTATATTGAAATTCAGTTCTATCCACAGACCCCCTTGGGGGACTCCAAGTTAAGAAGCCCTGCTAGGATTTCTTTTCCACGTGAAATTATTTGGTTTTATGACCTAACAGCACAGATTGTGTTACTCTGCCAGGAGCTGGTGGAGTAAAGCTCTGCCTATTCTACATAGAAACTATTTCAGAGGAAAAATGCACTTGCCCAACCTGACAATCCCCTGCAGCTCAGGGACTATAAATGATGCTGCTGGGCTCTCTCATTCTCTTTCTATTTTTTTTTGTACAGTGTTTGTTTTGCTTTGTTTATGTTTCTGCGTGTTTAATGTGTCTTTTGTTAGCTCCCAAAGCACTCTGGGGCAGCAATTTGCCCACATGGCCCTGGCAGCAGCTCTGCCCCCTCAGCTGTCCCTGGGGAGCTTCATCTTTAAAGTTGTGTGTCTGAAGCACTAGGGTCCCACGCAGCCACAGAGGGCCAAGGTTCATCATGTGACTTCATGGCGCCAACAGGTGGTTGCGTGCGGGGTGCTGGAGCTGCCGCCCCACTGGGAGCTGCACACCACTGAGACACTATCCCACCTCCTAATGTGACTCCGTGGCTCTGTTACTCACAGCTAAATTACAGTATTATGACTTCATTGTTGAGTCCCAATTCTCCTAATTATAGCCTAGAGATCTATTATTTGATTTGGTAACACCAAGTGCTTCTTTTCTAAATCATGTAATCTCTTGTAGCTTATTAATGTCAGGTTTGCGCACACGCAGGGACTTGGTTGTTTGCCAGGCAGAATCAAATTTTCAAATTTTCGCTGTGTTATGTTACAGGGCTTTGCTTGTTACAATCTAATTATATTGGCACTGAAATACCGAAAACCAATTTATATTAGAAAGCACTTTAACTCTTTCTTTGGAGTGAATTTACATGCTTAAGTGTTTGCCACACCATTGGTCTTTGTTTTTCCACTGGGAAATTCCTTCTGAGAAAAAGGTAAAAGTAATAGTCCCTTTGTATTAAAAAGTCTGCTGTTCAAGGAAAAGAATTGTGAATGTCACCATTCTTAAACATGTTTGAGGCATGAAGCAAGCGGTCCCTTCCATCTCCACAGGTGCTCCCTGCTGGGGAGATCACTTGCCCTAGGCATCTAGAAATCCCTTTCTTAGTGGGTGTCACCTCTGGAACTGTTCTCAGTACCATCCCCAACCGTGGACTGTGTTACCTCTTTCCTATGCCCTTCTCCCCTTTAGACATATTTTCCTATTTTCTGTTTTCTTCTACGGGCCCAGTCAACACATTGCCGTGAAAACCAGGGGTACTTGCTGACTATAGAAGTTGCTCCAGCAGTGGGATCACCCTCTTCATCCTCACTTACCTTCTCAGGAGAATCCTGTGGCCATTGCACCTGACCATTGGGATATTTGTCTTGCCATTCTCTTAGTCTCCCTGGTAATGACTGGGAATACTCCTCCTGGCCAGACTGTCAAAGCCAGAGAGCACGATCTAAATCATCCAGCATGCTGCCTTTGAAAAGGAGTCCCGACTCCCACTGCCTCTTGACTTGTCTTCTGCCACCTCGCTACCTTCTTTTTCCTTGGTCTTCTAGGCAACAGACCTTGCTCCTGCTGAGCTGGTGCAGGTAGAGAGAGAGGGAGACCATCTCAGCAGGCAGCAGGGGACTCAGGTGAAATGAATTTGCAGAGTGGCATCTTGATGGAATGGAAGGAGCAGCGGCATTAAAATCAGACAGATCTGGGTGGGAATCTGGATGCCTCAAATTACTGCTGTGCATCTTGGGCAGGTCATTTAATCTGTTATTAATGAGCTTCAGTTTTTCTCATCTCTAAAATGGGTACAGTTATAGCTATCTCTTAGGTTGTTTTGAAGATTAAATGGAATAATGTGTGCAGAGTACCTAACAGAGTTCTTGTTAGGCAGGGAGCATTTAACATACATATTTTTTATCCCCAGAAGACCTTCCTTCTTGAGCTCACCTTCCAGGCCTGTGTGGGTCCAGAGACCAGGCTCTTTCAAACTGGGGATATTTTTCTCCTTCCTGTATTGTAGTTCTTTGGGCCCTGCCCGACACTGCTTCTCATGACCATAACTTCAGCATGACTTGTATTTGTGAGCTGTAAACTTCCTTTTGTTTAGATGTAAATTTATCAACCAGTGCCCAGTTTCCTAGAGACAGGATGAAGTTAGTTCAGTCCTCATGTTCTTAATGTTCATGTTGTGGCTACAATGTGTAGAGATTCACCCACTGACATTTCCTGGGCAGAATTAGTGTTGCTGATCAAAACCATAACTTGTCTCCAAGGCCTGTGCACATTTCATCTGTTTAATTTTATTTACTATTATGAATATTTCAAACATTCTGAAATGTATAGCAAACCCTATAACTAATACCAGCATTACCACCACCAGCTTTATCAGATTTTACATTGTGTAATGTTTGCTTCCAGTCTTTTGCTTCGGGTACAGTATCTGCCCCTGTGTACTCATCTTTGATCCATGTCTGATTCCACTTTTCCCACAGGAGACTACCCTTCTGTATCTGGTTTTTGTCATTGCCATGAACGTTTGAATACTTTTTTTCAACATATGCCTGTATTCATGGACTATACCTATGGCATCCTATGCAGAAGTAGAATTACGCAGACTTTGCCACTAATTTATTTTAGCTTCAGTATTCTCATCTGTAAAATGAAGATAATGATATCTCCTTCCCAGACTTGCTCTGAGTAAAGTACTAGGCACAGTACTTGGCACATGGTGGGTGCTAAATAAGTCTTTGCTTTTATCAGAGATAATATTTAATACATGTTTAACTTGAAAGTTCTCTTCTTTGTCCCTGTACTTAACTTTTTATTCTGAAAATTTTCAAATATGCACTAAAATAGAATTATGAGCAAAAAAAAAAAAATCTCCATGAAGCCATAACTGGGCTTCAGTGATCCCAGCTCTCCATGTTTGTTTTAAATTCAAGATAGCTTTCAGCATGGAAATACTCCCATCATCTGGCCTCTGGTTCCTGCATTATGCCACATTGCTGGACACAGCACAGAAGCATACTTATTTCTGGAGGAAATGTTTATATTCTCCAGTTCTATAGCTGATCTTTCCTCTCCTCAGGCAGAAAATTTTGTTACAAAACTTTGAATAACTAGAAATTCAGCTGCATTTTCTATGCTCATGAGATAACACAAACCCTAGTGGCAAGAAGGCAGCCCAGTATTCTGATTTTAACCTCATGGCCTTAAGTACCCTATGATGAGGACTCTTCTCCAATTGACTTCTCCCTCTTGGGGAAATCTCCTTGAGCATCTCCAAGACTCAGACCTGACTGCCTCAAAATAGACCAGCATGATACTTTCAGAACCCTCCAAGAGGTTAACATTGGACTTAGAAGAAAATCCAACTTTTTTGGCCTACAAGTCTGTTGTGAACTAGTTCTGATCACACTTCTGTCTCACTCTGAGCCAGCCCCTTGCTCACTCAGAAACTTCAACCACTCAGGGGTTTTCCAACTTCTCTTTCCCACTTTAGGACATTTGTATACATTCTTTCCTCTGTCTGAGATGCTTTGGGTATTACTGGCCGCTTCTTATCTTTCACATCTCAAATAAAATGTCACTGTCTTAGAGCTAACTTCTTTTCCCCGTGTTTAATCAGGTATGCCCCTCCACCACCCCACTTCATTTATTCTATTTTGTATTTATTTGTTTTCTTCCTTGTTACCTCTCTACTCTCAATGTTCACCCGATACTGTCAGATCTGTGAAGGTAGAAATTTTGTTTTGGTTGTCACTAAGCTTTCAGTACCAAGTCCAATGCCTGGCACATAAGTGAAGATCAATAAATAGCTGTTGAAAAAGGAATGAATGAATATCAGGGAAATTTTATCTTTTGCTTTGTAATGGAGAGGAACAGATGTGCTCAAGATCTTTGGATTTGCCTGGCTCCCTCTTTTCTTTCCTTGCTCCAGTGAAGTGGACCTGCCTCCTACTCCCCAAGGGCACACAATACAGACTCATCCTCTTCTCTTGAGTAGGAAGTTGAGGAGCCATCAGAGCTTGTCATGGCTATGGCTCAGTGTCTCCATCTCACCTTTCTCAGCTGGAGCCTGAGCTGGCAACAGACCCCATCTGAACCAAATGGCTCATCCTCCAGGGTATCTTCCTTGACCCTTTCCCAGAAGTGGTTCCATATGATGCCAGCAAGTGTCACCTAACCAGTGGACTAGTGGCAGCAGAGGGTGTATATTATTCCATTTGTGTTGCTATAAAGGAATACTTAAGGCTGACTAATTTATAAAGAAAAGAGATTATTTGGCTCATGGTTCTGCAGACTGTGCAAAAGCATGGCACCAGTATCTGCCTCTGGCCAGGGCTTTAGAAAGCTTACAGTCATAGCAGAAAGACAGGAGAGCAGTTATGTTACCTGGCAAGAGAGGGAGCAACAGAGAGATGCCAGGCTCTTTAAACAACCAGCTATCACATGAACTAATAGAGTGAGAACTCCCTCATGAACATGGGGCAGGCATCAAGCCTTTCATGAATGATCTGCCCCCCTGACTCAAACACCTCCCACTAGACCCCACCTCCAACCATGGGGACTACATTTCAACATGAGATTTGGATGTTTTGGGGCAAACATCCAAACCATATTAGGGCCCATTTGTGGCCATCTCAAGGATCACCCCTATTTGCCTATGTGAGGGATGAAGTCTGTGAGGTCAGAGTAGTCATTAAGTCAGAGAAGGGGATGGTTGGATGGAAAATTAACAAGACCACCCCAGAAGCAGGAATAGAGGTTAGCTAAGCACATAGTACTACACAGAAGAGTGCTCTCAAGGAACAATTACAGAATGAATTATGCACACCCATTACAACTCTGAATAAGACAATTGCAGAGCTGATCTGTGGGCTGATGTGGTTATTTAATTTTAATTCTAACAAATCATTAATCAAATTTATGGATTTAACTGATCTCCTTTTGCTCCTTCCTCTAGGATTTTCTTTATAGGAATAATGAAATGAAGGGTACCTGATAGACATATGTGTCCAAGAGAAACCCTCCTGGGATGCAGAAATCTGAAGGTCTCTCTCCTCTCTTCTGCAGGTCTTTTAGAAGATCTAAGAGACACTAAGGGTTAGAGAGGTGCCCTCTCCCCAAAAACTTCAGCCAAAGAGCACAGAGCAATGTAAATCCCTATGCTCACTTTCTGGGAATGAAGACCTTTATACACATTTTGCAGTTCTCTGCCTGGCTTCCCTCATTCAGAGAACCTGACCTATTCCTCCTCACTGCTATGTCTCTGCCCAAACTTCTCTCTCTGCCAGGATACTCTGCTTGTAGAAATTAAACCCATCCTTCATAACCTGATTAAAAAATAATAATTTGTTCAATAAAGGGCAGTTGTCCTTCATATATTTGGAGATTCATTCCAGACCACCCCCCACACTAAAATTGCACAACCCATATATACAAAAAGTCAGCCCTCCCTATATGGTATATGCAGGTTTCACATCCTGGGAAACTGTATTTTCTATCTGAGTTTGGTTGAAAAAAATCTGCATATAAGTAGATCTGCACAGCTCAAATCCATGTTGATCAATGGTCAAGTGTATTCTCAGATCCACCTGGTCAAAATTACACTTTGCCTCCACTAGTCTCATATTAAACTGCCTGTGTTGTTTGTAGCCAGGATGATCATATTCCCTGGTTTCTTGGGACAGTCCTGGTTTATGTCTGTGGTCCCAGAATCATTATGAATAGCATCTTTTCACTCTCCAAAGTGTCCCAGTTGATCACCAGGTTGTATGGTATGGCAGACACATGCTGTGCTGACCCGTGAGTCATGTCCTTTTGTAGTCATATCCTCTTAAATGCAGACAGAACCTATGACTTGCTTCTGACCCACAGAATATGGTAAAGGTGACAGGATAGTCACTCCCTGGATTATGTTACCTTATATGTAAGACTGTCTTAGCAGACTAAACGGAGAGAGATTATCCTGAGGGCCTGTTAAGGTGCAAGCTGTCAAGATGTGAACTGCCTATTGAAAGGGCCTCAGGAACTGCAGGCAGGCTCTAGAACTGAGGGCCTTAGTCTTCCAGAAGCAAGGAACTGAATTCTGCCAGCCATCTTGTGAGCAGGAAGAGGACCCTGAACTCCAAAAAGAATGCAGCCCAGCAGACACATTGACTGCAGCCTTGCAAGTCCCCGAGCAGAGGGCCCAGATGAGCTATGCCTGCTCTCCTGACCCATGGACACTGTAAGATAATAAACAGGTGCTGTTTTAAGCCATTAAATTTTTGGTAATTTGTTATGCAACAATAAAAATTAATAACATGGCTACCTTAGTGATAGTCCTATCCAAGAGTTCAAATGGTCTTATCTCTCTGTGATATGGTTTGGCTCTGTGCCCACCCATATCTCACCTTGAATTGTAATAATCCCCACATGTCGAGGGAAGGGCCAGGTAGAGACAATTGAATCATGGGGGCGGTTCCCCCCCTACTGTTCTCATAGTAGTGAATAAGTCTCATGAAATCTGATGGTTTTATAGATGGGAGTTCTCTTGCACAAGCTCTTCTTGCCTGCTGCCATGTAAGACATGTAAGACATTTGATACGGTTTGGCTCTGTGTCCCCATCCAAATCTCATCTTGTAGCTCCCATAATTCCCACGTGTTATGGGAGGGATTCGTGGGAGATAATTGAATCAAAGACCCATGAGCGTGGGTCTCCAAATAATAATTGTTCACATAATAGTAAATAGCTGTTCACATAATAGTAAATAATCCTCACAAGATCTAATGGTTTTTAAAATGGGAGTTTCCCTTCATAAATTCTCTCTCTGTTTGCCTGCTGTCATCCATGTAAGACATGACTTGCTCCTCCTTGCCCTCTGCCATGATTGTGAGGCCTCCCTAGCCACGTAGAACTGTGAGTCTATTAAAACCTCTTTTTCTTCCCAATCTCAGGTATGTCTTTATCAGCAGTACGAAAATGGACTAATACAATGTCCCTTTGCTCTTTCTTCACCTTCTTCCATAATTGTGAGGCCTCCCCAGCCAGGTGGAACTGTGAGTCCATTAAACTTCATTCCTGTATAAATTATCCACTCCCAGGTGTGTCTTTATTAGCATTGTTGAGAACAGACTAATACACTCTAACAGATTTGTATTTTCTTAAATTCAGAACACAAATTGTGTTCATCTCTCTAGCTTCCTTACATTCACAGAAAACCAAGTATTTTCCAGGTACTGTTCCAGGTAGCGTAGCACAGTACTTAAATAAGCAAGATGCTTGGAGTCAGAGCATCTGTGTTTGAATCCCAGGTCGATCATTGACCAGCTATATGACTTTAAATAAAAGCTTTAGCCTTTCAGGTCCTCAGTTTTCTCATCTGCAAAATGGAGTTACACAATAGTGCTTTCCTCTAAGATTGTGGTGAGGATAAACTGAGCTAATACAAAAACACTTACAACCATTGGTGCAGAGTGCGTGTCACTTTGCTATTACTTATACTCTTGGTTTCATTTAATCTTTATGTCAAATCTGTTATTTTTATCCCCATTTGCAGATAAAGAAACTGAGGCTCAGAAACATTAAGTAACTTGCCTCAAAATTACACAGCTAGCAAGTGGCAGGCAGACTCCAACCAAATCCATAACTGCTTTCTTCTTTATTGTCCATATTTGCAGCTCTCGTGGATATGTATGTTGGAAAAAAAACAGAACTTTTTGCAGAATTTCATAGTGGATTCCCCAAGAACCAGGAGTTCAAATACCCAGATTTCAAGTTTGGCTAAGGTTATATTCTGGAGCCACCTTTTCAGGCATGAGTGGGTTTCTAGAAGCAGAGGGAGCAGGCAGATAATTTAGACAGTTTAGTGGGATAGAGTGACCCATAAACATGCTCAGGGGCCCATTAAACTGACATCCCACCTGACAAATGATGAGGGACTTTTAGACAATTCCAGTCTACTAAAAACTGGATATTTATGTAAGTGCAGATTATTGGGGCCCATAGATAATTTGCTACCTGCTCATTTTTAATGTGTTTGTGAACACTCATGAGAAGCTCATTAATTGTAAGTGTCTGTAAGCTTATTGTGTTGTAAACCAAGCCTGACAGCACAATAGACACCGATAAAAGGAAGTGGCCTCTTTGCCAGCCAGTGTTGGAGCTGAGAAGGAGCAGGCGTGCAAATCAGCCCAGGGATAATTGACAAGATTGCTGGGATGCACATAAGCCCTTATCGGAGTGAATTTTATGTCCCTGTCCTTAGGTAACCCGGCAGAAATACAAGCGGCTGTGATAAGGGTGATTCTAACCACATTTGCTATGGTGGTGCAACAGGGTCAGGCACCAAGCCCCAATAATCGGGAAATGCGTGAAGGCCATGGCCTAACAAGGCTAAAATCCATTTATTATTCTCTGATCAGAATGCCCTTGATCCTTTTCTAGACTGGTGGATTCTGACTTATCTTTCAAGATGAGTCAGTTCCTCTTTGAAGCTTTCTCTGACTTGGCTAGGAAAAACATTTCCTCTTTTGTGCTCTCCAAGCTTGTTCCTTGCACATTTTCTGGAAGAGCTCTAATCATGAAGGTATCTGAAATGCCTCCCCTTTTCTCCATACCTAAATGAGTGCAGACCTCACAAGTTCTTTGTGGATGCCCCCTAGAAATAATTTTCCTTATGGAAGCACTATACAAACAAAAGCATCAGTGAGCACTGCAGACTTTGTGAGTAAGGAAGGGATCCCATTATTCAGTAGCTGTGTTCGCCCATTTAGTTTGCTTTTTTCTACTTTGGGCCCTTGGAAGGGAACATAATACTCTTCTTGTCTCACAGCACGGCAGGGCCACAGAACCAAAAGCCCTGGAAAGCCAACCTCTGGCCCTAGCAGGCCTTTCAAGCATTTACTTTTTTATATTCTTTTAAGAAAACAAAGATGAGTTTCTAGGGACAAATAACTTTACTAGAGACTAAGAGAATATACTTATATTTATCTTGTTGTATGTGTTCATATATAATATTATTCTCCAGTAGATATGGGACTCCAGGAGGGCAAAATATCCATATGTTGCATTTAATAAATAAATTGTATTCCTTAATATATGCTAAACTGCTGTATTGAATACAGCCAACCAATGTATAATAGCCCAAACACAATGTAATTTTATTTCTTACTACTGTAGTAATCCAAAGTAGATGTTCAGGGTGGTAGGCAGCTCTCTTCCATGCAGCAATTCAGGGATCCAACCTCCTTCCATATTGAGACTCCATTATCTTGTAGGATGCCATCCTGGTCTGCCCCAAATACCAAAAACAGAAAGAGCATGGAGTGGCCTTTGTGGCTTTTACTCAAGTCTAGAAAAAAGTAGAGATCATTTTTGGATAAGCAATCGGTGATATCTCTCACATTGCTCAGGAGTTCCTAGCTTTTTCGTTGTACTTAACTAGATTAAAAGAAAATAGAATTACTGAATATTAACACATCTACCCTAAGAAAAGCTTGCATAAAGCTATGCTTTAACGTTATAATTTCACCCTCCCCTGAAGAAATTCTTTCTCCTCCTTTAATAATTACACTTATTGAGTGCTTACTATGTGTCCAGCATTGTATTAAGTGAATTATGGGCATTATCTGATTAAAGTCACAAAATAAACAAGATGAGGCTGGTACTGCGAGACCCTCATTTTGTAGATAAGGGAATAGAATCTTCACATGGTTAAATGCCTTTGCTCAGGCTCATACAACTAGTAAGTGGTAACAACTAGACTTGAACTCAACCCTCTGGTTTGAGTCTAGGTCCTTAATCGGTACACCATATTGGCTTTGTTTTCAATATTACTAAGCACCCTTTCTACCTATGTTCCTCTGACCAATTCCTAGTATCAAAATTTGGAAAAATTTGTCCCTACTAGAGCAGTTACAAGAATATTAAAGCCAATACTTAATATAATTTTTGGTTTCTAGGAACTCAGAGGTATTTTTTGCATTTACTTGCTGTTATTTTCTTCACCAGAAATTTTGGATAAAATTTTTTCCTCTCCCATTATTATCCCTTTATTTTTTAGTGCTTAACTTTTGTCTTTTGCAATTTTGGGGGAAGGGTCTTAATATATTCTTGCTTTGATCAAGAACCATTTTGGAGGAAGAGGGGATTACAAACAAATCTAATGGTCATATGGCATGTATGCTGAAGGCTAAGGAATGTAAACTACTGGTGTCTAGAACTTATTCTGAAATGCATGTAAAAGTTAAATTTATGCATGGATGAGGAATGGATGAATGGATCAATAAGTGTATAATAAAGCAAATATTATAAAATTATAATTGTAGAATCTAAGTTGTGGGTATATAAGTGTTCACAGTACAATTTTCCAACTTTTCTACACTGTGAACTTTCATCACAAAATGCTGGAAAATATGTCAATGAGAATCTAGACCCATTTTTATGAAAGTCTTAGAAAAGAATAATTCCTTCTATGCATCAATATTTAGGCTTTTTGTTAGTACCAGCCCCACCATTCTTCAAATCACACAGCCCACATGTGCAAGCACTTGGGAATGCACACACACATGCACACACATACACACACTTCACACACACATGCACACTTTCCTTTGCTGTTTTATTAACAGCCCAGAGTTCTATATAAGTTTATGTTTTATATCTCCAAGTGGAAAGATCTCTGGGAAACCAAGAAGAGATGTCTTGGTAGGTTGAGCAGTCTTTCCCTCCATTCCTCCGTCCCTCCCTCCCTCCCTCCCTCCCTCCCTCCCTTCCTTCCTTCCTTCCTCTCCCTCCCTCCTTTCTTGCCTGCCTGCCTGTTTCCTTCTTTCTTCTTTCTCTTGTCCTGTCCCTTCCTCCTTCCTTTTCTTTTGTCATTCCTTCCTTCATTACCTCCCTCCCATAACATTCCAGGAGTGTGTTGGTCACAAGGGACCACAAAGACCAGTCAGATATGAAAGTGCCTGACTCAAGGAGGTACTAATCAAATAGATAATACTAGTATATAAGCAAATAAAAATAGAACAGTCTGAAGGGTGTATACAGAGGAGGACCCAGGTTGGTTTCTCGAAGTAGGAGATGCTGGATTTTGACAGTAAGGATTCCTCTGGCTGCCAAGGGAAGGAGAATATTTCAGGTAAAGCACCAAGTGCCAGTAAGTAGAGGCATGCTTCGAGTGTCAATAGCTGAGCAAGACTGGAGTTTAGGTTGCAAAGGGTGGAGAGATGATGGAAGATGAGGCTCAAGAGGTAAGCAGAGGCCGAGTAATGGAGAGTCTTATGTACCAGGCTAAGAAATTGGAACTTAATGCTCAAGGTAACTGAATGACATTGGAGGATTTAAGTAGGGAACTAATATACAAGGTAGAGGCTGGGTGCAGTGGCTCGTGCCTGCAATTTCAGAGCTTTGGGAGGTGGAGGCGGGAAGATCACTTAGGGCAAGGAGTTCTAGATTAGCTTGGACCACAAAGTGAGACCCTGTCTCTAAAAAAATAAAAAATAAAATTAGCCTGGCATGGTGGCATCCACTTGTAGTCCTGTTTTCAGAAGGCTGAGGTGGGAGGGCCTCTTGAGCCCGGGAGTTTGAGGCTGCAGTGAGCCAAGATTGTGCCACTTTAAACCAGTCTGGATGACATACCCAGACCCTGTCTATATTAATAATTATTTAATTACATAAATAAAATATAAGGGAGACCCAGTGATGTGGAGGAAGAATGGATGGGGATAAGGTGGAAGCAGAGATCAGTCAGGGACTGTTGTAATAGTTCAGGTGAGAGCAAGATAATAGTGTCTGAGCAAGGGGAGCAGCAGTGGGTGAAAGGATACAGGTGAATTCAAGAAGCTCTCAAGAGAGAAATAAGAAGACATAACACCTAAAGACATGTGGGGATATGGGAATATCTAGGATGACTCAGGTGTCTGGTTTAGGGCAGTGGAAGTGGAAATGTTGTTTTCCAGGCTGAAGGCCATAGGCAGAGCCTTGCAACTGAGCTGCCAGCACCGAGAGGTGCCCATTTCCCTCTCTGGGAAGTCCTTTAGCCCCACCATGGCCTGCTGAAGCTCAAGATTTCTCCTGCATGAATGAATATTTTCCCTTTTCCTGCTTCCAAGTGAAGTGAATCCCTGCTCTGCCTTCCTGTTTGGTCAAAGCCTGCGGGGAAAAAGCACAGCAAATGGCTTTCGAAATGCTTTCCAAGCCATCTGGAGCACAGGTTGGAGAAAAGCCCCCCACCCCAACACAGGCCCAGCTCTAACTCCTGGATCTCTGGCTTCATACCCCTGTCTGCTGTCTCTAAGAAACAAACCCTGTGCGGCCTCACTTTATTATGAAATTAAACTTGTTTCTGAAGACCTCAAAGGAGGAAAATGAAATTGTTTTCAGCTTTGATTGCGGTCATAATAAAATAGCTATTTGCGGGGGGATTGTGTTATTCTTGGATAAACGAGGAGCAAAAATACTTTTTTTCAGTTTGCCATAAAGACAGCAATAGAATTTTTCACAAGACAAATGCAATCAATGATTCAGAAAAGATGAGGGCATCTATATTTGTTCTCCCTCGGACATCACGCACAGTGGGATATCTGATCTCTACCAAGCTGGAAAAGTGGCAAAACATGCTTCTGATCTACATTCACAGACACTTCTGGGCAGAGCCCTCCTCCAATTGCGATGCCCCATATCCCTTTCTTGCACCTCTCTCTTAGCTTCCTTATTGAAATTACTGCCTGGAGCCTGAATGAGATTCAGTGTGTTTATATTAAGCACCAACCATATACACTAAGCACGTGCAGAACATTCTCGTGTGGTCACCTCATTCGGTCATCACAACAACTCCGTAAAGTAAGGGATGATTCTTTCTATTCTCCAGATGGAAAAACTGAGATATAGGGTGAAGTGACTTGCCCCAGTTCTCATAGCTGGTGAGTTTAACAAACTTTACATTTTGAATGTAGATCTGTCTAAAGTTCTTTTCCCTACTCCAGGTTGTCTCTTCTTGGGACTCAAGCCTTTGTAGGGCACTGCCAAGTGGCATTGTCTAGAAGGAAATGATTCGGGATTCAGTGACCAATCCCTGTGATCTTGAGAAGGTCACTCTGAGACATTTCGCATCTTGGTATTCTCATTGGGGAAAAAGAGGAGCAATAAATTTGATCTAGTGGGTTGGATTTTGTAAGGATTAATTGTGAGAACATACATGAGATATGCGTTAAAAAGTAAGGGATCCAAAAAAAGTTAGTTTCCTAATGAAGCATTTGTTAGCTCATTCTAGAATATGATGCCTTACCTCCCATGAAAAGACAAAAAATGTTTTAAAATGATACTTAAAAAGACAACTTCCATATGACATGCTGGCACAGGCCATGGGGGGTACTTTGGCTCCAATGGCCTTGGAATAACCTGTCATATCCCACTGTGTTTTAGCCATCCACAGATTCTGTACCCAGTCAGTACACCCTCTCTATCTTCAGCCTGAGGTTCAGGTTGTGCTCAGAGTCAGTGAAAGCATTGCTTTCTCTTCTATCCTGAGACAGAAGTTTTATGTACTACTAGAGTACTTCCAAAACTCAGTCTTTAATTCAGAGTTTTCACTCACCAAATGACCCAAAATGATTTTGAAGAAAGGTTGGATTTTCAATCCCCTGGGTTTGCAAAACAATATTTTTGAGTACAGGTCTCCAGTCTGCTCCCTTCTACATAACCTGCATGAAGAAACAAGCTAGTCTCCAAACCCTGGCTCTTGGGGGAAAGAAGGCAAAGGGAACTATGTCAGTGTGCACCTGCCTGATGTTTCTCCTCTGCCCCCAGTCACCTCTGACTATGCATCATGGGTGACTCAGCTTTGTAACAAGCTGCCTCCTAATAGTTAGCCCATGCTTTTCTGGGCCTGGTTCTGAACTTATATACTTGAGTTGCTGCCAAATTAGATGCCTCTCCCTTTAATTCTCTTTTAAGTTTACATGTTTAAAGACTTGGCCTGGAGATTTCATTAGCATAAAGTATTTGAGTTCTTTGATTTTCTAATAATAAATAAATCAGACATTAGAGTAAGAGCTGTTGAAATCTCAGAAATCTGCCCACAGTTTATCACAAATCTTTTTAGGTATTCAGATGCTTTGGATACACCTTAAAGATTTCAGCCCATATTTGTGATTTTGATCATTGCCTTAGCTTTTGACAAATGCATCAATAATTGGCATGGGAATGGAGCAGGACCCACTTTGGCTGATACCCCAACTACTGGCCTTTCTTGGCAATAACTTCTGATGTTTATGAGGAATCAAGGGTCATTTACATGTGTGAACACAGGTCCTTGCTCATCCACAGATTGTGTTCATGTGTCCTGGGGACTCAGAAGTCCTTGGAGAAGTAAAATTATCCTTAACATCATCATCATCAGAAGACAAGAGAACAAGGGAATATGAGTCCCTCTCCAGTAAACATGGGAGGGAGGGTGGATGCTGTGGGGACACAGAGGAAGTTACACATGTGAGGTCACATCAAGGACATCTGAAGACCTACCTTCCTCTCGATATCTTCTCTTGTATCTGGTCTGAATCCAACAACACAGCCTTTCCTACCCTGGGCCATCAGTGAGTAGGTGAGTCAGGAACTTACAAAGGTGCAAAGAATCTGAAGTTGGGGTAGAAGAAGAGAAGAAGAAGAGACACTTCCCCATCCTCATAGCTTCTGATTGGAATTGGGACCTTGTGAGAGGATCACTGGCAAAGCAGGATGCATGCAGATCAAGGAGCCCAGGATACAGTGGGGATGACAAACCACACCAGGTGAGAAAGAGCTGAAGAGCCCAAGGCTGTTTTGTGTGGAAGAAAAGGTGGCATGGGAGGGCAGTGAGAACTATTTGCCAATATTTGAAAGGTGAACATGAGGAAGACTTGCTCCTCATGGTCAGAGAAACCAGAACTAGAAAGCTACAAAGGAAAACATTCCCACAACATTTTAAGGGTTCTAACAATAAAGGCAGGGAGAAATGGAATACCACCATTTATTGAGCACCGACCATGAGCCAGGGTCTGTACAAGGCTTTTTGTATGTTTTTGATCATAAAGTCTTCACCCAAGTCCTGAATACTGACATGAAAGAATGAAAAGTGAGAGAGGTTATGGAACTTATCTGAGATCCCAGAGCTAGTGATGAGCTAGGGAAAAGCTTGAATTTGAACTTCTACCACTTCTCCACACTCACCCTATTATGCTCAGTGATCAAGCAGAATTTGTGTGACCTCATTTTAGGAGATCGAAGGATTCCTGCGTAGATAAGGACTCACACTAGCCATTTCCTAAGGTCCCTTCCCATTCTGAGAATATTGTGCACAGTCCTGGTGGCCCAAGAAAATGGCTGGAGTGTCGAGGGCTGGAGAGAATAAAGGAAGGAATGTTTTGTGGGCAAGTCATCTGTTCAACAGAGTGAAATGAATGGCAAATAGGCTTCCCCTGGGACTGATTCCCTCCAAGTGTACTCGACAATAAAATGCTTCACAAAGAAACCTGACAATTTAGTTGTTAATTCAAAACATCCTTCTCTAAGCTGCCTATAACTACAACCTAATTGTTGCAAGTTGGTGGTTTATGAAGGAAAGAAAAGAAAGTAAAATCACATTAAATACAAATGTGTATTTCTTCTGCAATAACTCATTTTATTCCTATGTTCATTTTTCTCTGTACTCTTTCATATTACCATCAAATAGTTAATCTACACACTAAACATTTATTTCTATGAAATGTTTAATGTTATTTCAAGAATTTAGAGGTTTTCCACTCTCTCTTGTAAGAGGCAGCTCAGTGGTGGAAACAGTCTGGGCTTTGATACATAGGACTTGATTTTAGACCTAGCGAGGAACAGTACCTAGTTGGTGACTCAGGCAACTTCTTTAACCTCTTTGGACTTTGGTTTCCTCATCTGTAAACTAGATAATAACATCACCATTACCATTGTTGGGATGATCAATAAGATCAAAGATATGAGAAGATCTTTTAGGCTGTAGTAAATAATACCAACGTTTCTTATTCTTTTCTAGCTCAAAGGACTTGCCCCATGAGGCATTATTTTGACTCCTGGGTCAGTTATGGATTTATTAATTTATCATCCAGTCACCTATCCATCTAACCATTCATCCATCCATCCATCCACACATCCATCTACCTATTTTGCTATTTATCTTTAAAATGTTGATTGAGTTTCTGCTATGTAGCACATACCAAATCAGGAGCTAGGAGTATAGGTATAAACAAGAGAGACTGCAATTCCTGCTGCCAAAGTCCTTCTGTCCAGAGAAAGGGGCAGACACATTTATATATAATTATACAATAAAGTTGTCACGGAAGATCTCTTAAACCATGGAAGAAATGTAACAATTTCAGACTATTCTTTTTTCTAATTTTCTATTAGAAGCAATGGAGAATACCATGAGAATTTGAATTGCCAATTGTTCTGCACTGGGAAATAGGGAAGATCTTGGATATAGAGAAGCGAGAGATTTTTTCTGGGCATGGGTGCCAGATGGGGATGCCAGGGGGAGACTGCAGAACAATCCTGGTGGTAGGTGCCAACTGTCTCTTCTTCATGGAGACAAGCCAAGTGAGAAGAACCTCTGAACCTCAGGTCTTCCCTTCTACTTGGGGCATTGGTGGTAGTGCCAGGGACAATAGCTGTGGGGAATGCTTTATTTTCAAACTATCTTGACAAGCAGCAATTCAGAGAACTGAAAACTATTCGAGGACTCAGGAAGAGCAGATACTACCCCCACAATTATGGAAGATCACTACTTCTTAGCACAATGTTACCCCTAACCCCAGCCAACCTGGCATAGTGGACACACCGTGGGAAAAGGATGTGCATGCATGAAAAAAATGATCCTAACTGGTTTCATGGGTAAAACAACTGGAAAAGGATGATATAGTTGCCAGAGCCGTAATCAGCTGTGCTGGATTCAGGCTGGAGCTTCAGACAACAGGGAACAGAAGGCCAAGCAGGAACTGAGAGAAGTAGACCTGTGACATGGGCCTTTGCAGTGGGATTAGGTGGGCAGGAGCTTCCACCATGTCCTTGGTTGCAAGATTAATTACACCTAATGGGAGAGATGGGAGCCTGATGTTCTACCAGATAGGTCCTTATTGACTTAGTGGTATGTCGAAGAATTTCATTCTCTGCAGCTTGGCTGGTTGAGTTGGACAGTGCTTGGCT
The DNA here is from genome assembly GCF_000001405.40 of Homo sapiens. NCBI lineage: Eukaryota > Metazoa > Chordata > Mammalia > Primates > Hominidae > Homo > Homo sapiens. The sequence goes on along the minus strand of NC_000011.10, from coordinate 15,734,125 downwards.
GGTTGAGTTGGCAGTGTAGTGTTTATCATGTACTCTCCTCTACATGTCTTTATATATGTACATGTATACAGCCTGAGGTTCAGGCTCATGTGTGTACATATGTATATGTACGTACATATGTACACGTGTATGTACACTTGTACGTACATATGTACATACATATGTACAAGTGTATATACAAATGAAAACACACAATTTTGAGAGGTTGACGTAAGATTGAATTTTTCTGTTTATCACTTCATTTTGTGTAATTATAGGCACCATTTATGTTTCACTTATTATATGTCAGTTTCTACACCAAATACTTTGTATACACTATCAATATCTCTGTTAAGAGTCTTTATGTAGGAAGTACCAGAAAAGTCAACTCAAATTAGCTTAGCAACAAGGCAGTATTTTGGCTCCTGTAAAGGAAGAGTCCTAAGGTAGGTTTGTTCAAGAAATCACCAATATTCAGTTTCTTTCTACATCTTTGTTCTACCATCCACAGTTCAGCTTCATCTTAAGGTTGACTCCATGGTCACGAGATGTCTACCAATTGCACTTGGGTCTATGTTCTTCCTTGCTTAATGTCCAGAGACTCACTTCCCCGACTAACAAACAATTGGGGTTACAGATTAGACCAAGTTAAGCCAAGTGCCCATCTCTGAACAATCACAACAGCAAGGAGGTGGAAATGTGCTGATTGGCCGAGACCTACAGCAGTGACCCACTCAATAACTGACATTGGCTTCCTTCCCTTCTCTGTCTTACCTGCCCTTTCCTCATCTCCACTTCTCAAGATCTAATTCTTGGGCTATCCAATCTAAAGCAGCACCTTGCCCTCCCTAGTCAGCTACAAGAACCTCCAGCCATCCTTACTGCAACTAAGAGCGTGCCATGGACATAACAGGTGCTGATAGGTGTTGGTTTGATGCATGAATACCACCCCAAGAATGTGGTGACCACATGGAAAAGGGTTTTGTCCCCATAGGCACAGGGAGTATGACTATGACCCTCTTCCCCTGTCATTATTTCCTCACTGGGTCCCAGAGTAATTTAAGGAAAACAGAGACTGGTCTATCTTTCTAAACCTTAGGAAAGTGTTTGCCTTGAAGCTTTAGCTGATATCATAAGTGTAAACTATAACTGGCACCTGGTTATAAAACAATCCCAGAGAAAGAACGTTCACAGAGATTTTGTAAATGAGATCCCACAAAATAGTCCAGTAGTTTCTCTAATACCTTTCCAATTATATCCCATTGCCAATTCCATGACAACTCCCATAAAAATTAGAAGGTAAGTGGAATGACTTCTGATATTCTCTTCTGACATTTAAGGTAGTACCCTAGCAATTAAGTCATTTTGATTCAAAATATTTCTTATCTTTCCAGACTACCTATTGGAGAATGTAAAACAAGTTCCTTAGGGGGTGATAAAATATTACTCATGAGAAAAACAGAGGCTATCATAGAAGCATTCTAAAACAATTAGCAGGAGAAACAGCATTTAAGGAAATAAAGCCATATCCCTCGTTGGTAGAGTAAGAAAGAAGGGGAGTAAATAGATTTTATCCTTTGCTCTTCAGAACAGTATAATTCTCTTTGAATTCTGGGTTTCCACATGGCTAATATTAAAGATATAATATTCACAGAAATTAAAGACTAAAGAAATGTGTATGTGTGCACATTCATTTGTCTACAGAGATTCCATATTATAATCAAGGTTAAGCTCTAGGCAATACAAGTGAAAATATGGTGAAAAGACTTATGAAGGGAAATTAAGACTTTCCAGAACTTTACTGTCTATATTTTTTATCCATTGACCTGAAAGACCTCAAACAATACTTAGTATGTACTACATAAAAATATGTGGATAGTTATTTCTACCCACACTTAATGGAAATATCACAGAAGCCCACATAAGAAACAATGATTTAGGCAAAAAGAAGATGAAAGGGAACGAATTCCACGTGTGTCACAATGAACAAGCTAAGTTCATGGAGTAAATTTAGAAAGCAACTAAGTTTTTTACCACAACTTTCCTGGGGGTACAATTGACATACAATAAACTTCACATACTTAAAGTGTCCAATTATGCCTTTCATAATTCCCTCCCTCCTTGGCAAAGTTATGCTTCAAGATATAACAAAAAAAAATGTGATGACTTTTAGTGAAATGTGCCTGATATAACTGAGTAACTCAAGTGTTACACAATTCAGGGTCATCAAAGAAAATGTTTCAAGAATAAAAGAATGTTATTAAGTCCATGATTCATTCACTTTTGTACCTTCCCAAGCTCCTGACAAAGGTCTTGGCGCATAACAAGGATTTATAGATGTAGTTGATTTTGTACCAATTCATTTTTAGGTGTTGACATCCAGGTTATGAACAAGACCAGCTAGATTCACGGTCCACATGCCTGTTGGCTATTTATTGGCTGAGGCCAAACAATCTAAGAGCATCCACTCTGAGGCCCATGTTATCTACTTAGAGTGGTCACTTACTGACTTCCAGAATCTTCCTTTCTGTTACTGAGGACTTGGGATGTGAATCCTAATTCCTGTTTTAAATCCTATATTCCCATAACGTCCCAGAGGCTCTATCTTCCTGACTAAACCTAGGCTGATAGAGGAGCTTAATATTCTGGGCAATGAAGAGCTTCTGAAAGTTCTTGACTAGAAAAGTCACATCATAAAAGGAATATTTAAAGAAAACTGCATATCAGGAAGCCAGGAGCCTATCCAGCTGGTGTTGTTGATAACTACTTCATTTTCTGTGTGATCCTGCTCTGAAGATGTCCCTGGGGTGGTCTGATCATCTGAAGCAGAGGCTGGCTTTGGTGTCATGATCCTCCCCCAGCTCTAGCTGAGTTTGTCTCAGTATGTGCGTTATGTGGACATGGGGTGCATGACAAGAAGGCAGCACAGCATTCTCTATTCACACTTGGCCCTTGTCTGTCACAAGCCCAGGAAAGAGCTGGCATGAGATTCGGAACATCTGGCTTTGGCTCTTGGCAACCATGTGAACCTGAGCAAGTCACTTTCCCCAGCTGTGCTTCCGTCTACTCATCTGTTAATTGGTCCAACAACGTAATTGTTCCAGAGGTGCCTTTGGCCCTAACATTCTGCAAGTTCACTGACAGCAAGCTGATTTCCTTGGCTCGAAATGTCCCTTTAGGCTGGGCCTAGGACAAGATCAGCAAGGACTAAGCCAGGCCTGGAAACTGTAAGCTCTCTCCCAGGCCTATGACAGCTGATTAATGGACATGACCTTGTTCTGGGATGGAACTTGAAGGCAGCCAGGGAGGTGAGAATCCACAGGCACTAGAGAAGCAAACAGTTGTCCACAAAATCAGGGCCCAGGAAGGGTGTGGCCACCTTGGCTGCTGACAAACACAGGGACATAAATCAACCTTGCCTCTTGGACCTTCCTTTGAGGGAGCTACTGCCACCTCTTACAGTGTGATTATTAGGTTTAGAATAAGCTATAGTGTAAATTTACGGTGTCTGCAAGCTCCCCATATTTTCCTGAAGAAGATTCCTTCACCAAACAGTCTCGCCTGTCCCGAGGCCCCATACTTAAGCCACACACAAATCTTGATTTCATCAGGAGCTCTTTGTTCCCTCAGCTGCTCCTCTTTTCCCTCTGAATACACACACCCTTCCCTGGAAGTTTTATTGTTCCCCCACTGCGTCGTTTTCTCATGAGTTCCTTCCTAGGGAGCTGGGGCTTAGCCAGCCTCTTCTTATGGGAAATAGACCCTGGCACCCACAAGAAAGCCCCCTTCACTCTTCATGATGTCTCTTTTTGTCATTAAAAAAAGAAAGACAATAAAAATCTCTCTTCCTCCTGGTGCTCTTTATAGATTTTCTCATTAAGAGAATTAAGAGCAATCAAAGCCAAATCCATGGCTGCTTCTCTTTAAACAAATCATCTTGAAACTCTTTGCTCCTCAAGTGAAATATGATGATTGTTTGCTGCCAACACTAAACTCCCAGTGTAGGTTCCCGTCATCTTCTCTGCAGTGCAGTCAGAGGAAAGGAGAAAAGCAGGTGGTGGTGTTTGAAGCTGCACATTTCCATCCAACAGCCATATGCCTCTGATGTTCAAGTGGAAGGAGCTCCACACTTGGTTTCTGACTGGTCTCTGTACAGGGCTTATATAATTGTTCCTTCTGGAAGCCATCCAGACCCAGAATGAGTAGAGGTAATGAGCTCCCTATTCCTGCAAATATTTACAAAGAGGATGGCTGTCCTCTATTATCTGAGGAATTAGACTAAATGACTACTACGTCCACTTCTCTTTGGAGTATCCTGAATCCAGAGCCCATTTGTCACTAGTCTTACAATGCTGTCTGAACAGCAGGTCCATCAAGGAAAGATCTGATAGGATATAGGGCCTAAGTACAGCCATCAGGAATGAGTAGGAAGAAGCCCTCATGGCAGAGGATAGCTGTAATCCAGGTAGACATGTCTAATCAAATTCTTTGCAGCCAGAAGAGAACTTCTCAGGGCAGTGGTGAACATTTCACAATATTACACATAAAATGCAATAGGCACATTGTAGGCTTCCAGTACATGCCAAAAACCAGCTTATACTGACATTAATTGGATGACTGTGAGACATTAAATTATATTGGAGCATCCAAGGATCTGAGAGTCACGAGAACTTGGTTGCCATTCTTTTTCTCTGTGTCCTTTTGGAGAAGTTATTTTCCCATTCTAGGTTTCAGTTGCCTCATTTGTAAAAATCTAGGATTGGTCTATATCTGCAGTCCCCAAAGAAAGTTCAAGGGAAACTAAGTCCCATTAGATACTTAACATGAAGTTATATTATGGTATAATATGTTTAGAAACCCTGCATGTAACAATGCCCCTTAAAGAATGACAATGCTGATGTGCCTGTGAAAAGTTCCAAAAACTTCTGCAGTGAATACGTCTATTTGTCTTCATTTAACCTTGTTTTTCTGGAATACATTTGAACACAGAAGTCTTTTATCCCAGTACATACCTTTATCACCCAAGTAACCAATGCTCCTCAGCAAACACTCTGGGAAATAGCGATCTAGATCATCTCTAGATAGTTTTTCTAACCCCTATGGCTTCGTAGTCTTAGAACATTATTTGCCGCTCTAATTAGCCAGAGAATCACCAATGAAAAGCTTTATCAAAATGTGCATGTGCAAGACCCATGCTGCCTGCATCCCTGGATTGCATCTCTGATTAGCCTCTCTACTATGGGCTCTGCATGCACTCTTTCCTCTGCCTAAAACACCTACCACATTTTTTAACTAGCTAACTCAACCTTCTCACTTCAGCTTCAGTGGTATTTTCTCTGGACTTCCTTCTTCATCACTCAGGTCTGGGATAGGTATCCATTGATGTAACTTTTACTTTCCAAACCAAGTCTACACAGGAATCAAAGCTCTGTGAAGGCTGGGGCCATGCATCTTGTGTTCTCTATTCTATCTCTAGTGCCTAGGAAAGTGTGAGACATATAGGAGGCCCTTGATTAATATGTATTGCATGATTAGATACAAATCAAGAGACTTTTGGGACTGCTTTCTTAAAGGGAATACCCTTAACAAACTATAGATGTCTTCCCCTTCTATCACCCCACTGCCTCAATCCTTTAAGAGTGATGATCTCTTATGGGAAACTTATTTTTTCTTGTCCCAGTGAGGAAGTTACAGATAGGAAGACATCACAGTTGTTCAAGACAGAACTGGCTGCCTCTGTAGGAAAGAGTGTCTCATAATTGAGCACTTTTACCATAAACACAAAAGAGAACATCATCAATTGAAATTTTGACTTAAATGACTTCGATATCCTCTTCTAATGCAAGTAATCTATAATTTAATTCTTCTTTAATCAGCATTCTGTATAATTTACAGATCCCTATAAAATAAGGCCTATTTGGTTAAATGTCTGGTTTTTAAGAACAACTAAATTTAAGCAATAACTAGTTTGCCAGCAATCTATTACATTAACAATAGCAATCTAATGCATTAATAAAATGCAGCTTAAATGCTAGAGTCAAGAAGCAAACTATATTATACAGCTATCAATTATGATAGAGATTGTAAGTTTTTAAAAGTTTATGATATAATGTTCATTGAAAATATATAGACTCAAACTAGTATTATATAGACAGAATGATCACAACCTGGTTACATGCAGAAGAAAAAAGATGGGAAGGAAATAAACACAAAGGCAGAGTACTTGGGTAAGGAAGATGGAATCAGAAGTAGTTTGTCTATTCTGTTTTTTAATTTGCTCCTGCAACAATTGTTCTCTTTTTAATGTGCTTGTCTTAACTGTAAATTTTTCATAGATAAAAATAAGACTGGAAACAAGAGAAGATATGTTCTTTGGCTTTGCAAACATTATCTTGATTTTTTTCCAGCTGAGGTTTTGGGAACTTGTTCAAAGATGACTGAACTACAAAAAAGAATAATTCTGGCCTCCCTCTTATTTCCAAGCTGTTTTGAAATGTCCTTCATAACAAGACAGAATGACAACAATCACCCCCAAATTTAAATACTTCATTAAGTCATTGACAACCCCTAAAGAACCCAAGGTGGAAACTAAGCTGAGATTGAAAAGTTGACATGTTTGGCCTTTGTCTGCCCTCATTTTGGGGTTAAGTTAATTTTTTATTTATTTTTTGAGAGGATGAGGGGTAGGAGAGTGGCAGTTAGCCCAGGTCAGGAACCTTTATTCTTTGTCCTAAGATAAATCCCAAAAGCTATTACCAGGAAAAAGAAAAAAGTTTCTGTTTGGCTTTTTGCTGTTCTGGCCATAAACAGCAGTCTGAGATCATGGGGGTTGTGGGTGCACAGGATTTAATCTCCGCCAGGTTTTCTTCCCATAAACATCCTTTCAGCTGTCCTGGCCCAAGACATCTTTCCCTTTCTGAGGCTGACACCTGGTTCTCAATGGAGTGGCCTGCTGCAGTGCTCTCAATGGACCCAGCTACCTGGTCTGACCCTTCATGCTTGGAAAATTTCAGCTCATTCATGCTTGAGATATTTGGACCCAAGACAGTCTCTAACTTGGCAGTTAAATATAATTTGACGGAACAGTGAAGCCTGGCATAGTAGAAAGACCATGGCTTTGGGGAGTCAGACAATCTAAGTTTGAATCCCAGTCCCTCTGCTTACAAACAATGTGACTTTGGTTAGACAATTTACTTAACTTCCAGAAGCCTTCATTTCTTCTTGAGAAAATGGTATAATGATTTCTGCCTGAGGGTTTTTTCATAGATTGAAGAAATTATCAGATGCCTAATAGAGTAAACCTGAGTTCCCATTCCTTTGGTAACTAGAGTCACAGACTGAAGTGTTGAGCCACATTTTTGAAATACCACTGAGGAACTAGACTGCGTCCTGAAGAAACTAGCCGGGATGGTGAGACGTCTGGAACCCAGGCCCTATAAAGAATAAGTAAAAGAACTGGGCACATTTGGTATAGAGAAGACCAGGGTGCTATAATAACTGACTTCGAATCTGTGATTCTCTCAAATCTGAAAAGGGGGATGACTTGTTCTGTGTTTATTTTTTCTTAGTTACTGAATAAATATTTGTTGGATGCCTTTGCTGTGCCAGATGCTGTGTTTATTACTGAGGATGAACTAGGGAACCAGAGATTTCCTACCTGCCTTGAGCTTGTGATCTAATTAGAAAGATGAACTTTGAATGAGTAATTTGAAGTGTGATTGGTAATAAAAAGGGGAGAGGCAAGGGCACTGTGTGGTTTTATAATCTGTCAGAATTAGGACCAATAGATATGTTGGTTTCAACATCATAACCCAAAGAGAATCATATTATTGGACAGTTTATGTGCTTCACAAAGTTCCAATTGAGGGATGATTGAGGATTAAAATCTCAGCCTTATTTTGTTCCTGAAACCATGCATCTGCTTAGAGGTGACACCTTTTTTTTTTAGATTTGCACAGAAGTACCATATAGTCTAGAAATGATTCTGAATTGAAATCTCCAAATGGTGACCCATGAAAATATCTGGGCTCTAGATATTCTTTGTTGGTCTATTTTTTTTTATCATTGTTGTTTTTGTTGTTAGTTTAAACTAGTCAGATTTTATAAAGTTCAGGATATTTCACATTAGAACCTAGAATTCTTGGTCCTTTGGATAAATTGGGAAGTCTGATTACAGGGCCACATGTTTCTTCATGGAGAATATTAGCTAGAGATGAGTGATCCCTGCTACCCTTAAAGAACTATAGATGTCTTCCCCTTCTATTACCCCACTGCCTCAATCCTTTTACTCAAGTAATTTTTCTTCCCTGAGTCCTGGGCATTTATGTTTGCTATCCCTTCTCTTTTTGTACCCAGAGCTGGAGGGAATGGGCTCCCCATTGAGGTGATGGACTTCATCCCTGGTGCTATTCAAGCAGTGGCTGTGGGCTTCCAGTCAGGGATGCAGTGAATGAGCCTCTTATACCAGGTAATAATTTTTGACTGAGCTTGAAGTTTTGTAGGTACCTGAAACTCTTTGGATGAAAGTCTATCCTTGGTCTCAGGACACAGTCATTATGCATACAGCACCAAAGTATATGGATCAAAAGGAGCTTTCCTTTATATGTTTTTTATACGGCTATGCCAAACACCTGAATCTATTCAACAAACCTTTAGTGAGTTCCTGATGTGTGCCTAACACTGCATTACACAATACGGAAGTGATCATTCCAGTCAGAGCCTGAAGTGATCATTCCAGTCAGAGCCTGACACCAGCCAATATTCACAAACTCAGTTTATTTTAGCTGTGTTATTCAGTCTACTAAATGACTGAGTAATCAACTAACTAACTCAGTAATTGTTATGGGCTGAATTATATGACCCCCAAAATTCACATGTTTAAGTCCTAACCTCTATGACCTCAGAATGTGACTGTATTTGGAAATAGGGCCTTTAAAATGGTAATTAAGTTAAAATGGAGTCCTCGGGGTGGACCCTAATTCAATATAACTGGTGTCCTTATAGGAAGAGGATGTTAGGACAGAGGGATGACCATGTGAGGATATAGCAAGAAGGTGGCTATCTCCAAGTCAAGGAGAGGGGTTTCAGAAGAAACCAAACCTGCCGACACCTTGATCTTGAATTTCTAGTGTCTAGAATTATGAGAAAATAAATTTCTATTACTTAAACTACCCAGCCTAGGGTATTTTAGTACAGCAGTTCTTGAAAACTAATATGCTAACAAACTATCTAAGAAAAAAAAGTTAAAATCCTATTTCCTGTCCTGGAAGAGCTGATATAATAGGAAAGGAGGCTTGACTTGTAAACATTTCCACCATTAGTCAGAATGATCTTATAGCGACAGCTGGATCGCATTGCTTCCCTGTTCTCAAACCTCTAGTGGCTTCTCCTTATACTTAAAATAAAAACCGAGCTGTGTCCTACAAAGATCCTAGTGTGACCCAGCATCTGCCTAATGGCTAACTAGGTTTGTATTCCCCACCTCTCCTCATACCACATGCCCCCTTCTCCCTTTTCTGCTCCTCTCACAAGCCTAACAAGCATGCCAAGGTCTGAGAATATTCTGCTCTTTCTACCTAGTTCAAGCCATCTTCTCATCACTCCCTGCTGGGCTGCAGGAAGGGGTGGCAGAGGAAGAAGGAGGAGGAACTTCCATTTTCTAAGCTACAGATGCATAGGAGGCAATGTGCTCGGTGCTTCACATGCATTATCTGGAATATTAACCTCACTTAACAGATGAGAAAACTGAGGTTCAGAGAAGTCACAAAGCTTAAGTAGGAAGAGTGGATTGTATTTGAACCTAAGTCTTCCTGGACTGGAATGCCCAGCCTGACCCTGCCTAGTCATGCTGCCTGGTCACTTGCTTGAGGGAATGTGGAGGGGCTTGTTGGCCTTTTTCTTACAACTGTGAAGTCTTTGTGTTAAACAAGCCCCTCTATAGGCTTTCTTGTTAAATGCACATGACCATTGACATCCCTCCCCTCCACTCCTCTTTGCTGAACTTAATAAATAAAGCTGTTCTTTTATTTAACCTGGCATCTTCAGAAGAGTTTCTGCCTGCAGCTAGACCAGGAAGAAAGGAGACTGAGCAGAGGAAATGAAAGAGTAAAGGAGAGGAGAGAGTGGGTAGGACACAAAGCTGAGGTGACTGAAGCAGCAGGAAGTAGGCAGGGCATGAAGAATTGGGATTCAAAGCCCTTGAATTTAGTTCCCAACTTCACTTATGGGGCAATGCTCCAAGTCACTCAGTCACCCTGAACTTCAGCTGGAGAAGGGGAACAGGAATAATGCCTATCTTCCAGGAGTGTTCTGCACAAAACTGAAGGCACAGATGAAAAAGCACTCTGCAAATTAAAAGGTATCATAAAAATGAGAGGGGTTGATATTATTATAATTTATATTGTTATTTTGTAAAAATATTGGGGTGAAAGGAACCTAAACTTAGTCCCTTTGACCAGAGACAAGGTTCAAAGATTTTGACTTGATTATGGAGTCCTTGTGACCTGAGTGGGGCCCACTGCATGGAGTCCATGAGTATGGAAATTAAGCTTTATCCTAGCTAGGGTCAGTGTCCAAGGAGGTCCCAGCTGACAAAGCGAGCTGTACTTTCTAAGCAGCCAGCGATGACCAAAATCCAACAGGTACTGGCATTGAGGTCTGAAGAGATGATTCCAGTCAGAGCCTCACACCAGTCAATGAGCCAGGATGGTGATTCTGTTTCCCAAAGAGAGAGGTCAGAAAGAACTGGACAGTTTTTGGGCCATAGCCAAATAAGCTAGTGTTTGAGGTAGGCTTAAATAACTAGTACACTGAATAAAAAATCTAGGCCAAAGCCCAGTAAGATTGACAGCATACTGGGTAGATAGTTTCCTCTAGGTGAAGAACTTGTTGCCTCAGCTGCTGAAAGTTTTGCTGGCAGAAGGGTCTTCAGTTGTTGGTCCTCTCATAGACTGCCCAAGGTACCTAGGATCACACCCTGCCCCTGGATCCCACATTCAGTGATTGATCAGTGCAGGAGTATAAAGTCATGGCTATCTTGACCCAACTAGGACAACCCTAAAGGGACCTCCTATCTCCATAGCTTCCAGAGGGTGGTCTGAGACTGTCTTGGGACTGCATCACAGCTAGACTTCTCCCTCTGCCCCTCCCTTTCACAGGTGTGGACCCCAAGGCCACTTCTCAATAAACACCCTATGTCTTAGACTCTTAGAATCTGCTTTGTTGGGAATTCAACCTACAACAAATACCTATTGGGGTTTAAATAAATGTACAGGTTGGTGGGAAAGTAGAACCAGGATTCCTCTCAGAAAGGAGTATACCAAGCCTATGATGGCACAACTCATTTCAAGCCCAAAAGGCTGGAATGAAATATATCAGTGAATAAAACAAACAAAAAAGTCTCTACACTCAGGAACTTACATTCTAGTGTGTATCCATGGAGCAGGGTAGAGAGGCAACATTAAAAATAGACAGCTGGGCAATATTGGGTGTGTAGTGGAATTCTCAGTAAACGTATATGAGCAAGGTTCAGAAGACAGAAACAGAAAGGAGCAAATGCACACAGATTCACCATCTCACACTGCTCAGAGTTTCATGCATAGAAGCCGTGTAAGCCCAGGCCTGGAGACTATGTTTCAGAGTGCTAACTACTGAAGGCCAGGGCTTCTGGGCTCAGAGGGCTATATGTTGCAAATATTCCTTCTGAACTGCCAGGATGCAGGTGGACTAAACTTTGAATTGATGGAACTAAGCTATCTCCAGGTGCCATATTGACTTCTTCTGATCAGAGCTACTAACAAGTAGCCTTATTATCAGCCAGACACTCTGCTAAGCACACACCATAGATGATCTCATTTAATGCTCACAACAACTCCAACTCTATGGGGTAGATATGCTTCTTGTTTCCACTATATGGATGCTATGATTTGAATGCATGTGTCTCTACAGAATTCATTTGTTGGAGCTGAACCTCCAAGGTGATGGTATTAAGAGGTGAGGCCCATTGGAGGTGATTATGAATGAGATTGGTGCCCTTTTTTATAAGGCTCAAATGGACTAGTCAGCTCTTCTGTCCCTTCCATCCTGTGAGGACACTGCATCTGTTCTGTCCAGAGGATGCGGCAATAAAGTGCCATTTCAGAAGCAGAACACAAGCCCTCTTCAGACACTTGCCTTGATCTTGGACTTCCCAGCCTCTAGAACTGTGAGAAAAGAAAAAGCAATTCTGTTGTTTATAAACTACCTCCAGTATTTTGTCTCAGGCATTTTGTTACAGCAGCAGAAATTGACTAAGACAACAGATGAAAAACATGAAGTTCAGAGAAGAAAAAGAAAGACTCACACTCAAGTACTCTTTTGCTTATACAGGATTTGTCCCATGAGACCCTTCAACTTCATATATTTTATCTTAATGAGAGGTTTCTTTTTTGCCTTTATGCCTTGGAAATGGCTAGTGGAGTTATTACAGGCATCAGGCCACCCTGGGTAATAGAGACATGGGCCTCCTTGGTTTTTGGACCCAATAGCTGTCATCCTGCCTGTCCAGAAAGGGATTGCATTGGTTCCTTTTACATCATAGTAGCATAAGTCAAAGCCCTTATAAAAGGCAATAAGTGTATAAAAAGGAAACCAAGTTGGGGCAAGATTAGTAGGCTCATCTATCAGAATGAAATAAATAATTTTTAAATAAAATACTGAATCAATGGATAAATCTACTTGAGTTTAAATGAGTCAGAGAGGTTTGCTATATATGTGGATGTGTGTGAATTATTGGCCAAACTCTGGTTCTCCACAAACTGTAAGATAAATCAAGGACAAATTTAATATCAAAGTAGTATTTGGTTTGAGCTCTCCCCCGATAACATTCATTCATTTGACAAAATTTTTATTAAAGTACCTACTCTCTGTCAGGTGCAGCTCTAGATGATGAAATATATCAGTGAATAAAACAAAAAAAAGTCTCTACACTCAGGGACTTACATTCTAGTGTGTATCCATGGAGCAGGGTAGAGAGGCAACATTAAAAATAGACATAATAAACAAATCAAATAAGATATTTTAGAAAATAAGAACTGTCAAGAGAACACAAAAATAGAGCTGGGAATCAGGGATATGGTGTGGGAATTTTTTGTATTAAAAGGCATGGTCAGGGAGGCCTCATTAAGATGACATTAAGCAGAGACTTGAAGGAGGGGAGGGTGTGCACCACACAGATATCCAGGGAAAAGTGTCTCAGGCAGCAGGAACAGCCAGTGTCAAGGCCCTAAGGTGGGAGCATGTTGGGAGCATTCTAGTAAGGAAGCTGGCTGAGAGGAGGGGGCAATCAGAAGATTAAGAGAACAAGCAGAAAAGTAACGACGGCAGGATCATGTAGTCCACACTGGCCTCTGTAAGCTCTTTGGCTTTTCCTCTGCGTGCTCTAGAGCCTGTGGAGGGTAATATAATGGGGAGTGACATGATCTAATGTTTTAGAAGTATTCCTCCAGCTGCTGTGTTGAGACAGATGGCAGAAGTGCATGAGTCATAGGCATCGCTGTCCATCCTGGAGATGTTCCCCAATCAGAGAGGAGGGTCCACTCCTTCACTGCAAGCTTTTGGACTCACATGGAGTTCTGGGCTTTCCTCAAGCTTGGGGTCCCTGGAGCCAGACTGCATCTGCGGGGAAGGTCTGTCCTGCTTCCTAGCTATGGAAGCCACATTGCATAGTTTGCCCTTGTTCTCTGCAGACTCAGCTGCTGGCCCTTTCTCAGACTCCAGCGGATACCTTTGCTGGATTCTTGCTGCCTTTATTACAGTAATCTACATACTAAACTGAAATAACTGGCATTTCTGTCTGTCTTCCTAACTGATCTCGGAAATAGAAGCTTCCTTATTTTTACTTTAATTTCAAGCACAAAGTGTCTTATACAACTAGGGTTTCATTATGTGCTTGATAAGTGAATTAATGAATGTACAGAGCCAATGGGCAAACTTTACAGGACATTTGAGCCTATTGGGAAAAAATTCTAACAGCCAGAGCTGTCCAACAATGGAAGAGGCTGCCTTCTAAGGTAGAGAACTCCCCATCATCAGACAGTCCAAGCAGAAGCTGGGCAACAATTTGGCAGGGCTATTAAAGATGATACAGGGAGTGTTGAATTAGGTCTCTTGGAGCAGCATTCATTAATGAGGATCTGTGTAAGCTTCATTTTAAGGCTGCAGTAAAAATATAACATTTCATCTGTGTGTTCAGAGGTGAGCTTCAGGGATTGGGAACATCCTGTTTGGTAGTAAGGTCTTGAGGGTAATACACTTATCCCACACCTCTTCATACTGTAGGTCAGACCATTTGAGAAAGCTGCTGGTGTCAGAGAAATGGAGATAAAAATTTGTAAAAAGAAAAAAAAATTGTAAAAAGGTGATGGGAGAAAATGGCTTGGATCTCTATCCCAGCTGGCTCCCTAATTCCAGTCCCCACCAACCGAACTTCTTGACCCATTTGCGTGGATGGGCAGTCCCAGACCTTTCTGGTAAAGACTCTAATGAGAGAAAACTTGAAGGGCAGATCTACATGGGCTGGTGTCCTTCTTCCTCATCTCATTTGCTTTGTGAGCAATTCATGGGCTGAGGAAGGGGTCACAATTTCCCCACCTTGAAGCTAAAATAGAAATTTGTTCCATGCAATGAACAGTTGAGGATGGGGAATGGGGAGTCAGTGTACTGTTCAAGGCACTGCAAATGCAATGAGACAGCACATCAGGCTCTAAAGTGGGGGCTGCTTGCTGGCCCCCGTTGCCCTGAGGCAGCTGAGTCCTGTGGAGGGTTAGCAGACAAGAGCTGTGCTTCTGTTTGATGGGGGAGAAAGACTCTTACAACTGAAGCTTTTACTTTAAGACACAATAAAAGACACTGACATGCTGTGTAAGCATTGTTCCTGGCTGTAGTTATTCCAATTATTTTTTATGTTTTCTCCTTAAATGAGAAACATATCAGACACTAACTCAAACACGGAGATACCTATTTATGCTTCAGAACAAACAGTTTAAGGGCATTATATACAGATGTCTAAATATTTAGAAAGTGTCTGTTTATGGGAGCAAAATGAAAAGTACCTGTTTTCATTTGAAGGATTTTATGTGAAATTTGCATGTAACAAAAGACAGCCCCAGTGGCAAAGGGGTGTTAGAGATGAGAAGTGTGTGCAGACGTGAAGTTGTGGAGGAGGGGGAAAAGGGAGCATTGTGGGGTGGGGTCTGTCCTTTGCACTGACCCAGAATTGGGGGGAACTGGCAAACTTAAGCTGGGGTGATGTTTCCCCTTTGGCTGGGGTGTAAATAAATTCCTTGAAGACATCAGAGTATTTTAATGACCTAAAATGGGCTTCTGAACTCACAACTTTATCTTCTTATTAGACACTCTTCTTAGCCCCAAAGGGACATTTAAAGAGAAATAAGATCCTGATCATTTTAGAAAAATGTAGTAAACTGGGGATTATTAGACTATCTGGGGGATGCTCTGGGCCCCCCAGAGCTGGGGCATCATGGGAGCTTAGACGGAGGAGTTGAGAGATCATCTAACACTTTATCTGACATGCAAGCAGACTTCAGCTCAATTTAAGAAAGAACACAATGTGTGACACTGTGTATGGTTTTGGGAAGTAGCGAGGTCTCTGTTGACTGAGGTGTTCTAAAATAAAAAGACCTCCTATCAGAGATGTTTTAGGGGATTAGCTAGATTGCAATTTTTCTCTGGCCCTTTTAGTCCTCATGATTCTGAGATTAGGTGATTCACAAGAGTTCCAAAGGCACTCTTCTTCCACGACTTTGTTTCCTAGGGACATACTGCCAGCCCTGCAGCTCCTGGAGCTGGGGACTCCTCAGCAGCTGATTGAATCTGCACTGAAAAATTCAGAGCTGTTTCTTGAGTGAAGGATAAATGCTGCCTGTGCCATCTGCTTCTTGGTATCTCTCTGAAGCTCTCACTGGTCCCAGTTCTAAAGGTCTACATTCCTCATGATGGGGACTTGCTCTTGCTTGACTTGGGGTGTGGTCTTAGACTTCTCTCCCCTTTTCTAGATGGGGTGGGATCTTATATGGGGGGCTCCTAGTAGAATCATTTGCTTCAGGGGCTGTGAGAACAGAAACCGGCAGTCCAGGGGAGGGAGCAAGATTCCTAGGCTGTCTCCCTTTCTCTATCCCATATTGGAATTTAACAGTGAGGCTGGGCTGATCACCTTGGCATTAGAGGGCAATGGGGAAGTTCTGAGTTCTGCCAAAGCCTCCTCCAGTTGGTTCCCTTGACTCAACCACCTCAGTATGATGGTGTGGTGTGTGTTTCGGGTGGAGCAAGGGATGCAGCTGAAATAGATGCAGGGGCTAAAGGCAGAAGCAGAGGTTCTCCTGTCAAAACAGGCAAAATGCCCATGGTGCAGCCCTTTCTACTTATGGTTGAGAGTTGACACTCAAATTTGGCCCTGGAGACAGAGTGTAAATGGTTGACATATTTTTCTAGGGCTTCCATTGAGAGCAGGACTTAAGGACAATGGTTCCAGACCTCAGCAGATGGGAACATACCTCACAGGTGGTTCACACATGTTCACTCCACAAGGAACATTCATCTTTATGCCAAAAGGGAGTGGCCAAAATAGTTAAGATGAGAAACTGGTTGGGGGTTAGGAGTTGGGGGTAGTGTGATGGAGATGCAGGAGCTTAGGCTGAGATGGGAATTGCTAGGATCAGCAAGACAAGAAGAAGATGAGGGAGACAGACATGAAATTTAAGACTGTTTCAAATGGCTGTTTTCACTCTATTGTTCCCTTATCCTATGAAAGGGGAGCTCTGAGGCTGGGTGTTCATCGTTTCATTTATTCATTCAGTGTTTTTTCAGTGGCATATTGAAAACAGGCCCCATCCATATATTGGAGTAAAGTCCCTACTCTCAAAGAGCTGAATATTTAGTGGTAATTGCAGTAACCAAACTCTATTGAAGATTTTACACTCAATTGTCAAAGTCCAAGGTAGCTGGTATAGAGAGCAACTCCCAGAGACCAGCTGAGCATCAGGAGCAGAACCTCACTAACTGGAGAGGGGTTGGCAGGAGCAAAGCAGGTCCCTCTTGCCCCTTAGAGGAAATCGGTGGCTAGAGAAGCTACCTGAACTTGGGACCAAACAGGCTAGTCTTACACCAGAAAGCACCTAGTAAAAAGTCTTGGCTGAAAACCTGAGTTCTCTAGAGGTACCCTAGCTAATTGGAGGTGACGGGAGGGCAGCACAGAAGCTTGGTGGTTAACACAAACCACCCCCACGCCAGACCAATGGAGAGGCAACTTGGGAAAAACAGTGGAATCCTGAACTCAGTGCCTGGGAAATGACTCACAGATGAGGCTAATAAACAGAGAGAATCAACATTAAGCCCCATTGGACTGGATTCTGAAGATGCTTGAGGACTTCCTGCCTTAGTCAGATTTGGTTTGGAACTGGGGCAGGGCCAGGCCTGCAGGTGGAAGCAACATCAGCCCCAGCTGTGGGTCCTTCTGACCTCTTTTTCTCTCTACCAGAGAACTGGCTATTTTTACCTGTCAACTGGTAAGTTTTTAGGGAGATTGAATTCAACTGACATTTACTTTGTGTGTGTCCTCACACCCAGACCTAGAGATAAAAGAGAGAGCCTCCGCACTAGAAGAGACAATGGCTAGTGGGAGCAGGCCTTCTAAACAGCCAGTTGCAGTGCAAAGTGACAAGGGCTTATAATGGATTTGGATAAAGAGCTTGGGATTCACGTAGAGGAAGAAGCCCATAAACATGCTGTAGAGCATGCCCCTGACCATATGCCCATTGAATGAATTAACAAACTGTTATTAGTTTTTTCTTTGTTTTTTGTGTTTTGGTTCAGAGAAGGATGGATAGAGAAAAGCATCATTACAAAAGTGAAATGTGTGAATTTTATTCTGGCTTTGAACATTGAGTAGACGAAGAAGACAATTCCAGACGGAGGAAACTCCACAAGAAATATCATGGAAATTTGAAAGAACACAGTGGGCTTGGGAAGAGGTGAGTTGTTTGGTATGGCTAAAAAGAGATGAGGCTAGAGATAGTAGGCAAAGTGCAAGGGATCTTGAACACAGAATTAGGCAGCTTTTTCTGTGTAGCAAACAACCACAGGATTTCAGGACACAAAAAAAGCTAGCATTGATGTCTAGCACATGCATTCACAAGGGGCTGGGATGGGTGTTTCAGGCCTGAAGTCAAGTTCAGCTCTGTCCCACACATCTTACTGTGAGCCCAGGCTATCCAGTAGCAGTTTTCTGGGGAATGTTCTTCTCATGGAGGAGGTTTGAAGCTCTTAGAGGAGTAAGTGGAAACGTATAATGTTACTCAAATCCTAGGCTCAGAACTTAGACACTGTTTCTTCTACCAGTACAGAATCATGCCCCACGCCCAAGATGAATGGGGGCAAAAGAGCACTTTTCCCATAGGAGGTGATAGAGGGAGTGAGTTAAAATAGTTGTTTAACAATTCTCTTATCTGCCTTAAATACTATGCCATACTGTTTTGTTTTGATTGTGGAAAAAATCAGGGATGTTGCTAGGTCTTCTTTGTAGTTGAGATGGTTCCATTTAAACAGGAGTGTCCAGAAACACTCACCATAATGCAAGGGAACATTTTATTCACAACTGAATGTAGTCAATATTCTTCACTTTGTTTACATATTGGAGTGTCTGAAAGACAGGCATTGTGATTCATTTATCTCTATAGCTTCAACACTGAGCACAGCTTACAGCACACAGCAAGTGCTCGTAACATTTGTTGAATGGAATGGCCTTACATTGCCCTCAATGTATGATTAAAATTTAATGGGTAATGCACATTTCTCTACCTCCATTGACAGTTCAAGGTAAGGGTGGGGTAATGAGTGAAGAGCAGACATGACCCACTTGAGGTGGGAATGAAAATGCTAATCAGAGAAACCAGCAGCAGTCGGAAGCAGGTGGCCCAAACCCCAGCTGCAATAGTCAAGAGGCCACTTGATGTTGAGAGCCAAGAAGGACTTTGAATAATGGGACTTCTTCCAGGTAACCGTCGATTTGAAAGATATGTATATATTTCTAATGACAATGGCTAACACATATTGGCTGCCTCCTACATGCCTGACACAGTCTTAATATGTTGTATATATTATTTCATTTAATTGATTCTTCCTTTGGGCCACAGTTATTAATGAGAGACATCATTGAAGAGAATCATAGTCTGTTTCCATTGTACTAGAGTTGCATTTTTATGTGCTGGTTCAGTGGCAAACGAGGACAGAAGAGGCTAAAGCAATGTAAATACAATTGAGTATTGTAAGCACAGCTGATGAAGTCAGTAAAACTGAGCAATTGCCGATGAAAGACTGAGAATGCACTGCAAATAGTTTCAGTTCTCAAATAAAAACATGACCAGATCAGTGAACAACAAAGAATGTGGACAAAAGAATGAAGGAGCCAGAAAAACTGATTCCCTCTCTGCCACTTTTGGTTCAGAATTCCATTGATAATTCTGGTGAGGAAGCACTTAGATCTCAGGGATCCTGTGCAGTATATCTGGGCCTGCAGACCCTTGAGAATAGGCATGTAGTTTTTCACTTTTGATGCCCCAGAGCCTAGCATGGTGCTTGGCAAATAGTGCAAACTCAACATTCTTTAAAGACCTGAACTCTGGCCTATCATAGAGTGAAAAGAAGCTTGAGGAAATTTACCAACGTCTTGACCAGGTTTCCGTAGACAATGCCTCTTTCCGTTCCTCTCTGTTAGAGATCTCAGTGGTGGAAGCACCATCATCCCAAGGAGACTTAGGGTAAGTAACTACTCTTCAGTTCTCTCCTTTGATATCTGAATATAACTTTTTCCCTATCCCTGTACCTGCCCCTCACATCTGGCCCAAGATCTTGGTCTGCAGAAAGCAGGCAGATATCAATAGGCCATTGAGCAAAGGCCTCTTGTGCTCTGAGTAGTGCTAAATTGTGGGGATGTGGCTTTGAAGGCTGTCATGGAAATTATGTGAGGCTGTGACCAGTGAATGGTATGAGATTTCAATTCATTACCAGAAAGAGTATGCATTGGGGCCGGGTGTGGTGGCTTACACCTGTAATCCCAGCACTTTGGGAGGCTGAGGCGGGCGGATCACAAGATCAGGAAATGGAGACCATCCTGGCTAACAGGGTGAAACCCCGTCTCTACTAAAAATACAAAAAATTAGCTGGGGGTGGTGGCGAGCGCCTGTAGTCCCAGCTACTCGGGAGGCTGAGGCAGGAGAATTGTTTGAACCCAGGAGGCGAGGTTGCAGCCGAGATTGCACCACTGCACTCCAGCCTAGGCAACAGAGTGAGACTCCGTCTAAAAAAAAAAAAAAGGAGTGTGCATCACTCCCAAGCCATCTGGAATACAAAAGATGGTGCAAAAAAAAAAAAAAAAAAAAGCCCCTCCATTTAAAAAAAAATTTTCCTTCTTAGATCTTCTAGTTCTATCAAGTTCACCTTGAATGGGGAGGAAAGGGAAAACTTTTCCTATCTATCTAACCCAATTCCTATAATATATATAATAGAAATTGGCTATTAGACTGAGTAATTTCTAAAGAAATGGGGCTTATTTGGCTTGCAATTCTACACGCTGTAAAAGCACGGCACTAGCATCTGCTTCTGGTGAGACCTCAGGAAGCTTTTAGTCATGGTGGAAGGTCAAGGGGGAGCAAGTGTGTCCAACCTGCTCTCACGTGAACTATTAAAGTGAGAACTCATTACTACAGGCAGGGCGCATTTCATGAGGGATTTGCCTCCATGACCCAAACACCTCCCACCAGACTCCACCTCCAACACTGGGGACCATATTTCAATCTGAGATTTGATATCTGAACCACATCATGGGATTAGTGCCCTTATAAAAGAGGCCCAGGGTCCCTTGTTTGCCCCTTCCACCATGTGAGGCACATAGCAGGCACTAGGTATGAGGAACAGGCCTTTACCAGACTCCGAATTGGCTGGCACCTTGATCTTGGATTTCCCAGCATCCAGAACTGTGAGCAAAAAATTCTGTTGTTTATAAATTACCCAGCTTAAGGTATTTTATTGTAGCAGCCAAAATTGACTATGGCCCTCTGGGTGATGGATGATGATGCAAGCATCTCTACAGCATTATGCAGGCAGAAAAAAAAAGGGTGTAGAATTGTGGACAGTCTTCACAGAAGAGGTGCCCTTGAGCCAAGTTTAAAAATAAATGTCCATTTTCAATAGTCTGATGAGAATATAAATTACTAAATGGCAGGTAGAAGAAAGAGCATTTACATGGGCATGGAGAAATAATAGAAAATGGCGCATTTGGGGAGCTTGAAGTATTCTTATTTGGCTAGAGTGCATGATCTCCACATGAAGGCACAACAGGAGACAAGATTTTTTTTTTTTGAGATGGAGTCTCACTCTGTTGCCCAGGCTGGAGTGCAGTGGCATGACCTCGGCTCACTGCAACCTCTGCCTCCCGGATTCAAGCAATTCTCCTGCCTCAGCCTCCCAAGTAGCTGGGATTACAGGCATGTGCCACCATGCCCAGATAATTGTTTCTGTATTTTTAGTAGAGACAGGGTTTCACCATGTTGGCCAGGCTGGTCTCAAACTCCTGACCTCAGGTGATTCACCAGCCTTGGCCTCCGAAAGTCCTGGGATTACAGGCGTGAGCCAGCACACCCAGCCAGGAAACAAGATTTAAAATATTTAAACAGAGTCTGCCCTACATCTTGGGTAAATCATTTTCCATTTCTGACTTTTAATCAGTTCATTTATATAGCTGAACTAGAGTCCCTGCCCTCCCTAATTCCTAGGGCTTAGCTTTAGAATTTATTTTAATTTTTTTAGAGACAAAGTCTCACTATGTTGCCCAGGCTGGTCTCAAACTCCTGGCCTTCAGTGATCCTCCCACCTTGGCCTCCCGAAGCACTGGGGTTTCTGGCATGAGCCACCTTGCCTGGCAACTTTAGAATTATAAAGGGAGACAATATCAGCCAGATGGTGGAATAGGAGGCTCCGTATTTTCTCTCTTCCTACAGATACATGGAATAAACAGCTACACATGGATCAATTTTCTGTGTGACAAATCTAGAATTACAAACTCGAACAAAATGGGCCCTTAAATATCATCTAGTCCACAGGTTTTTAAACTGTGTTGCCAGGGCTTCCTTGGAGTCTGGGGGTTCAGCTGCCCTCAGGATGGGGGCCAAATAGGCTGAGATCCCTGTCTCCAGCTTCAGTCAGAGCAGCTGTGCTTTGCTTTGAGTACTGGGCATCTGCGTATGAATTAAGAAAAAAGATGAGATTCTGATGCTAAAAGGCGAAGTTTGAAAAATCACTGGACTGGACCAACCCTCCCACTTTGTAGACGAAGAAAATTTAGAGGCAGGAGGAGCAAGGACATGACTTGCGTGGGGTCAAGAATGAGTCAATTAATGGGCTTTAAGAAGAGACTGGGCTTCCTATTATTGAAGACACATTTTCATGCTCATTTTCTTCTTCAGATCAATCAAGGTGTCCCCCTCCTTCTTCTTGGAGGAGTCAGGCTCCTGCCAGCCAGATCTTCCACAACACTTAAAAGACAAAGGATCAAAGTGAAAAAACAAATGCTAATGCTCCCAACCCTGCTGACCACCTACTGGGCCCAAGAGGTTCAAAGCTTCAAACCGGGGAGGAAAAGCCCAGCCCCCTTCTATCACCCGGGCTCTCTGCAGCTTTTAGGACCACTCTCCAGCATCCCCTTCCACATGGCTTTCTAGAGCTACTCAGGCCTCCTGACACACTTGGTCCAAAGAGGCTCCCAGAAGGCCTGGCCCCTAAATAGTCCCTGTACCATGATGACTACGTGTGTGCCTGGGGTTAACTGTGGTGGATAACGGTTCCATCTGTTCAAAATATGTTTACAAGGTATAGGCAGAGAAAAGGATTGGAAAGTACACACACTTCAAACTGCTGAAGAATTTTGTGAAAGTGTTCTGTGTGTTTTTAGGCAAACCACTCCAGTTTTCTGGGTCTCAGCTTTCCACTTTTAGAAATGAACAGCTGGAGGAGTTATTTCTAAGGCCCTTATCGGCTGACAAATGCCGCTCAGTCTTGTTGTTTTCTATTCTCTTAAGACATTATTTGAAGAGAGTTTTCCCCTGAGGAAAGTGCTTCAGAGGAGAAAATACACCAGGTAAGTGTTCCTAGTGGAACACATGTTTAGGGCAGTTAGGAGTGTAAGACATTGTAAAAGATGGAAAGGGAATGAGGACAGAGACTCATGCTGAGTCTGCAGCAGGGATTTGCTGCTCCTTTTGAAGAATGTAAAGGGCCACTGTGCCAGGAGTTGGGCTCTGAGCCCTGTTGGGAATCCAGGGAGGCCCATGGTGACTTGATCTGCTGCAGGCTCAAATTCACCCCATGCCTGGCCCCTGGGAACTCTGACACCCTTGGACTCCAGTAAAATTTGAGTAGGGATGCATTCCAAGATTAAGTAGCAAAGAGTGCAAAGTGAAAGATAGTGAGAGGGCACCACCTGTGCCTTGTGGTTTTGTAATTCCTGCTTTGAACCTTTCCCTTTTAATGGTAATAAAAAAACGCAGGTAAGTAAGTCATTTTTATGCTGTCATTTCCAAGACCCTCCTCCAGGCAGGACTCATGTATGGTGGGTCCACATACTAAATGGTTTACCCCGTTTCTGACCTCATTAGTCAGTCCTGTGCAATACTGGATTGTTAAATATTCTGAATACCACTCAAAATTCTAGGACTTTTTACTTGAGGTATTGGAGCAGAGAGACAAAAACCCTCAGGAAGACTTCTTTTCATCAAAATTCAACTAAGCACCTACTATGTGTCAGACTCTTAGACATGCCTGCAGTCCCCAAACATCAGGTCTGCTAGGTGTGGTGCTGTCCAGAAGCAGCTATGATTTCCCAGTATTATCAGATCCAGTAAAGAACTCAGTGAGAATAAAGGCTGGAGAACTAACGGCAACCAAATCCTATTGCTCCTTAGGCTGCAATAATGCCAGCCCCCTATTGTCTTCTGGAGGGCAGGAGGTATTGGGTGGGAGGGAGAATGGAGGAGAAGCCCACTCGGGCTTTATTCTAAATAATTATTTGCAATTATCTGAAGGGGAAAGGAATTGCAATAGCAATAGCAGGGAATCAAATCCTCCTAACCTTTGCTTATCCGGAATTTCCGTCTTTACCTATTTTCTGAGAAGCAGGTTACCTCTTTCATGAAATTTTTGTTTTCAGATTTTAGAAGGGGCTTCACTCTCTTTTTTGCTTCTGTTGCTATTTGTAAGATCAGCTACTACAGTCTCATAGCACTTTACTATATTTATCTATTTAAAATGTTGTCTTCCCCAACCAGACCCAGATCTTCTCTAAGAAAGGACTGAGCCCATTTATCTTTTC
This sequence comes from Homo sapiens, assembly GCF_000001405.40. Taxonomy (NCBI): domain Eukaryota; kingdom Metazoa; phylum Chordata; class Mammalia; order Primates; family Hominidae; genus Homo; species Homo sapiens. Next base: position 15,709,731 of record NC_000011.10, on the reverse strand, counting down.
CTTCTTGATGCCTAAGAGTGCCTGGTACATAATGCAGCTTTGTAAATACTTGTTAAATGAAAAAATGAATGACTAAATAAGTAAAAATGAATGAATAAATAAATGCATTCCTAGACTCTGGCTCTCTGTAGGCATCACTAAATTATGTTGCCTATCTGGCTCCTGGTGGCATTTGTGTTCTAGCCCCTGCTGTAGGTGATAATTAATTAAAATTAGGATCAGCTGGAGGGTTAGAAAATCCTGAAATAGCAGTGGCTTAATAAGAATCAAAGTTTCTTTCTTTCTCATTGAAAGTTTGAAAGAAACAGCCACGGTTTGCATGGTGTTCCATGGTTTGTTTCTACCTTGCTGTGCATGACCTCCACTGCTAAGGTCATTTATGGCCCAAGATGATTACTCCAGCTCCAGCCATCACATCTGTATTCCATCCTGCAGAAAGGAAGAAAGAAGGTAAAGAGCACATTATGACTCTTTAAGGACACTGGTTAAAGTTGCACACTCCATTTCTATGTAAATCCCATTGATTGTAACAGGATTAAGTCACATGGTCACACCTTGCTCAGAGGAGGTTGGAAGACACAGTTTTTGTTGTTAATAGCCACCGAAAATGTGGGAGTTATATTACCACTGAAGAATGGTGATTGAAGAACAACACACAATGCCTGCTATAGTAACCATTTATGGTTTTTTTCTTTGTTTTTTGCCAAGAGAGTGGACGGATGAAATCAATAGTATAGAAAGATCAATATGGTGGCTGGAAGGAACAAGACATTAGAGAAAGAAGATACTGGAGTCAAGGAGACCAGTAGGAAGCAGTTTTGCAAAAGTCTAGATAGATGAGATGAAATAGGACAGTAGCAGATAGGATGGAAGGGTAGATGCAGATTGCTAAAGCAGTTTGGTAGTGAACTAGTCAATGCCGTGTGAATATCGCTGGGGTGAAGAAAGAGAAGGAGTCTAGAATTAGGCTCCCTTTGTGATTGGTGCCCTTGGAAATGGGGCTGTCACTGATTGATTTGGGGAATTTCAGGAAGACCTCAGCAGGTGAGGTAGAGATGAGTACTGAGAGCGCTGATTTTGATTTGGGACGCTTAAAGAGCTGAGCACTGACTGATTCAGGTAACCCCTAGAGATCTAGCTAACCCCTAGAGTTTCCCAGAGTGCACCCCCAGAAGAAAACTCTAGGGGTTACTTGGATCAGTCAGTAAGAATGGACAGTTAGTCCAGTTGGAATGAGTATAGTGGAGCAGGAAACACAGTTGGAGGGTGAGAGTAGGGTCATCTTCCTGTCTTCTCCCTGGTACTGTGGTCATTGCCCTGTTTCTCAGAAGAGTTTGAAGACAGAAGTGATTTCAAATTCTCACTAATTAAAATGGAGGCTATCAGCATGTGCCTGAAGTCCTGCTGCTGCTGCAGAGGAAGTAAGGAGGGGTTGTCAAATCCACAGCCAAGCCTCTAGGCAGCATCCTGACTCCAGGGGGAGGTGCTGGGAAGCTGGGGAGGGGCAGCCACGTGCCAGCTGGCTGTGCCAAGTGAGGGAGCCACATGCCTGGGGTTCTGCCATGTGTTTGTTTATTTGGTTTGGCTGATGTAAAACATACACACACAGACTCACAGCCTTAGGGCCTGTTTGCAGAGCCCATGTTTAATCCTCAACTAAAATCAGGAACAGCGCAGGAAAAAAGAAGGAAGCCAAAATAGCAGAATACAACTAGGTAGCAGAGTTTGTTCACTCATTCATTAATTTATTCACTCACTCATTTAGCAAATGAATACCAGGCACTACGCAAGGCACTGGGGCAATAACGTGAATACGTTTCCCTAAGGAGCTCCAAGACAGGGTCTGGGAACAGAAACAAGGGAAGAGGTCATTTTAGTACAAAGTGAAAGGTGCATGATACAGATTTACAGCACAGCTCTGATCTGGTCATTTCCTGGCTCAAAATCCGACAGGGGCTCCCCTCATATCTAAGCAGGCTTTCATAGGCCCAATAATCACACCCTTAAACCTTCACCCATGCTCCAAGTTCAGGGGAATTCAAGCAGCTCCAGGATCATGCTGCCTCTCACATCTCCTGACCTGCTCACACTCTGTTTCTCCTGCTTGTTAGGGCCTTCTTTCTTCTGTTCTTTGTTGCTTCCCACTCAGCCTTGAAAGTCAAGTGTCATCATCTCCTGGTGACCATCCTCTGGGTCCTCACTACATGCCCTGTGCCTTTATTGCTGGCACTGCTCAACTGCTACTTTCACCTGCCCATCTCCCCTGTGGCCTGTGAGCAACTCCAGCAGAGATGGATCTTGTCCACATCTGTATCCTGGCAGCTAATCGATGCCTGGCACAGAAACACTCTTAATAAATGCCTGTCCAATTGAATGGACATAATTTAGTGCTACTATGGATAGCCTCAATGTGCCATAATTAAAATACACTTGGATTCTGGAGTCAAACCCTGAGCTCTGTCACCTCCACCTTATCATTTCCTTCTCTGAGCCTGTTTTCTTATTCTTCAGCTTAAGCTGATAATATTTCTGAGTGTCTTATATGAAAATGCTTTCTTTGGTATTTGTTCACCTTTCTTTCTTTAATGTGATAGACATGGAGCATTTATTTATTACTTTTATGATTATCCTCCTAAGAAAAAGACAAGGCCCTGCTCTGAGGAGTGAAGACACAATCCAGCAGGCAGGAGGGATGGCTAAGTTCAAAGTCTTGAGAAGTGCCCCTCATGGACACCCCAGGGTGCCCATCTCCAGGTTACCACCAGGTAATATGGACTTTTAGGTCATTATAAAGATGCATTTGATAATATGAAAGAGTGAAAACATTCTATTCTTCAAGTTTGCTTTCTTGATGCGTGACATTTAAATATTTAGATGTATGGTGTTTGAGTCTGTAGTTAGCTTGGGCTATGTTTTAGTAAGTTTTGGCTGCCACAACAAAATATCACAGACGGAGTAATTTATAAACAATAGAAATTTATTCCTCATGGTTCTGGAGGCTGTGAAGTTCAAGATCAAGGTGCTGACTAATTTGGTTTTTGGTGAGAGCTGTCCTTGCTGTGGCCACATTTTTGCAGTGTCCTCACATGGCAGGGGGCAGGAGGGGAGTCTCTTTTTATAAAGATGCTAATCCCAACATGAGGGATGCATCCTCATGACCTAATTACCTCCCAAAAGCCCTGCTTCCAAATACCATCACTTTAGGGGTTAAGGCATAAACATATGACTTCTGGGGAACACAGCTTAGTCTGCAGCAGCCTTCCTTGGTATCCCTGCTCTAGGTGCCACAAATGTTAGGGATGGGCCTTGGATGATGGAAGTACAGGGGAGTTAGCTTCCCATAGTGGGGATCCCTCGGACCAGTGAGAAAAGGGAAAGGGAAAAAGAAGGAGCCAAATACATAAATACCCAGTTAAAAGAAAAAACTTTAGACAAATTAAACTTTACACAGTTTAATTGGGCAAAGAACGATTTGCGAATCGGCCAGCCCCCAGAACCAGAATAGGTTCAGAGCTACTCCACATGGTCGAATATTTATGGACAGAAAAAGGAAAGTGACCTAGCAAAACCAGAAGTGAGGTACAGAAACAGCTGGATTGGTTACAGCTGGGCCTTTGCCTTATTTGAACCTGCTTTGAACAGTCAGCTGCCTGCGGTTGGCTGAGACTCTGGTACTTGTTACAAGAGTAGGTTACAGTCTGTTTACATATAAAGTTAGTTTATGGTTCACTATGTATGGAGAAACTTTTAGGCCAAACTTATAATATGTATGGAGGCAGCTGTAAGCAAACTTAAGTCAACAACTCCTTCCCTTCTCTCCCCTTCCCTTCTCCATTACCCTTAGAGATGGTTTCTCCTTGCAAATGATGTAGACGAATTCCAAGCGCTGCTGCTTACCTACCCAGCAAGCTGCTGTGTCTCAGGGAGGATCATGGGGAGGTGGTGGCCAGCTGCTGTGCATCACATTGCATATTTTCTTGCCTCATTTCCCTTTTCAACTCATTCTCACCACCCCCTGGGCCTCACTCTCAAGGCCCTGATTTTGCTTCTACTAAATGTCAGCACTTTAACCTTGGGCTTTGCTTTTTAGAGGACTGAGAGTGAAGAAACTGCCTCTGTCACTTACTAGTTATGACTTTGAAGCAGGTTACTTGACCTCTTGTGCCTCAGTTTTCTCCTCTGTAAAATGGTGATAAATGGTAATAACTCCTATAGAGAGTTTCTGTGAAGAGAAGACTAAATGAATTATTAATATGTCAATTAACTGCCCCTTAACTGTTAGGTTTTATAATTCTTCTTTCTTCAAGGATACTGTATTAGTTTGCTTGGGGCTGCCATAACAAAATACTACAGAGTGGGTGGCTTAAACAACAGGAATTTATTTTCGCATAATTCTAGAGACTAGAAGTCCAAGGTCAAGGTGTCGGCAGGGTTGGTTTCTTCTGAGGCCTCACTCCTTGGCTTGCAGCTGGCTGTCTTCTCGCCATGTCTTCACATGGTCTTTTCTCGGTGTGTCCTCATCCCTGGTGCCTCTTTTCCTCTTCAAATTTCCTTTTCCTGTAAGGACACCAGTCAGATTGGAATAGAGCCCACCCTGATGGCCTCCTTTTAACTTAATCACCTCCTTTCATTGCCCCATCTTCGAATACAGTCACATTCTAAAGTACTGGGGCTTCAACATGAGTTTTGGAGGGACACCATTATAGCCCAGGACAGACACTGGTTAAGTGCTACCTCTGTGTAGAGTGACCAACTCAACCTCAACCAGGTTTGCCTTGTATTTTCCTGGTTTTAGTACAGAAATTCCAGCATCCCAAGGAATCCCTCAGTCCTGGGTAAGTCAGGAAGATTGGTCAGCCTAGCTCTTCCAGAAGCTTTACCCAAGTCTTTTGCAATATGTAAGGACTAGAGGAACCCAATATGTATCTAGAACTCCATCCTTCCTGGTGGACCTTGACAGCCATTAACTTGCTTAATCCTCATTTCAGCCTTGTGAAGTAGTTGGGGCAGGAAACAATATCCCAGTTACATAAAGGAAGAAATAGGCTCAGAAAGATTAACCTTGACTCCCTCAGCTCTGTTTATCTTTCTCTGGGTTCTTTCATTACTAGGTGCTTCCAAGACCAAGATAACCAGGCAATCATAGTAGATGCATCAATGCACCCTTGCCCAAGGGCCTAGACAAGAGGTAAGTAACCATGATTTATCAGTGAGTGAGTCCTGAAATTTCTCTAGTGCGATTTGAATTAAAGAAAGTAAACAGACAATCATACCTGTACTACTTGGGTAGCGGTGATAGGTGGGCCACAGCCTGGGCCTTAGAGCAAATGCCTCTGGCTGGAAAACTGGAGGGTGGGAGGGGAGCAGGGAGAGATGCAGGCTGTGTTTGAGGATCTGCTCTGAAAGGCAGGGAGGGAAGCCATTGATTAGTGAGCTTTGTTTGAACTGCTCAAGGATCAAAGGAACAAATACCATGTGGGAAGATAAAAGTTGACCTGGAAACCCTGTGTCCCAGCCTGCTGGGATCCAGTCTGCCTTAGGCCCATGGCTCAGGCTGGAGGACTCTCATAGGAGGGCAAGACTGCAAGCTCACTTCTTCCTCAACCTGACCCCTGACCCCTCCCTTACCCATGGCCTTTAAGAAGAGCTTTCTTTTGTCCCTTGGGCACTCTCCAGGGTAAGGGGTGGTCAAGGTTATAAGGGGGCCCAGAGATCAAGAATTATTTCTGGCCTTTGAAGAACATGGGGAAGTCACCAGATGATATGTGATGAATACTATGATTAAGCTGGGCTTGGAAGACTGAAGGTATACCACTCACTAAGAAATCCCTAAACCTACCCTGTGGGGCACATAGGAAGGCAGCCCAGTTTATGCCTCAAGGAATAAATTGATAGAGGAGATGGTTTCTGGTTTTCTTTTAGGAGGAAGGAAAGGAGGAGCACGTGCACAAAGCTAAGGAGGTGATTAACAACATGATACAGTAAGGACCAGCCAATATTAACTGAATTTCTAAGCTGTGCCAGGACCTCCATCATCTCATGGAATCCCAATGGCATTCAATGAAGCAGCCTTGGGATTCTTCTATTTCATAATGGAATGAGAGAAATGAGGCTCACAAAGGTTGGATAACTTGCCTGAGGTCACACAGTTGACATATGGCAGAGCCGGGATGTGAACACATCTCCCTGCTTGAAAATCTGGCTTCTCACCCGTAAAGGTGTGGTTATATCCATGTTTTCAAAAGTTCCCTCTGGTTGCTGGGGGTAGACTGGAGGAGCTAGAAGTAGTGTCTGAGGAACCAGTTAGGACTGTATTGCAATAGTTTCAGGTAGCTGGTATAGTTTCCTAACCCATAAGATCAGGTGTGCAGAAAAGAAGCGAATTTTCTGTAAACTTGAACCCAAGTCCATTGTTGGCAGATATTTAATCTTAGTTCAGGGATTTCTCCATCTCTTCCTTCTCCCCATGGTAGCAGCTAAGTTCTACAGGAGGAATGGATTGTATAGCATCAAGTCATGGAATGAGAGTTAGAGTTGGAGGCTGGCAAGGGCTATCATCTATTCACACTTTGACATCCAGGGCCTTCCGGGTCACTTTTTCACTAAGATCATCATGTGGCCTTTTCATTTTCTAGATAGGGAGGTCCAGACTCTACTATTTCCCCAGCCTATGCTTTGTGGGGAATGCAAAAGGGCTGAATTACGTCCTAAGCCTAGATGTCTGAAGCAACTACACCTAACCTTCCTGTTCTGTTCCCTGGTAGCTAACGGGAAAATTCTGGAGGTTTCCATCTTTCCAGGCAGAAAATGGGAAGGGGAGCACAGGCTCTCTTTGTCCTCAGCTCCTTGAAATGAAGGGGAGAACTATCCCCTGCTTCCCACTCTTGGGCTCAGACCAGGCATGCAGGGCACAGAGACCCCTCTCAGGGGTCCAGACAGGTGTTCACTTGATTAATCTTCTGACTATCTGCCAATTCTACCAGATCTTTAAACTTTATGCTTTCTGTAAGTATCCTTTCTAGTCTACTCTTCAGGCTAGGATTTTGGCTGTTGAATCAATAATTAATTTGCTTGTTTCTCTTTGTATTTCCGTTATAGCTACCTTTCTCTGATGCAATGGATGCTCAGGCTTTATGTTCTAGTTTTAATGGAGGAAAGACCATGGATGTGTAGAAATAATAATGGGAACAAAAGCACTGGGATTAATATTTCAAATTACTATTCTGTTTTACATGCAGGCTATCTGAAGGTCTGGATCATGACAGTGGCAGTAGGGGAGGCAATGAGGGAGTAGATTAGAGAGAGCTTCAAGGATCAGAATCCAAATGTTTTGGCAACTGGTAAAATCTGGAGGATAAGGAAGAGAGATGTTTTCTGTGTCTCTTTCAGGTATTGTTTAGCTTCGCATGAATTTTATCACCTTGCCTAGAACCAGCCACCATCTGCCAGGGTAAGCTATGGCTGGTCCATGTCATATAGAACCGAATCAAGGGTACCAAATTATTGTGGACTTACCTGATATCTGGCCTCTTTTTGTTATTTACTTAGGCTCCTGACTTTTTCTGAAATGAATAGACACTAAAGCCTGCTGGGGAATTTCATGGAAATCAAGATGACTCAACCCAGAGTCCATTTCAAGGCTAGGATGCTAGAGGACGCCAACAAAGGAGTAGGGAAGTGAAACGGATCAGCTCACATCCAAGCCCTTGCATGATCAATCCTGCAGTAGGAGTGCTGCTCAGTTGGGACTCATGAGAGCCCGGAAGAGGAAAAAGCAGCTCTAAGCATAGCAAAGAAGCTGTTATGGAAAAGACCCAAATGTTAAAATGGTGGACATAGTAAAGTGATTGGTTCTGCTTAGGGGAATCTAGATCCCCACATTTTGACCTCCACTGGAGTCTCAGAAGAACAAGTGCCAGGGGGGCTTGCCACAGAGGCCAAGGCAGTGAATGTCAGGCACATCACAGTCCCCAAGATGGGGAGAAGACTGAGATGCAGGGTAACAACTGCAATCCATTCATGGGAGCCATGTTTATCTTAAATCATTGACAGTGAGATAAGGATCATGTCAGCCTTCATACCTTTGATGATGATCCCAGGCTGCAACAGTGACACATAGAACTGGATTCAGTAACTAACTACAGATTCCATCAACCAGGACTAGTAAAGTGAAAGGCAGAAATTGGGAGGAGGGGTTTCTTTCTTGCTTATAAAACTTTATTTGGTTGTGTTGAGTATGTGCATGTATGTATGAAATCCCATAAAGCAGTCTTCTTAGGAACAAGCCAACATGCCACAATGTAGGAGATCTTTGGAGCACTGGCCTAAATGGCAGAGAGCTCAAGGGACTCTGCTTTGTACAAGGCATGATTTGTACCACCACCACTATCCCTGTTTCAGAGCACTGTTGAATTGTTCCAAACCTGGATTTCTATGTCAGCTCCCTGTCTATAGTACTTGACTGATAAATGCTAGTTTCTGAAATCTGCTTTGGTTCTATAATTTATTAGACAGCTTTTTCTTCCCATTTTATTACTTGTTTTTACTGTCATTGGTATATTATCTCTTACAGTGAAAACATTCATAGGCTGATTGAAGAGAAGATCTGAAATTATTAGGCAGCAAGCATACAAAACCCTTGCTTTATAAAGATAATATCTTAAAGGCCTAATGTCTATGGTTCAAAGCAGCCTGGAGATGTTGGCTAAATCTTCCATCATAGAGTCCTCATGGGATCTGGAAGCTCTGATTTATCTTCCTTCAGGCCCTATAAGTTAGCTTTCCACATCTGTAGGTTCCACAATCAACCTTGGATCAAAAACATTTGAAAAAATAATAATATAACAATAAATAATAATATACATAAGAAAACAATACAACAACTATTTACATAGCATTTACATTGTATTAGGTATTATAAGTAATCTAGAGATGATTTAAAGTATATGAGAGTATGTGTGGGACTTATATGCAAATACTATACCATTTTATATAAGCAACTTGAGCATGAACAAATTTCAGTAACCGCAGGGGGGCCTGGAACCAATTTCCCGTGGATGCCAGTACACAAAGACTAATCAGAAACTTTTGCGTGGATATGGAACCCCTGGCTATTCAGAAGTGCCTTTGAGGTTGGTATAGTGTATTATTAACTTTTAACAAAAACCTCTTGAGGTAGATAGGGTATATGGTAGTATCATTTTTATTTAACATAGAACAGTGAGATCCAAAGAGGACTAATGTTGCTTGCTGCAACATTGGTCTCATCCATTTGTTCGTACATTCATCTCAAATATTATTGCTTGCCTCACCTAGCATGTTCCAGGCTCTGGGCTTGGTACTTACTATGCTGAAAGAAACAAGATCCGGTACTGAGCCCAGTTGCTCACAGTCTAGTGAAGGAGACAGACACACAAAAGAACATTATAAACCAATTAATTTATTCAACAAATATTTATTAAGATCTTACTCGATGTCTGGTACTGGGAACATAGCAACAAGTAGGTCAAAGTCCATGCTCTCAGTTTTGGGAAACACAGATAATAAATGAGTATATAATATGTTAGGTGGTGATAAGTCCTATGAAGAAATGTCCGGAAGGAAAGGGGACAGAGTGCAGCAGGTGTGGAACTGTGGCATTTTAGATAAGCTAAAGAAGACCTCTCAGATAAGGTGGCATTTGGGAGAGAATTAAATGCACTAAAGGAATAAGTCCCAGGAGTCCAGGGAGGGGGAACATCAAGTGCAAAGATCCCTGAGGGAGGAGTGGGCCTTGTGTGTTGAAGGAACAGCAGGAAAGGAACAGCAGGAAAGGGACTGGAGGGGAATGAATGAAGGAGGAAGAAGGAGCAGATGAAGGCATAGAGGGAGAAGAGGGCCAGGTCATGGAGGATGGAGGTCCAGCAGGCATGGTAAAGACTTTGGATGTTTTTTAAAAAAGATAGGAAGCCACGAAAAGATTCTGTGCAAAGAATTGACTTGACTAAATGATGTTTTGACAGGGTTACCCCATAACTTGCTGTGAATAGACTGTGAAGGTCAAGAGCAGAAGTAGAGCCGTCAGTTTGGAGATTATTGCAAATGGGCCAGGGGACACCTGGTACTGGAGCCGTAGCCAAGGAGGCAATGAGAGATGAGATTAGGGATATTTCTTTAATATATTTGCTGACATTTGGGTATTGGCTGTGAGAAAAGGAGAGGAATACACAAAAACGTGGGTGCACTGAGAAAAGACACTGCCATTGGTCAAGTTTGCTGGGAGATGGTTTCTAAGTCTTTTAAGATTTGGGTGCAGGAGGTTTATTGGGGTGCATTCTCAGAAACAACACCTTTGAAGGAGTGAATGCAGCCTGGAGAGGGAGAAGTTGTGCTGTGATGCGGTCACAACAGAGGCTTAGCTGATCCCACAGGAAGCTTGGGAACTGGGACAACCCTTTCTTATTGTCTCATTTAAGCAAAAGGTCCAGACCTTTGTAGCTCCACATCAACCAGTCATTATAGTGGCACACTGCCCCGGGGATGGGGCATAACCATGGGTGAGTTGGCTTCTTTTTGCTGGGAGCAAGTCCTGGAGAGAGATTCTCCTGTGACTTATTAGCACCCAATACTAGCGCCCAGGGGTTGAGAGCCTGTGTCCTGAAGGGTGCCTGGGTGGCACAGCACACACACTGTCAACTGCAAATGCCCACTCCAGTCTAGGCAGGGAAGAGTCAGGGAGGACTTCCTGGAGGAGACGATACCTAGGCTGGTTTCAAAGCACCCCATGCTACTTTTCTCAGTTATGTGATTTTATTATGAGCAAGAAGGTGCTTAAACACTATCCTAACTCAAATGCCCTAATTATGCTCATTTGTTAAATCTTCAATGAAACTGAACTCTGATGTTAATTGCCTTTTAAACTAAAGCATTTTCAGCTCCCCAAATTATAATAAATCCGTCTGATTTATAGCTATGCCATTATATTTTTTAAAAAAATCTATTGATTCAGAATATATATTTTTAAAATCTATTGATTCAGAGCATACAACTGAGGCAAAATTGATATTCCAATTGTTCAAATTTCTGGCAACCAAATATTCCTCAATAAACAGAATTCTAACATGCTGATATTTTTATTAGCTCTTATTGGCAGGAAATCCCTTCCAAGAGCTAACATAAATCCTGTTTGGTACAATTTGGGACATTTCCTCTAGATTTTTCTGCAGAGGAGTTGGAGAATGGCTGGCAGCCGGATCTATACCATAGGCTATTCCTGCACTTAAAGCCTGTTTATGAGGATGATTCTCATCGTTTTGAGAGAAAAATGTTAGAGATAGAGACTGGCAACTGGAAGAATATATTATAAAATGTATGCCCCATGAATGAGCAGGCATGTATATGTGTGTGGCTACATATTTGCATCTGTAAGTATGTATAGTGCTATGTGTATATATGCACACATATATGTAGGCAAGTGTGATGGGTATTAGGAGAATGTGTATATGAATATTTTTGTTTGTGTTTGTGTGAGAATCTTCATGTGTAGGGCTATGTTTATAATGTATGTATGTCTGGGCAAGTGATTCAAGTGTGTGTATATATTTAGGTTTGTGCATGTGTGTGCATGAGAATAAACACATGTGGGCAGGTCAACAGTTGTTCCCAGCCACATGAAGTAATCAGATCTCATGGTTCCATGGCAAGAATATAAATGCCAAGGTCAGGTTTCTTGCCTGCATCAACTTTACTCTAGTGATCTTGCTCCAAACATTTTCCTTAGGGGCCTCTCTAGTTCCTCTCTCTCTTCCCACCAGGGGTGCAGGCCCAGAGGGGCCTCAGACAGCTTCCCGGCCTTTGGAGCTGTGCTCTGATGTCTGCCCCAGGAGCCTTAGCTGTGGCAGTCTTGTCATGTTGGACTCTGCTGTCACTGCCAAAGTGACAATCGATTATCAGAACCGGAGCTGCCCAGAAACCCAACTTCTGTGCGGGGCCCTTTGATCTGCCCAGGCTTGGAATGGAGCAGAGTCTGGCACAGGTGGCTTTGATGGGGCCAGACCAATGAAGGGGCTGTAGGCTGGTCCCACCCAGTCCCCGCAGCCTTTGATGCCCACCTGCCCTGCAAGGTTCAGGCTACAGAAGCAGGCTAGTTGGAGTAGGAGCCAGCCGCACTACACTCTGCTCCTCAGCTTTGGTGGAAAATCACCATCTGGGTGTTTGGCCTGGTGATGCTTGGATCTCAGGGCTGCAGAAGCCAATTCTTAGAAACATTGTTCTTGCAACCACCCATCTATCAATTCAGCTAGTATTTATGGAAAACTTACAGAGTCAGCAGAGCAAAGTTATTACATGCACAGTCTTTCGAGTCAGAATGCTTGGATTAAATTTGGCCACTTATTAGTTGTTCCAACTTGGGCGAGTTAAATAACTTGCATGTGTCCCTCTGTGTCTCCATTTTCTCATCTGTTATGAGGTTGTTATGAAGACCAAATTAGATAGTGCAAATAAGGCACCTGATACCTATTAAGACTTCACAAATGTTATATATTATTATTGCAGGGGCCTGCATGTTTGAGTGGAGAAGTCTTATCCGTTCTGAAGCCCTATGACTTGGGTTCAAATCCCAGCTCCAGGTCCTGGCCCCATCATTTTCCAGTTAACTTATCTCATGGGGTTATTATGAGGAGTAAATGAGCAAATATATATAAAGTGCTTAGAATAGTGTCTGGCACCGAATAAGTGCTTCATAGAAGTTAGTTTTTAATAATGATAATGACTTGAAACAAGGCCAGCCTGGGCCAGAGGGTATGAAGTTCTTTGACTATCTCTGGAATAAACCTTCAATCTTCAATTTATTTACTTATTTTTCTGAAAGATCAGATCTACTCCTATAATTTTGACTGCTATTCTCTGACTCCCAAATTCCAAATTCAATCATGTAACTTTCGTGCTTAAATTCCTCTAGTGGATTCCACTTTCCAGAGAATATTCCAAACCACTTAACATAGCATTTGAGACTCTCTGCCATCTGTCCTTTGCTGATCTCCTCAGCATTGTAACTCATAACCCTTCCTGTTCCTACTTCCCACATCCACTGCCAAGCATACTGAGAATGCAGGCTCCATGTACCTTTATGTGCTTGTGCCCTCTACCTAGAATGCCCTTTCCTCCATTGTCTGGCTGTGAACTCCTTCTGTTCCTTCAAGACTCAGATCTCAGGTCCTTCCCATATAAAGCATAAAGCCTTTTTTTAAAAAACTATTCCCTGAACAGTAGAGTTAGGCATCACTTCTTTTATGCTTCTGTCTTAGACTCAGGACATGCCTTGGCTTCTGTGACATGGCAGGACACTTGCTGGTCCACTTTCCTTATAGACTATGAGCTTCCAGAGTGGGATCCTGAACCATCCGACTCAATCAACAGCATTAAGCACAGTGCTTGGCACCTGATAAACACTCCATAATCATCTGCTGAGCAGATTAACTCAATCTATCTCTCCCACTTCTCAGGTCCGCTGACCTCCTGGACAGCTTCCCCTTGGAATCTCATGGCTCCTCAAGTTCAGCTGATACATGCCATTTCAATATCACTCTCCCTCATGCTGTTCCTTCTTAATTCAATGAATGCCACCGTCCATCCATCCAATCTCCAGATATGGAAACTGGAGGGTCATTGTTGAAGTCCTTGCTCATAGTCATTACATACCCATCCCAAGCCATTTTGATGTCTTGGGACACCAAAAGCCCCAGGACATTTTTATTTGACCCCTTAAATGTTTCTTCTGTTTTTCCTTCTTCTCCATTTGCATCCCCACTTCCACTCTGGATGATGCCTATGGAAATCTTCTCACATTCCTCCAGGACTTGAAAAGTTTCCCGTAATTTCCAGGATACCATCCAAACTCCTTGGCGGCACTTGTAGGGTCCTCCAGGATCTTACCCCAGCTTTACTCTCCACAGTTACATCTCCTCATTGCATCCAGTGCTCTTGTTATGCCTGAAAACTCATCCTTCTCAAATATGCCAACCTTTACCCACCACTAGCTCACCGGACAGTTGTTCCCTGGACTCCTTGGAATGCCGTTCTCCCACTTCCTCCCCTAGAATATGCTTCCTCTCCCTAGAAACTCAGCAAAAATGCCACCTCAGGACACCTTTCCAGATTCTTCTTCTATATCCTCCCTCCTTCTCCTGCTATGGCCATGCTGAGACCACTGTTCCCTCCTGGGTGCTCTCACAGCTCTTAATGATCAGCTGACCATGCTGTATTGTATCTACTTATTTTAAAGAATGTGTTTATCCCCTGTCTAGACTATGAGCCCTTTGAGAACAATTGTGTGAACTTCAGTTAATAATACTGTCTGACTCTCAGGTTCTTAATCTATCAAATGGAGATAATGTTAGCCATACCTTCTTGGCAGGGCATTGTAAGGGTGAAATGACACAATGTGTGACAAGGGTCTGGGCTCATAAAAGGCACTCAGTAAACAAGCATATCTGTATGATCTTGCTGGCAGGAACAATGCCTGTCGTGAGAGAGTTCCAGAGATGAGAGCCCAGAGAGTACCCAATCACCCCAGCTGACTTTTCAGCAGCTTAATGGTGCTTTCAAGTAGACTTAGTGAAATGGCTCTATCAATTTCTTCAACTCTCTACAACTGAGTGACTTTGCACTCATTATCTTGCCTCTTTGTATCTCAGCTTCCTTGTTTGAAATATGGAGATAGTAATACTATACTTACCTCACAAGGAAGTTTGTTATGAGAATTAAATAAGATGCATATAGGTATTTGTGTTAGCTATTGTTATTATTATTAATGAGTGAACATCATGGAGCAGATGGATCTATGCTTGAATAATGCTTCATAAATAAATTATTAGCATCTTAAAGGGGCTAAAGATACAGGTATTTGAAGAGATGGAAACTGAGAGATTCAAAGCCAGTGGCAGCAATGGCTGCAAGGAGCTATAAAGGTAAGCATGAAATCCCAGCTCAGAATGGAGAATTCCTACTCTGCTTGCAGGCTTGAAAAGAGAGGGATGAAATATGCAGCCATCAAATAGCTCAAACCTAGAGAAGGTTAGGAAGACTGTTTTAGTAATGGTAAAATGGTGCTACCTCCCTCCCTAATCCTGAAATTAGGGGTCAGACCTCACTTCCACTTTCCATTCCTAACACCTCCCCCACCACAACACCCTGTGATGAACAAAGGGCCTCTGGGTGTTGGACCGTGCTCAAAAGCTCTGGCTGATGCTAGTCTTGCCTAGCCCTCACCTCACCCAGCCAGCATCATGGTTAAATTCTGGGCATGGACGTGTCAGTCTGCATGGATCACATTAACAGCTATAAGGCTAAGACCCGGGGTGAGCGGGGGGAGTTACTTAGCCTTTTTAAATTTCTGTTTCCTTGCCTGTAAAGTAGAGATATTATAAGGACCAATCTCATAAGGTTGCTGTGAGGATTACATTATATAATGCATATAAAGATCACTGTTTGGTATATAATAACTGTTCAATAAATGCTAGCTCTTTTGATTAGTTGCCTGCCAGCTACCACACACTTTCTCCTGGTACCAACGAAAAACCTGCTGGTTTGTATGTCAGGATACTTCTCCCCACTTCTTGTTAAGTGGGCCTTAGTGTATATCCTGAAGGCTATATAACTTCCAGCACCTCAATAGACCATGTCTGAAAGAAGAACAATGCCCAGGATCCACTTTCTGGCACCCAAGAGTTCCCAACACAGTCCTCACCTCCAGCTGTATCTTCAATGACCTTCATTCCCACACCTGACACCTCATCCCAACTGGGCTTTTCCCAATGATCCTAGCTAGCCCTGCCCTTTCTTGTCTCTGGGCTCTCCTCACCTCACTTTGCTATTCTCAAATTCCACCTCTTCTATGAAGCCCCTGTTGATTTTTCTTTTTCACTTTTTTTCTTTTTCTTTTTCTTTTTTTTTTTTTTTTTCTGATGGAAACTCGCTCTGTCACCCAGGCTGGAGTGCAATGGTGTGATCTTGGCTCACTGCAACCATCACCTCCTGGTTCAAGCAATTCTCCTGCCTCAGCCTCCCAACTAGCTGGCATTACAGGTGCCCGCCACCACGCCCAGCTAATTTTTGTATTTTTAGTAGAGACGGGGTTTCACCATGTTGGCCAGGCTGCTCTCGAACTCCTGACCTCAGATGATCCACCCACCTCGGCCTCCCAAAGTGATAGGATTACAGGTATGAGCCACCATGCCCGGCCCCCCTGCTGATTTTCTAATGAGAGGGAACCATTCTTTCCTTGGTCTCTTCCCACTTCACCTTTCAATGTGTATCTCATTCCTACATCTTACCCTGGCCATCCACACTTACTGAATGCAAGGTTCCTCTGGGAAAATGTTTCAGCTTACTCATTGCTATATCCCTGACATAGGTCCCAGCACATAGTAGGTTTTGACATATGACATTTTCCTTTTCATTATATACCCATCAAAAAGAATTTGTGAGTTGCCCACTTCCCCCAAATTTCTCTGTTTTGAGAAAGATAAAGCTGTAGGAGATAGCAACAACCACTTAGCCAATGGTGGTACCTGGAAGTATGGTCTCTCCCCAAGCAGAGCCTGAGAGAAGGACTTAGTTATAAGGAGATAATCCCAGTAAGCAGAGATTGGGGAGGAAAAGTCAATATAAAGGTGTATTATTGAGGTTGCTGCTTTGGGCCTCAGGGGCTATATTCTGCTGCAGCCTTCTGAGTGGTGTCTAGACCACATCCCAGGATGACTCATCTGAGGGACAGGAGGCTGGATGATTTACCTCTCAGTTCCCATACCCCCTCAGTTTAGGTTTGCTCACTTGAGGTCAATAGTTCGTCTGCGTTTCCAGGCTCTGCATATGTAAAGACCAAGTGGCTTCTCACAGAGCTGATGAGGGCCCTAGGTCCTCATGAAAGTGAATAGATGTGAAGCCCATGGTTGAGGTGGGGCCTGGCCGGTGTGAGGTAAGTCTGAGCTTGCATGGTAGTATCCACTGAAGCTGTTGCTAAACTCAGAGGTGAGCTCAGAGGAGGTGATGTAGAGCCCTGTCTTAGGTCAAGATTCCTGGAAACAGACTCTAGGTGAAAGTGCATTGGTTTATTGGGCAGCGTTGTGAAGAATAACTCAGAGGATAAGGAAGGCAGAGTTGGACAGAGGCAGAAATGAAATGGTAATGCACTTGCAACAGGGGATGTGCCAATTCCAGAAGGATCCCTGGAGCTGGGATGGTCCTTCAGAGATGTTCCCAGGCAAGACAGGGTGCCTTCACTTTGGTACCCTCAAACCAACCAGTCATTGAATGTGTCTTGCCCTAGGGAGGGGGCATAAACTAGATTTTCCCTTCTACAAACAGCAAGTCCAAGGAAAGAGGCTCAGCAGAAGCCATCAGCATGTGACACACTCAGCAGCTGGAGAAATAAGAGCTTTAGTCATGAAGCAGGGACCCAGTTGGTGCCTACAGAATCCACCGCAGACACAAAAGGCGTCTCCAGACTCAATACAGGAGGCTTGGTTGAATAAACTCATTGGGGATTTTTAAATAACTGTTATCATCTCTCTCTTCTTCCACCCATTCTAGATTTCCCTCACCCTTGGTAAACACTTCAGGTTGTTTGCCCTGAGTGATCTAGACTGAGTGATTTTGGAGATCTAGACTTTCATCTCAGAGGAGTCTGAGTCTTAGTAGTCTTGCTCTGGTGAGGTCTTGAATGCTGACATTATTGATTCACGATTTCCACCGGTTGTAGAAGAACCAAAAGACTCCCTTTGAACTTTCTGAGTTCTGGCCACATTCCTCTTTGCCCTCACTTTATAGCAGTAACCTAAGTGCCTCCAGCAGGTCCAATTCCTTTACCTCCTGCTCTACCTGAGGAGGAGCCCAAAGTGACCTGGTGGGAATCATAGTTTCAACTTTAGTGGAATACTTATTGTGTCCCCTGGTGAAAATGCTCTTTCCCTGGGAAACAGAACTATTAATCCAGCAGAAATTAAGGTTGTGGGAATGGGAAACACAAATTCTGCAGGTGGGTCATGAGAGTGAGAGAGGACAATTCTACTTTCACATTTGGTTCCTGGACTACTGGAGCCAATAGTGGGCTCAGTCATCGCCCTAAAAGATATCAAGTTTTCATCTCTGGAATCAGAAAATGTAATGTTATATGGAAAAAGTATCTTTGTAGATATGGATTAAGTTAAGGATTTTGAGATGGAGAGATTACCCTGGATTATCTAGTGGGTTCTAAATGTAATCAAAGCATCCTTAGAGAGGCAGCAAGAGCAGAGATGCAGACAGAAGAGAAGGCAAAGAGAAGCTTGTGGCAAACGTTGGAAAGATGTGGCCACAAACCAAGAAATGCTGGCAGGAACCAGGAAGGTGAGAGAGGCAGGAAATGGATTTGCTTCTAGAGCTTCTGGAAGAGGTGTGGTCCTGCCCACACCTTGACTTTGATTCAGTGATACTGATTTCAGACTTCTGGCCTCCAGAACTGTGAGAGAATAAATTCTAAGTCACCAAGTTTATGGCAAATTTTCACAGCAGCTGCGGGAAACTAATACAGAAACACAGTACAATATATCGCTGTTTGATTTATGCTTATATCACATACTGGAAAACAACAACCTTGCCCCTCAGGGTTTTGCTCCAAACTGTTGCCTAGCTGAGTGTTTAATGGGATGTTCCATTATTCTGGTAGACCTGTATTCACTGATTCATCACCAATATTTATGAGAAAATACATCTTTATAGACATTTTGGCAACAACATTTCTGAGCCTACCAGATCTGAGGCTATGAGGACTCATATGAATTTATATAAGATGCCTCTCCCCCAAGGTTCAGAATGACCTTGCTAGGCTACAGGTAGACAAAGGGCAAATGAGACCTTGGGCCAGAATCTATTTTCTACTTGGTTCACTTTCTCTGTAGAATGCTCAGATCAAGTGGGTTTCTGATTTTTTAGCTATAGAAACATGCCTGATGATAGCTGTTTCAGTTTTAGAAGTTTACACTTTGCATATGTTCTATTTTAAACTCAGATACCATGCTGAATTAAGAAGTAAAACGTCTGAACCTCAGCAAGACCCTTTGTTTTCAATTTTCCTTTCTTCCCTACCACCCATCCCCCACCCCCCAACCCCCACCATGTGGAAGGATCTTTATAGCTTAAACCTTCCTCTGCAAAGCAAAATGAGTCCATTCATTCTACCAGCTGACAGAGCCTGGGCCTGTCTTCCTCTGTAGCACAGAGCGCATGTCCTCCTTGGCAAGGAGAGAAAGAAAGGATATTGAATACTTTTATTCCCCGTCTGTTTGATAAAAAAGCATGTTTGTTTTTGTTCATAGATTTAAAGCCCAAAATGGGCCAGTACTGTAAATAAAACATGCAATCTCATTTGAAAAATTTATTACAAGGAATTTTGTTTATGATTTTATGTTCTCCAGTAATAATTAATTGGAGGTCTTCTGTGGTCCCTGCAGACCAACAATCATTCAGACTGTACAGAAAGGCGATCCAACACAGCCTCTCCTGTCTCTAATCCGTGGCCCAAGGAACCGTCTCTGGTTTTGCTACCACTTTAGCCTACATCGAGGAAGTTAAATCCATAATATGACTTGCCTACTACAGTTTTTGGGGCATGTTCACTGTCTGTGTGTGACGCTGATGTCAGAACACCCTCTTGGGAATCCCTCAGGTCAGGAAACTCTACCTTTAAACTGTACTGACAGTTTGGATTATGGCTCACCTG
This sequence comes from Homo sapiens, assembly GCF_000001405.40. NCBI lineage: Eukaryota > Metazoa > Chordata > Mammalia > Primates > Hominidae > Homo > Homo sapiens. The sequence continues at coordinate 15,689,993 of NC_000011.10, read as the reverse complement.
ACTTCTCAAGTGCTGAGAATGGAAGGTTGTTGAAACTGTTTGATCTAACAAAGGAAACGCTCTTATATACACACATCCCTACCCACACAAATACAGTTGCCCCTCAAACAGAGTTGGGAGTGCTGACCCCCATACAGTAAAAAATCTGTGTATAACTTTTGATTCCCCAAAACCTTAATACTAATAGTCTACTGTTGACTGGAAGCCTTACTGATAAATAGTTGATTAAGACGTATTTTGTATGTTAAACTCTGTTCTTACAATAAGGTAAGCTAGAGAAAAAGAAATGTCTTTAAGAAGATCATAAGGAAGAGAAAATCTATTTACTATTAATTAACTGGAAGTGGGTCATCATAAAAGTCTTAATCCTTGTCATCTTCATGTTGAGAAGGCTGAAGAGGAGGAGGAAGAGAAGGAATTGGTCTTGCTCTCTCAGGGTGGCAGAGGTGGAAGAAAATCCACCTATCAGAGGACCTGGGCAGTTCAAACCCATGTTGTTCAAGGGTGAACTATAATGATAAAAATAGTTCCATTCATACAAATGATAATAACCAATGTTTATTGAGTATTTTTGATGTGTTGGACACTGTACTAAGAGCTTTTCATATGAATTATCTCAGTCCTTACAACAGCTGTTTCAGTCAGTACAGGCTGGGTTAGGCTGTGTTAACAAACAATTTCAACATATCAGGGGTTTACAATGACAAGACTAATTTCTCTCTTCTGTTCCCTGTTCATGGTGGATTGGTGGGGTCTCTGTTCCAGATTCTCAATCTGGGACTCAGGCAGCCAATACCTGGAACATGGATGGCCTTAGTGGCAGGGGAAAGGAAAGTCCTAGAAGATCTCACATCAGCAGGTAAGTGGCACAGATCACTTCTGCTCACAACTTTTTGGCCAGAAATAATCGCATGACCCTTCCTGCTCACAAAGGGGTCACCCTCTCCTTAACATAGTAGGTATAACCCTAGTATGTTATAAACCTTATAAAGTAGGTACTTTTAAAAACATTGCTAATAGATTTACAGATGAGGAAACTGAGGAACAGAGAGGCTATGTAACTTGCCCTAGACCATGCATCTAGTAAGTGGTGGAGCCAAGATTGAGACTCAGGCAGTTTGATATTTTCCTGCCATGTGCACTCACATATGTGCATTCATATATACACACATTTAAACACATGCACTCACATGCGCACTCATATCCCAGGGTACTGTGTAAGTGGCCAGATGCTGTTGGGTCAATGCATTCTGTATACGCATCCAGGAGTGAAAATAGAGTGGTGAGTGTGAGCCAAAGTCCCTAGAGAGAACCAAAGGTCAAACAGGGAAACTATGTTTAGCCACTAAATCCAAAAGGCAGGATCAAGGCCAAGAAGGAAAAAAACAAAAAAAAAACAACAACTAAAAACCAAGGGTCAAGAACAGGACAAACTGAAAGGGGAATATGGTTGGCAGCAAAGAGAAGCTGGTCAATGCTGGACGCTGACCACAAAGAAGCCTTTGTGTTGCTGTAGCGTGGGTGGGCTTGGCTGAAAGGTCCAAGGAGGAAGCAGTGCATGACACATTCTCCCAAGGCTGCCTCTGCCAATCCACATTTTCACTGGGGTGTGCATCCTTCCCAACATGCGGGAGGTGGGAAAGAGCTCAAAGATGGAGTTAGAATCTTCTTTGGGAATCAGACTTGGCAGTGTTGTTGCTCAAAGAGGTTCTCTTTGGCCTTGCCCCTTCATGTGAAACTGGCCTGACCCCTTTTCATAATGGATTTAGAGGCAGAAGCATCACTATGCCATGATTTCCTTTCTTTCTGATTCTAACTCCTTGATCTCTTATTATTGATGCTAGTCCAATAATTTTTTGAGCTGTGTCTGGCAGGGTTTTTCCTGTCTAAGAATGATTGAAAGAATTTAATGAAGGGACTGTTTACAAAGGAGTGAGCAGGATTGAGGCAACTCACAAGAGATGATGAGCACCCTGAGGCTGGCAGCTGTGGGATCCTGCCACTACCCCTAGGTCTGAAGGGGTAAAGGACAGGTGCACTTACCAGTCCTGGGCTGAGCTATGGATGTAGGAGAGCATTTGCTGATAGGGGTGACGGCATCAGTAAAGAAACATGGCAAGGAGGGAGCTGGAAGAATAAGTATTCAGGCTTCTACCTTTCCACCTCTGATCTACTGATGAAGCCTCCCACTGGCTGAACTCGACCAGAAGCCAAAGGAAAAAGTAATCTGAATAATGCATCCATAAAGCCCATCTTTTCAGAATGTAGCGCAGTTTAGAAAAGGGTGAAGAGGGGCAAAACTACCCAGGATATATGCTGTTCTTGGTTTCTAGTCTTGATGCTTCTGAGGAACATTCTCCCATCAACTCACACTGTTACCAAAATCTCCTGGGGTTACCCACTTCTGTAACAGTAGCTGTGGTTCTTTGGCCACTACTCTAGGGATTGTTGGTTACTCATCCATTTAGTCATTTGTTCAAAAAAAAAAAATTTGAGCACCAATTGTGAGCCAGGCCTTATTTTAGTTTCTTGGGATCCAGTGTGAATAGAACCAAGTGCCTGCTCTCATGATGCTTATGTTCTAGTGAGGAAAACTGACAATAAAGAAATTTACAAAGAGTGATATTAGAGAATGCCAGCTAGGAAAACGAGGCAGCACAAGAAGGCAAAGAGTAACGGAAGCTGCTATGTTAGATGGGATTATCAGGAAAGTCCTCTCTGAGGAGGTGGCATACTGAGTCACCCCACACATGCACATAGGATTGCAGTAGCATGTGGTGCATACACTGCCTCTGTCATTTGGAAATTTCAATACTTTTGGGAACAAGGTATTACATTTTTTAAAAATGAAAAGACAAAGGTTACTTAACAATTCAAGGCCCAGGGCAGTGGCTCATGCCTATAATCTGAACACTTCGGAGGCTGAGGCGGGTGGATCACAAGGTAAGGAGTTCGAGACCAGCCTGCCCAGCATGGTGAAACCCCATCTCTACTAAAAATACAAAAATAAGCCAGGCATGGGTGTGCATGCCTGAAGTCCCAGCTACTCGGGAGGCTGAGTCAGGAGAATTGCTTGACCCTGGGAGGTTGCAGTGAGCCAAGATCATGCCACTGGACTCCAGCCTGGGCAACAGAGCAAGACTATGTCTCAAAAAAAAAAAAAAAATCAATTCAAAGGGGATTTTTGACAAGTTGAGAGAATGAGGCAGGCATCCTTTAAGAACTTAGAGCTCAAAGGAGAAGTAATTACCTTAGACAGATCAGGGAAGGCTTCCTGGAGGAGACAGTGCTTTGTAGTTCCTTGATGGATAAGGTCATTGACTAGACAGAAAGGAGTAGCGATAGAGTTTGGATGTTTGTCCCCTCCAAATCTCATGTTGAAACGTGATCCCCAGTGTTGGAGGTGGGACCTAGTGGGAGGTGTTTTGGTCCTGGGGACAAATCCCTCATAAATAGCTTATTGCCCTGCTTGTGGTAATGAGAGGGTTCTCACTCTATTAGTTACCTTGAGATCTGATGGTTTAAAAGGGCCTGGCCTGCCGCCCCGTCCGGGAGGTGGGGAGCAGCCCCCGCCCGGCCAGCCGCCCCGTCTGAGAGGTGGGGGGCTCCTCTGCCCGGCCACCCCATCTGGGAAGTGAGGAGCCCCTCTGCCCGGCCGCCACCCCGTCTGGGAGGTGTACCCAACAGCTCATTGAGAACGGGCCATGATGACAATGGCGGTTTTGTCGAATAGAAAAGGGGGAAATGTGGGGAAAAGAAAGAGAGATCAGATTGTTATTGTGTCTGTGTAGAAAGAAGTAGACATAGGAGACTCCATTTTGTTCTGTACTAGGAAAAATTCTTCTGCCTTGGGATGCTGTTAATATATAACCTTACCCCCAACCCCGTGCTCTCTGAAACATGTGCTGTGTCCACTAAGGGTTAAATGGATTAAGGGCCGTGCAAGATGTGCTTTGTTAAACAGATGCTTGAAGGCAGCATACTCGTTAAGAGTCATCACCACTCCCTAATCTCAAGTACCCAGGGACACAAACACTGCGGAAGGCGGCAGGGCCCTCTGCCTAGGAAAACCAGAGACCTTTGTTCACATGTTTATCTGCTGACCTTCCTATGACCCTGCCAAATCCCCCTCTCTGAGAAACACCCAAGAATGATCAATAAATACTAATAAATAAATAAATAAATAAATAAATAAAAGGGTTTGGCCTCTCTTTTGCCTCCTCTCTGACTGTTTGACACATCTGCTCCCCTTTCCTTTAGCCATGAAAAAAAGCTTCCTGAGGCCTCAATAGAAGCCTCAGATGCTGGTGCCATGCTTGTATAGCCTGTAGAACTGTGAGCCAAATAAATGTCTTCTTTATAAATTACCCAGTCTCAGGTATTTCTCTGTAGCAATGCAAAACAGGCTAACAAAAATAGGGAGGACATTGGTGGTAGTAGGAGGAGTGTGGCAGAGGGAGGCAGTTTTGTGGTCGGGAAGCCAGTGTGAGCAAAGTTGTAGAGATGACAGGGAGTTAGTGACAATGGGGGAGCATGTGGGAGAAAGTTAATGAATTTCGCAGGTTGCAGGCAAGGATTCTACAGATGCTTTGAATTACTCTCCAGCCAATTGGCAGCAACATATTCTAGGATAGCAGCTGATTTAGTAGCAGGGCCAGGCCTAGGTCGAAATTTTCTTGCTGCCTGAAACTTTCATGCAAGTTTCTCAACTTCTTTGAACTTCAGTTTATTGATCACTAAAGTTAGAAGAAATAACTAATTGAGATGATATTGCCATGATTAGATGTGGAATATTTGGCACAGTACTTAGCACATACTAGGCACTAAATGAATATTCTTCTGCTTGACCTAATCAATGAACATTAAAAGACAAGCTGCTTATCTGGACAAAAAGGAGCAATTGATTTTCAGGTAGGAAGCTGACTTTCATGGCAGTTATAAACACAGGCAAACACAGGCAATCTGCATTCAAAACTGGGCTTCTCCATTTTCC